>NC_000020.11:21950944-22579147 GCF_000001405.40 Homo sapiens
TTTATTTTAAAATTTGTATTGATACATAATATTTATACATATTTATGGTATTCATGTGATATTTTGTTACATGCTTAAAATGTGTAATGATCAAGTCATGATTTTTAGGGTATCCATTACCTCATGTATTTATCATTTTTATGTATTGTGAACATTTCAAGTCCTCTTTTCTGGTATTTTGAAGTATGAATATAGTGTTGTTAACTATAGTTACCCTACTCTGATATCAAACATTAGAACTTATTTCTTCTATCTAACTGTATGTTCGTGCCCATTAACCAACCTCCCACCACACACCCTTCCGAGACTGTGACATCTATCACTGTATGCTCTACCTCTATGAGATCAACATTTTTAGCTCTCACGTATGAGTGAGAATATGTGATATTTGTCTCTTTGTGCCTGGCTTAATTCTATTCCATCCATTTTGCTGCAAATAACACTATTTTGTTCACATTTTTATGGCCAAATAGTGCTCCATTGTGTATATATATACCACATTTTCTTTATACATTTATCTACTGGTGGACATTTAGGTTGATTTCATATCTTTGCTATTATGAATAGAGCTGCAACAAACATGAAGCACAGGCATCCCATTGATATACTGACTTCCTTTCCTTTAGATAAATACCCAGTAGTTGCCAGATTGTTAGTTCCATTTTTAGTTCTTTGTGAAATATCTGCACTCTTTTCCATAGTGGCTGTACTAATTTACATTCCCACCAACAGTGTGTAAGAATTTTCCTTTCTTCACCTTCTTGACAGCATCTGATATTCTTTGTCTTTTTAATAATAGCCACTTTAACTGGGGTAAGATGATATCTCCATTGTGATTTTGATTTGCATATCTCTGATGACTAGTGATGTTGAACATTTTTTGTTTGTCTGTTGGATATTTGTATAACTTCTTTTGAGACAGGTCTATTTATGTCCTTTGTCCACTTTTTAATGGATTATTTGTTTAATTTTTTTCTTTTACTGTTTAGTTGAGTTCCTATTATATTCTGGATATTAGTCCCTTGCAGGATAGCTTGCAAATATGTTTTACTATTTGACATGTTTCCTCTTTGTTAATCATTTCCTTTGCTGTGTAGAAGCTTTTAGTTTAATATAGCACTATTTGCCTATTTTTGTTTTATGTGCTTTTGAGGTCCTATACATAAAATCTTTGCCTAGATCAATATCCTGAAGTATTTCCTCTATGTTTTCTTCTAGAAGATTTGTGATTTCAGGTCTTATGTTTAGGTCTTTAATCCATCTTGAATTGATTTTTGTAGGTGGTGAGAGGGAGGGTGAAATTTCATTCTTCTGCATCTAGATATCCAATTTTCCTAGGACCACTTATTTAAGAGTGTGTCCTTCCCCAGTGCGTGTTCTTGAGCCTTTGTTGAAAATCAGTTGGCTGTAAATATGTAGGCTTATTTCTGGCTTCTCTATTCTATTCCACTGGTCGATGTGTCATTTTTTATACCAATAGCATTCTGTTTTGATTGCTATAGCCTTTTATTTTGAAGTCAGGTGGTATAATACCTCCAGTTTTGTTCTTTTAGACAAGGATTGCTTTGGCTATTTGGGCTCTTTTTTGGTTTTATATGAATTTCAGGATTATTTTTAATAATCCTATAAGAAATCACATACATATTTTGATAAAGATTGCATTGAATCTGGAGATTACTTGAGCAATATGATCATTTTAATGATATTAATTCTTTCCATCCATGAGCATGGGATGTCTTTCCATTTGTATCCTCTTTGATTTCTTTCTTCACTGTTTTGTGATTTTCCTTGTAGAGGACTTTCACCTCCTTGGGCAAGTGTATTCTTAGCTATTTTTTTGGTAGCTATTATAAATGGGATTGCCTTTTTGATTTCTTTCTCAATTAGTTCATTATTGGTATATAGAAATGCTACTAATTTTTGTATGTTTATTTTATATCCTGCAACTGTACTCAAATTATTTATTAGATTTAAGAGTTTTTGTTGGAGGCTTTAGTTTTTTAGTTTTTTTTCAGATATAAGATCATGTTATCTGCAAAGAGAGACAATTTGACTTCTTGTTTTCCAATTTGAATACCTTTAATGTCTTTATCTTGTCTTATTGCTCTGGCTTGGATTTCCAGTACTATGTCAAAAGAGTGTTGAAAATATATATCCTTGTCTTGCTCCAGTTCTTAGAGTAAAGGCTTTCAGCTTTTCTCCATGCAGTATGATGCTAGCTAGCTGTGGGTTTGTCATATATAGCCTTTATTATGTTGAGATATGTTCCTTTTGTGCTTAGTTTGTTGAGAGTTTTAATCATGGAGGGATGTTGAATTTTATCAAATACTTTTTCTGTATCTATTGACACAGTTATATGGTTTTTGTTCATTTTGTTGATGTGATGTATCACAATTATTAGTTAGCATATGCTTAGTCATCCTGGCATCCCTGGGATAATTATCTGATCATTATGTAATATCTTTTTAATGTGCTGTTGAATTCAGTTTGCTAGTATTTTGTTGAGAATTTTTGCAGCTATGTTAATCAGGGATATTGGCCTGTAGCTTTCTTTTTTTGTTACATTTTTGCCTAGTTTTGGTATCAGGGTAATGCTGGCCTTGTAGAATGAATTAGAAAGAATTTCCTCCTCTTCAACCTTTAGGAATAGTTTGAGGAGAATTGGTATTAATTCTTCTTTGTAAGTTTGATAGACTTAGGCAGTGAGGCTCTCTAGTTCTGGACTTTTCTTTTTTTTGGGGGGAAAGCTTTTATTATTGATTCAATATTGTTACTCATTATTAGGCTATGTAGGTTTCCTATTTCTTCCTGATTCCACCTTGGTAGGTTTCCAGGAATTTGTCTATTGCCTCTAGGTTGTCTAGGTTTTTAATGTATTGTGGTTCATAAAAGTGTATGATGATCTTTTGTATTTCTGTGTTATGAGTTGTAATGTCTTCTTTATCATTTCTGATTTTCTTTATTTGGGTCTTAAGTTTTTTCTTGGTTAGTTTAGATAGTGGTTTATTGATTTTATTTATTCAAAAAATCAACTTTTTGTTTCATTCATTTATATTTTCTTTTAGTCTCCATTTGCCTAGTTCTGCTCTAACCTTTATTATTTCTTTTCTTCTGCAATTTTGGATTTGGTTTGTTCTTGCTTTTCTAGTTCCTTGAGGTATATCATTAGACTATTTATGTAAAATATTTCTACTTTTTTGATGTAGGCATTTATTGTTATAAAATTTCCTCTTGGCACTAGTTATGTTGTATTTCATAGGTTTTGTATGTTGTGTTTCAATTTTTGTTTGTTTCAAGAATCTTTTATGTAATTCCTTAATTTTTTCTTGACCTAATGGTCATTCAGGAGCAAGTTGCTTAATTTCCATGTACTTGTATAGTTCCCAAAGTTCTTGTTATTGGTTTCTAGTTTTATTACTTTTATTAATAATTTTTTATTACTAGTTTTATTTATTATTTTTGTCTTAGAAGATACTTATGATTTCAATTTTTAAAAATTTGTTGAGGCTTTTCTTGGGTCCTAACATATGGCCTACCCTGGAGAATGTTCCATGTGCTAATGAGAAGAATGTGTATTCTATAGCTGTTGGATATAATGTTCTGTAAATATCGGTTAGGTTCATTCAGTCTAAAGTGAAGTTCAAATCCAATGTTTCTTTTTTAATCTCTGTCCACATAATCTGTCTAATGACTAGAGTGGGGTATTGAAGTCTCCCACAATTATCATATTATAGTTTTTCACTCCCTTAATAATATTTGCTTTATATACCTATATGCTCCAGATTTGAGTTCATATATGTTTAGAATTGTTAAGTCCTCTAAATTGATCCCTTTATCATTTTATAATGACCTTCTGTGTCTCTTTTTACTGATTTTGACTTACAGTGTGTTTTATGTGATATAAGTATATTTATTCCTCCTTGCTTTTCATTTCTGTTTGCATGGAAGATCTTTCTCATCCCTTTACTTTCAGTCTCAGTGTGTCTTTATGGGGGAAGTGAGTTTCTTGCAGGCAGCACATTGTTTGGTTATGTTTTGTTACCTATTCAGCTAATCTGTTTCTTTTAAGTAGCATGTTTAATCCATATATGTTCAAAGTTATTATTAATATGTATGGGCTTATTATTTTAATTATATTAATTGTTTTCTGGTTGTTGTATATATCCTTTGTTCTTTTTTTCAGTTATTGTTTATAATTGTGGTTTTGTGTTTTTTTGTAGTTGTAACATTTGAGTTATTTATCTTTCTTACTTGTGTGTTTGTTTTTCCAGTGACTTTTATACTTCTGTGTGTTACTATGTAGATATTATTCTTTTGCTTCCAGGTATAGGACTCCCTTAAGCATTTCTTGTACGGCCAGTATAGTGGTGATTAATTCTCTCAGCTTTTACTTGTTTGGGAAATATTTTATTTTTTCTTCATTTATGAATGGTAGTTTTTCTGAGTATTATATCCTTGCCTGGCAGTTTTTTTTTCTTTTAATACTTTGAACATATCATCCTATTCTTTTCTAACCTGTAAGATTTCTGCTGTGAAATCTAGTGTTAATCTGATGCAGCTTCCTTTATAGGTTTTTATACACTTTTCTCTTGCTGTTTTTAGAATTCTCTGTTTGTCTTTGTCTTCTGACAGTTTGTCTATAATGTACCATTGAGAATACCTTTGTGGTTGTATCTATTTGGGTATCTCTGAGCTTCCTGTACCTGGATGTCTAAGTCTCTTGCTGGACCTGAGAAGTTTTCAGCTATTATTTTGTTAAGTAGATTTTCTATGCCTTTGACCTTCTCTTCATTTTCTGTAACATTCAAAAATCAAATATTGGTCACTTTATGGTATCCCATATGCTATCTAGGCATTATTCGTTCTTTTTTATTTAGTTTTTAATTCATTTTTGTCTGATTTAATGATTTCAAAAGACCTGTCTTCAAGTTGTATGATTTTTTCTTCTGTTCGATCTTATCTCTTGTTGAAGACTTTGTATTTTTAATTTGATTCAAGAAATTCCTTAGTTTCAGGATTTTTCTCTGGTTCTTTTTTATAATACCTATCTCTTTGGTAAATTTTCATTAATATCTTGTGTTGCTTTTTCTGACTTCTTTGTATTATTTATCTGTGTTCTCTTGTATCTCACTTAGCTTTTTAAATATCAATATTTTGAATTCTTTTTCTGGCATTCCATACATTTCTTTTTCATTGAAATCTATTGTTAGAGAATTATTTTATTCCTTTGGAGGTGTCATATTTTCTTGCCTTTTTGTATTAGTCATGTATATTGATATCAGCATCTCTGGTTTAATAATAACTTCTTCCAGTTTATTGAATTTGCTTTCATACAGGAAGGCTTTTTTTCTGGAGATATATCTATGGTGTTGGTTTGTTAGGGCACTGATTCTGGGTGTATGCAGTAGTGTCATCTCCATATAATGTTTTTGGAAGTAAACAGCATCAGTAATGTCTGTGATTTCCTTGGTGGCTTGTTAGTGGAGGATGTTGTGAAATATTGCTGGGGATGAGAATGTCTGGTACCCAGTCCTCAGGCCCCAGTAGTGGTAGTGGTGGGATGAGCATGCCTGTCCTTGTGCCCCAGGGCAGTGTACACTGACATTAGTGTTAGTGGGTTCAGGAGGACTGATTCTTGGGCCTCTAGGCAGCTTTCTCAGAGTGGGCAGTTGGGCAGGTCCTTGGGCACCTGGACTGTAGGTGTGGTGTGGGTGATTGAAGTAGCATTAGCATGACAACCCTCTGCCTCCCATGCAGACTATGCTGGTGTTCATGGTGGCTGCAAAGGCTGGGCATGCCAGTCACCAGTCCCACAGGTGGCATGTGTGGATGGATGTCAGCTGTGGTGGTAGCAACAGGTTGGATGAACCTGTCCTTAGGCCTGTTGGAGGAGTACTCATGCACCAATGGTGGTTGATGGGGAAGATGATTCCCAGGCCCCCACACAGCATGCTTGAGGATTTGGTGGGAGTGGAGCTGGGCTGGGTTGGTCTGTTTTCAGCACCCTCAGTAGTGCATGTGGGCACTGGCTATGGGGGACAAAGGATGGGTATTTCCTAGGCCCCTGGCAGTGTACTTGAGTGGAAGCAGCAGCAGCTACACTGTGGTCCTATTGCTGGGGAAGCGGGGGTTGCTTTCAGTGTCAGCAGCTGTAGGAAGGTGGCTGGGAAATACATGCTTCCATCCTAGGTGGTGGCTGTGGAGGGAGAAGCTTGTCTTTTAGGTGCTTGTAAATGTGTAGTAGCATCTATGCTGGGGGTTAGGGTCACTGCCAATCAGGCATACTTTGATACCTGATGTCAGCAGCCTGCAGTGGTGGCAGCTGTGGGTCAGGGAGTCTGTTTTTAGGACATGTGAAAATCCATGGTAGCCCCACTGCTGGGAGCTACAGATTTGCAGCCAATCAATGGCTCATTCTTCAGCCCTGGCCATTGCTGTAGTTAGGGGATATCACAGGGATCCAGGGATATGGAGATACAGGGGCTGAGTCATCAATACGATGGTGTGCTGTAGCTGCTTAAAGCCCACAGCTTGTGTGGGACTCAGCAGGAACTTCTGTTCTGATGTAATGCTATCGTGTGATGCCCAGACATCTTCTTCTGTTACTCTCAGGGCTTGAGAGGGTAGATGGGCTCTCTCATGGCTAGGATTGCTAGAGTTGCAGTGGAAATGTGGACCACTGGGGCTCTCTCACTTATAATTTCTCCACTTGGGGAGCTCCTCTGGGATCCCAGCTTATCCCAGCTGAGCAGGCTACTTCACTTTGCTCCTCTACCTTGCCTTAGGTGTTCCCTGTCACTTCTCTGTTGAATTATAGTGTTCTTTCTTAGATGATCTATTCAAAGTGTGGTTATCTACTCACTATTTTTGTTTTTCTCTGTGCAGGAGGTACCAGATGCCTCTAGTCAGCCGTCTTATAGCCCCTCCTATATCGTTTTAATTTTTGTATTGGTCAAACTTGCAAAAGGTTGTCTACTTTGTTGATGTTAAAATTTTTTCGTTTTATCGAATTTTGATTTTGTAATTCACACTTCAGGCTTTTATATTTATCCATTCTGTCCTTGTAGCTTAGTTGGATTTATTTTGTTGTTACTTCCTGTGCTTCTTTGTTTGACGTATTAGTTTACTTATTTACATCCCCACCAGCAATGCACAAAAGTTCTAATTCCCCCACATCCTACCAACACTTGTTACTTTCTGTTTTGTTTTTTTTAATTATAAACATCCTAGTGGGTATAAAGTAACATCTCACTGTGGTTTTTATTTTATTTGTATTTTCATAATGAATACTGATATTTAGCATCTTTTCATAGGCCATTGGCTATTTATGTATCTTCTTTGGAGAACCATCTTTTGAAATTTTTTGCCCATTTTTATTGTTTTATTTTAATTGGTGAATTATAAGAATTCTGGATACTCTGGATACCAGATACTTGTCAGACACATGACTTGCAAATATTTTCTCCAATTTTGTGTTTGTGTTGGTTGTGTTTTCATACTTGTGATAGTATTCTGTGACACACAAGAATTTCAAATTTTTACAATTCAATTTATCTGTTTTTCATTGCTTGTACTTTTGGTGTTATATCTAAGAAACCATTGCCTAATACAAGATCATAAAGATTTACATCTAAGTTTCTTCTGAGGCTTCTGTACATATTGCTCTTATATTTAGATCCTAGATCAACTTTGTATTCATTTTTGTATGTGGTATTAGGTAGGGTTCAAATTTATTTTTTTGCATGTGGATATCCAGTTATCCCAGCATTATTTGTTGAAAAGATGATTCTTTTCCAAATTGAATTGACTCTATTATTGATAATCAATTGGCTAATAATATGTGGGTTTATTTCTGGAATCTTAATTCTAATCCATTGATTTTTATGTCTATGCTTACACCAGGAGCACACTGTTTTCATTTTTGTAGCTTTTTAGAGAGTTTTGAAATCAATAGGTGTCTTTCAATTTTGTTCACCTTTTTAAAAATAATTTTGGTTATTCTTGAGTTTGCACATAAAATTTGGAATTTCTGAAAAAACAAAAACTGAGATTTTTATAGGGCTTGTATTGAATCTTTATATCAGTTTTGGGAATATTGTCATCTTAACAATATTGAGTCTTCCAATCCATGTATATGGATGTCTTTTCATTTATTTATGTCTTTAAAATTTTTTTTAAATAATGTCCTGTAGTTTTCATTAAATATCTTACACTTCTTTGGTCAAATTTATTCTTAAATATATTATAATTTTTGATATTACTGTAAATGATATTATTTTATTTTACTTTCTGATTGCTCATTGCTATTGTATAGAAATTTAACTGATTTTTTTGTTGATCTTGAATCTTGCAAATTTGCTTGAATATTTATTAGCTTTAATAGTTGTGTTTTTTGGTGAATTATTGAGGATTTCATATGTATAATATCTTGTCATCTGCCAATGCAGATTAGTTTAATTCTTCTTTTCCAGTTTAAATGACTTTTATTTCTTTTTATTGCCTAATTAGATAGAACTTCTGTTTAATGTTGAATACAAATGATGAGAGTGGTTATCGTTGTCTCATTCCTGATGTTAGGAGGAATGCTTTCACTATTAAGTATAACATTGGCCGATCACAGTGGCTCACACCTGTAATCCCAGCACTTTGGGAGGCCGAGTTGGGTGGATCACCTGAGGTCAGGAGTTTGAGACCAGCCTGGCCAACATGGTGAAACCCCGTTTCTACTAAAAATACAAAAAAAAGTTAGCCAGGTGTGATGGTGTGTGCCTGTAACCTCAGCTACTCGGGAGGCTGAGGCAGGACAATTGCTTGAACCCGGGAGGTGGAGGTTGCAGTGAGCCAAGATTACACCATTGCACTCCAGCCTAGGAGACAGAGTGAGACTCTGATCCCCACCAATGACAAAAAAAAAAAAAAAGTATAATGGTAGCTGTATGAAGTATTTTAGATGCTCTTTATAAGGTTGCTATGGCAGTTTCCTTTTATTCCTAGTTTGCTGAGAGTTTTTATCATAAAAGATTGCTGGGTGATGTCAATTTTGTTTTACTATGTTTGTTGAAATGTTTATGTGGTTCTTTTTTTATTCTAGTAGAAAGGTATATTTCCCTGACTGATTTTTTTTTATGTCGAACAAACCTTGCACTCCTGGGATAAATCCCACATGGTAATGGTATGTAAGTTTTTCTTTTAATGCTTCTGGTATGTAAGTTATTCTTCCAATTTGTTAGCATTTTGTTGAGTATTTTTTGCATGTATATTCATAAGAGCTATTGGTCTATAGTTTTATTTTCTGAGATTTTTTTTCTTGTTTTGGTATAAAGATATTAGCAACTTCATAGAATAAGTTATGAATTGTTCCTCTTTTTTTTTTTTTTTTTTTTTTTTTTTTTTTTTGAGACAGAGTCTTGCTGTGTCGCCCAGGCTGGAGTGCAGTGGCGCGATCTCGACTCACTGTAAGCTCCGCCTTCTGGGTTCACGCCATTCTCCTGCCTCAGCCTCCCGAATAGCTGAGAATACAGGCCCCTGTCACCACGCCCGGCTAATTTTTTGTATTTTTAGTAGAGACAGGGTTTCACCGTGTTAGCCAGGAGGGTCTCCATCTCCTAACCTCGTGATCCGCCCACCTCGGCCTCCGAAAGTGCTGGGATTACAAGCATTAGCCACCGTGCCCAGCCTGTTCCTCTCTTTTATGTATTGAAAGAGTTTGTGGAGGATTGGTGTTCATTCTTTAAATATTCAGTTGAATTTACCATTGAAACCATGGAGTCCTGGCTAAACAAGCCTGGGGTTGGTTTTGTTGAAAACTTTTTGATTGTAACTCAATAGCTTTTCTTGTCATCTCCTCTTTCATTTGTGATGTTAGTAATCCTGTCACTTTTTTTCTTGGTTGATCTAGCTAAAGATTTATCAATTTTGTTGACCTTCTGAAAGAATCAATATTTATTTTTGTTGATTTGATCTATTGATTTTGTTTTCAGATTATTTATTTATTTCTGCCTTAATCTTTATTTTTTCCTTCCTTCTGTTTGCTTTGGGTTTAATTTTATCTTATTTTCTAGGTTTTTTTTTTTTTTTTGGTGGTAGGCTGGTTATTGATTTGAGATCTTTTTTTTGTTTTAATGTTGTTTATAGCTGTAAATTTCTCTTAGTATTGCCTTCATGGCATCCCATAAGTTTTTGTATATTATTTTTTATTCATATTATGGTATATCCTAATGACTTTGACTAAGAGGTTGCTTAGAAATAATGTTTAATTTCCACATATTGGTAAATATTTTAAATTTCTGCCTTTGATTGATATCTGATTTCATTCATTTGTGGCTGAAGACTATACATTATGTGATTTCAATTATTTTAAATGTTTTAGGATTTGTTTTATGACCTAAGATAACATACTCTGGAGAATATTCCATGGGCACTTGAGAATAATGTATATTCTGGTGTTGCTTGGTGAGGTGTTCTATAGATGTCTGTTAGGTCTATATTCTGGTTTTGCTGGGTGGATTGTTCTACAAATGTCTGTTAGGCCTAGTTGGTTCATAGTGTCATTTGAGTCTTCTATTTTATTTCCTATTTTTTGTCTGGTTGTTCTATGCATATGCATTACTGACAATGAAGTACAGTTTGATCATCCCAAATCCAAAATCCAGAATCTGAACTACTTCAAAATTAGAAACTTCTTGAGTACCAACATGATGTTCAAAGGAGATCACTGGAGCATTGTGAATTTTGATACTTTTGGGTTTGTGATGCTTAACCAGTAAGAATAATGTGAATATTCCAAAATCTGAAAAAATCTGAAACTTGAAACACTTCTGGTCCAAAGCATTTTGAATAAGGGAAAATCAACCCATATTAAAATGGCCAATTAATATTGTTGAATTGTCTATTCCTCTGATTCTGTCAGGTTTTGCTTCACGTGTTTTGGGGCTCTTTAGTTAGGTGCATATATGTTATAATTGCTATGTCCTCTTGACAGGTTAACAATTTTATCATTATAAAATTTTCTTCTTTTTCTCTCATTACAACTTTTGTCATAAATTCTATTTTGTCTGGTATTAGTATAGCCACTTCAGCTTTCTTTTGGTTACTGTTTGCATAGAATATCTTTTTCTATTCTTTCTTTAGTAAAAATAAAATCTTTCGGCCGGGCGCGGTGGCTCACGCCTGTAATCCCAGCACTTTGGGAGGCCGAGGCGGGCGGATCACGAGGTCAGGAGATCGAGACCATCCTGGCTAACACGGTGAAACCCCGTCTCTACTAAAAATACAAAAAATTAGCCGGGCGAGGTGGCGGGCACCTGTAGTCCCAGCTACTCGGGAGGCTGAGGCAGGAGAATGGCGTGAACCCCAGGGGGCGGAGCCTGCAGTGAGCCGAGATTGCGCCACTGCACTCCAGCCTGGGCGACAGCAAGACTCCGTCTCAAAAAAAAAAATAAAATAAAATAAAAATAAAAAAAAATAAAATCTTTCCATATACTTGTCTTTGCATCTAAGATGAATCTCTCATAGATTCCAATCTCTTTATTAGAATGTTTTGTCCATTTACATTTAATATAATTACGGATGAAAGAGGATTTACTTTTTCCATTTTGCTGTTTGTTTTCTATACTTCTTACATCTTTTTTGTTTCTCCATTTCTCCATTCCTGCTTTTTCTTGTGTACTAGATAATTTCTAGTGTACCATTGTAATTCCCTTGTAATTTATTTTACTATTTTTTCAGTTATTTTTATTATGGTTGTGCTCATGATTACAATTAACATATTAATATATAGCAATCTATTTCATATTAATGCCAACTTTATTTCAATAAGTTTCTGCCAAGTTTTGTATATCCACTTATTTGTTGATGGACGTTTGAGTTGTTTCTACCTTTTGACTTTGGTTGATAAGGCTGCTATGAACATTGTGGTACAAGTATCTGTTTGAGTCTTTGCTTTAAATTCTTTTGAGTGTATACTTAAGAGTGAAATTTCTGTATCATAATTCTATGTTTAAAAACAACAAAAATGTTATTTTATACAGATCTATTCCCCCTTTTTATACTGTTATGATCAGAAATTACATCTTTATATCTTTGTGGCCATAAACATAAATTTTTAATTATTGCTTTATGCAGTTGTATTTTAAATCAGACAGAAAAAAATAATTACAAAGAAAATTTATACTGTCTCTTATATTTACCTGGATAGGCAACTTTGTTGGTGTTCTTCATTTTTTCATGTGAATTTGAATTTCAGTCTTGTGACCTTTCCTTTCAATCTGAGGAATTTCCTTTAGTTTTTCTTGTTGGGCAGTTCTTCTAATTATAAATGCCTTCAGTTTTTATTTATCTGGAAGTGCCTTTATTTCTTTCATTTTTGAAGGATAGGTAGGTATAAAATTCTTGACTGACAGTATTATTATTTCAGCATTTTGAATAAGTTGTCTGATTGTCCTCTGGCCTTCATAATCTTTCATGAAAAATCAGCTATTTATCTTATTAGGGGGTCCTTTGTCATGATGAGTTGTTTTTCTCTTACTGCTTTTAAGATTCTCTCTTTGTGTTTGTCTTTTGCCAGTTTGATTTGGTTTGTCTAGGTGCTGATCTCTTTAGCTTTATTCTATGTGGAGTCCACTGAGCTTCTTGGATGTGTAGATTAATGATTTTTTAAATAAAATTTAGGGATTTCTAAATTAGAGATTTCTATTTAGCCATTATTTCTTCAGATACTCTTTCTGTTACTTTCTCTCTCTATTCTCCCTTTGTTATTCTTATTATGTGTAAGTTGTTATGCTGGATGGTGTCTTATAGTTCTCTAAAGCTCTGCTCACTCTTTTTTATTCTTTTTCCTATCACTCAGGCTACATTATGTTATTTTTTAATTTTTAAAATCTAATTATTTTTTAATTGACAAGTAATAATTGTACATATTTACAGGGGGTACATAGTGATATTTTGATACATATAATGTATAGTGATCAGATCAATGTAGTTCACATATACATCATCTCAAACATTTATCATTTCTTTGTGTTGGGAACATTCAATATCCTCCCTCTAGCTACTTAAAACTATGTATTATTGTTAACTATAGTATTTGTGACTATTACTTTGTGTTTGAAAATAATGCATGCTCTTTCTTTGCTACATTCAGGAATCTACATATGTCTTAATATAATGTTTAGTCATATAGGCTCTAGCTTTGCACAGGTGTGATTCCTTTTAAATTGTTGCTATCTGAAAGGAATGTTTAAAAGTTTTCCTCAGCAATTGTGGATTTGTCAATTTTTCTTTTGATTTATATAATCTCTGTTTTGTATACTTTAGTGATATATGATTCGGTATATCATGATTGATGATTGTAGCATATTTTATAAATTTCATCTTTGATCAATATGTGTCATTCTAAATTATTTTATATAATGTTATTTTGCCTAAATAACATTTATATAGTTCCTCTTTGTTGATATACACAAATGAAGTTAAATATATATTGAATTATATATGCATATATACATATATAATTTTAAAATTTCACTTTTGTCATTTTGTACTAAATATATCTCTTATAAATATTATTTAACTAAATTTTTTTGTCTATGTAAACAAAAGCAGAACATTTCTCCTTTTGAATAAGTGAGTTTACCTAATTCCCAATTGGTTTTGAAAAGTCTAAAACAAATTTTTGTTTGTACATTCACTCTCTCCATTTTTAAACCAAAATTTCTATTAGGTGGATACTGGAATTTCTGGCTCTATTGTAAATATATTCTATCTTTTATGTCATACTTTTAGTCTTTTGGTATTTTGTCATCTGTTCCATGAGCATTCCTGGGCGTCACATTCCAGCTCACTAATTGTCTCTATTTTGTTAAGTTTCAAAAATTGTGATAAAGTATACATAACATAAAATTTACAATCTTAACAATTTTTAAGTGTAAATTTCAGCGGCATTGAGTGTATTCACAGTGTTGTAAAACTATCATCATTATCTATTTTCAGAACTTTAAAAATCATCCCAAACAGATCTATGTACCTGTTGAGCAATAATTCCCCATTCTTTACACCCCTCAGCTCCTGGTAACCTCGATTCTACATTGTCTCTACAAATTTGCCTATTCTAGGGTACCTAATGTAAGTAGAATCATACAATATTTGTCCTCTTATGTCTGTATATTTTACTTAGCATAATTTTATTAAAGTTCATTTATTTTTAATCATATATTAAAATTGTATTATTAAGACTGAATAATATTCCATTGTAAGTTTATACCACATTTTGTTATCCATTTATATGTTGATGGAGATTTGCCCTGGGCATTTCTCTGTTGGTAGTTTTTTGATTACTGATTCAATTTCCATATAAGTTATATGCCCATTAAGATTTTCTATTTCTTCATGCATCAGTCTTGGTAGGTTGGGTGTTTCTAGAAGTCTGTTCATTTTGCCTAGTTTATGCCATCTGTTGGAGTACAATTTTTTTGTAATGCTCTTTTATAACCTTTTTTGTTTCTGTAAAATTGGTAGTGATGTCCCCATTTTATTTTAGATTTTGGTAATTTGAGACATTTTTATTTCTTAGTCAATCTAGCTAAAGGTATGTTAATTTTGTTAATCTTTTTGAAGAACCAGACTAGTTCATTGATGTTAGCTATTGTTTTTCTATCTTCTAGTTTATTTACCTACACTCTTGCTTGAATAGAAACCACTTAAAATGTTCATTTTCTTTTTTTCACACTTTAGGAGAAGGGCCTGTAAATTACTATCTGTGGATCAAATCTTGCCTGCCACTTGTTTTGTAAATAAAGTTTTATTGGAATATATGCATGCTCATTTGTTTATGTACTGTTTTCATGTTGCAGTGGCAGAGTTGAGTAGTTCTAACATAGACTGTATGGCTTCCAAAGCCTAAAATATTTACTATTTTGCTCTTTACAAAAAAGTTTGCTGACTCCTGCTCTAAGAAGCTTTCAAATAGATTTATATCTAAAATGCAGCAATGGCCAAATTTATAGTAATGATTTCTTTTGCCAGGAAGATGGAAGGTTTTCTTACTGTAAAACATTTGCAGATTTTAATACTTCTCTCTGCCATGCCTTGTTTAACAGACAGATAGGCATGGAGAAGGCACCATGTGGCAGTAAGGGAGGTGGGTGCTAAGGGTGTATCACAACACTGGGAAGCATATTCCTTAACATTAGGAGTTTATGTGATTTAGCTGAAGAGAGAACACCTGTATTAGTTAAAAGGGAATATTTAGCAGCATTTAAACAAAAGCTATTTCACATGTCACTAAGTATACTATAAGAATTTCCAGAAAGAAGTATCATCCTTTGTCTAATAGTTCAGAGGATTTCTATTAGTAAATGAAAAATGACAGCCTCATTTTATCCTCCAAATATGTCAAAATTATCTTGAGTTGTTGGGTACCAGAACTGATAGGTGTCATGTATTTAAGCCCATTTGAAAAATACATTTCAATAATGGAGTGAGACTCTGTCTCAAAAAAATTTCAAATGTCTTTTCTCAATTGAAAAAACCTATTATTTCTAGATAGATAAGTAAATAACCTTTGCAAACTCGAGCCACACTTTTCCCCTTTCTTTTAAAATTCAGCTTAATATAATTGAAAACTGAAGTCTGACTCTCCAAGCCTATAAGGGATAAAAGAGAGACAGGATAGATAGAAATAACTGGCAACGAGGAGTTACTGGGCTTTGGCTCCATGGGAGACAATAGTGGTTTCATAGAAGGCAATGGTGGACTCTTAGTCAACTGAAGCTTGGGTGGAACTTAGCTGCATAATTAAGAAGCTGAATCTGTTTTATTTTATTTTTCTATAACATAAAGAGTGTGAAAAGGTCATTTTAATGTTCAGAGAGTGGCTTCTCTTGGAAAATATCCCCGAACATACCATGGAGCAGTGTCAACTGTAGTATAAAATGTCCTAGAAATCTTGCAATTTATGAGTTTAATGGCACACCTGAGGATTACGAGGTTTTTTCCGTCCACTCATAATAGCCCGGTGACTGATTTAGCAGAGAGGAAGCAAAATGAACAATCTTGATCACCTTTTAACATTTTTCCTGTCTTGCTGACTTCAGAGCTTTAGGGGTACAGCATTTGCAGGAATTGTATGTCTTTTTGGCAATACTTTAAAATCAAACTCAAAAGATGAAGAAGAAAAATGGTTATTAGATAGTTATAAATATGTCATTATTTGCAAATGGTATTGCTTTGTGGATATGAAGCTCTTCATTGCTCATCTGTTTTTAAGTTCAACGATCCACATATAAAGGTGTAAGGACTTATTGACATTGTGCTTCCTCTCTGTTGACACCATTAGCCCGAGAACTAAGGACAATGGATAGCTGTATATAAGTTCAAGTTCTGCATCTACTTCTTAGTTTCCCTTTCCATCCTTCAGTTGTGTTTGTTTTTTTTTTGAAATCTGTAAAGTAGGAATAATAATAAAGTTACTATTCTTTGTAGGGTTTTGAAGGATTTTCTTGAGATAATGTAAAGTACCAGGCATATAATTAGCCTAAATGTAACTCAACCGTGTTTTTTTATTTTAATATACATGTCACTACCCATCTCTAGTGCAGAGAATCAACAGAATACAAATAATTTTGAAGATTCATATAATATTCACACGTTGCAAAATCTTGTTTGTGGAGCCCTCATTGTAGCCTGTATGATTCAAACGATGCCACGTAGTCCTTTAAACATTTCCAGATATTAAGGAATTTTACACTGTTGTGTCACTTTTTAAATGTCTGCATTTTTCTGTCTCTCTCTCTCTCAATCTCTCTGAATTTGTTTATCCAGTGAATAAAATTAGGAAGAAGTGGATGCTGTAAGAATATTTATGTGTTTAAAGGTTGTGGTTGCCCCATTATAGTTACTTACCAGCAGCTTCAGCACGCAGTCAGAGACTGTAGAAAAAAGAATCATTCTTTTCTCTGATTTGAGGATGCATCTCCAGAGTGTTTCTGGGGTAATGGATCTAAAATCAAAATTTTAAATGCTAGTTTTTAAGTGTGAATTTTTCTTCAGCACTTTTGTTCTCTCCTTATAACCTTTTATTTCATTGAGTTCCAGAGAGCAGACAGCTTAGGTTTCTTGATTTGGCAGATCAATGAGGAAGGATAACTAAAGAAAGTTTAAAGGTATCTTTTATACCAAAATACCTCACTTCTCTTTCATTGCAGGTGTAGTTAAAAGCACTAATGCCATACCCTAGTTTTCTCACCTCTATTCTTATTATACTTGCTTTCTATGCTTAAGATGGCAATTAACTTAAATATCTGAGTTCATGTAGTTCATCTAGTAGATAAACAGTATCAGTGCTACCTGGATGTATTTTTGCATCACTTATTTGCATGATAGTGTTCAAAAATTTTTGTGAATTTCAACCACAGAAAAGACATAATAGGGCAATTCTCAAAGGAAAATATAGAAATGACCCAGTACAAGAACAGTAAAATATCTTTCCACCTGTTAATTTGGTAAAGATCAGAATGTGTGTGTTATGGTTTGAATGTCTATGACCCTCCAAAATTCATATATTGGAACTTAAACCCCAAGGTGATGATATTAAATGGTATGGTCTTTGGGAAGTGATTAGGCTGTGAGGGCTTTGCCCTCATAAATGGGATTAATGTGGGTATAAAAGAGGAATCAGAGAGCTGCCTGGCTTTTCCATCTCTTCTGCCATGTGAGGGCAGTGTCTGTCTCTTTCCCTTTCTGCCATGTGAGGACACAACAAGAAGTCACCATCTTGAAAACAGAGAGCAGCCATCACCAGACACCAAATCTGCCAGTGCCTTGATCTTGGACTGCTCAACCTCTAAAACTGGGAGAAATAAATTTCATTATTTATAAATTACCCAGTCTGGGTATGTTTTTAATAGCAGCATGGATGGACAAAGACAGTGTGTAACACTCAGTATCAACAAACTCCAAGGAAATGGGCACCCTGATACTCTATTGTGTAGTGTAAATTCACACAAATTTTGGAGAGCAATTTGGCAATATATATCAAAATCTTAAAAAAGTTCTAGGCACAAGAACCCTGTTTTAGAAATTAAGTCTATTGGAGTAGTCTGCAGGAAGTTGTGTCTGTAAATTTGTTTATCACAGTTCTGTTTATACTGGAAGATAACCCTCAAGAAATGTTATATATCTAATAATAGAGGATTACAATTACATGATGAAATTTTGTATAGACATCAAAATTATATTATATATATTATATATTATAGAAAAATAAAAATGTTTATGAAATGTGAAGGAAAAAATATCATAGGTTATAAAACAGTTTTCCTTCAAGCCCATTTCGGTTAAATTTATATATTTATGTTATATTCTGTAAATATTTATATTGAAATGTCCACAGTAACTGTATATAATGGAAGTTGCAGTAATGCTAACAGGTTTTCCTGACTTATCTATATATTTTTCAATTTGCTACAATAAACATATATTTTTTCTAGATGGATAAACAAAGCTGCTTTTTTATTTTAAACAAAAGAGATCAGTAAGATTATTTTATTTTCCAATCAGATTCTAAGCTCTCTGGGGCAAGATTCAGCTTATGAAGTATCAGATAACAAACATAATAGATAAATCTTTGTTTTTCAGCTATGTGGATTATTTTTCTAAAGCAGTCTGGATGAATTTTTTAGGGAAAGATCAACTCTTTAAAAAATTTACATTTTTCTTTTGTTGAATAAGACCAATAGCATTGATGCTATTATAAAAGATAAATAAAAACCACAGAAAAATAAACTTGGTTGAGCCTGTTGGGAAAACATTTATGGACAAACTATATTTTCAAAGAGCTTTGACTAACATCACTTTAAATCTTAAATCTTTCTTGTCCTTCTGGGTGTTCTTTCATGAATGAAAAAAACAGAAAGGCTTAAAAAAGAAATTCCTGCTCACCATCTCCCTAAAGCACCATCTCCCTTGCTGCTTTCGGTTGACTCTCATCAGTTCCTGAGTTCTAGCTAAAAGGTGCTTCTTGAATATTTCTCAAATTTTTAATATTCCTGAAATAAGATTATAGGGATGCAAATGATTTTCTCAACAGGTATTACCTAGAAGTCTACTTTCTAAGTATAATGTTTGGGTTAGTTGCCTGAGAACAGGATGGTGTTTTCTATGCCCTGGGCATAGAAATTTTATCAATGAGAGAATCTGGCTGATTAGCTTGAGCTTATTAATATTGGTGAGCATTTTTAGGTTTGGGGTAGCTTATTTTATGGTTCTTTTGCAAGGAAATTGCAGAATTACATAAATTTTTGTTTATTGTGTCTCTGGCTCTTCTTGCAGTTGGGACTTCACATCATTGGAAGGTGAATAGAAAAGTATGTCTTAAGAATTTCACCATGTTTTGGAAGAATTGCAGCAAGAAAAAAAGAACTCCTTTGTTTCCACCCCATTTCTTTTAAGGAAAACCTGGAATATCTGAGGGTGCAAGCTGAGAAAAGTCTGCTTATCTGTTCCCTACTCTGGCAATCAAAAAGGATCCAAGTCTACTGTTCTCTTCTCCTGGCACTCTTAACTTGCACACATTGCAACCTTTTATGGCAAAGTAATGGTCAAGCTATCCTAACAAGGACGAGCCCTTATTAAATAATTCACTGTGGTTGGGAAATGGTGAGGAAGCCATCTTCTTTTGTCTTCTTTTCTCTGAAAATAAAATTTTGTCTAATTTTGTATTAAGGACATTTGGGCTTCACTTTATTACATTCTCTACTTTCTTTAATAGCTCGAAGCTCATGACAGTACATGTCTGGTCTTGCAAAACAAGATGAATTTGTTAAATTAAACTTTTAAAAAAAATCAGTGTAACTGGCCATCTTTCATTATAAAATATTTTTTCTCTCAATTCAAGCCAATTGTGTGGGGTATGTGTGTTGTGTGTGTGTGTGTGTGTGTGTGTGTGTCTGCCTTTATGTGCTGCCTGAAAGCCATATGTCCTTCCTCAGGATAGAATTTTTAATTCTAGGTAATAAATCTCAAACTTTTGAGAACTAAACTGGAAATGCCACCTCTGACTTATCAATTGTTTCTGGCCTGTGCTTCTACAAAACACACAGCACATATTTTCTAACCATAATTGAAACCATTTTAAAATAGTGTTTTTGGAGGAGTGAATCTATGTGAAACTTCTGTAAGCTATTTGTAGGACAGCCGTGAAAATCCTCCATGTTCTATGCATTGGATTTTTTTTCCTCCTTACTCACAAGGATCATCTTCAGGTTAATATCACAGAAATTGGGACAACTTAGTGTTCGAGAAATAGAGAAATAGCTCAAGGAGCTATTAGATACCAACCCATACCATGTTGTTTTCTGAGGGTGGGAGAAACTAGAAGAAAGTTTGACATTACTCTCATTCCATGAGACAACCTCAAGAACACAAACCCAAACTATCCAGGTAGGACTTTTAGTTTAGGGAGACCACCAAAAGAACTGGAGCCCATTTCCTCTGGTGATTCAACAAGATTAACAGCCCCTCCTGAAGTTTTTGTCCAGTGGCCTAGAATCTAAATATGTGCTCATACCCAGTTCTTTGTCTTCAATTCCCGAGTCTTCTGTGTGACTCATTCTGAAAGTCCAGGTGTGGAAGGGAGAGGCGCATGGAGGAAAAAGCCAGGCTCAGAATTTATATTTGTTTAATGCCACATGTTCCCAAACTATTTCTGGGCTGTTTCAAAAACTGGTCTGCACAGATATTAATCTCTGTAACCATATGTCTGAAACATTTCATCACTGGGAAACAGCTGAAAGTAGTTGGTGAGGCTCTGTGGGATCCATGTTAGGTATTGTAAGTATGGTCAGAAGAAGAGCCTGTATCTGGAGCTTATGGGAAAATAATGAGAAATGCCTGTACCTCCTCTTTCTTATTTTTGAGGTTGGCTGCATGACTACAGTTGTTAGGCCCAGGTAAGTTTATTCCCAAAGAGTAAGGGTTGGGATGGATGGTATGTGTGGATTATCTCAGGCAGGAGATGAGGTCAAATGAAGTTTTCCTGGAATCATCTTGTTAACCAGGTGTATTATTTTTTAACCCAAGTCATCACAACAACAACAACTTTTTTTCATATCATGTTTTCTCAAAAGTATATTATGCAAATAAAAATCTAAAACAAGAGAAATACACCATACCTAAGATCACCTCTTATTCCATATAAGTAGGACTAGTTTTTAATTGGCTCTTCCAAATGTTTGATTTATTTTGGGAGGGTGGTCATAAAAATGATACATACATACCTTTAACATTTTCATTTAACATAAGGCATGAAACTATGCAATTATTTTCCAATCTTTTGATGTAAGGCCAACCTTTACTTTGAATGGGTGGTAGCTGATTGAAGTTCTACTTTGTGTTTCTTGCAAAAACCACACCAATAATATATCTTCTGCAATTTCCAGTTTGGGTTTCTCTGAAGCAAAGCAAGAATTGAAAGCTGTGTGCAAAGGCATCAGAGTGCAGAATCTTCTTGTATTTTGTACAATATGTATACCACCCCAACTTTAATTGTTTCTGGCATAACTAATTCAAGTTATTTTGACAGTTCAAATTTATTTAGTCTCTACAAAACATTCAATTGTTCATAGATAAAATGCTCATTTTCTTTTCCTACTCAAATTTCATCAATGTGTGCCATATTTAATTAAACTTAATTACAATAGTATAAACTACTTGGAAATAAGCACAATACTTGTGAGATGGATGTAGGGGGCCTCAGGTATTAGAGAGTAGTTGTCTAAATCTCTGCATTCTGAACCTATGGGCATCAGTCAGTGTGTTACAGAGGATGGGAGGAATTAGTTAACTTCATGAATCCCTAAAGCAAACGTCAATTAAGATGACGTATCCTGTAGGATGGACTAAATAATGCTGCAGCAAGGAATACTTCCCAAATTGTCATGGCTTGCGATAAGTCTTATGTTTTTCTCATGTTTTATGTCCATTATGGATCTTGCCCTGGTACCCAGCCTGATGCAGCAGCTGCTCTCTGGATCATGCCTCATCGCTGTGGCAGAGCTTATTGCAAATGAGTAACTCTACCTGGGAGTGACACATAACTCCACTCACAATTCATTGTCCAAAATAAGTCAATGACCACACCTAACTTCAGTGGGACAAAGAAACACTATCCTACTCTGTGCTTAGAAGGAAGAAAGATGAAAATATTTGGTGATGGCTCTATGACTACCATGGATAGCTTTTATTTTAATATTGTACATTAATAGCGCTCTCTTTCAGTATACTTACAATCAGTATGCTAAGTGATTGCTTTATAGTATAACCTCAGTGAATGCCTTAAGACAACCTTGCCAAGTTGGTACTATCATGCCTATTCTACAGATGTGGAAATGAAACACACAGAAGATAAATACTTGCCAAAGATGGATCAGCACTAATCACAACTTGAGCTCAGTAGTTTGATGCCAGGGTGGACGTTCTGAGCACCTATGCTTTAGCTTCCTCTCATAAGGGAGGAGAATGACAGCTGGACCCCAGTAGACACGTATTTGAGTTGATGATAAAGTCAGCTACAATGCTGGGCTCAGCTTTGTCACAAACCATCCCAGGATTTTCTCTGTAAGATGGGGCTAGCATTACTTTGCTCTACTATTTGCCCCACAGATAATTTAAGAGTCATTTTCTCTATGCCATACCAGCCTTAAATCCAAGACCTGCACTGTCCAGTACAGCAGACACAAGCCCCATGTGACCACTGAGCACTTGAAATATGGCTACTTTGAATTGAGGTATGTTATAAAATATACTCAGGATTTCAAAGAATTAATATGCAAAAGCAGTATATCTCACTAGTAATTTTTCGTATTGCTTATATGAATGACAAGTGTACATATATTGGATTAAGTAAAATGTATTATTAATATTAACTTTAGCTGTTTTTAAAAAAAATTTTGAATGTGTATAAATATTTCAAAATTACATATGTAACACATCATATTTCTTCTTTTTTTCTTGAGACAGAGTCTCGCTCTGTTGCCCAGGCTGGAGTGCAGTGGCACAGTCTCGGCTAACTGCAACCTCCACCTCTCTGGTTCAAGCAATTCCCTGCCTCAGCCTCCCGAGTAGCTGGGATTACATCCACATGCCTCCACACCCAGCTAATTTTTTTATATTTTTAGTTTCACCATGTTGGCCAGACTGGCCTCGAACTCCTGATCTCAGGCAATCCGTCTGCCTCGGCCTCCCAAAGTGCTGGGATTACAGGCATGAGCCACCGTGCCCAGCCTTAATTTTTCACTTCAATAGTTTTTTGGGAAAAGGTGGTTTTTGGTTACATAAATAAGTTATTTAGTGGTAATTCTGAGATTCTGGTGCACCCATCATCTGAGCAGTGTATACTGTACCCAGTGTGTAGTCTTTTATTCCTCGCCCTCCTCCCATCCTTCCCACTGAGTTGCCAAAATCCATTATATCATTCTTATGTCTTTTCATCCTCATAACTTAGCTTCCATTTAAAAGTGAGATCATATGGTATTTGGTTTTCCATTTCTGAGTTACTTCACTTAAAATAATGGTCTCCAATTCCATCCAGGTCACTGCAAATGTCATTATTTCAATCTTTTTTATGGCTGAGTAATATTCCACAGTGTATATATACCACATTTTCTTCATCTAGTTGTTGATTGATGGGCATTTAGGCTGGTTCTACTTTTTTTTTTTTTTGCAGTTGAGAATTGTGCTGCTATATACTGCATGCACAAGTGTCTTTTTCATATAATGACTTATTTTCCTATGGGTAGATACCCAATAGTGGGATTACTGGATCAAATAGTAGTTCTACTTTTAGCTGTTTAAGGAATCTCCATACTGTTTTTCATAGTGGTTGTACTGGTTTACATTTCCACCAGCAGTTTAAAAGTGTTCCCTTTTCACCACATCCATGCCAACATCTATTTTTTTTTAATTTTAAAATTATGTCCATTCTTGCAGGAGTAAAGTGGTGTCTCATTGTGGTTTCAGTTTGTGTTTTACTGATAATTAGTGATGTTGAGCATTTTTTCATATGTTCCATGGCCACTTGTATATCTGCTTTTGAGAATTGTCTATTCATGTGCTTTGCCCACTTTTTGATGGTATTGTTTGTTTTTTCTTGCTGATTTGTTTGACTTCTCTGTAGATTCTGGATATTAGTCTTCTGTCAGATTTATAGATTGTGAAGATTCTCTCCCACTCTGTGCATTGTCTGTTAACTTTGTTGATTATTTCTTTTGCTGTGCAAGAGCTTTTTAGTTTAATTAAGTCCATTCTATTTGTCTTTGCTTTTGTGGCATTTGCTTTTGGGTTCTTGGACATGAAGTCTTTGCCTAAGCCAGTGTCTAGAAGGGTTTTTCCAATGTTATCTTCTAGAATTTTTATGGATTCAGGTATTAGATTTAAGTCTTTGGTCCATCTTAAGTTGAGTTGATTTTTGTATAAGGTGAGAGATGAACATTAAGTTTCATTATTCCACAGGTGGCTAGCCAACTATCCCAGCACCATTTGTTGAATAGGTTGTCCTTTCCCCACTTTATGTTTTTGTTTGCATTGCCAAAGATCAGTTCACTGTAAGTATTAATATTTGGCTTTATTTCTCAGTTCTTTATTCTGTTCCATTGTTCTATGTGCCTCTTTTTATACCAGTACCATGCTGTTTTGGTAACTACAGCCTTGTAGTATAGTTTGAAGTTGGGTAATGTGATGCCTCCAGATTTGTTCATTTGCTTAGTATTGCTTTGGCTATGTGGGCTCTTTTTTGTTGCATATGAATTTCAGGATTGTTTTTTCTAGGCCTGTGAAGAATGATGATGGTAGATGGGAATTGCATTTAATTCATAGATTGCTTTTGGCAGTATAATTATTTTCCCAATATTGATTCTACCTGTTCATGAGCATGGTATGTGTTTCCATTTGCTTGTGTTGTCTATGATTACTTTCAGCAGTGTTTTGTAGTTTTCCTTGTATAGATTTTTCGCCTCCTTGGTTAGGTGTATTTCTAAGTATTTGATATTTTTGCAGCTGTTATAAAAGGGATTGAGTTCTTGATTTGTTTCTCACCTTGGTGGTTGTTGGTGCACAGTAGTGCTACTGATTTGTGTACATTGATTTTGTATCCTGAAACTTTACTGAATTCATTTATCAGATCTAGGAGCTTTATGGATGAGTCTTTAGGGCTTTCTAGGTATATAACCATATTATTGATGAACAGTGATGGTTTGTCTTCCTCTTTACCAGATTGGATGCCCTTTATTTCTTTCTCTTGTCTGATTGATCTGGCTAGGACTTCCCATACTGCATAAGCGGTGAAAGTGGGTATCCTTGTCTTGTTCCATTTCTTAGGGAGAATGCTTTCAACTTTTCCCCATTTAGTATAATGCTGGCTGTGGGTTTGTCATAGATGGCTTTTGAGGTATGTCCTTTCTACGCCAATTTTTTGGAGGGTTTTATTCATAAAGAGATGTTGAATTTTGTCCAGTGTTTTTTCGGCATCTATTGAGATGATCATCTGATTTTTGTTTTTAATTCTGTTTATGTGATATATCATATTTACTGACTTGTGTATGTTAAATTATTCCTGCAGCCCTCATAAAACACCTACCTGATCGTGGTGTTTTATCTTTTTGGTATGCTCTTGGATTTGGCTAGCTAGTATTTTGTTGAGGATTTTTGCATCTATGTTCATCAGGGATATTGGCCTGTAACTTTCTTTTGTTGTTATGTCCTTTCCTGGTTTTGGTATTAGGTGACACTTACTTCATAGAATGATTCAGGGATGATTCTCTTTTTCTCTATCTTTTGGAATAATTTCAGTAAGATAGGTGCCAATTCTTCTTTGAATGTCTGATAGAATTCAGCTGTGAATCCATCTGGTCCTGGACCTTTTTTTTGGTTGGCAATTTTATAATTATTATTTCAACCTCAATACTTGTTATTGGTCAGTTCACAGTTTTTATTTCTTCTTGATTTAAGCTAGGAGGGTTTTATATTTCCAGGAATTTATCCAACTTCTCTTGGTTTTCTAGTTTGTGTGCATAAAGGTATTCACAGTAGCCTTGAATGATCTTTTGTATTTCTATGGTATCGGTTCTAACATCTCCAGTTTCATTTTTAATTGAGCTTATTTGGATCTTCTCTCTTCTTTTATTGATTAATCTCACTAATGGTCAATCAAGTTTATTTATCTTTTCAAAGAACCAGCTTTTTGTTTCATTTTTTTTTGTATATTTTTTGTTTCAATTTTATTTAGTTCTGCTCTGATCTTTGTTATTTCTTTTCTTCTGCTGGGTTTGGGTTTGGTTTGTTCTTGTTTCTCTGGTTCCTTTTCAGTAGTTAGGGGTTAAATTAAACTCAGAAATCAGTCTATGCATACCCTGACCTCAGAGATGATGCTGTTCCACCACACCTTTGCTGGGCTTGCATTCTACTTTGGAATTCCACGTCTTGAGAATTATCTCTTTAATGGCAAAAGTGCCAATAAGCCTTTCCCAATTTTCTCCATTGTGAAAGTAACATCTCTTATATCATAATGTATATAATATCCATGTCAATGTATTTTGGGTGTAAAGGGTGAAAGTTAGGAAGTATCCAGTTGGAATTCTGTGTAAAGTGCACTGAATCTGGGGAGGCAGAGAATGCTCTACTTACAATAGCTTTCTCCTCCCCCAAACTATTTGCCTTCCGTTTAATTCCTCAGCACCTTCTCTCTTTATCCCAGGCTTTTGCTCGAATCTGCCATCTTTTCAATTAGGTAAAGAAATCTGGACAAATATTTCCAATCCGTCAGTTCCGGACCCTCTGGATGGTCAGTCAGGGAGTTGACTACAATGATCTAGTTGCCCAGGGGCCTGCTCTGCCCTTCTTGTCTTCACGGCTGCAAATGAAGTGCCCCTGTGGGCCCCTAGCATGTGACAAAAGGACCTCATCTTTACCTTGGTGACACATTGCCTTATAAGGATGTCTAGGGTCTCCATTTGCTGACAGCCTACACAGTGGGGGAAAATTGCTTTTCAGAACATGACTGGCCCCTACAAAACCAAATGGCAACTCTGGCCCTTGTTTGGGTTTTGTGTTTTGAGCTGCATGTTGGATTAGCCAGCTGCTTCTTCAACTCTGCTCCCTCTGTCCGTCTTTTGGATAAATCTGTTAGTCCTTCAGACCACACAAGTGAAAAGGGTACTTGCAAATAACTCCCCTGCCCTCTGACTTCACTTTAACAGCCCTCCAAGGAGATAAGGTCGCAAGTTCACTGATGGCAGGAAAGGCTCGCTGCAGGCCTGAGCGATCTCACACATTTACTGTGCCATTCCCAATTCATAAAGAAGCCACAGTGCCTTAAGAGCCCAACGACTTTTCCATGTGTTTGGTATTTTTAGTTCTAAGCACTGTCTTCAGTGCGTCTCCAACATGTGTTTGAGAATGACCCAGTGGTCCCATATTAAGATAATTATTTTAACTGCTGTTTTGAAACACCATAGCAGTGTACCAAGAAACTTCCTACCCAGCAACCTGCACAGTTGGTTAAGCAAAAATTGATCCCTAGTTAATCAAATGAATCTAATAAGTTGTAGATAAATACATGATTTCATCACCTACAGTATGAGCACCCAAAGGGAAATAAGTGACCTCACTAAAGGTGTTGATTCTTCCCATAATAAATGGTGCAGCCATATGCGTGTGCTCAGCAACCCATGATCTCACAAGGCATGCTGCTATAATAAACTGAAACAATATGAGTATGCAGGAGGGAAAATGCTACCCATAGCGAGCATGACTACCTGGAATATGTCTTAACAGACTAAAACATAAATTAGCCTCTATAAATCTCATTGCTTGTTGCTTCACTGACATACATGTCCTGCCAAAATATTACATTCTTGAAAGAGCTGTATAAGTAGATTAAATGGTTTTTGTCCTTGGGAATGTGGAAACCTTTATTTGTTTTGTTAAGAGACTTTTAAATATCCTTAGGTTATGCCTCAAACAGATGTCCAGGGTAAATGCTCCTGACCCATTTAAACATTTCTTAGCTTGAATTAAGGTCCAGTTTCTGCAGCTTGTGTATAGTTCGACTCACTGGGCAGCACCTGACAAAACTGTGAGGCTGGTAATGCTAGGCTTGATGGCTCTATGGTGTGACTTTTAATGGCAGGACTGAGGAAACTAAGATAAATTAAAACCTAATTGGGTATGTTAACAGTTTTAGCAGTCTTCACATATGGATCCCATGAGGACACTTTAAAAGATGTTACAGTTTAGCTCCTGTTGCAAGGCTTAGCTGCAGAATGAGACCTGAACAGTTGTCTTTCCAATCCATTTCACAGGGTTGAGTTTCTTTTGATATTAGACGTTGTATTTACTGAGTAAAAAGTCACATTTGCTCTTCATCCCCAACTGGTTCAGTATATAATGAGGGGGCTTAGGATGTAAATGTCCCAATATGAAAGCCATAGAACATTCATCAGAAGGGGGGATTCCTATGGTGATGGCTCCATGCTAGAAAGTGCTCTTCAGGCAGAGATTTCAAGGAGTCTCAGTTGCCTTAAAGTAAGGGCCTCCATTGCTCACTTGCAGTCAGAGTGGCTCTAATCTGCAGACTCTGTTCTGTAACTTGAGCTCACATCGCAAAGAAAAACACTCTCTGTGTGCCTCACAATGAAACCAAAATTAATGCTATTTGAGTATTCAACCAACTCTAGACCCTATGGTCTTTCTGTCATTGCTAGTGTCCATTCCACTGACTTGGAGTGAGCTGAAGAAGGCAAATGATTTAGCCAAAGCTTTTTTTCAGGGTCTTCAAAACAGATTCCTTCAAACTTCAAGTAAGAGTTCAGTGTCAACAGAGCACTGATGCCTATGTAAAAGGACTGAGGAAGGATCTGAAGAGGTCCTTTGTTCTTGCAATTAAGAAAGAGACTGGGAAGTGACTTATTGGTGTGTTTGGTGACATTCCCTAAATGTAGGTTTTCCATGGCTGATAGAATTAACTCACAAATCTTGTTTCTTATAAAAGACTCCTTGAGGGTGGCTGATGCAGAGTTTCACTATTTTTTCTATCTATGAATTAAAAGCTCTCTGAGTTTCTCCTCTGATTTACCTGAAGAACGTGAGGACTATAGAAGTGAAATGATGTCTTAACCAGCTTGAATTCACTTAGGGCTCTGTAAGTAGCAGAGCAATAATAATGTCCACTAATAGAGATTCCAAAAGTTCTTTTAGAAAGTACCTACTAAGGGCAAATTTATACAATTGACTTGAGTTAGCTGGAGATGTCTAATATTGTGAATAATATTCTTATAACCATTTTGCATTACCAAGTTTTTTGGCAAAATTGAAATTCCCTAGTTGGGTAGTGGGTATAAGGTTTTTCAGAACTGCTATATATTTGATTTTTAGAGTCAACTTTCACATTTGTCTCAAGAGATGAGAAAATATTAGATTAAACTAATGAAAGCGTTTTTATTTCAAATATGAATATTTTGCATAGATTTATTGCACATCATTGCATCAAATATTAACTTAGACATTGATGAAAAATACCCCTTCCTTCCTCCTTCCTAATACATCCTTAAACAGTGTGCATTAAAACGTGAAAGGAAATAGAGTATGCAAGTACATGCATGTGTGTACTTCGCACACTGTTATCTATTTTAGGCTCAAATAGATGTATCTATGGTTGAGAAATTCCCATTAAATATTGGGGCGAGGTTCAGATGCTGTAGATATTTGTTTACATTTTATCAAATGCTTTCTTACATGTGAACCCCTCAATCTCTGAGAAATCACCTAAGGGAAGCCATGGATCTGCCTCCTCCAGGTTTCATTATTGCATGGAATGTGAGGGGATTTCTGTCTTAATTAATGCATAAGCCAGCTCTTCTGAGTTTGGGTGGATATCCTTGAGGAGAAAGGTAGCTAAAATTAGCAGCCTCTACTCTCTTCTGTGTTCCTTATAAAAAAAAAGAGAAACTGTCTCATCTTTAAGAATGGACCAGTTATGAACTTCCAACCTTTCCATTAATGCTTTGAAGCAATGATGGTGCTGGCTGATGTGCTTAAGTAGGACCATTAAATTTGGGAAATAATGAGAGGAAATAAACAGAAAGAGTAACTTGAAACTGGACGATCCTGGCTTAGAAGATATGACTTGTTCTTAGGTTTATTTACCTTTTCTAGGATTTTGGGAAAAGAGAAGGGCCTTGCAGAGCCCCTCTTATTAATAACCCCTGCCCAACCCCCCTACTTTTCCAGATCCTTTCCCTTTCTAAGGAGAGGTCCTGCAGGACGCCTACCAGAGCCATGCATCAGACAGTGGCTTCTGCCCAGTCACGGCTGGGTGGGTGTGGCCAGCTTATGGGAAAGTTCACGTAAGAGGTTGATTTAATCTCTCCAGTTTTAAAATGTGGAATGGTATGGTCTGAATGGCTTTGAATTAGAATAAGGTCTAAACTGATTTGAGAGCAAGGCCTGGATTTGAAAGGGAGAGTGATGAAATCAAAGAATGTCAGAGCCAAGTAATGTTAGAGATTTAACAAGAACTGCATGTATTCCCTGTTATGTGCATGTAGGTATGAGTGTATGTGTGTTATGAGTGTGTATGTGTCTATATGTATGTGTGTGTTTGTGTCTGTTGGGGAGAGAAATGGGATAAAAAGGATCAGAATCTCACGTAGACTTTTCCTAAGTCATTTTCCCCCCAAAGTCTCATTTGTCCACCTCTATGAAACTTACTTGGCTGAGAACTGCTGCCAAATGATCCATTTTCTAATGTGTTAGTAATCACTACATGAATCCTCTTGAGAAAGAGCTGGGCCAGGAGAACTTAATGACTTCCAAGGTCACACAGCAAATCCAGGGCCGAGCCTGGTTCCCCGCTCCTGTTCCAGGCTCCTCCCATGCCACCACATCATCAGGCTTGACATATGTTCGCCTTTTCTCCTTTGGATCTCAGCTCACAGGGACATCCACAGCCAGATACGAATTATCACCTGAAGGCATTAATTTTTTATTATTAACTTGATACCAAAGGAAACACATGTAAAAAAGTGAATGCTTTGTTCCTAAGTGCATTTCTCTCCATAATTTCAGTGAGTTCTGTGTGGGTGACAGTTTTTAATAAAATTCCTCTCCAGCTGCTCATATGAGAAAGTCTAGAAACATTGACCTTTAGTCACTGGATGACTGAGCTGTTTACTCTGGCTGTGGACGAGGTTTGGGTGTAGAGTCCTCTGTCTTCCTGCCTGTGCTGGAGTGGGATAATTTGGAGGCAGTGACTCAGGCTTCTGTGGGGACTTACTTAGTATAACAACTTTTCTGGGGCTAGGAAGACCACTTATAATATTTTCCAAAGAGGGCAAGAAAACAAAATTTCATGGGAAATTTTAAGAATGAAAGTTTTGTGCATGTGAGCCTTGGAAAACTATGCACAAATAGTACCCATTAATTTCTGTTTTCTTTGTGTAATTGAGAATTCATGTAACAACTTACTAGCTGCACATTTGGTGACCCCTTATGTTAATAGCTGCTTTTCTGTTCTTTTGGAATGGAGATCACATTCCACCTGCTCTTGGACTGGGTCATTCCATGATGTCTCAATAGATGATTTGTTTCCCACTTCCCTGCACCACAGCACTGGCCTCCTCTTCACCTACCTACCCTTTATTTTGCCTTCTCCAATCCACTCTTACCCTGGAAGCTAGGATTGTCTTTCTGAAATAAGGATATGAGCAGCTCCCCATTGGTTTTAGAATCTAGCCCAAACTCATCATGACTCATGGGGCCTGTGGGATCCGGCCACCATCATCACCTCTGGCCTCATCTAGCCCTGCTGTCTCCTTACCCTGTGTGAGCTTCTGTCTTTCTGGACAACTCTCTGTTTCTTGGACTTGCCACCTTCTGTTAGAACGTTGCCTGTAGCTCTCTTTCCTCTCTGAGCCTAGCCACAGCAGATTGCTTCGCTGGTCCAGTTCTTCATCCCTCCCTTTATTCATATGTGGGCAATGGCATCAGCATGAGCAGAGTACATTTCTCTGACTCTTGGCTTTGATCATGAACAGGTGAGTTGCTTTCGTCAATTGTATATGGGTGGAAGTGATAGTGTCCAAGCCAAAGCCTTCAGAGGTTTTGAAGGTTTCCACCTGCACTGCTGAGCCTCTGCCATCACTCCAAGCAGAATTTGTCCTGGGAAGCTGCTGCCCCCTCACTCTGTGACCCAGAATGAACCCATGTGCAGAAGAGAAGCCCCGACCTTAGTAGGGTGACAGCATCAGTTGGACCCATAGCTTAAAGCAGAGCTGCCAAGCAGAACCCAGCCTACGTCAGCCAACTAGCTGATCCCCAGCCAACCTGAGGACACATAAGCAATAATAAGTGTTATCTTAGGCCACTGAGTTTTGAGGTAGTTCATTACGTAGTCAAAGTCAATGAATATGTTGGCCAATGCTGACTTTGCAGGTTGCAGTTTGACCACCTCATTTTTGCTAGGAAACCTTCTTGGATCTACCTCCATGCCTCTCTTAAGTCTGTGATGATTGCCACTTGTATGTGCCCCCATAGAGAACTTATCCAACTCTATTGTGTCTTTCCTCCAGACAAAGGCACAGATCTCACCTGTCTTATGCGACTGCATCTCTGAACAGTTTCTTCATTCACTCTGCAAATCTCTCCTGAGCATTTGCCAAATTCCAGGCATTGTCTTAGGAAGTGATGTACAAAGCTCCTGCTTGAAGGAAGCTCACATTCTTCTGGGAGGAACAGGGAAAACCACACACCGACACACACACGCACACCCCACAGTAGTGAAAAAGGAAAACAAAGTAAAGAGGAAAAGAGCTCTGGAGAAATGTTGCTTTGTTGTTTTGGATGGGGCAGGAAGGAAGACTGACTATGTGAACACTGATACAGACATGTTGCTAGTTTGATGGCTGCGGATACAAGCAATTTCTTTCCCCATTGCCTCTACTTTCTCGCTGAAATAAGAAAGCACAATCAACAGTGCCCCGCCTGATGAGCAATGCATCGAATGAATGAGTAAATGGGTTTCAAGCTCAGTGCAAAGCGTATCCATGCAGGTTGAAAAAACATGAATGTGGACATAATGACAGAGAGGTGAGTGCACTGATTCTTGAGGGGGCATTAAAAATAGCCATGCACTTGTAGCTAATGAAGAAATGCATTAAAAAACTCCTTAGGTGGTGAAAGAAGAGATAGGAGTGAATAAAGCTAAAATAGTTGTGGGATTTGCTTTATAAATATTTTGGAACCAGCTTATTTGAATATAAAATGTCTTGGTTGCAAGAAAGAGAAACATTGTTGGATTAAGTCAGGAATATCAGGAGGGAGATGGTTAAAAGGCTACCCAGAAAACTCGCGGAAACAGCCAGACCTGGAGAAAGCAGGGACAGAGGAGCCATCAGAAACCAAGGCTGATACTGTCTCCTCATTGTACTATTGCAATCAGTTTCCTTTGCTCACTTGTAAAGCCCAACAGAAGAACTAAACCCAAAGTCCACAGGGCTCTTGACCTCATGCACCCACCACTGACTAGCCTGTTGTCAAGGTCTCTTACTTCTTGAGGGACAGAGAAGTGCTCTTTGGCTCAACTCAGTCTTCGACGCTCTATTAACCATATAGGTCACTGCCATGAGCTATTGCAAATGACTAGGGTGGTGTCCTGTCATCTATAGAGTGCTCCTTCCTGAAGCTACAGGTAGGATGAGTAGAGCTCAGATCCATATGTTGTGGAAGCCACAGGCTCCAGACATCCTTAGTTGGGTAGGATCTCACAGATCTCATGAAGTTGTAGAGAATATTAATTTTATAAGTTAAAACTAGATTGTGTCCATTTTATCTCTTCAATAGAAATACAACTTAGGCTGGGTGGTGGCTCACGTCTGTAATTGCAGCACTTCAGCAGGCTGAGGCAGGTGGATCACCTGAGGTCAGGAGTTTGAGACCAGCCTGACCAACATGGAGAAATGGTGTCTCTACTAAAAATACAAAATTAGCTGGGCGTGGTGGCTCATGCCTGTAATCCCAGCTACTCTGGAGGCTGAGGCAGGAGAATCTCTTGAAGCCGCGAGGCGGAGGTAGCAGTGGGCTGAGATTGTACCATTATATTCCAGCCTGGGCAATAAGAGCAAAACTCCATCTCAAAAAAAAAAAAAAAGAAAAAAAAAGAAAAGAAAAGAAATACATCTTATACACTGTTTTTTTTTTTTTTTTTTTTTTTTTTTTTTTTTTTTTTTTGAGACGGAGTCTCTCTCTGTCGCCCAGGCTGGAGTGCAGTGGTGCGATCTCAGCTCACTGCAAGCTCCGCCTCCCGGGTTCACGTCCTTCTCCTGCCTCAGACTCCCGAGTAGCCGACCGCCACCAAGCCCGGCTAATTTTTTTGTAGTTTTAGTAGAGACGGGGTTTCACCGTGTTAGCCAGGATGGTCTCGATCTCCTGACCTCGTGATCCGCCCGCCTCGGCCTCCCAAAGTGTTGGGATTACAGGCGTAAGCCACCGTGCCCGGCCCTTATACACTTTTTAAAACAAGTGGCCCATATTTCTTCCACATGCCATTTATATGCATAAGCTGATTGAATGAAAAAATAAAATCTTTTTATCCATTGCTGACCTGAAATAAGTACACACCAGGTGTCATGATCTGTCCAGGTACAGAGTGAAGGCCAACTCTACCATCATTAGTCAAAAAAAAAATTTTCCAAGCTCTCAAGTGAAAATATAATGAAAATACAATGAAATTCTAATTCCAAAGACTTGTATTCAAATTTTGGCAATTACAAATATTGGTATAATGGCAAGACTTGTATCTTCTCCAAGCCTCAGTTTCTATATTAATAAAAAAGCAAACAATGTCAGGTAGAATAGCTCTAAGAATTAAATGAATGAATACACAACAAATGCTAATGTTTTGGTAAACTCTAAAGTACAATATAAATGTTATTCTATTGCAAATAAGAACATACCTCCACTAACCAGTGTGTTTTTGTTCAAAAGTCAACAGGAATTGTACTGTATTTGGCTGGATAAAGCTTATCATGAGATGGATGTATTCCAGACATAGGAATATGCCTTTACTTTCTCTTAACATTTTATTTTTGTGAATACATCAGAATCCACATAGAAATAATCAGCACTGTATTATCGTAGAATGTTGAACAACCAAGTGAAGATTCTACAATATTTGAAGAAATGTTTTCAGCAGCTTGAAAATGATGATGCTTATTAGGATTGCACAGATTTTTGACTCTAAGTTTTCTGTGCTCAATAGCAAATTTTTTTTCTATATATGTTGGAGAATGTGGAGTGCCTGGGAAAAGAAAAAAATTATCCACATCTACATTTGGACATTCGGTTTTGAAGATGGAAAAGTTGTGAGCCAAGGAATATGGGCAGCTATATTCACACGTCTGATCAATGAAAAAAGGAGGCCTTACACAAGCCAAATCTTATGATGGAATGGCAAGAGCTTTGAAAGGAAATTCCCCAGTAGGGAGGAGCTTGACAAGTTCAGCCAGACTCAGCCATAGGATGTGGTGTCAAAGCACCATATCTGTTCCAAAATAGGCAAAATAAGGGCCCCTCAGAAATGTCCATGTCTTAATTTCTGGAACTTGTGAATATGTCATATTACATGGTAAGGGGAAATTGAGTTGCAGATGGAGTTAAGGTTGCTAATCAGTTGACTTTAAGATAAGAATATTATTTGGGATTATCTTCACAGGCCCAAGGCAATCATAATAGTCTTTGCAAGTAGAAGAAGAATCAGCGTCAAAGTAAGGCAGGGTGAGAAAAACTTGACCTGCTATTAATAATTTTGTAGAAGGAAGGGGGTCATGAGCCAACGAATGTGGGCAGCATCTGGGAGCTGGAAAAGGCGAAAAAAAAAAAAAAGAAAAGAAAAGATTCTCTCCCAGAGACTCCAGAGAGAACACGGCCCTGCTGACACTTTTTGTTGAATGAGACCCATTTTGGGCTTCTAGCCTCCAGAGCTATAGGACTATGAATTAGTATGGTTTTAAGTTACTAGGTTTGTACTAATTTGTCACAGCAGCAATAGGAAACTAAAGCAAACACCAGACCTAAGCTTCCTCCTGCCTCAGGTGGGATAATTCAGGCATGATGTGCATGGTTTCAGTGGGTTGGAGCCTCTGCTGCCCACTGCAGTACACTCTTCACTGCGTACCCTGTACCCTCTTTCCCTTTCTCACTTCATCTTTTTCCTGGGGTAAATACTTAATTCCAGATAAATGACTTGCCTCACATTTCTACCTTGGGATATGCTTCTAGTGGAACCCAGACTCATGGAAGGGGAAGATCATGAGTGATAAATTCCAGGTTGTGGTCTGCTTAAAAGGATGCAAGAGTTTGTGTTGCTTCCTCAAGGCCTTTGGTGTAGTTGAGAGTTGTTTCTGCCTGCCTTCATTCCGCTTTCTTCTGATAAAGCATCTCGCCTTTGTTCAAGGCACCCCCTTGTCAAACAACCGTGTGAGCCCCTGTCTCCAGGTGAAGACACCTACCCAGCCGGCCTGGGGCATATGTATTCTTTTGGCTTCCATGAATGTTTTTGGTCTGGGTAAGTGCAATCTGCTTCAATAACTTTCTCTTTCGCTTAGGCTGCCTGTTTGTGTGGATCTGGGCCAGAGCTTTCCTGCAGCCATTTGTAGTCATCTTGCAGATTCTCAAGGGGAGAGGCTACTTGAGAATAAAGCTGGCAGGGAGGAAAGCAGAGCAAGAGAGCAAGATTGAGAAGGAGAAGACAGGCTATAGGGCATCTTAGGGGCCAGGGAGTCAGCACATCTGATGCGAGCTCTACCTTGGGACTTTCCATAAGACTCTAAATTTGTTTTCATTTGCATTGAAACTAGTTTGAGTTTGGTTTCCATCTCTTACACCCCCAAATATCCTAACTAATACAGACTTGATCATATTGCTGGTCTTCACTGGTCACCTGTATCTATTGGCAAAATGTGTTTCAGAAAGTGGCAGGATGGGGCTTACTTATTGAACTAAACAGCCTGTGCACTAAAGAATGGCCCTAGGTGGGTCCAACCTAGCAAGTGGTGTGAGGAGCTTGCTTCCTGTAATGAGGAAGTGAGGGGTGGAAAGCTTGGGAGATGGCTCACTAGGTAAGGTGACATTTGGGGCTTGGCATCTAGGACCAGTGGTTTAGGCTAAGTTTGAGACCAGCCTGTCTAGTCTCCTCTGAGGATGGCTGTCTTGGTGGAGCAATGTTAAAGGAGTAGAAGGCAGGAGTGAGCTCTGGTCTGCCACAGGAGACCACACTTTGCAGAGTGATTAAGAGAAAGTGGCACATTACCAAACCTCCAAGTTCCACTTCTGCATCCCCAGGAGTCTCACTGGGAATCCAGGCCAGCCCCAAGGCCAGGCTCAAAGCCTTCATTGTTTCCAACAATGACTTAAATCCATTTCATTGCCAATTTCCAGAACTTGATCTGAATTTTATTTATCATCCATCCATTAAACTCCTACTGTGTGTCAGCAAGGAGTTATTAAAGATACTCTCAATTTGCCTGCAGTCTAGGGGTAACATATGGCAATAGGGATAGCTTGAATCACACGATATTAAGGATGGAACAGGGGAACAGTAATTCAAGTGACCACTGACTTAGCATCAGAAATAATGGAGGACATAAGAACCTGTGAAACATCTCTAAAAAAGAAAAGAAAAATTATCAAAGTAGATTTTTTTTAAATCCAGCAAATACATGCTTCAGGAATTAAGGTGAAATAAAGACATTTTTAGATTACAGAAAACCAAAAGAATCAACCACCAGCAGACCTATACTAAAAGGCCATCTTCAGGCTGAAGGGAAATGATACCAGACAGAGGCTTACATTTTCAGGATGACAGGAAGAGCTCTAGAAATAATACATTTGTGGGTATATATAAAAGTTGTTTTCTCTTAATTTATTCAAAATATATATTACTAATTAAGGTATTGGTTGTAAAAGTACAATCTGTGGGTCAAATCCAGCCCGTTGCTTATTTTAGTAAATACAGTTTTATTGGAACCACAGCCACATTCATTCCTTTAAGTATTGTCCATGGCAATACATTCTCTCTCTCTCTCTCTCTCTCTCTCTCTCTCTCTCTTTCTTATTACAAGAGCATATTTGACTAGTGACAAACTGTATGACCCCAAGAGCCTATAATATTTATGATCTGGCCCTTTACACAAAAGGCTTGTCAACTTTTGGTTTAAAGCAGAAATTATAACGTTGAGGGTTTAACATATGCAGATATAATACATATGACAATACGAAACTCTATGTTGCAAGGTTCTTACATTCTAAGCATAGTACAATGCTAACTCTAATAGACAGCGAGAAGTTAAAGATGCATATTTTAATCTCTAGAGCAGCCACAAAATAATAATGCAAAAAAGTATGGCGATAAAGGAAATAAATAAATTAAAATGGGATCTCAGTATTAAAGAAAGGAACTCCAAAGCCATTTTCTTCAAACATTGGCCACATGTCAATCGTCCCTCTTATGTCTTCATAAATGGGATCCAGCTTCTGCCTGAACCACCTGTGAATGCCCTGACACTCCTGAGATAATTAGATATAAAAGAAAGAGTATGCTTCGTAATAAATATAAAATGTTTTAATAGAAAATTGATACATTTAGAGAACTGATCTCTTGGTGTTCAAGAGAGGTTGTTTCTCCTTCCTTGACATTTGGCAAATCTGATAAAGACATCGAGTACCTGCTTGTGTGATTTACTGTCTTCATGTTTGTTTTGAGTTCAGTCCCCAGATGACCCATAAAAAGTTGTGGCTCTCCTGGGAGAATGAAATAATAACGTACAGACTTCTTGAAGGTTTTTACTTATTTTTCAAACACGCTTTAGTTATTTGTTATCACCTAATGCATAAAATATTTTTTAAAATCCGTGTTCTAATTTTTATAAAGTTGGAAGACTTTTCTTCTTCTTTTCTGTAAGAATATTCTAGGGCAAATGCTGTTTGCACTTTTTTAGTCAATTGATATTTTTAAATATCTTGTAAATTCAGAAGCAAATGATTGAAATAATCTTAGATTCCTCTTTAATAGCTATTCTTACTAGATTTTCATAAAATAAGTCAGTAGAGCATGTGCAAGACTGCTCAATGATAGAAACTTATAAAAAGTTTTAAATTTCTTACTTAAAGAGCTATTATAGGAACCATAGAGTTTTAAAAGTTTTTCCTTTGCTCAGGTGAGATGACATTCAAGTGAAAACCCTAGTAGACTTATTTCACTGGACATATTTCTTCTTTATTCTTAAGGTTCAATTTCTCCTCCATTGAAAACATTTTTAAAATAAAAGCTAGTATAACAAAGTGTCCAATTACTGTTTGGAGGTCAGCTGGCTGTAAAAATTCCTCCTGAAGCCACATCACATCTATGGGCAGGTTAGAGAAGTACTTTTACCTTTCACTGATGTCTGACTGGGGATGCCCTGGCCCTCCTAGTGACCACTCAGCACAATGACATTGTAAGATACACAGCTCATGCCTGACTGCTCCATCAGAGCTTAATCGTTCTCAGAATTCATTCTGTGATTTTATTCACAGAACTTTTTGCCTTATAAATAAAATTTCCAACTTCCTGCCTCACTAGAAATTATATGCTTTCTGAAAACACTGTATTGCTTTGTATAATTTTCCATTCTGTTTCTTGATAATGGGAAACACTCCACAAGACTGAGATGACTAATTTAGTTAAATTGGTATAGAATTTGAGATTGAGTATTAGGTAGAAGTACTTTAGCAGATGACTGATACCGGTGTTGGAATAAGTAGGTTGGGCTTTTCATTATAATTTAGTCATTTGATAGCTGAGAGTCTGAGCTTTAGACAAAGCTGAAATAAACACCTTAAGAGGAATATCTCTTTACTTTTGAACCATGGTCTGCAACATCGCTGAACTCCCCTCAGTGCCATACATGGTGCAGACAGGCTCAGCAGAAGAAACTCAGTGCCTGCAATCCTAGGAAAACACAGTCTCTCTGGAAAATGCTGTGCATGGGATATTTGCTTTGCTATCACATGGAATTCAGTCATGAGATTTGAAGACGTTCAACTGTGCTTCTCTAAAATCAAACCAGACATGCTGCATGGTTGATTTTAACCGGTGTGCAAGCAGCTGTAGTTTCCCTTTCTTTAAAATAACTTTGAAAGGTTTCTCAAAACTTCCAATAATATTTTATGTTAATGTGAACTAAAGTGCTTCAGACTTTGCCATATATTTCTAAGCCTTAATAATATAATATGACTATTAGCAAATAAACTAGGTACTTTTTAGGCATTATCTCACATTTAATTTTTACAAGCCTATAACAGAGATACTAATATTATCCTTGTTTTAAACTGAGGCATAGACTAATTAAGGAATTTTTCCAATGTCACAGTTTGCAACAATGGTGGGATTTAAACCAGAAGTCTGATTCCAAAGTCTACTGTCTTACCCATTATGTAGTTAGCTTCAGTTATGAAGCTCTCCATAAATTTATGGTCAAACAATATTCACTTGCAGTAGATGGAAAATTATTATGCAACCACTAGAGAAGATCAGATGAGATTCTAGTAAAAGGAAACTTCTGTGCATCGTCAACTTCTCAATGTCCATCATGATCATAACAGTATTTTTTTTTTTTTTTGAAATGGAGTCTTTCTCTGTCACCCAGGCTATAGTGCAGCGGCGAAATCTCGGCTCACTGCAACATCTGCTTCCTGGGCTCAAGCGATTTTCCAACCTCAGCCTCCCGAATAACTGGGATTACAGGCATGCGCCACCATGCCCGGCTAATTTAGTATTTTTAGTAGACATGGGGTTTTGCCATGTTGGTCAGGCTGGTCTTGAACTCCTGACCTCAGGTGATCCGCCTGCCTTAGCCTCCCAAAGTGCTGGGATTACAGGCGTGAGTCACCATGCCTGGCCGATCATAACAGTCTTAATTGCAATTTGTTAAATAATAATTTAAACTGAAATGATATTTACCTGTAGAGACCCCAGGATCCACAGTTATATCTGTTTCCCAACATCAGAGACTTTCTTTTATGGGGCTTGCAGGAATTCTACCAATATTTACTGAGTACTTCTGATGAATCAGACATTGGTCTAAGAACTGTAAGAGACTGAAAGATCAATAAGAAAAATCCCTATCCTTTAGACAATTGGGATCTAGCAGGGAGGCAAGAGAAGCTTACTCAAGTAACCACTGAGTTTTAAGCAAAATACAAGTGGAATAGAAGAGAATGAGATCAGAGTTTCCGTGACAATCTGGGAAGACTACAGAGAGAAGGTGAGATTTGAACAAGGCTTTAAACAATGAAACCACTAGGACTTTGAAAGGCAGATAATGGCCATGCAGAGTTGGTAAAATAAGGAAAATATTGGACTGGGAGTAAAAATAGAGATTTTTTAAACTCCAGGCTTATTTCAAGGTCTTCCAATTACCGTCTAACTACCTTGGTCAAATCATTCATTTTTTTGTGCCTTAGTTTCTGCAGTTGTAAAAAAGAGACTGCATTCTGGGGCTCTAGTAAGAATTAAATAATACACAGTATTGAGAACAGTTAATAAAGAGGCTATGAAATACTGACTATTTTAATTTATTATTTAGTAGTAGAAGAAATAGTGTTTAAGGAAAGAACCAGCAAAAGCAAAGACACACAACAGGCACCTCTCTAATTAATAAATGAAAATGTTTATTTATTTGATACCTATTATTTGCTGCTGGGTGCTTTGCACATATTGCCCCATTTAATGCTGACAGTGATGAAGCAGCATTTGAATGATTTATTTAATCTCTCGTTTTTCTCATCTATAAACAGCAGTTAATATCTCAAATTTTTGTATGGCTATAATAATGATTATATGAGATAATATGTGGAAAGGATATGGTACATGGCAGACATTTGAGAAATGCTTGCTTTTATCATTTATTGTTCCTCCATCTACCTATTTCCTGATGAACATTTCACCTAGTCCCTGGCTCATACCCTTGATCTTGACATTACTAATAATTACATAATTGACTGCCCTTCTGGTTTCCTGACTTGAGTCCTGTGTAGGGAAGACCTTACTTTGGTCTAAATACCCACTCCATCACATCCTCATGTGACCTTGGTCATATTATTAACCTCTTTGTCTCAGCTTCCTCATCTGTGAATGAGCATCAGAATAGATGCCTGTCATTGTGGCTGTCATGAGAAGTAAGCAGCATAATAAGTGGAATGTACTTAGTTCAGTGCTTGGTACAAATTGATTACTCTGTAAATGGTTAAATGGTTATCCATGTTAGTCACTGTCACTTTAGTCCAAGATACCCAGGTTTCTCATCATCATGTGATTCTGTGGTCAGGTCTACCTTCATACTGTCTCCCTTCCTACACACTTGCCCTTCCAAATCCCTTCCAAATGCCTTTCTCTATCAGAAGTCAAAGCAATCCTTTAAGAAATGGAAGTCAGAGCATGCCTTTCTCCAGATTAAAACTCAACAATATCTCCCCATGTTTTTCACCTATTCTACAAGGCTCTTCTTGACCTAGCCTAGTCTTCCCACCTGACTTTATTTCCTTCTTCTATGGTACCAGTCATCCTGGACTTCTTTCCATTCCTCAAACATGTCAAGCTCTTTCCTACCTCAGGGACTTTGTACTTGCAATTTCCTCTGCCTGGAATGTTCTTCCCAACCCAGATCTTGGCATGACTGACTGTTTTTGTTGTTGTTGTTGTTGTTTTTGTTTTGTTTTGTTTTGCTTTTTTGAGACAAAGTCTTGCTCTGTCACTTAGGCTGGAGTGCAATGGCGAGATCTCCGCTCGGTGCAACCTCTGCCTCCTGGGTTCAAGCAATTCTCCTGCCTCAGCCTCCCTAGTAGCTGGGATTACAGGTGCCCACCACCACTCCTAGCTAATTTTTTGTATTTTAGTAGAGATGGGGTTTCACCATGTTGGCCTTGAATGCCTGATCTCAAGTGATCGGCCCCCCTTGGCCTCCCAAAGTGCTGGGATTACAGACATGAGCCACCATGCCTGGCCTGCATGACTGACTCTTATTGTTTGTGACTATAAACATTACTTCCCCAGAAACTTGCTTCCTAACCTACAACTTAAAATAGTGTTTGGTCACTATTTGAAGAGTAGACAATCACACTTTAAATAGATAATCTAATGCTATGCCCTATTGTATTCCCCTCATAACAGTTACTAGTGTCTTGATATTTTATTTCTATTTGTTTATTTTTTTTGTTTGTTTCCCATCTGAGGAGAATAAAAGTCTGGTGAAAGCAGAGACCATATTTATTTTATTCATCATTCTGAGAATTGGATGGGACAATCAGAGCTCAGTAAATATTTGTAATGAATCTGTAAACCAAGGACAACGGTAGGATCCCTCTTACAGGACTTTATGAGTGTTAACCAAGATAATGCATGTAAACACCTTCGTACAGTGCCTGGAACACAGTCAGGTCTCAGTGGATGCCAAATCATTAGGTTCAGGTAATAAAATTGTATATGGAGCTCCATTCTTGCCCTCAAGTGCCTCAAAGGCCAGAGTGAAGAAGGAGATGGCTCACAAATGAATATGTCATTTACTACCATTACTTTCAATGGCAAAAATCGCAGTTACCTTGGCACCAACCTAATAGTAAGTGGTCTGATGGAAATATATACCAGGGGCCCCTGGTGCAGAGAGGAGAAGGTAATTCAAGCTTCCAAGAGTGGATAGAAAGCTGAATGGAGGACAGGGCTCTCCAGGTGAAGGTATTTTCAGACAGAGGGGCTTGCCTATGAAAAGGCACTTAGGAGATGGTGAGCATTTTGAGGTCTTACGGGAACTGACGGTGTATGTGGGGAGTGATAGGGATGATGCTGGAGAGGCAGGTTGTGGCCAGACTCTGGAGGCCTAAGTTTTTCAGGAGTTTTAGCCTTGTATCCAGAATAGATTATGCACAGCAGCACGAAGAGAAACAATACGAAGCAAATCTACAAGGCAAGGGTTCTCAGGCTTTTTCTTTAATAAATATATAATGAAATAGCTATTACCTGTATACAAGCTATTAATGTTTTTAGCTACCCTGAAAAACTGTTAGCATAGTTTTTAACGTGCTCCCTTTTTTTTTTGAGATGGAGTCTCGCTCTGTCACCCAGGCTGGAGTGCAGTGGCGTGATCTCAGCTCACTGCAACCTCTGCCTCCCGAGTTCAAGCAATTCTCCTGCCTTAGCCTCCTGAGTAGCTAGGACTACAGGCACATGCCAAACACCCAGCTAATTTTTTTTTTTTTTTTGTATTTTAGTAGAGACGGGGCTTCACCGTTTTGTCCAAGCTGGTCGTGAACTCCTGAGCTCAGGCAATCCGCCCTCCTGGGCCTCCCAAAGTGCTGGGATTACAGGCGTGAGCCACAGCACCCGGCCTATTGTGCCCTTTTTACAGGTGAGAATGATGAGGCTCAATCTCTTGACTCCAAATCTGGTGCATTTGCTATACTATAGTGCTTTACTGGACAACTTTTGGGGGTGGGGTTGAAAATCAAAGACTAAAAAAGTGACCCTTGCAAGGGCTGAGGTGGAAGCCATTGGCAATAAACTTGCTGCCCCGTCAGAGAGGCAGCTGTTCATTTTCACATGCCCCAAAGAAAAATTCCACTGCCTGCAATCACCACTTCCACTGTGGGCTGCTGCAGCATGAGCAAAAGCATGAGCAAACCTCATGTCACCAGCTGCCTGCCTATGGCTGCTCCTAAAGAAAGCAAATCTGCCCTCCCAGTAGCAGGGCCACAGCACAGCCACTGCCCCACTCACCTGAGCATTCTACGGCAACTGGGGGATTTCCCCAACCATGCCTATCACAGATAGTGCCTGCATGTACCACTGGGGAGCCTGAAAGCAGGTCTACCTGGCTTGACTCTACTTCCCACTCCCAGACCAGAGCACACTGTACATGGGCCTGGGGCTCACCCAGCCCAGTCTACCATGGGTGGCACCTGAGCAATTCTCCTGGGGTCTGAGATCAAGCCCATGCAACCAGCCACTACCACCGCAGCTGACCACCTAATTGCTTCACCTGTTGGTCTTGGAACCAGTTCATCCAACCCATCACAGCCACTGTCTATATCAGCACAGACTGCTTGGGTCCCAGAAGGTTATCCCACCACTGCCACTGCCACTGGCTATGTCACACCAGCTGCCCAAGGGATCAAGAACCTGCCCAACTGCCCAACCAACTGCTGATATTCCCAGCACACAAACAAGCCACCTGGAGGCTGAATAATTGGTGTGTCTGGACTCAGTAACACCAGTGTCAGCATATGCCACTCTGGTGCCCAAGGACAGTTCATTGATGACACCATTGGTGCTTGAGGACTGGCCTATGTGGCATCCCAGTTCCCCACAAAACTTCACCACAACCTCCACTAACAACTGCACCCTAAGCTGCCAAGAAATTATAGACACTGCTGATGCTGTTTCCAGCTGAAGAAGCCACACACAAACTACACTACTGCACATGTCCAGAATCAAAGCCAAGATGCCGTACACAACCAACGTTATAGCTACATCTCCAGGAAAATGTTTTCCTTTACAAAAGCAACTGGAAAAAATTGGAAGAAGTGACCATTACACCAGGTGCAAAGATATCAGTGTAAGGATAGAGGATACATGAAAAAGCAAGGAAATATAACACCTCCAAATAAACACAATAATTGTCCAGCAATAGAACCTAATCAAAAGAAATTTATAAAATCCTCAAAAAAAGAATTAAAAAATATTGATAGTAAAGAAGCTCAATGTGAACTTCTTTTTGGATTAATTCAATTCAATTTTTAGAATTCAATTCAATTCCATTTTTAGAATTCAATTCAATTCCATTTTTAGAATTCAGCAGAATTCTAAAACATAAGCCAAACAAATTACAGAAACAATTCAGGGTACAAATAAGAAATTTACCAAAGAGATAGATATCATTAAAAATAAAAAATTAAAACGTTGGGACTGGAGAGCTTAGTGAATGAAATACAAAAACATTTAGAAGCTTCAACAGCAGTCTTGATCAAACAGAAGAAAGAATTTCAGAACTTGAAGATAGCTCCTTTGAAATAGCCCTGCCAGAGAAAAAATAAAGACAAAATAATAAAAAGGATATGGGGGTACCATAAGGTAACCAAATATTATTATAATTTTCAGTCTCCTAAAAGACAAAGGGAAAACAAAAGGGTGAAAATACCAATTTAACAAAATAATAGATGAAAACTTCTGAAGTCTAATAAGAGAACATATCAAATCCAAAATTAGTAGAAGGAAAAAAATAACAAAGATCAGAGCAGGACTACACAAAATAGAGATTTGAAAGAGTACAAAGCTTCAATAAAACAAAAGGGTAGCTTTTCAAAAAAGATGAACAAAATCAATAAACCACTTGCTAGGCTAATAAAAAGAGAGAGAGAAGATCCAAGTAAACAAAATGAGAAATTAAAAAGGAAACATTATAACTGATACTACAGAAATACAAAAGATTATCAGAGATTATTATGAACAAGCATACATTAACAAACTAGAACTCCTGGAAGAAATGAACATATTCCTGTACACATCCAACATACCAAGATTGAATCAGGAAAATGGAATAGCTAAACAGAACAATAATGAGTAATAAGATTAAATCAGTAATAAAGCATCTTCCAACAAAAAAATAATTCAGGACCAGGTGGCTTCATGGCTGAATTCTACTGTACTTTAAAAGAACACCTAACTCTAATTCTCCTGAAACTATTCCAAAAATTGAAGAGGAGGGAATTCTTCCTAATTCATTCCGTGAGGGCAGTATTGCCCTGATATTAAAGCCAGACAATGATGCAACAAAAAAGAAAACGGATGAACATAGATACAAAAATTCTCAACAAAATACTAGCAAACTGAATCCAAGGGCACATAAAAAAATACACCACGCTCAAGTGGAATTTATCCCATGGACACAAAGATGATTAAACGTATGCAAATCAATAAATGTGATACATCTTATCAACATAATAAATACAAAAACCATGTGATCATCTCAATAGATGTGGAAAATTCAACATCCCTACATTATGAAAACTCTCAAGAAACTAGGCCCAGAATGAACACACCTCATCATAGTAAAGGCCACATGTGACAGACACACAGCTAACATCATACTAAAAAGAGGAAAAGCTTAAAGCCTTCCCCTTAAGAATTGGAGTAAGACAAGGATGCCTGCTTTCACCTCTCCTATTCAGCATAGTACTGGAAGTCTTAGCCACAGAAATCTGGCAAAAGAAAGTCATTCAGATTAAAAAAGAATAAATTAAATTATCCCTCTTTGATGATGACATAATCTTACAGCTAGAAAAACATAAAGACTCCACCAAAAAACTCTTGGCTCCGATAAATAAATTCAGTATAGTTGCAGGATACAACATACAAAAATCCATACATTTCTATATACCAATAATAAACTAGCTAAGGAAGGAATCAAGAAGGCAACTTCATTTACAGTAGCAACAAAGAAAACAAAATACCTAGGAATAAATTAACCAAGGTGGTGAAAATCTCTAAAAGTAAAACTATAACACATGGATAAAAGTAACCAAAAAGCACATCAACAAATCAAAAGTCACCGCATGCTCATGGATCAGAAGTATTCATATCATTAATGTTTCTATACTGGAACCATAATGCCCAAAGCAGTCTGTAGATTGGATACAATCACTACTAAATACCAATGCTATTTTTTACAAAAATAGAAAAAAATTATAAAATTTGTATAGGATCAAAAAGCCCAAATAGCCTGAGCAATCCTGAGCAAAATCAGAAAGCTGGAGGCATTACACTACCTGTTTTCAAAATGTATTACAAGGCTATAGGAATCCAAACAGCATGATATTGTTATAAAAACAGACACAAGGATCAAAGTAGAGAATCCGGAAATAAATTAACATATTTAAAATCAACTGATTTTTGACAAAAGTGCCAAGAACATATGTTATGGGACAGACACCCTCTTCAATAAATGGAGCTGTAAAAATTGGATATCTATAAGTAGAAGAATGAAACTGGATCCCCATCTTTTATGACACATGAAAATCAACTCAAGATGAATTAAAGACTTTAACACAAGACCCCAAACTATAAAACTACAGGAAGAAAACATAGGATAAAACACTCAGGACATTCGTCTAGGCAAATATTTTATGTCTAAGACCTTAAAAGCACATACAACAAAAATAAAGATAGACAAAAGGGACTATATTAAACTAATAAGATTCTTCACAGAAAAGGAAACAGTCAATAGAGTGGAGACAACCTGTTGAATGGAGAAAATATTTACAACTTATTCATCTGACAAAAGACTAATATTGAGAATATACTAGAAATTTGAAAAACTCAACAGTAAAAAAAAACAACAACAAATAATTCCATTAAAAAGTGGGCAAAGGACATGAGTAGATACTTCTCAGAAGAAGACACACAAATGGCCAATAAGTACATGAAAAACTACTTAACATTACTAATCAACTGGGCAATACAAATCAAAAGCACAATGAGATATCATCTCACCCCCATTAAAATGGCTATTACTAAAAAGACAAAACATAAAAGCTTCTAGTGATTTTGTGGAGAAAAGGGAATTCTTATACACTGTTAGAGGGAATGTAAATTATTGCTGCCACTATGGAAAACTACGGAGATTTTGCAAAGAACTAAAAATAGAACTACCATATGATCCAGCAATCCTACTACTGGGTATTTATCCAAAAGACAGGGAATAATTATGCCAAAGGAATACCTGCACTGCTGTGTTTATTGTAACATTATTCACAATAGTCAAGATATGAAATCAACCTAAGTGTCCATCAATGAACAATGGGTAAAGAAAACATAGTATAGATACACAATGAAATACTATTCAGTTATTTAAAAAAAAGAATGAAATCAAGTCATTTGCAGCAACAGGAATGGAACTAGAGGTCATTATGTTAAGTGAAATAAGCTGGACATGAAAAGACAGATACCATACATTCCACTCATCTGTGGGAGCTAAAAATGTTGATCTCATGGAGGTAGAGAGTAGAATGATGGATACCAGATGCTGGAAAGGGGGTGTGAGTGGGAGGTGGTGATGAAGAGGGGTTGGTCAATAGGTGAAAACATGCAATTATCTAGAAGGAATAAGTTCCAATGTTCAATAGCAAAGCAGGGTGACTATGGTTATCGACAATGTGTTATATACTTCAAAGTAGCCAGAAGACAGAACTTGAAATGTTCTCAACACATAGAAATGATAAATACTCAATGTGATGAGCACCCCTAATAGACTGATTTGATCATTACACATTCTATGCATGCAACAAAATATCGCATGTACCGCATGTGATAACTGTGTAAAATATTATGTATCAATAAAAAAGAAATGCATAGAAGTACATAATTTGAGAAATAGCTGTACTGTATTATCAATGGTTGTTTGCATAATTTGCATGATCTCTTCTTTTCTCCTAAGGCTGATGCTTAGCACAGGTGAAACCACGGACGGAAACAGCATTTTCTTTGTGAGAATGATTTAACTCTCAGTGGGAAAATTCATACTGTAAATTTGCTATGAATTACTTTCTTCACATTGGTGAATTGTTTGCTTGTTTTTCCTTTGGATAAAAGGATTTTTATGAAAGTGAGATAAAATGACAATTGCCAGAAAAGTATTGGATGACTTTCCATTTTCATTATGAAATAAGATAATCTGACCCACAGTACTCCCCACTCCCATTCTTTGTCATGACCAGGCGAGATAGGTTTGACTGCAAATGCTCCTTTTTTATTTATTTTTAATTTTTTATTTTTTTGAGACAAAGTCTCGCTCTTGTCCCCTAGGCTGGAGTGCAATGGCACAATCTCAGCTTGGTGCAATCTCGGCTCACAGCAACCTCTGCCTCCCGGGTTCAAGCGATTCTCCTGTCTCAGCCTTCTGAGTAGCTGGGATTACAGGCATGTGCCACCATGCCCGACTAACTTTGTACTTTTAGTAGAGATGGGGTTTCTCCATGTTGGTCAGGCTGGTCTCGAACTCCCAACCTCAGGTGATCCGCCCACCTCGGCCTCCCAAAGTGCTGGGATTACAGGCATGAGCCACCGTACCCAGCCACGCTCCTTTATTATTAGCAAAAAATAGTCCTCATACCATGGTCACATGAGAGGGAAGTATTTCTTTCAGAATTATAAAATTCCTTCAAAGTATTTTCTGTTAATTAATTTTAAGATGCACACTTGGCAATCTTGGATAGTCCACTTCCCCTCTAGGGACCTGTATGCTCAGCTGGAAAACAATCTGAGTGGATGAGATGATTTTAAAGATGTCCTCAATCAATGCAACTCTTTGCTTAACATCCAAGTGTTTGTACAGTACAGACACTATGTGGTATGCAATGTAATCTAGAAGAATACTTCTTTGTGAGAGTAATGGGCCATAAAATCATTGCTTTGTGCTAAATAAATGATGCCTTGAGTATCACCTCAATACAAATATAGATGAATTTCATTGAATGTGCTGCAGCTTTCCGCTATCTCTGAGGGTGCAAGGAACGTGTTTTTTATTTTTATATATTCCATAGCTTCTAAAAATGCTTGGTACATAAGTGCTCACATACCCACTGAATCAAACCCTCGCATTATGTGGCACATACTAGGTGCTTTATGGAACTCGAGATGTTTCAAATGAATAGAAATAGGGGATAGATGGATGGATGAATAGAAATGACCTCCACCCCAGCTTCAAAGAGAAATAAAGCTTAGAGACACTGTATTCCTTGATGCAGTAGAATCCTCTTTTTTGCCTCTTTTGAAGTTTGCATTTCTTGATGTGTTTTGCATATTGACAGTGATGTGCCTTGGTTTGTTCCCTACTGCTACAGGCATCAGTGCACCAGGCTCACTGCAGCTGCAATCCCTAGTCAAACATTTATGTTTCCTCTCTGAAGTCCCTCTTTCTGATGCTTTAATTGCTTTTTCCCTAGGCTGGTGCAACTATGAGTCACCAGATTGCGCAGGTGAGCTCACATCTTCTTCACACATTCTGGCTGGCTTTTCTTTCCAAAACTATAGTTGCAGCAGTGTGAGTAAGAAAGCCTGGATGGGGTGTTTCCTCACTCATGATAGTGTTGTTTCATCCTAGGAAGCTAGAAACATGAGAGCAGCATTCCAGGGTCAGACCAACTCAGCAAAGCTGTGATTCTAGCTTTCCCATGCCATTTGTGAGGGGGAGGCAACAACATTAATTAATAATAAGTAACAAAACAACAAGGGAGAAAAGTAACAAGCCAACCTCCGAGATCCTTCTGTGTTGCAAGACGAGCAAAGATAAAAGACTTCTAATACCACAAACTGACATAAATTTGACAAATAAGATTAAAGCTAACCTAAAGCAGCTGAGCCTTATGGGTTTACAGGGAATTAAAAGGGCATTAGTATTTATTTGTCCTTTTTCCCAGGATGGTGGATGTCCCCACATTGAAGTAGCACATTGTCTGCCACCAAACTGATGAGATGGAAATGAATCACCAGGTTTTTCTGCTAAATAGAAATGTGTCATTTCATACTCACCATGCTATGCTTTAGGTATGATTTGGTTGTTCTCACCAAAACTCATGTTGAAGTTTGATTTCTCATTGTGGCAGTGTTGAAAGGTGGAAGCTGATGGGAGGTGTTTGGGTCATGAGGGCTCTGTCCTCATTGATGGATTGGTGCCATTCTCACAGTAGTGACTTCTCCCTCTGGCAAGACTAGGTAAGTTCCTACAGGAATAGATTAGTTTCTGAAAGAGTGTGTCATTATAAAGGCAGCACGCTCCTCAGCTTTTCTCTCTTAGCACGCGTCCATTTCCCTTTTGACCTTCTCTGCCATATTAGAGGCAACATGGAAACCCTCACCAGAAGTCAGGGCTTTGCCCTTGAACTTTCCACCCTGCAGAACCATGAGCTAAATAAACCCATTTTCTTTATAAATCACTCAGTTCTGGTATTCTGTTATAGCAACCCAATATGGACTAAGACATATTGCTATGGAAGCAGCAGACATAAATGTGTGATGAGAATTACCCTACGGCTGGGCACGGTGGCTCTTGCCTGTAATTGCAGCTCTTTGGGAGGCCAAGGCAGGCGGATCACCTGAGGTCGGGAGTTCGAGACCAGCCTGACCAATATGGAGAAACCCCATCTCTATTAAAAATGCAAAATTAGCCAGGCGTGGTGGCGCATGCCTATAATCCCAGCTACTCAGGAGGCTGAGGCAGGAGAATCGATTGAACCCGGAAGGTGGAGGTTGCAGTGAGCCGAGATCGTGCCATTGCACTCCAGCTTGAGCAACAAGAGTGAAACTCCACTTCAAAAAAAAAAAAAAAAAAAAAAGAAAAAAAAAACCCTAAAAGGGAGAAATGCAATAACCAAATAAAGGCCACTTAAGTGCTTAAGTGGGACATCACCTCATGGTTTCAGTGTAACCAAGTTTACACATTTACTACACCAGAACAAAAATTTTCTGTTCTATTCTTGCTTGTGCAAATCATGCAACTTTCTTAATTTCTTTAAATATACATTTTGGAGTTTATTTATTGGAAATGAAGTTGCTTATTCACAAAATCTTTCCAAATATGTCAGAGTATCAACATTAAATGGATAAAAATGTGTGCTTCTTTGCAGCCAGCTATTATAGCTCTCAAATGTAATGACACTGAACTGTGGTCACCACTACATTTTCAAATGTGTATTTAAACATAGCTATGAGGCTAAGTGGTCTCTTGGCTAAAAAATTAGTAGGCATTATTTCTAAAACATGTAATATTTATAATCAATCTACATGTTTGGCTTATATCAAGATGCTGACAGGGCAGAAATATTGTTGCATTTATGATGATTTTAAATTTGTGACTGATGTTTCTAAAGTACTGGCCTCATAGCTGGTCTAGGAGAAGAACTATTGCCCAAATCTCTCTCTTGTACCTGCAGAGGTAGCTGATTTTTAAACACCAACATGTTTTTCCACACCCTGTGTCCTCAGTCTCAGTGGGCTGGCCTGACTGATTTGGCCATTCTGCTAATTCAGTTAAATGTCACAGATTCACTTCCCCCATTGACTCATCAGTAGTGCACAGAGTGAAAGTCCTTGCCATAAGTACCTTCCACATCCCTGTCCCTGCCTGAAGAAGTGTGTCCTTGCTCACAACAATCAGAAAAGCCTGAGTGTATGGATTGTTGTAAACTCAACACTGCTCCTGAAAGACCAGCCCAATTTGCTATTTTTGCTGCTGGGTGTCAGGGACATTTGCTGCAGTCTTAACAAACAGCTTCTACAGAATGCATTTATCCTTTCCTGGATGGGTTGTTAAAGGCATTTGTTTATTATCTATCTGTGTGAATATGAAGATCAGATATAGGAACCCAAGCATGGCTATGTCACTTGCCAGCCTGTATCCATCACCCTGCTGTGGCCATTCTTTGGAATTTCTCCCCCTTGGAATAAGCAGGGATTGCTTTACTATGAATCTTACAACACAGACTCCATTCATGTTACCCATAAGGGCTTTCTCTGATGTTCACTGCCAGGCATAAGGAATTAGAAGGAGTGTCAGAATGCTTAAACAATAAATAATGAAAATAAAAAAAATCCCAATTGTTTTCTAGCAATGAAAGGAATCATGTAAAACCACACTAGTTACCTTAATCCCAGTTAGAAAACACTAGAGGAATTCGTTATGAAACCCAAAGACATGATGACCTTCACAATTCTCCAGGCAAGTTCTTCATGTACCATGACAAGTGGGACTGAGAGTTTTGGGAAATGCAGAAGAAATGTGTCATTTTGAAGAGTTCTATGTGGAAGATTGGGATTCTAGTGGCTTAAAATGATGTGGAGTGAAATTGTTTTCAATGAAAATATTTATCAAAGTTATATCATGAGTATATCTAACCCTATGTTTACTGTATTTGTGCTATCATATGAATATATTTTGATTTAGTATTTGATCAGTCTTTACTGATTGTTGAGAATCTACTAACTCAGTGCTTCTCAAAGTGGTAAAGGGCTAGTTTTTCAAAATTTCTTATCTCTCCTGGATTGGTGCATAGTCTTACCACATATGACTCATCTCCAGCTTGCACCACTTGCTAATCACCACGTAAGTGTGGCAGCATCTAAACAAATCTGTCTTCATTTCAAGGAAGAGAACGCTGATAATGCACATGGATGTTGCAACAATGTCAAATTGCTATGAAAATTTCTAAATGAATTTTCTGCTCAATTGCCTACCTTGTTGCAAATTAATAACAGGCAGTTAACATAACTGGTAGTGTTCTGCAGACCACATTCTGAGTAACACTACACAATTTACTGCCTGCATCCCTAGAGGGGATGGGGGAAGAAATAGGCTAAATCCTAAAATGCCATGATGCCATATTCAAATAGTGTTTTATGAAGAATTGTTCATTTGGCATTCAGCACTGGGCAGTGATTGAACTTGAGGGAGGCAAGGAGTTTTAGAACCTGTAATATACCAGGTAAGAATTTATAAAAAGCTAACAGAACAGGTTTTCATAAAAGTGGGACTGAGAGTTTTAGGGACATGCAGAAAAAATGGGGATATTGTTAATTATCCCTTATCCTTATTTATTACACTTGTCATTCGTTATTATAATTAATTATTAGTGATCCTTAATTAATCTTAAATATTTTATGATTATTTAAACATGAATTTTATGAATATTTAAATAATTTTGTAAATATCATAAAATATTTTATGATATTTATCAATTCAGTTATTTCAGATAAAAGCACTGAATTAGTAGATTCTGAACAATCAGTTAAGACTGATCAAATACTAAATCAAAAGGGGAGCGGTGAACAGGGGTTCTTCTGTGCACTGTGTTTTCAGGGTGTTTTGTAATTAGCCAGCTGAATGAATGCCAAGACTGATGTAAATTAGGGCTTATAAACCCAGTGGTTTCTAAGGAATCACAGACAGTTATGTGGCAATAGGGTATGGTGGAGACTGTGGTGAATTAGAGAACAAATGCCCATTAAAAGGAGATAACACTTATTCTATTCCAGGTAAGCCTTCTGATTTTCCAAAAAACAAACAAAATAAAATAAGACAAACAAACAAAACCAAACAGAAATTCTAGCTTTTTATACAAAAGCTCTGAATTGCTCAATTGTTATCATTTAATTTAAATCATTTAAAAATTCTGTGCCAGCCCCAAAGACAGAGAAACAAAGAGAACATGATTAGGCCACTTGTGTGTAATCCCTGAAAACTCTCTTGAGGTTTCTAGAGATGAAACAGATTCTAGCAAGTTTCATGGAATGTTGGAATGTCAACTTCTTTAAAGGTAATGCAAAACATAATTTTATATTAACATGAATAGGGAAATGCATAATGAAGTAAATAGTGAAATTTGCAGGTATTCTTAAGAGCCATTAGATTCAAATCAATGTCAATGTTTTAGCTGAGTAGGCAGCTTCAGTCTGGGCACCAAAAATCTTGGAAAATTATTCTCCTTTCCTCTCAGGGGTTTCTTAGAGGAACATTCTGTGAAGCACTATGTTAGTTTTTATGAAAATATCTCCAAAGTGCCAAGCCCATCCAGTGAAATGCAGTTTTTTTAAGTTAAAAACACCTAAATGGCCTTAAATAGGTGGATTATTTAAGATATTTCATGTTAGAACTAAAGTGAGAGTACATAATTTCAAAGAATCCCCAGGGGAAATAAATAGTTGTTGAATCACTTCAGTTATTTCAGATATAAAATAGTTAGGCATATATATTCACATTTGTTACATTGTTCTGAGAGACAATGGTACCTGGCTTACCAAGGGAACTTAATTCCACCACAAATTGGTACATGAACTCTTAGCCCAGATGTGCTTACATTTCTCTCTTGAACTTAATTAAAGGCAGGCATCACCCATGCCTCTGTGACTGCCAGTCAGCTAATTTAAAGATGACAAAGCTGTGACAGACAAGCACTGGACTAAACGGCTGTGGATCCTGTAAATACACATGCTGCATATCCTTCCTAATGCACCACTTGTGGGCATGCCACCAGTCCGTCCTGGCCCCCTGAGCTCAGTACAAAGACTTTGTTGCGTCTGAAATAGAAATGAAAGTAAATATTGGAGGGGCCAAGAGCCATCCGGGGAATGTGAACTAAGTGTCCCTGAGTGGTGACCACCCCTGGTAGGCAGCTGGTGGATAACGTCAGCCAGGAGTAAAAGAATGTGGTGGAGTTTGGCTTCTTCAGCCAGAGAAGGCCTACACCAGCGTTAACCCAAAAGGCTGCAGATGGAGCAAAGGATGTCCACAAAGATCAGGGTGGGCTCATAATTTGTCTTAGTTTGGAATCCCCCAGAAGCAAACCCTGTGACAAGAATTTGAGTGCAAATAGTTTATTTGGGTTGTGAAGAAAGTTCCATCAGGGGGGTCGGGAAGTGAGCCAGGAAGAAAAGAGAGTCCATCGGAGGTGCCTAGGGAAGCTGCTTACAACAGTGAGCAGCTGGAGATCAACCCAACTGGGGAGCTCCGTGGGCCTCAGGGTTAACCCTTCTGTGGGGTTTTCTCAATTGATGCCTGCAAAGCCTTCCTTCATTCAGGCAAGGAATGAATGCAGGTCCTGGCAGAGGCTGGAAGTCAGGCTAGGAACCTTGGAAGGAAGGGCAAGGGAACAAGTGTAGCCACCAATGGCATCAGTCACATGACCTTCCTAAAGCTATCAGTGCCCCTAAGGCATATGCAAATCTAAGAAACAATGGTCAGTGTGTGCACTTTTGGGAACTGAAGTATCTTCTCTCTGTATTTTTTAGTTGCCAACTTTTGGATATGCTAATTGAAATTAAACTTTCTTCCACCTCCCCCTCCATTTAAAAAAAATTTGGTGCCTCTTATTTTTGGGTGCCCTAGGTACATTCTTAGCCTGCCTCTTGTATAGTTAGGTGATCACTGTTTGAAAAGTAAAGTGGAAGTAGGCATAAAGATGACACTGCAGGTCTCAATTGGAGATTCAAAGTCAGTCATTTCCCCAGTTAGGCTCTAACACAATGTAACATGATGAGGGGAGGGATTTGCTAATCACAACCAGAGTCACCACTGAGTGAAGGCATGTTCTATGCCAGGCTCCCAAATTAACTACCCTCATTAATTTCCCAATCTTGCTTTTGGGGAGCCACACCCCACCTCCCTTGATCACACTAGACTGTAGCAAAGACAGATGATAACAATAATGGTTAATATTTACTGAGAGCACACCAATGCCAGGCACTGCTCTAAGCCTTTTGTGTGTTTTAACTCATTTTATTCCCTACAGTGACCTTCTGAGGAAGTACCTATTATGATCTTTATTTTTCAGAAAAGGAAGCCTGGGCTTAGAGGGAAGGTGCTTACTCATGTTACACAAAGCTAACACATGTTGGAGTCTAGATTTGAACTCATGTCTTCTGTCTTTAGAGATGACCCCCCATTCCATCCTGACCTCAGCACTGCACCATTATACTGCAAGCAATTCACGATTCAGCTGAATCACTAGATGATGAGGAGAGAAATTGCAAATATGATTTTGTTGGCTATGAGGCACAAAGGTCTCCTGGCAACAGGAACTCATTTATGTCACCGCAATCTCCCCATTTAATAACAGAGAGAACATCATTTTGCAGACATATCCTCAGCAGGCAATTTGCCCAGAAAATAGGGAGCAGATTTCTGGATCTAGGGGAAGGAATGGGAAAGAATCACTCTGCTGTGGAAGGTGAGAGTCTTAGGGAGCAGACCCAGAGCAGTGAGAGGCAGAGCACCTTCCAACACTCGGAAATTTCCTTGAACTAGTGTCTAAGGATGGAAGGCCAAGAAGGGCAGGTGAGGGCCTTGATCATTATTTATTTATTTTTTTATTTCACACAAAGAGTTGCTCAGAAATAGGAAGTCTGGATGCCGCAGAGTTTAGAGGAACTTGGGCAGCATTTAAGTGAGAGGGTTGTAGGAGCCCTGATGGGAAGGGATCCTGGGCCTGTCTATGAACTGGTCTCCTTCAAGTCTCTCCTGCACAGTGAAGACATCTGCACATTTTTGCCATCAAATTCTAGAGACTGAGTACAGTGGTGTGATCAGGCTAGAGTGCAGTGGTGTTATCACAGCTCACTTGCAGCCTCAAACTCCTGGCTTCAAGCGGGCCTCTCCCCTCAGCCTCTGGAGTAACTGGGACTACAGGCATGCACCCCTATGCCTGGCTAATTTTTAATTTTTGTTATAGAGACAGAGTCTTTCTATGTTGCCCAGGCTGGTCTTGAACTCCTGGCCTAAAGTCATTCTTCTGAATTGGCCTCCCAAAGTTGTAGGAGTACAGGGGTGAACCATGGCACCTGGCCTAAAGACTGGTTTTAAAAAAAGGACATATGGAGCCAAGATGGCCGAATAGGAACAGGTCCAGTCTACAGCTCCCAGCATGAGCGATGCAGAAGACGGGTGATTTCTGCATTTCCATCTGAGGTACCGGGTTCATCTCACTAGGGAGTGCAAGACAGCGGGCACAGGACAGTGGGTGCAGTGCACTGTGCGTGAGCCAAAGCAGGGTGAGGCATTGTGTCACTCAGGAAGTGCAAGGGGTCAGGGAGTTCCCTTTCCTAGTCAAAGAAAGGGGTGACAGACGGCACCTGGAAAATCGGGTCACTCCTACCCCAATACTGAGCTTTACTGATGGGCTTAAAAAACGGCACACCATGAGATTATATCCCGCACCTGGCTCGGAGGGTCCTTCGCCCATGGAGTTTCGCTGATTGCTAGCACAGCAGTCTGAGATCAAACTGCAAGGAGGCAGCAAGGCTGGGGAAGGGGCGCCCGCCATCGCCCAGGCTTGCTTAGGTAAACAAAGCAGCCAGGAAGCTTGAACTGGGTGGAGCCCACCAGAGCTCAAGGAGGCCTGCCTGCCTCTGTAGGCTCCACCTCTGGGGGCAGGGCACAGACAAACAAAAAGACAGCAGTAACCTCTGCAGACTTAAATGTCCCTGTCTGACAGCTTTGAAGAGAGCAGTGGTTCTCCCAGCACGCAGCTGGAGATCTGAGAAGGGGCAGACTGCCTCCTCAAGTGGGTCCCTGACCCCTGACCCCCAAGCAGCCTAACTGGGAGGCACCCCCCAGTAGGGGCGGACTGACACCTCACATGGCCGGTTACTCCTCTGAGACAAAAATTCCAGAGGAATGATCAGACAGCAGCATTCGCGGATCACAAAAATGCGCTGGTCTGCAGCCACTGCTGCTGGTACCCAGGCAAACAGGGTCTGGAGTGGACCTCTAGCAAACTCCAACAGACCTGCAGCTGAGGGTCCTATCTGTTAGAAGGCAAACTAACGAACAGAAAGGACATCCACACCAAAAACCCATCTATACATCACCATCATCAAAGACCTAAAGTAGATAAAACCACAAAGATGGGGAAAAAACAGAGCAGAAAAACTGTAAACTCTAAAAAGCAGAGTGCCTCTCCTCCTCCAAAGGAACGTAGTTTCTCACCAGCAAAAGAACAAAGCTGGATGGAGAATGACTTTGATGAGTTGAGAGAAGAAGGCTTCAGACGATCAAACTACTCTGAGCTACAGGAGGAAATTCAAACCAAAGGCAAAGAAGTTAAAAACTTTGAAAAAAATTTAGGTGAATGCATAACTAGAATAACCAATGCAGAGAAGGGCTTAAAGAAGCTGATGGAGCTGAAAGCCAAGGCTTGAGAACTACATGAAGAATGCAGAAGCCTCAGGAGCCAATGCGATCAACTGGAAGAAAGGGTATCAGTGATGGAAGATGAAATGAATGAAATGAAACAAGAAGGGAAGTTTAGAGAAAAAAGAATAAAAGGAAACGAACAAAGCCTCCAAGAAATATGGGACTATGTGAAAAGACCAAATCTACGTCTGATTGGTGTACCTGAAAGTGACAGGGAGAATGGAACCAAGTTGGAAAACACTCTGCAGGATATTTTCCAGGAGAGCTTCCCCAATCTAGCAAGGCAGGCCAACATTCAGATTCCAGAAATACACAGAATGCCACAAAGATACTCCTCGAGAAGAGCAACTCCAAGACACATAATTGTCAGATTCACCAAAGTTGAAATGAAGGAAAACATGTTAAGGGCAGCCAGAGAGAAAGGTCAGATTACCCACAAAGGGAAGCCCATCAGACTAACAGCGGATCCCTCGGCAGAAACTCTACAAGCCAGAAGAGAGTGGGGGCGAATATTCAACATTCTTAAAGAAAAGAATTTTCAACCCAGAATTTCATATCCAGCCAAACTAAGCTTCATAAGTGAAGGACAAATCAAATACTTTACAGATAAGCAAATGCTGAGAGATTTTATCACCACCAGGCCTGCCCTAAAAGAGCCCCTGAAGGAAGCACTAAACATGGAAAGGAACAACTGGTAAAAGCCACTGCAAAATTATGCCAAATTGTAAAGACCATCGAGGGTAGGAAGAAACTGCATCAACTAACGAGCAAAATAACCAGCTAACATCATAATGACAGGATCAATTTCACACACAACAATATTAACTTTAAATGTAAATGGACTAAATGCTCCAATTAAAAGACACAGACTGGCAAATTGGATAAAGAGTCAAGACCCATCAGTGTGCTGTATTCAGGAAACCCATCTCACGTGCAGAGACACACATAGGCTCAAACTAAAAGGATGGAGGAAGATCTACCAAGCAAATGGAAAACAAAAAAAGGCAGGGGTTGCAATCCTAGTCTCTGATAAAACAGACTTTAAACCAACAAAGATCAAAAGAGACAAAGAAGGCCATTACATAATGGTAAAGGGATCAATTCAACAAGAAGAGCTAACTATCCTAAATATATGTGCACCCAATACAGGAGCACCCAGATTCATAGAGCAAGTCCTGAGAGACCTACAAAGAGACTTAGACTCCCACACAATAATAATGGGAGACTTTAACATCCCACTGTCAACATTAGACAGATAAACAAGAACAACAAGACAGAAAGTTAACAAGGATACCCAGGAATAAAACTCAGCACTGCACCAAGCGGACCTAACAGACATCTACAGAACTCTCCACCCCAAATCAACAGAATATACATTTTTTTCAGCACCACACCACACCTATTCCAAAATTGACCACATACTGGGAAGTAAAGCTCTCCTCAGCAAATGTAAAAGAACAGAAATTATAACAAACTGTCTCTCAGACCACAGTGCAATCAAACTAGACCTCAGGATTAAGAAACTCACTCAAAACCGCTCAACTACATGGAAACTGAACAACCTGCTCCTGAATGACTACTGGGTACATAACGAAATGAAGGCAGAAATAAAGATGTTCTTTGAAACCAACGAGAACAAAGACACAACATACCAGAATCTCTGGGACACATTCAAAGCAGTGTGTAGAGGGAAATTTATAGCACTAAATGCCCACAAGAGAAAGCAGGAAAGATCCAAAATTGATACCCTAACATCACAATTAAAAGAACTAGAAAAGCAAGAGCAAACACATTCAAAAGCTAGCAGAAGGCAAGAAATAACTAAGATCAGAGCACAACTGAAGAAAATGGAGACACAGAAAACCCTTCAAAAAATTAATGAATCCAGGAGCTGGTTTTTTGAAACGATCAACAAAATTGATAGACCGCTAGCAAGACTAATAAAGAAGAAAAGAGAGAAGAATCAAATAGATGCAATAAAAAATGATAAAGGGGATATCACCACCGATCCCACAGAAATACAAACTACCATCAGAGAATACTACAAACACCTCTATGCAAATAAACTAGAAAATCTACAAGAAATGGATAAATTCCTCGACACATACACTCTTCCAAGACTAAACCAGGAAGAAGTTGAATCTCTGAATAGACCAAAAACAGGCTCTGAAATTGTGGCAATAATCAATAGCTTACCAACCAAAAAGAGTCCAGGACTAGATGGATTCACAGCCGAATTCTACCAGATGTACAAGGAGGAACTGGTACTATTCCTTCTGAAACTATTCCAATCAACAGAAAAAGAGGGAATCCTCCCTAACTCATTTTATGAGGCCAGCATCATCCTGACACCAAAGCCTGGCAGAGACACAACAAAAAAAGAGAATTTTAGACCAATATCCTTGATGAACATTGATACAAAAATCCTCAATAAAATACTGGCAAACCGAATCCAGCAGCACATCAAAAACCTTATCCACCATGATCAAGTGGGCTTCACCCCCGGGATGCAAGTCTGGTTCAATATATGCAAATCAATAAATGTAATCCAGCATATAAACAGAACCAAAGACAAAAACCACATGATTATCTCAATAGATGCAGAAAAGGCCTTTGACAAAATTCAACAACGCTTCATGCTAAAAACTCTCAATAAATTAGGTATTGATGGGACTTATCTCAAAATAATAAGAGCTATCTATGAAAAACCCACAGCCAATATCATACTGAATGGGCAAAAACTGGAAGCATTCCCTTTGAAAACTGGCACAAGACAGGGATGCCCTCTCTCACCACTCCTATTCGACATAGTGTTGGAAGTTCTGGCCAGGGCAATTAGGCAGGAGAAGGAAATAAAGGATATTCAATTAGGAAAAGAGGAAGTCAAATTGTTCCTGTTTGCAGATGACATGATTGTGTATCTAGAAAACCCCATTGTCTCAGCCCAAAATCTCCTTAAGCTGATAAGCAACTTCAGCAAAGTCTCAGGATACAAAATCAACGTACAAAAATCACAAGCATTCTTCTACAGCAATAATAGACAAACAGAGAGCCAAATCATGAGTGAACTCCCATTCACAATTGCTTCAAAGAGAATAAAATACCTAGGAATCCAACTTACAAGGGATGCAAAGGACCTCTTCAAGGAGAACTACAAACCACTGCTCAATAAAATAAAAGAGGATACAAAGAAATGGAAGAACATTCCATGCTCATGGGTAGGAAGAATCAGTATCATGAAAATGGCCATACTGCCCAAGATAATTTATAGATTCAATGCCATCCCCATCAAGCTACCAATGCCTTTCTTCACAGAATTGGAAAAAACTACTTTAAAGTTCATATGGAACCAAAGATGAGCCTACATCCTCAAGTCAACCCTAAGCCAAAAGAACAAAGCTGGAGGCATCATGCTACCTGACTTCAAACTATACTACAAGCCTACAGTAACCAAAACAGCATGGTGCTGGTACCAAAACAGAGATATAGATCAATGGAACAGAACTGAGCCCTCAGAAATAACTCTGCATATCTACAACTATCTGATCTTTGACAAACCTGAGAAAAGCAAGCAATGGGGAAAGGATTCCCTATTTAATAAATGGTGCTGGGAAAACTGGCTAGCCATATGTAGAAAGCTGAAACTGGATCCGTTCCTTACACCTTATACAAAAATTAATTCAAGATGGATTAAAGACTTAAACGTTAGACCTAAAACCATAAAAACCCTAGAAGAAAACCTAGGCATTACCATTCAGGACATAGGCATGGGCAAGGACTTCATGTCTAAAACACCAAAAGCAGTGGCAACAAAAGCCAAAATTGACAAATGGGATCTAATTAAACTTAAGAGCTTCTGCAAAGCAAAAGAAACTACCATCAGAGTGAACAGGCAACCTACAAAATGGGAGAAAATTTTCGCAACCCACTCATCTGACCATGGCTAATATCCAGAATCTACAATGAACTCAAACAAATTTACAAGAAAAAAACAAACAACCCTACTAAAAAGTGGGCGAAGGACATGATCAGACACTTCTCAAAAGAAGACATTTATGCAGCCAAAAAACACATGAAAAAATGCTCACCATCACTGGCCATCAGAGAAATGCAAATCAAAACCACAATGAGATACCATCTCACACCAGTTAGAATGGTGATCATTAAAAAGTCGGGAAACAACAGATGCTGGAGAGGATGTTGAGAAATAGGAACACTTTTACACTGTTGGTGGGACTGTAAACTAGTTCAACCCTTGTGGAAGTGAGTGTGGTGATTTCTCAGGGATCTAGAACTAGAAATACCATTTGACCCAGCCATCCCATTAACGGGTATATACCCAAAGGACTATAAATCATGCTGCTGTAACGACACATGCACATGTATGTTTATTGTGGCTCTATTCACAATAGCAAAGACTTGGAACCAATCCAAATGTCCAACAATTATAGACTGGATTAAGAAAATGTGGCACATATACACCATGGAATACTATGCAGCCATAAAAAATGATGAGTTCATGTCCTTTGTGGGGACATGGATGAAATTGGAAATCATCATTCTCAGTAAACTATCGCAAGAACAAAAAACCAAACACTGCATAGTCTCACTCATAGGTGGGAATTGCACAATGAGAATACATGGACACAGGAAGGGGAACATCACACTCTGGGGTCTGTTGTGGGGTGGAGGGAGGGGGGAGGGATAGCATTAGGAGATATAACTAATGCTAAATGAGGAGTTAATGGGTGCAGCACACCAGCATGGCAGATGTATATATATGTAACTAACCTGCACATTGTGCACATGTACCCTAAAACTTAAAGTATAATAATAATAATAAAATAAAAAAAAGAAAAGAAAGAAAATGTGGCACATATACACCATGGAATACTATGCAGCCATAAAAAATGATGGGTTCATGTCCTTTGTAGGGACATGGATGAAATTGGAAATCATCATTCTCAGTAAACTATGGCAAGGACAAAAAGCCAAACACCGCATAGTCTCACTCATAGGTGGGAATTGAACAATGAGAACACATGGACACAGGAAGGGGAACATCACACTCTGGGGACTGTTGTGGGGTGGGGGGAGGAGAGAGGGTTAGCATTACGAGGTATACCTAATGCTAAATGACGAGTTAATGGGTGCAGCACACCAGCATGGAACATGTATACATATGTAACTAACCTGCACATTGTGCACATGTACCGTAAAACTTAAAGTATAATACAATAAAATTAAAAAAAAAAAGAAAAGGACATATGATGGACATGGGGTCATTATGCTCAAAGGTTCACATTGCAGGTGAGAGCTTTCTTTTCTAGGCAGAAATTTTCTACCATAGTCAGGTTTACCCTCTAACCCTTGAAGTATGCCCTTCCCAAACCTCCCTCCTAGACTCCTAAGCACTGTCATTGCCAATCCTGTTTGTTTGCTTTTTTTTTTTTTTTCATTTCCACCACTGGCCTCTCTTCTTCAGTCTCCAGCTTCATTTCTGAGTGACATTCTGAGAAGTAGACTTGGGGGAATCCTTTCCATGCCTTTCTCTTTAACTGATCTCAGGCAAAATGTTTGTCCTGGATGTACAATACTTAAAAGAGTTGATTTAAAATTTCCTGAAAATAAGTTCATCTCAGCTTTTGTGTGAGAAAGGAAGTTCTATGTTGGCTGGTGACCATTTCAAAGCTACCCTCAGTCTCACAATTAGTGTGCTTGGCAATGCTATTGGACATTGGAATGCAAATGTTCACATCCCACCTTGAGCTTGCAGGATTTTGATGCATTTCCTTTTTGTTGGACAAAATAGTGAGTATTCCCTAAGATTACTTCCAGTTGCAACCTGAACAAAGAGAAATGCATCTAAATATCCTGCTCCAAAGCCTTTGAACTTCACCAATGCATAACTCATGGGACACTTATCAGTTTGTATAAATGCTCACAGTATGGTGTTTCTTTGGATGGGAGTGTTTTCAGACTAAGATAACTTATCACCTCAAGTCAATACTATACAGAGGTTGTACTTGAGAAATTTGTTTTAAATTCATTATCATTAACATGCAAGGCAGCTGCAGGAAATTATACAACTTGCAAAGCATTTCAAAACATGTTCACATACTGATATCTGGGCTGTTTGATCCAGAAACAAAGGGAAATCATGATCTTTCTGGCTACAGCCTTACCAACAAAGAGTTTTGCTTTTCTTAATAATCATCTTTAGTCCAAGTTATTTTTTATTCCAGTGACACTGATGCTCGCCAGTGATTTTAGATTGATAATAAGAACCATGTTCGTGGGTTGGAAGTACACCGCCAGGATCAGTATAGATTTCATAACTGCATCCCTTCACGTTTGAAATGAGCTGTGAGAATACAAGTGTCCTGAAAACCAGGATGGAATAACTAAGAAAAAAGAAATCTTCTCATCTATAGAATGGGGTGAAACATAAATGCGTGAAATGCATTGGGACTTCGTTATTCCAAACAACAAAAGTTACATGATCTTTGATGTAAAAGAATGACCAGAAACTCTCGTACAGCTCAGCATATTTGGCAATTAAGTCAAAGGACCTTTCTGGAGGAATGTGTGTTTTGTAAAGTTCAGAACTCAGTCCAATTTCATGGGTTTTGAAGTTTTTTAACCAATCTTAAACTGTGCACGGTGCCAGTTTTGAATCTATGTGTTTCAAAAATTCTTGACGAAAGGACAGTTGGTTTCTGGGAAAAGAAACAGCAGAAGATCAGATAAGCAAGACTGGGCCACCGGGACACTGGGCTTCTGGAGGGCCTGTTTTTCTCTCATTTTTCCTTCTCTGCTTTCTCTCCACGCTCCCCAAATGTGCACCAGATGTATAATTCCAGTGTGCAAGATTTGTTCTGATTTGGGGTTTTTGCCCATCTTATCTCTACTTTCTAATCAAAAGGCACCTAAAGTAATAGGAATCAGGTTAACTGCCCCATCTTAACGTGCTACTCAAGGGACACTCAGGAGCTCTGAAAAGCCATGCCTTGGAGCACCTGAAATGCCCTGCACTAATCACTCCTTTGTGTTAAGGACTCTGTAAAATGAATAATATCCCAACTGAACATGGTAAAGGAGGGTTATCTGGGTTGGTAAATGCAGAGAGGAGACCTTTCCTACCCATTAAGGTGTAAACTCCACATCCAGAAGCTCTGAGGGTCTGAGGGAATTGGACAAAGATAAGCACATTGTGGCAGCAGAGGGAGGAGAGGGGATATGGAACATGGAAGAGCCCGGGAAGGCTGTGGCATGAGGATGTCACCAGTGGGAACCTGGGCAGGTGGGGACAGCACAAGGACATCAAAAACTTGGAATTCGGAAATTAATCAGGGGCTGGACAGGTGGGCTGTTTCTTTTCTTTTTTTTTTTCAGACAGAGTCTCGCTGTGTCGCCCAGGCTGGAGTGCAGTGGCACGATCTTGGCTCACTGCAAGCTCCGACTCCCGGGTTCACGCCATTCTTGTGCCTCAGCCTCCCGAGTAGCTGGGACTACAGGCGACTGCCACCATGCCCAGCTAATTTTTTGTATTTTTAGTAGAGATAGGGTTTCACCGTGTTAGGCAGGATGGTCTCGATCTCCTAACCTTGTGATCCGCAGGTGGGCTGTTTCTAAGACTGATGTGGCTTAACAAGGAATTTTCCCAGACCATCTCTACTCTCCACAATTTTCAAACAGGATTATTACTTTGTCTTTCACCTCAGTGCCCATGTGTTTGTGGATCCCTCTAGATACTTGCTTTGCTATTTCTTACATCTCTAATGTGAAGAATTAATGTCCCAGTTATAAGAACTTTATGTCCTGTACGTAGATGTTCTCTAGTCACACCCCTGACATGTGTGAGGCCTGGGAAGAGGCCCACATCCCATGGGCACAATATTTAAAAGTTGTAAATCAAGTGGGAAAGTTGTTAAATAAAACAGATTCTATTCTTCTACATTGTCAGATATTCCACCTTCATCATGATAAAATAGAAAAATATGTGCAAACAGGTTTTTGTGTGACGGAAAATCAGCAAAATATCAAATATGACTGAATTTAATTATTATTGTGCACATACCAGTGATGTTTAGAATATCAAAATGCATTTATTGATATGTTTTGATATTTGATATCATATGCTTCTTTGAATTTTTTTTTTTTTTTTTTTTTTTTTTTTTGTGACAGAGTCTCGCTCTGTTGCCTGGGCTGGAGTGCAGTGGTATGATCTTGGCTCACTGCAACCTCCACCTCCCTGGTTCAAGCAATTCTCCTGCCTCAGCCTCCTGAGTAGCTGGGATTTCAGGTGCCTGCCACCACACCGGGCTAATTTTTGTATTTTTAGTAGAGACATGGTTTCACCATGTTAGCCAGGCTGGTCTCGAACTCCTGACCTCAAGTGATCCACCCACTTTGGCCTCCCAAAGTGCTGGGATTACAGGCATGAGCCACTGTACTCGGCCTGATATCATATGTTTTGATATTTGATCTTTAGAATATCAAAACATATGAATAATAACACCTGCACAATTCATAAATTATTTTTCCTAAAATTTTCTTGCCTTCATTTCAGCAATATCACAAATTCTATTTTTTAAGAGTCCAGATTTTTATATCATTTGTTTTTTATAGAAAATGATGCTAACTTGGTAAACTTGCTCCAGTCACTGTTCTTCAACAGGATCCTAAAATTAATTTCGATTTTGAGAGATTTTCCTCTGCTAAGGCCAAGCGAATGAATTTTCAACACAATTCTTTAAGTGAAATTTAGAAGAGAAATGAAGGGTGAAATTTGCATGTCATGTTCAAATGTTGTAATTCTGTCACACCTGATATGCTATTATCATAGAAATTATAAAAATATTTTAACTGTATTATATAGATTGTTATGACGCATACAAATTATCACTTCTTTTACAATAATATCAGGATCCATGCAGGGAAGATATATAGTTCCTGGATTCTTCTTTCAAATTTTTCTGTGCTAGGATATTATCAAGAAAACACAAAATATCATGTCTTGTTTAATTTATTTAAATCTCTCTTCACACAGCACTATAGTATCCATAAAATACTCTCTGCATTTATTTTGGAATTATTTGTATTTGAATTTTCCCCTTTGTAATAGAAATGATTTGTGTTGTTCTAATTTCTTTTTTTTTCCTGGAAGATTTCTTTGTTACATAGTTCACATGCACTTTTGATTTTAAAAAACCCCCACATTTTATCTAAAGTTAAAAAATTAATCCTTTATAGAGTAAAATGGCCAAACTCGGATCTGTTTCTGAAAGCTATTGTTAACATTAATAGCAACCGTGATTCCTACAAAATAATGTAAATAGTGCAAATTCAAAATTAATTTGATTTTCTTCCAAAGAGTATGATTCACTATTTATTTGAGCATCTTACATTTCACTTAACTTTTCTGATACATTTTGTATCTTGTCTAAATTAAATCTGGTTTCTTTATCAGCATTCAGCCAGCATTCCCTGTGTGACCTAGAGAAGTCGTAAAGTCAAAATTGATAGTGTTTCATCAAGATGTTCCATTTTGGGGCAAGCCCAGAAAATGTCATATACAATTTTGAATCATTCCGAAGACTGTCATTGCTATTGGCCCAGCTGAGGCCATGTCTCATAGTAACAAATTCAAAACATGTGCCATGCGGGGCTCAAGGAATGCTTCTGGTTTTCAGCCAAATTTATGGCCTCACATCTTTTTCTTTACCAACCATGTCAACAGCATTAGCATAGATTTGCCCTGTACGATCTTGTAAACTCTTTAAATAAAGCTGACATTTAAAATTTAATTTTATAAAAATGTAGTCAGTTCCTTTGAAGATATTTTTATAAACAGTAAGTAGTCACAATTCTAGCATGTAATACAAGGCCCATCTAATAGCATTCTTTTGGATGTACAACTTTAAGGGTCATGTGATTTTTAAAAAAAATTGTTATTATTGTACTTTAAGTTTTAGGGTACATTTGTACAATGTGCAGGTTTGTTACATATGTATACATGTGCCATGTTGGTGTGCTGCACCCATTAATTCGTCATTTAGCATTAGGTATATCTCCTAATGATATCCCTCCCCTCTCCCCACACCCCACAACAGTCCCCAGTGTGTGATGTTCCCCTTCCTGTGTCCATGTATTCTCATTGTTCAATTCCCACCTATGAGTGAGAACATGCGGTGTTTGGTTTTTTGTCCTTGCGATAGTTTGCTGAGAATGATGGTTTCCAGTTTCATCCATGTCCCTACAAAGGACATGAACTCATCATTTTTTATGTCTGCATAGTATTCCATGGTGTATATGTGCCACATTTTCTTAATCCAGTCTATCATTGTTGGACATTTGGGTTGGTTCCAAGTCTTTGCTATTGGGAATAGTGCCGCAATAAACATACGTGTGCATGTGTCTTTATAGCAGCATGATTTATCGTCCTTTGGGTATATACCCAGTAATGGGATGGCTGGGTCAAATGGTATTTCTAGTTCTAGATCCCTGAGGATTTGCCACACTCACTTGCACAATGGTTGAACTAGTTTACAGTCCCACCAACAGTGTAAAAGTGTTCCTATTTCTCCACATCCTCTCCAGCACCTGTTGTTTCCTGACTTTTGAATGATTGCCATTCTAACTGGTGTGAGATGGTATCTCATTGTGCTTTTGATTTGCATTTCTCTGATGGCCAGTGATGATGAGCATTTTTTCATGTGTTTTTTGGCTGCATAAATGTCTTCTTTTGAGAAGTGTCTGTTCACGTCCTTTGCCCACTTTTTGGTAGGGTTGTTTGTCCTTTTCTTGTAAATTTGTTTGAGTTCGTTGTAGATTCTTGATATTAGCCCTTTGTCAGATGAGTAGGGTCATGTGATTTTTTTTTAATGCTTACAAAATGTTCCTCAGCTGCCACACAACTGTTGTGAAGACTTAACTGTTGTGAAGAGTTAATTCATGCACATCTCTGCAAGCAGTGCTTGGACCACAAAGAAAGCAAGGAAATGGACACTCACACTGTCTCATTCTATCCGAGGAAGGGTTCCACAGATTAATTGATTGATGTTTTTTCTCTAGTCAAGTGCTTCTGCTACTCTAATTCTCTTCACTTCTGAGCAGTGTATGTTTCTGACTTTGGCAGTCATAAGATCCAAAAGACTTCATGGCATTTTGGGTCAGCCTCCTTTTGTTTCAAGTACTTAGGGCAAGAGACGCTAGATCTCTGATTGTACTATCTGGGTCCAATCTGATTGCCAGAATTGTTCTGCCTGGGTCAGCTGGCTAGACTGATGGCCCATGAGTTTCCCTGCTGATTTACAAATTTAGTCCAAAATGTAACTTTCTCAGAAAGAGGTCCTCAGTTTATTCCTATAGACCATGTGTTGAAATCTTGTGATAATGTGTGTGTGTATGTTTACTTTTCCTTGTTGTATTTACAGGGAATTGTGCTTGATACATACTAGGTACTTCATAAATACTTGTTGAATGGATAATAATAATTTTAGTAAGAATGTCTACTTCCAGATATTTTTTTGTAGGAGTGTTTGGCAGCCGACATCAGAATGTATTGGCTGAACGGCATAGAAAAAATGTTTTGATAAAACAAGTGATAATGGAAGATAAATATATTTTATTTATAGAATGATGATTTAATGGTAAATTATAGACCTGTATCCCCTAAGCAGTGTCTTCTATTTGATTGCAAATAGCATAGGTGAAAATGCCTGCCACTGTAATTACTGTTGATTATGATGTGCACAGCCATGGATTCATATTTAAGTTCTCTCAACTTTCCTCTTTCATACTGCAACATTAGACTATGTCCATGAATTTTAGCTGCCATTCATGGATGTAATGATGAAGGGCAGTGAGAGACTGTTATAAGCCCGAGAGAAATGAAACACAATGACTAGGAGGGGGGAAAAGAGAATGAGCAGAATCCTATAATAGATGCTGGAGCAAGACTGTTGACTTGGCTAAGATAAGGATGTCCTATGGTGTCTGGGTTGGATGCTACAGAACTCCTAGAAAACAAAATGTTAAGAAAAAAAGCATTTGGATGAGAGTGACCTTTGTCACTGCTCATGAAAGCTGTGTATATCAGACAGTCTTGCTTAAGACCTTGCCAAAAGGATGTGCTAAAAGAAACTTGTGTTTCTGTTTCAAAGGTGCTTGAGTAGCAGCAGCAATAGCAAAAACAGCAGCAACAACAAAAATTAATAGAGCTTGGATAGAACTTTGCCAAGGGTGTTGACTTTTTTCTTTTTATGTCTGCTGTCAATTTTTTTAAATTTTTTATTTTCACAATTTTTGGGGAACAGGTGGCGTTTGGTTACATGAGTAAGCTCTTTAGCAGTGATTTGTGAGATTTTGGTGCACCCAGCACCCGAGAAGTATACACTGAACACAATTTGTAGTCTTTTATCACTCAGCACCCCCTACCCTTTCCCAAAAGTCTATCGTATAATTCTTATGCCTTTGCATCCTCATAGCTTAGCTCCCACTTATGAGTGAGAACATATGATGTTTGGTTTTCCATTCCTGAGTTACTTCACTTATATGAAACCATCCCTGCATCCCTAGTATGAAACCCACTTGATTATGGTGGATTATCTTTTTGATAGGCTATTGGATTTTGTTAGCTAGTATTTTGTGAAGGATATTTGCATCTATGTTCATCAGGGATATTGGTTTGAAGTTTTCTTTTTTTGTTATGTCCTTTCCTGGTTTTGGTATTAGGGTGACACTGACTTCATAGAATGATTTAGGGAGGATTCCCTCTTTCTCTATCTTGTGGAATAGTGTCAATAGGATTGGTTCCAATTCTTCTTTGAATGCCTGATAGAATTCAGCTGTGAAGCAGTCTGGTTCTGGACATTTTTGTTGGTAATTTTTTTATTACTATTTCAGTCTCGCTGCTAGTTATTTGTGGGTTCAGGGCTTCTAATTCTTTCTGATTTAAGCTAGGAGGGTTCTGTATTCTTAAGAATTTATCTATCTCTTCTAGGTTTTCTAGTTTATGCATGTAAAGTTGTTCATAGCGATCTTGAATGATCTTTTATATTTCTATGGTATCAGTTTTAATATTTCCCATTTCATTTCTGTTTGACCTTATTTGGATCTTCTCTATTCTTTTCTTGGTTAATCTCACTAATGGTCTATCAATTTTATTTACCTTTTCAAAGAACCAGCTTTTTGTTTCATTTATCTTTTGTATTTTTTTGTTTCAATTTTAGTTCTGATCTGATCCTGGTTATTTATTTTCTTCTGCTGGGTTTGATTTGTCCTTGTTTCTCTAGTCCCTTGAGGTGTGACCTTAGATTGTCTATTTGTGCTCTTTCAGACTTTTTGATGTAGGTGTTTAAGGCTATGAACTATACCTTTAGCACCACCTTTGCTGTATCCCAGAGGTTTTGACAGGTTGTGTCATTATTATTGTTCAGTTCAAAGAATTTTAAAATGTCCATCCTGATTTCATTGTTGACCCAGTGATCACTCAGGAGCAGGTTATTTAATTACCATGTATTTGTATGGTTTTGAGGGTTCCTTTGGAAGTTAATTTTCAATTTTATTCCACTGTGGTCTGAGAGAGTATTTGATATAATTTCAATATTCTTAAATTTATTGAGACTTGTTTTGTGGCCTATCATATGGTCTATCTTGGAGAAAGTTCCATATACTGATGAATAGAATGTATATTCTACAGTTGTTGGGTAGGATGTTCTGTATATATCTGTGAAGACCATTTGCTCTAGGGTATAGTTTAAATCCATTGTTTCTTGGTTGACTTTTTGTCTTGATGACCTGTCTAGTGCTGTCAGTGGAGTATGGAAGTCCCCCACTGTTGTTGCATTTCTGTCTATCTCATTTCTTAGGCCTATTAGTAATTGTTTTATAAATTTGCAAGTTCCAGTGTTAGGTGCATATAAGTTTAGGATTGTGATATTTTCCTGTTGGACAAGGCTTTTTATGAATATATAATGTTCCTCTTTGTCTTTTTTAACTGCTGTTGCTTTAAAGTTTGTTTTGTCTGATGTACTCCTGCTTACTTTTGGTGTCCATTTGCATGAATGTCTTTTTTCAACCCTTTACCTTAAGTTTATGTGAGTCCTTATGTGTTAGGTGAGTCTCTTGAAGGCAGTAGATACTTGGTTGGTAAATTCTTATTCATTCTGCCATTCTGTATCTTTTAGGTGAAGCATTTAGGCCATTTGCATTCAATGTTAGTATTGAGATGTGAGGTACTATTCCATTCATTGAGCTATTTGTTGCCCAAATACCTTGGGTTATTTATTTATTGTATTTTTGTTTTATAGGTCTTGTGTGATTTACGCTTTAAAGAGGTTCTGTTTTGATGTGTTTCCAGGATTTGTTTCAAGATTTAGAGCTCCTTTTAGCAGTTCTTGTAGTGCTGGTTTGGTAGTGGTGAATTCTCTCTGCATTTGTTTGTCTGAAAAAGACTGTGTCTTTCCTTTATTTATAAAGCTTAGTTTCGCTGGATATGAAATTCTTGGCTAATAATTGTCTTGTTTAAGGAGGCTGAAGATAGGGCCCCAATCCTTTTCAGCTTGTAGGGTTTCTGCTGAGAAATCTGCTATTAGCTTGATATATTTTCTTTTATAGGTTACCTGGTGCTTTTGTCTCACAGCTCTAAAGATTCTTTTCTTTGCCTTGACTTTAGATAACTTGATGACTATATGCCTAGGCAATGATTATTTTGTGATGAATTTCCAAGTTGTTTATTGAGCTTCTTATATTTGGATGTCTAGACATCTAGCAAGAACAGGGAAGATTTCCTTGCTTATTTCCCCAAATATGTTTTCCAAACTTTTGGATTTCTCTTCTTTCTCAGGAATGCCAATTATTATTGTTTGGTTATTTAACATAACCCCAAACTTCTTGGAGCATTTGTTCATTTTTTTAAAATTATTTTTTGTTTGTCTTTGTTGGATTGGGTTATTTTGAAAACCTTGTCTTTGAGCTCTGAAGTTCTTTCTGCTGCTTGTTCATTTCTATTGTTGAGACTTTCCAGTACATTTTACATTTCTATAAATGTGTTCTTTATTTCCTTAAGTTGTGATTGTTTTTTATTTATGCTATCTATTTCACTGAAGATTTTTCCCCTCATATCTTAAAAAAATTTCTTAAGTTGAACTTCGCCTGTCTCTGGTGCCTGCCTGATTTGCTTAATAATTGATTTTTTGAATTCTTCTTCTGGCAATTCAGGAATTTCTTCTTGGTTTGGATCCATTGTTGGTGAGATAGTGTGATTTTTTGGGGATGTTAAAGAACTTTGTTTTGTCAAATTACCATAATTGTTTCCTGGTTCCTTCTTGTTTGGGTAGACTATGTGGGCGGGAAGATCTGGGGCTCAAGGCTGCTGTTCAGATTCTTTTGTTCCACGGAATGCTGCCTTGATGTAGCACGAGCCCCTTTTACTAGAGATGTGGCTTCCTGAGAACTGACTACAGTGATTGTTTTTTCTCTTCTGGATCTAGCCACCCCACATGGCTACCAGGCTTTGGACTGGTACTGGGGGTGTCTGCACAGAGTCCTGTGATGTGGACCGTCTTCAGGTCTCAGCCATGAATTCCAGCACCTGCTCCAGTGGAGGAGGCAGGGGAGTGAAATGGACTCTGTAAGGGTCCTAAGTTGTAGTTGTTTAATGCACTAGCTTTGTGCTGGTTGGTCTCCTGCCAGGAGATGACACTTTCAAGAGAGCATCAGCTGTGGCAGTATAGGGAAGATCAGGCAGTGGGCAGGGCCCTAGAATTCTCAAGAGAATATGACCTTTGTCTTCAGCTACCAGAGGCGGGTAGGAAAGGACCATCAGGTTGGTGTAGGGTTAGGTGAGTCTGAGCTGAGACTCTCCATGGGTGGGGCTTGCTGTGGCTGCTGTGGGGAATGGAGTTGTGGTTCCTAGGTCAATGGAGTTATGTTACCAGGAGGATATGGCTGCCTCTTCTCTGTCATGCAGGTTGTCAGGGAAGTGGGGGAAAGCTAGCAGTTACAGACCTCACCCAGCTCCCATGCAACCAAAAAGGCCAGTCTCACTCCCACTGTGCGCCTGCCAACAGCACCAAGTTTATTTCCAGGCAGTGGGTAAGCAGTGCTGAGAACTTGCCCCGGGCTACCAGCCTCCCAGCTGAGAGAGCAGGCAAGGCTTTTGCGCTTCCCTGCCTGTTGAGTCTGCCCACAAGATTCACGCCATCCACTGAGTTCTGGTCAGGAAGCTTCATGTTTGGTTGGAATTATTACCAAGTTTGTCTAGAGGTTTCCTTCTCCCTGTGGTCTTTTCCAAGTTCCCCTGGTAGCCCTCCCCAAGGACGCCTATGAGACAAGTCAGAAATGGCTTCCCTGGGGACCCAGAAATCCCACGGGGCTTTTCCTGCTGCTTCCTCTACCCTGTATTTTGCTCAGCTCTCTAAATTGTCTCAGCTCCAGGTAAGGTCAAATCCTTCGCCTGTGATCTGGCCTTTCAGGTTTCCCAGTGAGGGTGTGTGTTTGGGGGTGGACAATCTCCCTTTCCCACTTTCACAGTTTGGGAACTCACAGTATTTGGGCTGTCTCTCAGGTCCTGCAGAAGTAATCTGCTTTCTTCAAAGGGTTTGTGGATTTTCTTGGCTTTCCTGGTATATTCCTGCAGTAGTTCTTGGAGCAAAACTTCATGATGTGAGTCTCCACACTCTGCTCTGCAATTTAGGGAGCTGCAATTTAGTCCTGCCTCCTATCCACCATATTTTCCTCTGCTGTCCAAGAATGTGAATTTTACCACTTTCAATGCCCCATCAATTTTGTCTGACTAGTGTTTGACTGATAGCTGCATAAATTTCATCCTGTCTCCACGACACCAACAGAAAAATGGTGGTGAAAACTGCAGAGTAGACAAAAACAAAAACAAAACAAAAAACTATTATAAAGCCATTAAATCATCTTTAAAGCTTGCAGTAGTTTTACTCCTGTAGATTTTTCTAATACCAAAAAGACTACATGCTTATTTCTTTGTTGGGTTGTTGCTTTGACACTTCTGGTAGCTTATTAGGTGGGGATGGAAGATAGTCAAAGGTCAAGACCACAGTGTTGACACTCATGAAGGCTGGTGAGCAATGCTCTGTGGCTGGGTCAGTCAAATAGTGCAGCAAACAGAGAAAACCAGGTTAACCCTGGGGCCATGATACCAGAGGTCCATCAGTGAAATTTTTAAATAGAATTTTTAAAGGAAAAGTGCACAAATCACTAGTTTACAGCTCAATGCATTTTCACAAGTCGAATAGTCGAATACTCTTGCATAACCCGCACCTAAATTAAGAGACAGAATCTCATCAGCCCCCAGAAGCACCATCACCTCTGCCGTCTTCCAGACAGAGCCCTCCAAATAGTAACCACTATCTTGACTTCTAATATGTGGATTAGCTTTGCTATTTATACAGTATATATCCTTCGTATAAGGCTCTTGTTACGCAACAGGTTGTGAATTTCATCCACTTTGTTGTAGGTAGTTGGAGTTCATTCATGCTCATAGCCGTATAGTATTCAATTTTATTACTATAGCACAATATCTTTATTTATTTTACTATTGATCAACTTTTGGGTATTTTCTAGTTTGCAGTCATTTCAAATAATCCTGAAATAAGTCCTCTTATGTTTTTTTTTTTTGTTGGAACATACATATTTTGTTCTGCTGAGATATAGGGTACGTGTATGTTTTGCTTTAACTAATACTGACAAATAGTTTAGTTTTTCAAAATGTTTTGGATCCATTTTTACTCCCACATTTGGCAAATAATTTATTCATGAACAATGCAAATGAAAATTTTTTCTCAGTTGAGCTGTTGTGAAATTATTACACAAAACATTTTGAAGGTTATCAATTGTAATGTGAGAGCCAAAACCACGTGTGTGCAGGCCCATCTTTCTGGTTGGGGATTATACTATTTGATATAAATCACCTCAAGAAATAGCCGTAGATGAGAGAAATAAACATTTTAATTGTTCTTATAATGAATGATAAGTGAAGGGAACTATAACCTCAATTGCAAATGTTAACATTTACAAGATGACCTGTTTATAAATGTAGCTCTGCCTTATACATGTGCTCACATCCATTTTGAAGTATCCAACCAGAGCGCTGATAGATTAGTAGTTTTGTGAGCTCTAGCTGACAATCCCTGAGCAAATCTGGTGAATTTATCAGCAGCCTTGCAGGACAGAAAGAAGGAAAAAAGATAACAGATGACTGTGCTAAACAGACGTAATACATACCAAGGGTGGTAGTCTCTTGGGCAGACATCTTTGTGATTACTTACCATGTCCACTTCCATCACAAAGTTCTGTCATCCAGATATAGTTGGAAACAACCTCCTCTGTGGCTATAGAGTAGCTGTACTTCTCTTGTGTATAATTAAGTGGTGGTTGATAACAGTAACATTACATTTATTGGGTGCTTACCAGGTACCTGGCTTGTGCTAAGTGCCTTACCTATGTGTGCTTAGGAACTAGCATTATCCTCATTGTGCAGCGAAGCAAGTAGTGGGCTAATAGTGAAGTTCAGCAAATTTTCTGAAGATCCTGCAGCCATTTAAAAGAAAGATGAGACCAGAAACGAGGCCAGTGTAACTCCATTGTTCAAGTTTTACGGCCACAGACTCTATGTGGATGCAGGAGGGCTTGGGGGTAGACTGAGAGGTGGGAGGGAGGAGTGCAGCCTGGACATTATTTCAGAAAGCAAGCTAACATTAAAAGGTTAAAAACAAAATTTTGATTGAGTATATTATGAAATGGAAAAACTTTTGGGATTCTTAAAGTTTGACAAAGCTTCATAAAAAAGATATTAACAAAGAGCTTTGATACAATAATTTGATAAAAGAATTTATATCTTATAAGTAAGATATAAAAGTGAATTTGAGGCCGGGTGCAGCGGCCCATGCCTGTAATCCCAGCACTTTGGGAGGTTGAGGCGGGCAGATCACTTGAGGTCAGGAGTTCGAGACCAGCCTGAACAACATGGAGAAACCTCTTCTCTACTACAAAATACAAAATTAGCTGAGTGTAATGGTGCATGCCTGTAATCCCAGCTGTTCGGGAGACTGAGGTAGGAGAATCACTTGAACCTGAGAGGCAGAGATTGCGGTGAGCCAAGATTGTACCACTGCACTCCAGCCTAGGAGACAGAGTGAGACTCTGTCTCAAAAAATAAAACAAAACAAAACAAAAACAAAATAAAACAAATTTGAGAGAAGCACATTCATAGAACTTGCCTTGACATTGTCCTGTCATAAATAACAAATAAGGCAAGCCCAGTGGAGGCAGCAAATGGAGATGACGCTGCCAAGAAGGCCTCTTATTTTCAATCCTCAGTTACAGCAATCACCTATTCAGTTTTGCAACATTATATTATTGAATAATTGCCCTTTTTCCTCCTCTTATTCTACCTCAATAAAGTTAAATGTTTCGTTTTCCTTAGCAAACTCCATATATATATATATATGGACATACTTTTTTGCAATTACTTTTAATTGCAAAAACTGCAATTAATTACTTTTGTACCAACCTAATGCACGCATATGTATATATGTACATTTGTGTATATATGTATATATGTATGTGTTTATATACCTATACATATACATATATACATACATATGTATATGTATATCTGTGAATATATGTAGAAATTCTCTCTATAAAACAAATTCTATCTAAAAAAACACATATATGAATTAAAACATATATGTGTGTGTGTGTGTGTGTGTGTATATATATATATATATATATATATATATATGTTTGTTTTTTATAAAGATGATGTTTTGCTGTGTTGCCCAGGCTGGAGTGCAGTGGCTATTCACAGGCATGATCATAGCGCACTACAGCCTCAAGCTCCTGGGCTCAAGCAATCCTCTCACCTCAGCCTCCTGAGTAACTGGAACTACAAGAAGGCACCATGTGATTGGCTTATATTATTTAAACTATTCACTTCCAAGTTTCTAAGAGCCACATATTTTGTCATATTTTATTCAAGGATGAGGAATGAAGAAGTCTGTGTCTGTATCAGCTTGATAGTTCTATTAGATCTTTGATACTCAAAGCGCACTCTGTGGATCAGCAGCATCAGCACCCCTGGGAGCTGGTTACAAACACAGAACTTTAAGACCCATCCCAGACCTACAAGTGGATTAATTTGCAAATTTCATTGTTAAAAAAAGCTTTCTTTTTTAGAGTTTTAGTTCACAGCAAAATTGAAAGGAAGATACAGAGATTTCCCACACACACTGCTCCCATGCATGCACAGTCTCCACCTTATCAACATCCCCAACCTGGGTAGTTTATTTGTTGTAGTTGATGAGCTTACATTGACACCTCATTGTCACCAATCATCCACAGTTTACATTAGGATTCATTCTTGGTGTTGTACATTCTATGGGTCTGGACAAATGTTAGTGATATGTATCCATCACTATAGTGTCATGCAGTGAATTGCATTTTGAAAAGCTCTATATTAGCTATACCATTCCAGAGATTGGGGACCTCCCCTTTGTGCCTTTGAAGTTTTCCACACAAATCATAATGGCATCAATAATTGATTAACCTGGAACAAGGTGAGGAAGCAGTCCGTAAAAAGCAGGTGGTACCCCTGCTTTCAGAAGTTTCCACTGAACTAGGTATTTCCCGTCAAAGAGTAATCTTCATTCAGGCTAATGGCTTGTCATAATAAAATTCCATTCAGTTACTGAGGAAAGATTTCTTCTGGGCACCAATTTCCCATTTGAAAGTATTACAAGAAAGCTGTGTGTGCTTATCCTGAAATGGGGAGCACTGTTACTCAGGCCCCAGTGGTATAATAATGGGTGACTGTGGCTGACTCCTCGAGGATAAGCCCTGCACAAGCTTCTGGGGGATTAATTTGGTCCATCTGGGTTGAGTCATATCTGGTTTGTATTACCTGAATATAACTCAGATCTTTGAAAGCAAAGGAATTAATTTAGAAGGACCACTGCGATACTGTAGCTGAACTTTACTTATTAATTTATGTAATTATATCACTAGTTACAATATTTAGCTATGATTTTATTTGATCTCTTGTCTTCTCCCATTGAAGCAGTGATTCTCAAGCCTCAACAGGCATGAGAGCTCCTGGGGGGCTTGTTAGCATGCAAATTCCTGTGCTTCATCCCCAGAGTTTCTGCTTAGTAGGTCTGGGCTGGAACCCAAGAATGTACATTTTGAAGAAGCCCCCAGATGAGGCTGATGCTGCTTGGTCAGGACTACTTCCCTAAAGAATTTGCAAACAAGGGACCAATCATGGTAGTGAGTAACTTCTTTGTCTCTTGCTCCTTTTGTACAAAATATCTGATTTTTCTCCTGCACTTGTCTGTATCTGACTCACTGGTTGTCTTCTTCTTTAGTTTAAGGCCTCTGGAAGCCCAGAGATAGGAGGCAGGGACGAGTGGAGGGCAGTTTTCTCTCGACTCTTCCTGCAGTTATTTAACTTCTGTTTCTAATTTATAAGGCTTTCTTGGCATATGTAAGCCTATGCAGTCAAACTGAGTTGTGGTCCAGGAGAGGTCATGGACCAGTGTCAGTCATGTGCCACATCACAGAGTGACGTGAGATTCGGAGATGAGAAAAATGTAAAAAGACCCTACTTTTTTTTCTTGGCCTATCCCAATAAAATACTTCTGCTCTTAAAGCCTGGTCTCATGAATATTTATTTGGTTTGGCCCCCTACTTTGTGTTTACTCCTAAAACGGTTTGGGTTTTCCAGTGAGCCTGCTGCCTAGACGGGACTCTAGGCTAAGTTAAGACATGCCAACATAGTCAACTAAGCAGAATCCCATGCTGAAACTCTGGGAAGTGTTTGAAATTTATTCTCTCTCCAGGTGAGGGAGCTGACATGATGGGCCACATCCCTGAAGGTCAACCTGAAACCAGGACCACACTGTAACACTGCCACCTCTGCAACATACATATTAGTGCAAATTGGGGTAAAGGGTGGGGCTGATAGAATGTAGAGTGTAATTTAGGAACCAGCCTATGGTGAGATCTTGCAACTGCTGGCAAAGTCCGAGCCACTATCCTTTGAGCAATCCATTCACAATGGAACCAGAAAAACAATGTCTATTTAGCCAGAAAAAATTTGAATGGACAAGAGTGATGTCTCTTTACCAATACAAGAGAGATAAGATTACTAGGAATAGAAGAGTTACATGGTTTCTCTGACTGCCTTCACAAAGTTCAGGGTGGCTGGAGGTCTCTGAAGAAAAGCCTGGACATCAGTGATGAATCAATCTCTCAAAGCCTCCTGTAGCAAACATTGCCAAGGGCCTACTGGTAACCTGTCAGCATTGACCTTTTCAGTGCACTCAATTGCAATCTGAAACTGCCAGCAGCTCCTTGCTTCACCTGGAGCTTTCTCTCACTGCCAGATCCAGATGTGGCAAGCTGGAAGTGCTGGGATGTAGCAGCTCCACTCCCGTTCCCACTCACAGCAGCCTCAGTCATGACAGAAAGGGGCTGAGGTATACACGCCTCAGCTCCCTCACCTGCAGAGAGAATAAATTTCAAACACTTCCCAGAGTTTCAGCATGGGATTCAGCTCAGTGGACCACTGGGTGTCCTATCTTTCCTCTTTCACTTCCTCACACCATTATCGGCATCCGAGACCCCTCTCTTCCTGCTCTCTATTCCCAACTATGCTGAGCTAAGATTGTTGCTGCTGCCACGTGATTATTACTGTTTTCTGTCTTGATGGGGAGACAACAAGGTAGGAGCGGCCATGAACCTAAGGTCAGATGACCTTTCTGGAACTCAGAGTTGTTCCAGCGGTAAGCTCTTCATCAAAGCCAATGCTTACGAAATTTACATGGCTCAGGATTGTCTGCTGCTGGTGATCTAGAACACAGCATTTAAAGACAAAGAAGTGGGGGCATTGTAATGCTTCCTCCCAGTGACTTGCTGGATAGCTAACTTATGCTTGAAGTTTTCTATCAGGTACAAAAAACAAGTTAACATCTACCTAGTAATCACGATGCATTTTAAAGGTATTGAGTGAAAAAAGTGATGAGACATTTTCAAAAATTTCAAAATCCAATTACTTTTTCAGTAAATATCTTCTAAAATGAAATCTTTATCATTTCTAATATTTTTCTTAAGAGAATGTGAATCTTTTTTTTACCAAAGATCGAAACTCTCAAAACATTTTCAGAGGCTTCATAAAATCGTTATTTGTGTTGGAATTTTATATACCACCCAAAGCTGGATGAAATCAAAGAGCCAATGGCTAGGCTTGGAGGTCATTTTAAAAACTGCATTTTTTCACCATTATAATATTTATTGCAATGGGCTAGGCCCTACGCATCAGATTGGCGATATTATTAAGGCATCAGAAGGCCAAGAAAATCTGAAAATAAAATGGTTTCCCAGGTAAAGCCATGGTAAGGGTAGGCAAAACTGGCATCAGGCCAACCGTTTCTTACCATGCATCAAACTTTTGAGGTCAGGCAAAATTGAAAACACATTTGGAGAAGTTAATTCACCTTAATTTTGAAACCCATGTGTATTTCAAGGGAAATTTAATCCGTGTGTTTCTAATTCATTTACACTCAATTCATCAAAATGTTCTTTTGATAGACTTATTTCATTTTTTTATCTAGGAAATATTATGACTCTCTTTAACAAGATTCTTGAAGGCTTGAATAAAATGCCTTTAAGAAATTGTGTTTGGCTATCCATAAACAGGACTAATTAACAGAGGTTAAGGGAAAGCAGTCCAGTTCTAAAACTTGGCCCCCCAAGATTCAAGGGGTTGTGCTTTTTGCTGTGTTAACACCATTGAAATGGTGGTGTCACTCTCTTCAGCGCTAGGTACCTAGTGATTCCATCCACTCATCCACCACTTTAATAATTAATTCCTCAGTGAATGGTTACACTCAATGTAGATTGAGCTGACCCTTCACTTTCTTCAGGGCATGGAGATCTATCCAATCTAATCTAATCTAATGTAATCTAATCTAATCTAATCTAATCTCTATCTAGTCTATCATCTATCTATCTAATCTATCATCTATCTATGTATCTATCTAATCTATCATCTATATCTACATATTTTTCAAGTGTTTACATGAAGACAGATATTATGGGTTGGAATTAATGGGACAGCTGAGACTATGGTTTGAGTCAATCAGAAGAGCTTGGATGCTAAATCTTGCTAGGTAAGAGAAACCTTGAGAAAGAAGGGTAAAAGGAAGTGGGCAAAGTTACATAATTTATTTAATTTGTAATGAAACACAGTGGATAGTATTAATTATAATTTTACATATAATTTCTGGGATAAGAAACAAAAGCAGTTTTATTAGGTAAAATATTAGTCTGAAACATGGAAGGAATAAAACTAGATTAGTTTTCAATGTTTGTATTTCTAATATGACAATAATAGGACTCAAAATCAAAATACATATGCAACTCTTGATGAGCTCAGCGTGTGGTGAGAAAAGTTTCTTCAGTTTCCGAAAGTGAAGGAATAAAGCCCAGCCTTGCTGGAGTTTTTGATTTATAACCAGCAGGGGAAAATAAATTTGCTGAGCTTCTCTTTTTGGGCAGCTTCCATGTGAGGGTGGGGACTGCCAAACAATAGCAGTCAATTCAATTATCATGAGGAATTACCTATTGTAGAGCTAGCCACTTCACCAGCCATCTTTTACTAGTGATTTTATTTTATTATTTTTATAGATTTAGGAGGTACAAGGTTAGTTTTGCTACATGGATATGTTGCATAGTGGTGAAGTCTGGGCTTTTATTGTAAATGCCACCCAGATAGGGTATATCACACCCATTAGGTAGTTTCTCATCCCTCACCATGCTCCCACTTTTCTCAGTCTCCAGTGTCTATTATTTAACTATGTTCATGTGTACACATTGTTTATGTCTCAGTTCTAAGTGAGAACATGCGGTATTTAGTTTTTGGCTTCTGAGTTAGTTAACTTAAGGCCCTTCAATTCCACCCATGTTGCTGCAAAAAACACAATTTCATTTCTTTTTGTGGCTGAGTAGTATTCCATGGTGTATATATACCATATTTTCTTTATCCACTCATCTGTTGATGGGCGCTTAGATTGATTCAATATCTTTGCTGTTGTGAATAGTATTAGTAATTTTAAATAGTGGTGGGACAAAGCCCATTAGGAAGAGTTCCTTTGAGGGGTTTCCAGAGTCAATTAACAGGACAGAGAATAGCAGGCACTTCATTTGTAACAGGAGAAGGTATCACTGGGTTTCACAGAGCTCGTAACAGAAACGACACTGCCAGCTACTTTAGGGCAGGTGGTAGGAGATGACAGCCAGGTTCTTCCCATAGGCCACAAAATGACAATTGCTGTCTCTAAAATGGCCAACTTGAGTGGACTCTTCTCCCTCATTCCTCATAGTAAGTGAAAACTTCATTTCTTTTCTTTCTTTCTTTCTTTTTTCTGGTGGTAGTGGTGGTTGTAGGACCTCTGAGGGGCGATTCTTTTTTTTTTCTTTTCTTTTTTTTTATGAGATGGAGTCTTGCTCTGTTGCCCAGACTGGAGTGCAGTGGCATGATCTTGGCTCAGGGCAACCTCCGCCTCCCAGGTTCAAATGATTCTCCTGCCTCAGCCTCCCAAGTAGCTGGGATTACAGGCATGCACAACCATGCCTGGCTAATTTTTGTATTTTTAGTAGAGACAGGGTTTCACCATGTTGGCCAGGCTGGTCATGAACTCCTGACCTCAAGGGATCCACCCGCCTCAGCCTCCCATAGTGCTGGGATTACAGGCGTGAACCACCACGCCTGGCCTCTTTTTCAGAGGTTAGTGAAAGTGCTTATCTGATACTTGCCTTATTAGCTATGTATGTTAAGTATTAGGCAAACTTGCCAAGTCCACGTGGATAGCCATATTAAGTCTAAAGACTTAACACAGATCTAGGTGCAGAGAAGTACATGTGGGGCAGAGAACTAGACCTGGAAGAACCCACACAGGCACATTCCTTTGCCTCGAGGCTGCTTGGAGAAGTATCAGCCTAGTCTAGGAAACCTGAAAACCTAAAAAACACAACTGTAAGACTTTCTCTGTTTGTTTTTAATGTTTTTCTGATTAGAATGGAGAAGTTATCCAAATATCACATTACAGTAAGTTCTAATGATCTGTAGTTTATCCGTGGAGATGGCATTAATTATTGGCATATTAAGACAATGTGTGAGTTTGAAAATCATTGAGTATCTGTGGCAATTCCTGTAGAAATAAATATGAGGAAAATCTGACCTTAAAATTTTAAAAACCTTAAAATTTGAGAGTTAGTTTATCCACAGAATTTTTTTTTTTTTTTTTTTTTTTTGAGATAGGGTCTTGTTCTGTCACCCAAGCTGGAGTGCAGTGGCGTGATCTTGGCTCACTGCAACCTCTGCCTCCTGGGTTCAAGCAATTCTCTGCCTCAGCCTCCCAGGTAGCTGGGATTACAGGTGCCCACCACCATGCCTGGCTAATTTTTTTTTTGTATTTTTAGTAGAGATGGGGTTTCACCATCTTGGCCAGCTGGTCTTGAACTTCTGACCTCGTGATTCACCAGCCTGGGCCTCCCAAAGTGCTGGGATTATAAGCGTGAGCCACCACGCCTGGCCAACATTTTTCTTTTGGTCTTATTTTCTTTAAACTATAGAAGATGCATGTTGATCTGGGCTTGAATTTCAAATGGCTCTCTTTCTATGTAAACCCAATTTTCTTACAAAAATAAAAACCTCTAATTTCACATGGTCAAACCAATACTTACCTTCAGATATGATGAAATATGAAAGTTAACCAAGGTAGCATCTATAAAGACCGATGCAAGGCCTGGAGCCCAGTAGGTACTTAGGTCCATCTCACCTCTATGAATATACATTTTTGGGGGCTCTGTGGTTAGGATAGTCTTAGTTTCATGTTATTATATGATGCTTTTGAGAGGTAATTTTGTGTTAATGATTTGCTACTCAATTCAGTCGCCAAAATACCTTAATTCTCAATTCAAATTTAATCGTAAACATATGGTTTGCTTTTTACTTAACATTATACAGGAATGAGTGTAAGATCATAGGTTTATATTTTTGGAACATGCTCTGGTGACCATTACAATCAGAATAATTTCTGAGTCTTTGTTCAGTGCATCCACTTCTGCAGAATTGATTGGAAGTAATAAAATGCTCTTGTAGATCTTTATTTTATATATATTTGATTACCTTATTAAAATTGAGAATGTGATTTTTATTCTCTCCATGATCAGCTATACAAGTGTGCTTCATAAAATGCAGAGTTTGCCCAAATTCAGGTCTTGCTGCCCCGTGGCTTCTGCAAGCACCAGTTCCCACTAAGCTCATGATGCTCTAGGTAAATGGATATTGAATGTTGGAAGAGCGGCTCCATTTTGCTGTAGTGCCCAGTCTGAAAATCTGCAGCTGAATGAATGTGTCAATATGACATGTGTTAAAGTCGCCGACCAATTACTACTTGATGAAGGGAAGGGAGCTAACCTGGTTGGGGCCTTAGATCTGCTGTATCAGGACTCACTCACTCACAGGCTCTCGTCTCTCTCTCTCTCACAGTATTGTGCTAGGAACTCTCAATTGGATAGAAACTTCCGACCACAGCTTCTCTCCTCAATCCCAGACCCACATTTCCAGTGCCCATTTCCTCTTATTGCTAAGCATGTGCTGGTTTATATGATTGCCACAGTGGGTACCAGTTATGGTCATAGCCCCTTACCAGCACACATGAGAATGGTCCATGACCCACACCAGTGAGGACCCTTACATCTTTGCAAAGTCTTATACCTGAGTCTTACCTTCAGGGATTACAATCTAACAGATCTAAGAGTGTGGCCTGGGCATCTGGCCATGTGCTCCTCAGTTGAGTAGCTGGGACTGTATGGCCCACAAAGCCTAAAATATGTACTGTTTGTCCATTTATAAAAAACATTTCCTGACCCACGTTGTGTAGCCCAAAAGCCAACCTCCCATTGCCTGTGTATACTCTGCTGTCATTCTCACACTACGTTCACTACGTTCACTACGTTCTCCACACATTTGCTGTTCTTTCCAGCTCTTCTTATTCATTCTCGAGCTTTGGACCATAATAGTCTAAACACAGAACCTTCTGTCCTTCCCCAGATGATTACTAATACTGCTCCAGCCTTCACATTCAACTTCTTGATGACTCTTCAGTGAAGGAAGTAGTATGAGAAGCCTGCAGTTCCAACCCTACCCCCCAACACTGGCTGTATTCTCTAGTTCAGAATATAGAAATATATTTTTGAGCATATACGTGTCTTGGAGTGTCTTTTCTAGATTTATGCACCCTTTACTTGTTATCTCATAAATTGATTTTCCCATCTTACTGTGTGCTGGATGCACTGCTGGGTGCTTTACGCTCTAAACATAGTTGACCATCAATGTCTCAATAGCACTCATAAGTTGGTATTATTAAGCCCACTCTATAGATGCACAACAGGGGTACAGAGAGGTTATTTGCTCAAGTTTACAAAGCTAGTAAATGTTAGGAACAGAATTTAAAGTCAGGTCAACCTTACTCCCAATTGCCTACTAAAGAACTTCATTTACATTGCATCACCAGGGAATAATAAAGAATAACTTATTTTAGTTATTCTAGTGGAAATTCTTTTGAAACATTATACACACTTCTCTGCCATCTCAATTAAGTCATATTGAACATCAATTAACCTCTTCAGGACTACTTAATATCACAAATATTAACAAGTTTTATGGTAGTATAGAAAAACATGAATTTACAATAAGACAATAAATTATTCCTAACACGAAATCTCGGGTTTGAAATCTTGGGTCAATCCTACTCTGATGGGATAAAAAGAAATTAGTTGTACTTTTTTGCTGCTATTTTATTCTTTACCTCCATTCCTTCACTCAGGTAGACGAGCTTGTGTGTAAGGTAGAAGTGAAGCAACTGAGTACCGCATTGCCCCATGGTTAAGAAGAGAGATTTGGGGGCAACCTAAAACTAGGTTTTGGTCCTGGTCCTGCTACTAATTACTGTGTAAAGTTAGGCAACTGACTTAGCCTCTCTGAGCCTCAACTACCCCATCTGCACAGTGGAGTTAGTAACACACTCACATAGGATAATGTATCAGGCACATTGGAAGCTTCCAGTACATGGCCATTATTATTAAATTATTGAGGATGCTTTTTAACTTTGTAACCTGGAGACTTCACGTCTCCCCTAGGAGGTTGTGACTTTCAAGAGGGCAGACACACTGTGTTTTCACAGGAATATTGTCAGAACTTTCTTGCAGTTGCTAGCTCAGTAAACATTTGTCCATGAATGAAAGAATGAATGAATGAATGAATGCCACATGAACACAGACACAAAGATGCTGAGTTCACCATCAAGCTACTCTATTGTTCTATGTCCTGTTTTAAAGATTTTGAAGATGTGCTCCTCTTTTTTTTTTTTTTGTGGTGATTGCAATTTATTCATGATATTTCAATTTTCCATAAAATGCTTGTGAATTTCAGGGGAGTATACTGTGCACATGAACATCAGCCTTCCCTCTTATCACAGAATCCAAAACCATGAAGCATGCTAGTACTTTGCTGTTACCCAGTAGTTTTAACATTCTATTTCAAGGCTTTCATGAAAGCATAAAAGATGTTTTACTTTTTCTTCCTACCTTTGCCCCCTCTTTTATTTTATTTTATTATTATTATACTTTAAGTTTTAGGGTACATGTGCACAATGTGCAGGTCAGTTACATATGTATACATGTGCCATGCTGCTGTGCTGCACCCATTAACTCGTCATTTAGCATTAGGTATATCTCCTAAAGCGATCCCTCCCCCCTCCCCTCACCCCACAACAGTCCCCAGTGTGTGATGTTCCCCTTCCTGTGTCCATGTGTTCTCATTGTTCAGTTCCCACCTATGAGTGAGAACATGCGGTGTTTTGTTTTTTGTTCTTGCAATACTTTCCTGAGAATGATGATTTCCAATTTCATCCATGTCCCTACAAAGGACATGAACTCATCATTTTTTATGGCTGCATAGTATTCCATGGTGTATATGTGCCACATTTTCTTAATCCAGTCTATCATTGTTGGACATTTGGGATGGTTCCAAGTCTTTGCTATTGTGAATAATGCTGCAACAAACATATGTGTGCATGTGTCTTTATAGCAGCATGATTTATATTCCTTTGGGTATATACCCAGTAATGGGATGGCTGGGTCAGATGGTATTTCTAGTTCTAGATCCCTGAGGAATCGCCACACTGACTTCCACAATAATTGAACTAGTTTACAGTCCCACCAACAGTGTAAAAGTGTTCCTATTTCCCCACATCCTCTCCAGCACCTGTTGTTTCCTGACTTTTTAATGATTTCTATTCTAACTGGTGTGAGATGGTATCTCATTGTGGTTTTGATTTGCATTTCTCTGATGGCCAGTGATGATGAGCATTTTTTCATGTGTTTTCTGGCTGCATAAATGTCTTCTTTTGAGAAGTGTCTGTTCATGTCCTTTGCCCACTTTTTGATGGGGTTGTTTGTTTTTTTCTTGTAAATTTGTTTGAGTTCATTGTAGATGCTGGATATTAGCCCTTTGTCAGATGAGAGGTTGAGAAAATTTTCTCCCATTTTGTAGGTTGCCTGTTCACTCTGATGGTAGTTTCTTTTGCTGTGCAGAAGCTCTTTAGTTTAATTAGATCCCATTTGTCAATTTTGGCTTTTGTTGCCACTGCTTTTGGTGTTTTAGACATGAAGTCCTTGCCCGTGCCTATGTCCTGAATGGTAATGCCTAGGTTTTCTTCTAGGGTTTTTATGGTTTTAGGTCTAACATTTAAGTCTTTAATCCATCTTGAATTAATTTTTGTATAAGGTGTAAGGAAGGGGTCCAGTTTCAGCTTTCTACATATGGCTAGCCAGTTTTCCCAGCACCATTTATTAAATAGGGAATCCTTTCCCCATTGCTTGTTTTTCTCAGGTTTGTCAAAGATCAGATAGTTGAAGATATGCGGCATTATTTCTGAGGGCTCTGTTCTGTTCCATTGATCTATATCTCTGTTTTGGTACCAGTACCATGCTGTTTTGGTTACTGTAGCCTTGTAGTATAGTTTGAAGTCAGGTAGCGTGATGCCTCCAGCTTTGTTCTCTTGGCTTAGGATTGACTTGGCAATGCAGGCTCTTTTTTGGTTCCATATGACCTTTAAAGTAGTTTTTTCCAATTCTGTGAAGAAAGTCATTGGCAGCTTGATGGGGATGGCATTGAATCTATAAATTATCTTGGGCAGTGTGGCCATTTTCATGATATTGATTCTTCCTACCCATGAGCATGGAATGTTCTTCCATTTCTTTGTATCCTCTTTTACTTCCTTGAGCAGTGGTTTGTAGTTCTCCTTGAAGAGGTCCTTCACATCCCTTGTAAGTTGGATTTCTAGGTATTTTATTCTCTTTGAAGCAATTGTGAATGGGAGTTCACTCATGATTTGGCTCTCTGTCTGTTATTGGTGTGTAAGAATGCTTGTGATTTTTGTACATTGATTTTGTATCCTGAGACTTTGCTGAAGTTGCTTATCAGCTTAAGGAGATTTTGGGCTGAGAAAATGGGGTTTTCTAGATACACAGTCATGGCATCTGCAAACAGGAACAATTTAACTTCCTCTTTTCCTAATTGAATACCCTTTATTTCCTTCTCCTTCTTAATTTCCCTGGCCAGAACTTCCAACACTATGTTGAATAGGAGTGGTGAGAGAGGGCATCCCTGTCTTGTGCCAGTTTTCAAAGGGAATGCTTCCAGTTTTTGCTCATTCACTAGGATATTGACGGTGGGTTCATCATAGATAGCTCTTACTATTTTGAGATACGTCCCGTCAATACCTAATTTATTGAGAATTTTTAGCATGAAGGTTGAATTTTGTCAAAGGCCTTTTCTGCATCTGTTGAGATAATCATGTGGTTTTTGTCTTTGGTTCTGTTTATATGCTGGATTACATTTATTGATTTGCATATATTGAACCAGCCTTGCATCCCAGGGATGAAGCCCACTTGATCATGGTGGATAAGCTTTTTGATGTGCTGCTGGATTCAGTTTGCCAGTATTTTATTGAGGATTTTTGCATCAATGTTCATCAAGGATATTGGTCTAAAATTCTCTTTTTTGGAGGTGTCTCTGCCAGGCTTTGGTGTCAGGATGATGCTGGCCTCATAAAATGAGTTAGGGAGGATTCCCTCTTTTTCTATTGATTGGAATAGTTTCAGAAGGAATGGTACCAGTTCCTCCTTGTACCTCTAGTAGAATTCGGCTGTGAATCCATCTGGTCCTGGACTCTTTTTGGTTGGTAAGCTACTGATTATTGCCTCAATTTCAGAGCCTGTTATTGGTCTAGTCAGCAATTCAGCTTCTTCCTGATTTAGTCTTGGAAGAGTGTATGTGTCGAGGAATTTATCCATTTCTTCTAGATTTTCTAGTTTATTTGTGTAGAGGTGTTTGTAGTATTCTCTGATGGTAGTTTGTATTTCTTTGGGATCGGTGGTGATATCCCCTTTATCATTTTTTATTGCATCTATTTGATTCTTCTCTCTTTTCTTCTTTATTAGTCTTGCCAGTGGTCTATCAATTTTGTTGATCCTTTCAAAAAACCAGCTCCTGGATTCATTAATTTTTTGAAGGGTTTTTTGTGTCTCTATTTCCTTCAGTTCTGCTCTGATCTTAGTTATTTCTTGCCTTCTGCTAGCTTTTGAATGTGTTTGCTCTTGCTTCTCCAGTTATTTTAATTGTGATGTTAGGGTGTGGATTTTAGATCTTTCCTGCTTTCTCTTGTAGGCATTTACTGCTATAAATTTCCCTCTACACACTGCTTTGAATGTGTCCCAGAGATTCTGGTATGTTGTGTCTTTGTTCTCGTTGGTTTCAAAGAACATCTTTATTTCTGCCTTCATTTCGTTATGTACCCAGTAGTCATTCAGGAGCAGAGTGTTCAGTTTCCATGTAGTTGAGCAGTTTTGAGTGAGATTCTTAATCCTGAGTTCTAGTTTCATTGTACTGTGGTCTAAGAGACAGTTTGTTATAATTTCTGTTCTTTTACATTTGCTGAGGAGAGCTTTACTTCCAACTATGTGGTCAATTTTGGAATAGGTGTGGTGTGGTGCTGAAAAAAATGTATATTCTGTTGATTTGGGGTGGAGAGTTCTGTAGATGTCTATTAGGTCCGCTTGGTGCAGAGCTGAGTTCAATTCCTGGGTATCCTTGTTAACTTTCCGTCTTGTTGATCTGTCTAATGTTGACAGTGGGGTGTTAAAGTCTCCCATTATTATTATGTGGGAGTCTAAGTCTCTTTGTAGGTCACTCAGGACTTGCTTTATGAATCTGGGTGCTCCTGTATTGGGTGCATATATATTTAGGATAGTTAGCTCTTCTTGTTGAATTGATCCCTTTACCATTATGTAATGGCCTTCTTTGTCTCTTTTGATCTTTGTTGGTTTAAAGTCTGTTTTATCAGAGACTAAGATTGCAACCCCTGCCTTTTTTTGTTTTCCATTTGCTTGGTAGATCTTCCTCCATCCTTTTATTTTGAGCCTATGCGTGTCTCTGCACTTGAGATGGGTTTCCTGAATACAGCACACTGATGGGTCTTGACTCTTTATCCAATTTGCCAGTCTGTTTCTTTTAATTGGAGCAGTTAGTCCATTTACATTTAAAGTTAATATTGTTATGTGTGAAATTGATCCTGTCATTATGATGTTAGCTGGTTATTTTGCTCGTTAGTTGATGCAGTTTCTTCCTACCTTCGATGGTCTTTACAATTTGGCATGATTTTGCAGTGGCTGGTACCGGTTTTTCCTTTCCATGTTTAGTGCTTCCTTCAGGAGCTCTATTAGGGCAGGCCTGGTGGTGACAAAATCTCTCAGCATTTGCTTGTCTGTAAAGTATTTGATTTGTCCTTCACTTATGAAGCTTAGTTTGGCTGGATATGAAATTCTGGGTTGAAAATTCTTTTCTTTAAGAATGTTGAATATTGGCCCCCCACTCTCTTCTGGCTTGCAGAGTTTCTGCTGAGAGATCTGCTGTTAGTCTGATGGGCTTTCCTTTGTGGGTAACTCGACCTTTCTCTCTGGCTGCCCTTAACATTTTTTCCTTCATTACAACTTTGGTGAATCTGACAATTATGTGTCTTGGAGTTGTTCTTCTCGAGGAGTATCTTTGTGGCATTCTCTGTATTTCCTGAATCTGAATGTTGCCCTGCCTTGCTAGATTGGGGAAGTTCTCCTGGAAAATATCCTGCAGAGTGTTTTCCAACTTGGTTCCATTCTCCCCATCAGTTTCAGGTACACCAATCAGATGTAGATTTGGTCTTTTCACATAGTCCCATATTTCTTGGAGGCTTTGTTCATTTCTTTTTATTCTTTTTTCTCTAAACTTCCCTTCTCACTTCATTTCATTCATTTCATCTTCCATCACTGATACCCTTTCTTCCAGTTGATCGCATCAGCTCCTGAGGCTTCTGCTTTCTTCACGTGGTTCTTGAGCCTTGGCTTTCAGCTCCATCAGCTCCTTTAAGCACTTCTCTGTATTGGTTATTCTAGTTATACATTTGTCTAAATTTTTTTCAAAGTTTTCAACTTCTTTGCCTTTGGTTTGAATTTCCTCCTGTAGCTCAGAGTAGTTCGATTTTCTGAAGCCTTCTTCTCTCAACTCATCAAAGTCATTCTCCATCGAGCTTTGTTCCATTGCTGGTGAGGAGCTGTGTTCCTTTGGAGGAGGAGAGGCACTCTGCTTTTTAGAGTTTCCAGTTTTTCTGCTCTGTTTTTTCCCCATCTTTGTGGTTTTTTCTACTTTTGGTCTTTGATGATGGTGATGTATAGATGGGTTTTTGGTGTGGATGTCCTTTCTGTTTGTTAGTTTTCCTTCTAACAGACAGGACTCTCAGCTGCAGGTCTGTTGGAGTTTGCTAGAGGTCCACTCCAGACCCTGTTTGCCTGGGTACCAGCAGCAGTGGCTGCAGAACAGCAGATTTTCGTGAACTACGAATGCTGCTGTCGGATCGTTCCTCTGGAAGTTTTGTCTTAGGGGAGTAACTGGCTGTGTGAGGTGTCAGTCTGCCCCTACTGGGAGGTGCCTCCCAGTTAGGCTGCTCGGGGGTCAGGGGTCAGGGATCCACTTGAGGAGGCAGTCTGCCCCTTCTCAGATCTCCAGTTGCGTGCTGGGAGATCCACTGCTCTCTTCAAAGCTGTCAGACAGGGACACTTAAGTCTGCAGAGGTTACTGCTGTCTTTTTGCTTGTCTGTGCCCTGTCCCCAGAGGTGGAGCCTACAGAGGCAGGCAGGCCTCCTTGAGCTGTGGTGGGCCCCACCCAGTTCAAGCTTCCTGGCTGCTTTGTTTACCTAAGGAAGCCTGGGCAATGGCAGGCGCCCCTCCCCCAGCCTTGCTGCTGCCTTGCAGTTTGATCTCAGACTGCTGTGCTAGCAATCAGCGAGACTCCGTGGGGGTTGGACCCTCCGAGCCATGTGGGAGATATAATCTCACAGTGTGCCGTTTTTTAAGCCCTTCAGAAAAGCGCAGTATTGGGGTGGGAGTGATCTGATTTTCCAGGTGCCGTCTGTCACCCCTTTCTTTGACAAGGAAGGGAACTCCCTGACCCCTTGTACTTCCCAAGTGAGGCAGTGCCTCGCCCTGCTTTGGCTCGCGCACGGTGTGCTGCACCCACTGTCCTGCGCCCACTGTCTGGCACTCCCTAGTGAGATGAACCCCGTACCTCAGATGGAAATGCAGAAATCACCCGTCTTCTGCGTCGCTCACGCTGTGAGCTGTAGACCGGAGCTGTTCCTATTCGGCCATCTTGGCTCCCCTGCCATGTGCTCCTCTTTTATAATAACTCACTGAGTGGAGAGTGTGTGTGTGTGTATGTGTGTGTAGCTCATGGAACAGGCTTGTGAACCTGCCCTACTTCACCCTGAGGAAGTTCACCAGATTCTCATCAGCAGTGCCTGGCCAGCCTTCCACATGTGTCTGGAGCCATTGGCGTCAGTTGGAGGGTTGAATGCTGGTCAGGTGCTGTGTGCTGGTGACCTAGGACAGGGTCAGGTGAGGAATGTGAATACTTTTAGGATGGGGCCTTTCCTCCTAGATGTTTCTAGGTGGTGGTTTCCTTATGAAATGACGACACCCCAGAGTCATGACCAAAGGCTCATCACAGTCAGCTTGAAGGATGCCCTGTGTCAGCTCCTACTTCTGCCCCACTGTTGGGCTGGCACCTACTTCTTCTGAAAGACACGCCTCGGGTGTCCCCTCTGCGGTGGCACAAAGTGGCTCTCAGTGAACCTTACAATAATAAATTATAAATTAATAAGTAATTGATAGATTGAATAAATGAATGTTTGGAGAGTTCGTCTTTGGTTAGATACATTTTCAATATGGGTTTATCTGTTGATCATTCAGAAATAAAAGCGATATTTAACTGTGTCTCTTATTTGGACCCTTAAAGACTCAATCCAGAGGAAGATCAACAGAATCCATGTACAAAGTTTTGAGGTCCCCTAGAGTCTCCATGTTGAAGACTGCACTGCCCGACTAACACTGTGGTTAGTGTGACTGAGGAGCTGAATTTGCAAGTTATTTAATTTTAATTTTTTTAATTGGAATTTAAGAACCAATACTCAATTTAGTCATTGGAAAACTTCTAAGTATATTTAGAACAAGTTCAGCACATAAATCTACTTTTTCAAATGTAAATTTTATGAAACCTAAATACCAATCAATATTTCTGACGAAACTTCATCCTAATTGAGATGTGCTTTAAGTGTAAAAGACTTACCGTATTTCTAAGACTTAGTATAAAAAAAGATTATAAAAATGTGAAATACCTCACCAATATTTTGGAGGTTGATTACATGTTGAAAAGTTAATAATTTGGGTATATTAGGTTACATTTATTATAAATTAGTTTCATCTTTTTTCTTTATTTAATGTGGCTTCTGGAAAATCTGACATGCCTGTGTGGCTCATGCTATATTTCTAGGTGGTAGTGCTGCACGATTTGCATGAGGCTGCCATGTTGGGATGCTGTGGTAGATATTGACGAATGACCTTGCGCCAACACCAGGGAATCTTTAGTTAAAATTTCACTCTGGAAGCAGGAAGTTTCCTTGGTGGACTGTATTTCTTTGCTTTTTGTCGGTGTTTGAATGAGAATCAGAAGAGTCTTAAACTTGTGTTATAAAGCAAGATGACACTCATGATCTCAGGAGGGTCACCACAGATTAAGCATTTACAAAGGGCTGGGCACTGTGCAAGGTATTTTAAATCTTATATAGCATTGTACAGCAACCAACCCTACAAGATAGATTCCATTATTATTCCATTTTACAGAAAGGGAAAGTGAGGCTCAGGGCAGTTAAGTGATTTGCCCAGGACTCAATGCATAATTTGAATGTATGTTTGTCTAACTCAAACCCTTCCTTCTCTGCTGCTCCCACTGGAAGAAGGATCCCTTTGAAAGAGGGAGATTAATCAAGTAACCTTATTTGGTGCTTTTTTCTGTTGTGATTCTAGCTATAGAAGCCCAGCTGTTTCTTTTATGTCACTTATACCTTAGCCTTAGATCAGAGGTTTGGGGTGAGACTGAGTTGGGTTCAAATTACAGAAAGTTGTTTAGCCTTTTGATTTTCAGCTGTGTCATGTTGTAAAAGGGCTCATCATAGCTACAGCTCTGAGGCAAGAGGGAGTGGATTCATGTGGTCTCTCCATCTCGGTCCTGGCTCATTGCTTTATAGACGAAGTTCTGCTGATTTACCTCTCATGAGGTCAAAAGATAATTCCCAGAATATAAGTGTATTTCTGTAATAGTCCTACTGTTAAATTTCCATCTCTTAGACTTTGAAGTTAATGGCCATGAGTGAATTTAAAAGAATATCTAGTTGCTTCAATGCTTAGGTTTTGGAACTTCAGAAGCCTTAGCTTTACTTCTGCCTTTAGCATTGAAACAATAAGAAAAACAACTCAGCTACTCAAAACCACACCGAGCAGCACTTCACCAACCCTCCCCCACAGCAGATGGAAGGAAGAGAAGACAGAGCTGGAGCTGAAAGGCAGCCATGTGGTGAGGTCAGGCACCTCCAGCTTTCCTGAACTCTGTTATCAGAGCAAAGTGAGAGACTCGTTTCAAGAGAAAACCTAAACTCAACTCAACCCTCCTCTCCTCTCCTCTCCTCTCCTCTCCTCTCCTCTCCTCTCCTCTCCTCTCTTCTCCTCCCCTCCCCTCTTTTCTCTTCCCTCCCTCCTTTCCTTCCCTCCTTCCTTCCTTCCTTCTTTCCTTTCTCTCTCTTCTTTCCTTCCTTCCTTTCTTTCTCTTTCTTTCTTTCTTTCTTTCTTTCTTTCTTTCTTTCTTTCTTTCTTTCTTTCTCTCTCTCTCTTTCTTTCTTTCTTTCTTTCTTTCTTTCTTTCTTTTCTCTCTCTCTCTCCATTTCTTTCTCTCTCTTTCTTTCTTTCTCTCTCTCTTTCTTTCTTTCTTTCTTTCCTTCCTTCCTTCCTTCCTTCTTTCCTTCCTTCTTTCTTTTTTTTCTTTCTTTCTTCTCTCTTTCTCTCTCTCTCCCCCCACCTCTTTCTTTTACCACATAAGCCTCAGTATTCATGAGAGCTCCATGGAGACAGAAATCCATCCTTCTCCTATACACACATTTGGCATGTTTGAGGCAATTTTAGAGGTCACTTCTCCGATCCCACCTTCTACAAGAGGAAAACGAGGCACCACAAGGTTGATGACTGGCCCTGGTGCAGGCTCATAGGGGAAGTGGGACCAGAACTTGGGTCTCCTGATCCTCCTGTTGGTGCTCCTTCCTCTGCACCCTTCGGCCTGCATGCATGTGCAGGGATGTGTGTGTGTGAGTGTGTGTGCACGTGCATATGTGTATGTTTGTGTGTTTATGTGAATTTTGAACCATTTGAAAGTGAGCTAAAGATATCATGCACTCTGCCCTGTAAATTCTTTGGTATATATTTTCAAAGAACAAGGATATCCCTTTCCATAACCATAATAGTTACCAAATCAGCACATATAACATGGATAAAACACTGTTATTCAATCCACAGACTGTATTTAAATTTTGCCATGTTGTTATACTTTATCGTTATGTTCTGTCTCTTCAGTCTGCTTTAACTTTGGCCACTTCCTCAGTATTTTTTGTCTAACTTAACCTTGGCATTTTTGAGGTGTGCAGACCACTTCATTTTACAGCATATTTGTCCATTTGGCTCTGGTCATTGGAGTATCTAAATAAATAATGAGAAGTCCTGGTCCCAGGTATAATGGAGTGAGCACATTTCACTCATCTCTCTCACTGGATGTGGCTATAAAACCTGAACATAAGGCACAGGGTGGCTGTGAGGACTCTGAAAAGTGACTCAAAAAACAACCAGAATTTAAAGTGCCAAAATTAGTGGTGAATTTACCACTTTTTCCTCTGTTCCTTCCACCCCTTGGCCTTGGATGCATAGTTACAGAATTGCATGTCAGAACAGTGTTTTAGAAGACCTAAAACAGTACTTGAGGGAACTGGAAAATCATGGGAGGTTATGGAGAGAGAGGCGCCCAGGAGAGTGGTCCACACAGTTGACATGGGTCTGATGTAATAAGCGTGGGGGATGCTGAGAGCAGAGCAGGAGACAGATCACTGCCTAGGCCTGGACCAGCTGCTAGGGGCACGTGCCTGTGATAGATGTAAAGAACACTGCCAAGGCTTTTTGTTTCTTTGGATTAAAAAAATTAATTAGTAGACTTTATTTGTTACAGCAGTTTTAAGTTTGCAGAAAATTGAGTAGATAATACTGAGTTTCCATATGACCCTGCTTCCCCCACTCATGGTTTCCATTATTTATTTTTATTTTTTATTTTTTTGAGATGGAGTGCAGTGGCGCTATCTCGGCTCACTGCAAGCTCCGCCCCCTGGGTTCATGCCATTCTCCTGCCTCAGCCTCCCAAGTAGCTGGGACTACAGGCGCCCGCCACTGAGCCAGTATTTTTTTTTGTATTTTTAGTAGAGACGGGGTTTCACCGTGTTAGCCAGGATGGTCTCGATCTCCTGACCTCGTGATCCACCCGCCGTGGCCTCCCAAAGGTTTCCATTATTATTATCATCTTGTATTGGTGTGGGACATTTGTTACAATTGATGAACCAGTGATGATACATTATTATTAGCTAAGGGCCATGGTTTACATACATTAGGATTCATTTTTTTGTGTTGTACATTCTACAGGTTTTGATAAATGCATGCTACATATCAAACATTACAGTTCCATGCAGAATTCTTACACTGCTCTAAAAATCCCTCTTGCTGCACTATTCATCCCTCCTTGAATCTCAAAGTCCTGACAATCACTGATCTTTTTACTGTCTCTATAGTTTTATCTTTTCCAGAATGTTTCATAGTTGGAATCCTATAATATATAGTCTTTTCTTTTTGGCTTATTTTACATAACAACATTCATGTAAGGTTCTTTCTTTCTTTTTGTGGCTTTATAGCTCATTGATTTTAATTCCTGAATAATGTTCCATTATATGGATCTAGCACTGTTTGTTTATTCATTCTTCAGTTGATAGACATCTTGCTTGATCCCAGCTTTTGGCAATAATGAATAAAGCTGATATAAACATGAATATGCAGATTTTTATGAATGTAAGTTTTCAACTCACTTTACAAAACAGGAAAGAAATTCCTGGATGGTATGGTAAGAATAAGTCTAATTTTATAAGAAATTGCCAAACTGTCTTCTGAAGTAGCTGTGCAATTTTGCATTCCCACCAGGAATGAAGGAGAAAGTTCTTGTTGCTCCACATCATCACTATCGTTTGGTATTGTTGTTTTTTTTGTATTTTTTTGTCATTCTAATTAGTGCGTAGCGATATTTCATTGTTGATCTCATTGTTAATTCCTTAATATCATGATGTTAAGCTTCTTTACATATATTTACTTGCCATATGTATCTTCCTTGGTGAGCTGCCTATTCAGATCTTTTACCCATTTTTCAATTGGTTGTTCATTTCATTTCTTTTTTTTGAGTTTTAAGATTTCCTTATATATTTTGTATACAATTCCTTTATTGGATAAGTGTTTTGCAAGTATTTTCTATAAGTCTACGGCCTGTTTTTTAATTTTTAAATAGCAGAGCAGAAGTTTTAAATTTTAATGAAATTTAACATCAGTTTTTCATGGATTATGCTTTTGATGTTGTAGCTAAAAGCTCATCTACAAACCCAAGTTCAGCTATATTTTCTCCTATGTTATCTTCTAAAAGTTTTATCGTTTAGATTTCATATTTAGGTCTATGGTCCATTTTGAATCAATTTTGTGAAAGTTGTAAACTTTGTGTCTAGATTTTGTTGTATGTGAAATTACAGTTGTTGCAGCTCCATTTGTTGAAAAACTATCATTTCTCCATTGAATTGCACTGCAAAAGCTTTGAAAAGTGAATTGACAGAACCACAGCTCTCAGGTGGTGAATTGGAACAGTTGCCTAATTTTATCAGGTCAATTTGCCACTAAAACAAAAATATTAACATTCTGTATGGAATTAAAGCAAGATCCTGAGTTTTGTAACACAAGAAATAAAATGTCTAAGATTCACTTCAAAATTACTCATCATATGAAGAATGAGGAAAATCTGTGCTTGCAAGGGTAGACAGTCAACAGATGACAACACACAGATGCTGGAACTGACTGACAAAGGTTTTAAAGCAGCTACTATAAAAATGCCCCAAGAAGCAATTGTGAACACTATTGAAATAAGGGGAAAAATAGAAAGTCTCAGCAAACAAATAGAAGCTATAAGAAGACCTAAACTCAATAAAAGGGCTTAATAGCAGTAAGGAGAAGAAAGACAAAAGTCAGTAAAATTGAAGATAGACAAAAAAAAAATTATCTAATCTGAACAACACAGAAAATTTTAGAGAAGAAAAAAAAGAGAGCCTCATGGGCTGTGGGACAATAATGAAAAGTCTAATATTCATGTCATCAGAGTAAAAAAAGACAGGAGAAAGAGTCTGGTGTAGAAAAGTATTTGAAGAAACAATGAGTGAAAACTTTTCGCATTGGTAAAGAGAAAAATGTAAAGATTGAAGAAGCTAAGCAAACCCAACGCATAATAAACCCAAATAAATCAATGCCTAGATACATTGTAATTAAAGTTCTAAATATAAAAGACAAAGAAAAACCTGGAAAACATCCAGGGGAAAATGATTAAGTACTGGGTTATTTGAGAAACCATGAAGACCAGAAGGAAGTGACACAAGTTTTCAAATGCTGAAAGAAAAGTCTTATCAAACCAGGATTTTATATTCAACAAAAAATTCCTTCAGGAATGAAGGATTAACAAAGATATAGTCAAATGAGGGAAAACTAAGAGAGTTTATTGCCATCAGACCTGTGCTAAAAGAATTGCTTAAAAAAATTCTTCAGACAGAAGGGAAATGATAAGAAATGGAACTTGGAACTTCAAAAATAAAAGAAGATCAACAGAAATAGCCACATAAATAGAGTAGACTATTTTTCTCCTTTTGAGTTCTTTTTTCCTTTTTTCTATTTGTGTAAATTTAGGGAGTACAAGCACAGTTTTGTTACATGGATACTTTGCATAGTGGTAAAACCTGAGCTTTTAATGTAACCACCACCCAAACAATGTCATTTGTACACCTTAAGTAATTTCTCATCCCTCACCCTCTTCCTACTCTTCCTCCCTTCCAAGTATTCAGCCTTTATTATTCCACACTCTATGTCCATGTGTACACCTTTTTAAGGCCCTATTTATAAGTGAGAACATGTGGTAGTATATAACTATATTCCATGGAATGCTACTCAGCCATAAAAAAAGAGTGAAATCATGTCTTTTGCAGCAACATGGGTGGAACTAGAGACCATTATCTTAAATCAAATAACTCAGAAACAGAAAGCCAAATACTACCACGTGTTCTCACTTATAAGGAGAGCAGAGGAAGACAGATTACCCCAAGAATCTAGGATATGGGTGCAAAAGAAAGGATGGAATCTTCAACTCCAAAATGCAGCATCACCCTGTTTTATCTAAGTTATCTAGTTTACCAGCCTGGAGTTATCTGTAGTATGTGATAGTATAGTATAGCATACATTTTCCCCCTTTTAGTATCTACATGGTTTGTAATGATTTCCCCTCTTTCATTCTTGGGGTAATCTGTCTTCCTCTACTCTCCTGACACATACTTTGGGCAGATCCCACCTCTAGGTACAGAATGTGATTGGCAATTCCTGTGGACCAATCTGAGCATTGCTTTCACTTGGCTGTCCTGATTGCTTTGAATGGAGAGAGTAAGGCGCATCAGGCAGATACAAAGCATTTTGCTGAGATTACTGGCACTATATAAACCCTGCACTCCCAGGGAGCAGTAGAAATCTTGAGAATGGATCCATTAGAGTGTAAGGCAGACGTTAAAGATGGAGAAACCAACTTCTAATGACAGCTTGGAGCATCTGGATCTAGTCCCAGACTTTTTAGTTATGTGAGTCAATACTGTCATTATTTTTTCTCTTTACTTTTTAATTAAATCAGTGAATTGGATTTTCAGTTAATAGCAACCACCAGTCTTAAATGATATGATAGCCTATGCTTTGTTAGGTTTTGTTGAATGTATAAGTCTCTCAGTGTTGGTATTAGAATCCATTATTTTCCACGTGTAGTGGTTAGATTTTACTAATGATGTGTATTCCATAGTCTTACTTCTGCAACTATTTTTATAGATAAAAGGCTTTAAACCTTTTAAAAGAGTAGTATCCGTTTTCCGTTTTGTTTAAAAACAGAACAAAGACATAAAAACAGATAATGGTATGAGTACTGCAGTTGAAATGCAATTAGGGATTCTTTAGCCTACTTGGTCTTTACACCTCTTGCCCTGTTCCCCATCCCTATGTGGCATCACAAGAAATCTTACAGCCTGAAAAATATGGAACATAAAACACTGTTCTGTCATTTATCATACAAACAGGGTCAATTTCGAGAATAAAAGAAGACATTCTTAATAAATTTATTCTGGGAAAAAGTCTTAAACGGGTGATACCAGGAAAATTGGGACATACGGTTATCCTGGTTCTATACCACAAGAGTTGAAATGAGAGGAAAGTATGGTTAAGTGAGAAGAAATGGATTCCAGCCCCATTTCTATCATCCACGAGCTGTGTATTCTTAAAAAGTTACTCAACCTCTCTGAGCTTCAGTTTTCTTCATTAGTGTGTCAGAGAGAATAGTAATTACTACCTCACTGGAGGTTGTTGTAGGGTCGTAGTTATGAAAGGTCATAGTTATGAAAGATCATAGTTATGAAAGTGCTTTGTCAACCATAAGACACAATGTTACTAGTGGCTTTTATTGTATGAACTAACCAATCTAATTATGATGACTCTAACAATGTGGTTGTACTTAACTTTACACAATAGATGAATTCTCAGAAAAAAAGTTGAGTATGAATGATTTTGTAAATTGTCTCTTACTTAAAAAGCTCACATGAGACAAAATTGTCTGAGAAATTCTTCTATAAAGTTCAGAATTATTTTGTAGAATAAAAGTTACCCCATGCTTATATCTTATATATTAGAATTTGCTTTTAAGCAAAACATATCCCTAATGTCTTCAAGGATTTGTCTCTCCAGCTAAATGTGGAGAATGAGGCATTTCATAAATGTTAGATTACCTGGCCAGGATGCAAGCTGGGGCTAGGGTTGGAGCAGGAGGCCCTTTTCGGGGCCCAATATGGCCATGAAAAAAAAAAAGACAACATAAATTCTTGCAAAGCAGGACCCTGTCGGTTTAATTTATTTCACATTTGCCCTGGAAGCACGAGGCTCCAGTGGGCTAATGAGTACGAGATGCTGTTACAGACGAGAGGCAACCTATGCATGCTGCTTGTATGACTGGCACCCAAATAGGCTTGCTGGGTTGGTGCACTGTCAGGTTTCCAATTCTTTCGATGTGTCTGTAGCCTTGGTCTGGCCAGGTCTGCCTTGTCCTCCTGGATGGACATTTAGGAAATGCATCCTAACCCCATCAGCACAGTCATGCACTGGTCTTCTTTTCCCATATGTGTGTGCCGCCATCTGGGACAACTTAGCCATTGTCTGTTAGGGCCTTTGATGCTTGATTATAGGGAAAGAGGAAAACATCAGCTACAATAGAGCAATCTGTTCTGTTTGGGACATCTTACAATCTTTTTTCCTCCTTTTCTTTTTTTCAATGCACATATTTTTGATCATCTTCACATAGGGATGTATATTGGTAATGGAATGTATTCTAGAATTCTTTCTCTTGAAAGGAATGAAGCTCTCCATTTACCCTGTGCTCATAAAATAGTTTTGCAAATATGATCTTGCTGATAAAACACTTATTCCACTTCTCTTATCCTCTTTTTGCTTACAGACTGCCAAAAGAATCTAAGATTTCAAAGCATAAATGCTGATAACATAGTTTTTTCATTGCTTTTGCTCTGTATTTCCGCAGAGCTTATTGTTTGTTGTTTTCAGTGGTAAAACTTTCATCTTCAACAATAGTTAGATTAATTTAAAAACATCTTTACAATGGTATATTGTAATAGATATTAGCAAATTTCTTGGAGAAATGTTGTATTCAAATAGAACCAAATCTATACTGTACTGTTAAGTGTATGTGTTAAGGTTGACTAAGTTCCAAGGTCATATATACTTTGTAATTTTATTTTGGTAGAAAAATAATAACTAAAGTGATGTACACCAAATAATTACAAGTCATGGTCTCTGTGGGATAGAACCACAAAATGTTTTTCTTTCTTTCCCTTCTTTTTTTGCTCTCTCTCTTTCCTCTCCTTCTGTTTGCTTATTTGCATTTTTGAATTATTTTATAACAAAATTGCATGACATTTGTAATAAATCCCACTCTATAAAATAAGTTTAAAAACATAAAGGAAAGTTTGACAGTCTATGAACTTAATCTCCACCCAGAAATGGAGTGCTGTAGTAAGGCCCACTCAAGATAACGATGGCAATGGGAAGCTGGAGTGACAGATGGCACACGATGGCAAACAGCCCATACACGTTAGTGCTTTCTGTGGAAAATAATTTTGTATATATATAAATATCTTTTATAATTTAGGAATTTCCACATTATTAAGTCAGGATAGCCAGTATAGTAGAGATACAGGTGTCCAATATCCCTTTCATCCTTCTTCCTTTAGTAATAGTTTATCTGAGTGTATACTGAGTGTGGTCCCTTGTCCAAAGGAACCTTTAAAGTGGTGGTGGTCACATGCTAAACTTATAGTCAGAGGTATGTGAATGGCGATGGTGGATATCACCTCTCAGTCATGCTCATATCTTTCCTTCTGTCCCTTGTGCTCTGCACATGGCAGTGGGTGCTGAAGCAGCCACATGAGACCAGGAGGTGCAATCTAATCATTGAGGACAGCAAAGCGAGAACTAATGAAGTTGAGTCATTGATGCTGTTGAGCCACCACATCAGTTCAGAATTGCCTAAGCCTGTGTATTTAAGCAAGCAAGAAAGAAATCTTATCTTGTTTAAGTCACCATTGGTAGGGTTTTTTTTTGTTATAACCATTGAATCTACATCCTAATAATAGTATATTATATTACTATAATTTTACAGTATATAATAATATAATTTTATAACATAATATGTAGATAGACATAGATAAATATATGGATGGATGGATCTATAGATAGATTGATGAATGAAGGGAAAGGTGGATGGATAGATGAATGAATGGATGAATGGGTAAGTGGATGGATAGGTAGATGGATGACAGATGAATAAATGGTGGATGAATGGATGGATAGATGGATGGATGGATGGATGGATGGATAGATGAATGTATGATTAGATAGGTGGATGAATGGACAGATGGATGGTGATATGGTTTGGCTGTGTCCTCATACAAATCTCAACTTGAATTGTTTCTCCTGGAATTCCCACATGTTGTGGGATGGACCCAGGGGGAGGTAATTGAATCATGGGGCCAGTCTTTTCCTTGCTATTCTTGTGATAGTGAATACGTCTCATGAGATCTTATGGATTTATCAGGGGTTTCCACTTTTGTTTCTTCCTCATTTTTCCTTGCCGCTGCCACGTAAGAAGTGCCTTTTGCCTCCTGCTATGATTCTGAGGCCTCCCCAGCCCTGTGGAACTGTAAGTCCAGTTAAAGCTCTTTTTGTTCCCAGTTTTGGTCATGTCTTTATCAGCAGTGTGAAAATGAACTAATACGGATGGATAGAAGGGTGGAGGGATAGATGGATAGAATGGGTGGACTCAATCTTGTTGCCCTTCCTTTTCTTCACCCTGTTTCTCTACCCTCTGCAGGAAGAGCCCACCTTACTTCTCAGTCTAAGAAAGTGGCAAGCACTGCTGGGCTCTTTCCACACCTGTAGTTCCTCAGTTTTCTGAAACATAGGTTGTGTGTTTCTAATCTGGCAAAGACTTGAAGGAAAAAAAATCCTTTTTAAAGTCATTGTAAACAGATATTACTTTTATTTCAGCAATTTGCCTTGGTAAAATTCGGGAATTGAAATGTAAATAACCGGTTATGTACAAATTTGACTGGTTTTGGGGCCAAACCTGTATAGCTGGTAGCCTGCACGGATTCCATGAGGGTTACTTCCTGTGCCAGTCCAAGTGCACAGCACAGGGCAGAGCATTATGAACACATAAAAACAAGGGAAAAGTCAGAGAGAGGGAAACTGAACAGTGAAGATGCAGAGGAGTAAGAGAGTCCTGGGAGCAAGTAACCAGAGAGGGAGTTGCGGCAGCATTCAGCCTAGAGGGCATGATAGGCCAAGGCATAGAGATAGGAAGTGTTGAACACTGGACGCTGTGACAGTGAGGGCAGCTGGCCTGGCTGAAGGAAGAGTTTATGTGGGAAGTGGAAGGAAAAGTCCCTAGAAGGCTGAAGGCAGGTATTGAGCCACCACGGATAGACAGAGGATGCCACCTGAATATTATTTCTTCTATATATCAGGACTGTAGCTCTGTTAAATAGATTCCAAAACTCTTGTTTTCATGCAGATATCTTTTTGGAATTGTGATAGAACATGAGGCTATAAAATTCCAAGCCAAGTGTTCTAAAATCCTCAAGACCATATACAGACTAAGCTTTGTGTACATGGTGTCAAAACAGGCAGGTCAAACCACTTTATTGCTTGCATAGCAGACACAGCCAGGAAGCTTCCCAGCCAGGAAGCAAAAATCATAAGCTGTTTTTCTATTCCTTTTCCTGCATAGCATGGTGGCTGGAGTTCTAGTTCTCATTTAAGTTCCTCCTACTTAACTGGTGGAATCCAAGTAATTGATCCAGTATCATCTATCACCACCCTTCTTGTCCTTGTGCTCTGCCAGGTTGCTGAGGGAGTGTCACATCATCCCAAAGACTGTAGTCCCAGACCTGCTGTGCAGAGGCTCCAAAACCATGCTCTGACTGGGCTTTCACCTGATTGCCAAAGGGGCTTTCTCTCCCTCGCTGAAGAATGTGCCTCCTTTTTCCTCCTTCCTTCTGACCGACAAAGGAAGCCCCTTTCTGATCATTAAATGGCTCTGTTAAATTATACCCTTTAGGGCATTTTGTTTTTGCTGGGTGAGGGAGCAGGGGTAGTCTTTTTCTCTCTTTCCAAATAACGGCAAGGGCAGTTCCTCAATGTCCTGAAGCTTCCACTGACATTTGGACCCTAGGTCTCTTCTCTCTAGATTGAGCAACAGATGTGACCTATGTTTTGTAGGGTTTCACCATGCAGATAATGTACTAACCTTACTTACACAAAACCACATTTTTATTTGTGTACTTTTTGATTGGTTGTCTCAGTAGGCATCAGATCACTTGTTGCGGCGTGTTGGGGGGAGCTTGTTGATGCACAGATAGTGGGGTTCCATCGCCAGGGTTTCTGGTTCAGAAGGTCTGGTGTGGAGACTGAGAATTTGCATTTCTAACAAGTTCCTGGGTGAACTGCAGAATTACATTTTAAGAACAACTGTTCGGAGCACCCTTGCCTTAATAATGCTGCAGAGACTTTCTGGGCTGGTCCAGGTGTCTTGTGGCTCCGCTTCTGCTGTGTCAATTTTTGAACAGCATGTGGAGGAAAGATGCCCTCTCCAGGGTGTGGTGAGGAGTGAGGACAATGTGGGCATGTCTGAGCTGTAGTGGGCATGGGTGATTCAGCAAGGACTGACTGGACAACAGTGTCCCTTCTTGAGAGCATCCCAGCAGGCTAGGCAGCAGAGCTATTAAATAAAAATCCGTAGGAAACATTGACATTGGATCCCTCCTGAATGTTTGTTCTACAAATGTGGAATGTTTGTCTCATCCAGAAACCTCAAAATTACTTTGCCATTAACACCTGTGTGAGTGGCAGGGCTTGCATCATTAAGATTGCCGGAGGAAAACGCTGCCTCACCTTGGCCGAAGGAAGCATTAAAAATTAATGAGGTATCAGTACTCACAGTTTGATAAACTACAAAACACCTCCTTATGCCTCCACTTTTTCAGTTGCCTAAGCCTCTGATACATCTATATAAGACATTTTAGAAGACCAAATGTCAACTGTAGAGCTATGAATGTCAACAGAAAAATGAAAAAGAGAAAAAAAATTTGCATTTTTTTTGCAGAGGATTGTGAAAATACTATGACATATTTTATATTTTTTATTTGAAGGGTCATGTGGTTCAGACCACACATGGGTATTTGCACTTGCTGCTTGTACCAAGTGAATCAGATGGGATGGTAAGAGTAATTTCTTGGAATGTTTTAGCAGCAGTGAGGGTTACAGGCAGATGACCTGGGAGCTAGTCTCTGCTGTTTACTCCTCTGGCTCTGAGATGCCTTCAGGAAAGTTCTGTGTTGTGACATTCTAGAGACAGCTTGCCTCTAGAATACTGTGACATGCCACCTGGAAGTTTTGTAGGTCTGGAAATATTCACAACGTGTGCACATTCAGCATTAGACTGTATGTGGCCGTTCTCTCTGTCATAAGGGAGTATATGCAAAAACTCTCAGATGTCTTTGTTCTGCTCTGTGGTCTGGGCTGGGACAATTTTGATGAGCTGGCAGCCTAATGTTTTCTTGATTCTTATTTATAGCTCAAATCTCTTTATGGGTGCTCTTCAGGGGTATCTTTTCAGGGTTCTTGGTCAGCTGGTAAGTGTTACAATAATATCTCTTTTGAATATGTAACTATTATGCATTATATGTGGCTGCTATTAAGATGGATACTAATTATTGTTCTCAGATCTTTTCAAATATGAGCTCATTTACTCCTCAAGGCAATCCAATGAAGTCAGTGCCATTTTTATCACCATTTTACAGATGAGGAAACTGAGGCACTATCTGTAACTTGCCCAAGGTCACACAGCTGGTAAGTGGCATACCCAAGGCTAGAACCCATGCTCTTAACTACTACATGAAACTACTGATTGCTTTTCTGATGAGCTTCAACTGGTAGAAGCCACTCGCGTCTACTCACAAGCTTGTTACTGAACCCATTGGGGTCAAAAGCACATGTGTGTTTCTGAACAGAGAGGTGAAGTGAGTGGGCTCATCTTAAAAGCTTGTTTCCATTGCTTTAGAATCAAGTGCAAATGCTTTAGTAAAGCCTTCTAGCACTTTTCTCAACATTTCTGAGGTTCTCTCCCAAGCCTCCCTCCCTAACCACATAAGCTTGCCCAAAGCATGCTGGGGGCATGATGCTCTAGACCATTGCTCATAGGTCTCTTCATCTAGAGCTGGCTCCTGTCTCGCACTCTATTTGCACACCTTTGCTGGGGTGAATCATGTTCTAGAGTGTCCCAATTTGAATGTCAGATCTGGTTACAGATACATTGAGATAATGGTCCCTGAACCCTGGGCAACTGGGCATGTTCTGGGGTTGCTGGAGTCCTTGTTCTGGTCACTTCCAGCCATATAAACATACTTTTTTCTTTGCTGAGGAACTGATCTGTGCTGAGGAATGCCACATCTGGGCTCTGTTGAAGAAGGTAGGCAAACAGAAGAGAGAGATGGGGCATTTCTTCCTCCACTCCCTCCCTGCCTTGGGGTCACAATTCCAGCAGCAGTTGTACCCTTCCCTTCTGGTGGGCACTTCCCCTGCAGCCCTCTTCCTTAGCTCCTAGTATCTCCTAGGGCAGTAATAGCTCCAAACTGCTCCAAACTGCTGTTAGTCTTTGGGGGCCTCCCAACCCTTGTTGGTTTACTCTGCCTACATTCTGTCTTGCCACCCCTTGGACAGCATTTCTACATTTGAACCATATGGGTGAATTCCATATCCTTCTGGGACCCTGACCCATGAAACTCCTTCGTCCCAAACTATGTCTGAGCTTTGTCCTCCAACTCGCAAATGGCCACCAGCAGATTTTCCTACTCAGCTCACACAGCCCAGGTCCCCACTTATTGGATGGAACACAAGATACCCTTTAAATCATTTGAATCACAATGCAGACTTAAGAGTCCATCAAATTCTTGGGAAGGGGCAATGTGGGATTCTTTCTCCTCCACTTTCCCACCATACTCCCTTTGTGGCAGATCACAGGCATGTGTACAGTATAGTGCAGATTCTCCCTTTATCCAGAACACAACCCAGGGGCCTGGGTCTTGTTTTACTTCCCTTAATGTCCATGTGGTTATTGATGCCGCTGTCTTCCCTGGTAATCTATCAGCTCCACTAGAGGAGAATGGGTATCTCTAGGACTAGTTCAAAATAAGTACTTCTTAAGTGAATGAAGGAAGGAAGGAAGGTAGGTAGGAAGGAAGGAACAAATGAATGAAATGCAGCTGGCACAAGTTGGGGTCCATCGTTTAGTCACAGAACAAACAAGCATAAGTTGTTCCCACCCTGATCCTCAAAAACTTCAAAATGGAGCTGTCCTCCTTTTATGGGCCCTGAAGCAATTCAGAGGCCTCGTTCTCTCTTTGATATACTTCCCTCATTGCCAGGTGACAGTCCGGAGGACAACGAGGCATTGAGTGCCTTGCCCCAGCTGGGCAAGCTGCTGAGCAGAGAAGTCAGCATTCCCGACATCCTGCCCGGCTCTCTCTTGACTAAACCGCATGGGCTGTTTTTCTTTGCTCTTGCTTGGACCACTGGGCTCTTCTTGACTCAGACACCACTGATCCCTTTCCCGGGATACACACCCACCTGCTCCCTGGAGCCAAGTTTTGTGAGGCGTGTGGCTTTTTTTTGGAATGCTTGGTCACCTTGGAGCTCCTGCCTCATCCCAGGACAGGAGGATTTGTGTAGATAAATTATCACCATGGGAGACCAGTGTGTGTCCCCAAGCCTTCAGTGCAGTTCAGACACAGTGGGTTTCCTGCAACTCACTTTTGCTATGGCGACTTTTGTTATGCACAGTGAACAGGAAGTAGAAATTTGCAGAATATAAGCCTTCTTCACAGGAAACGTATTTTGGAGCTCACCACACCATACAGGCTGCTGATTTAATACAACCAGGATATGTGCAAATCTCCGAGGAATGGCAAATGCCATCCACCTTCACTTTTTTCACCTTCCTTCTCCTCCTCCTCCTCACCTTCATTTTTCAATAACCCAATTATTTGCTGGTGCATATAAAAGTAAACAGAAAATGAATAAGCTGTGGACTTTGAAGGATAGTTTTTGAGTTAGAAATCTGAAGGGGGAGAAAAGGCCACAGAAACAGGGTAAACAGTTAAGGCAAACATTTTAGACCAAAATAGCCAGTAGACAGCAGCTGAGAATGGACCTCACTGCTGGTAAAGAGGCCCAAGTGGATTAAATTGATCAAAACAGTGTTTGGGAGATAGCAAGGAATTTTATTTTTCATTATTTCTCTTCAAAAAGGCATGATGGAAGATTAGACTTCTCTAAGAACAAACGTTTGAAACTTTTCTATTGCTACTGTTTCTGTGCTTTGCATTTGATGTTGGTTATGAAACGTGTTTTTCTCAGTATAGATATATATGTATATTTTTATACATACACATACATATATATATTTTTTATACATACACATACATATATATATATATATATATATTTTCCTTTTCTTGTTGAACCATGATAGTAAAAATGATTAGTGGAGTTGAAATCTGCAGCAATGCACAGAATGCTTTTTCCAGTGTTTAGGATAGCTGAAATATGCAATAATTGATTTTAACATGTGCTGTAATTGGTTCCATATGCATTGCTGTCAACTATGATGCATCATAATTAAACTGACATGTTCAAAACCTGGCCACTGAAATGAGCACTCCCTGCATTTTCCAACTGTGCACAGCTTGCTGCTTCTCCACTCCCTAGCTTCTCAATCAGGAACCACATTGCCGGGTTTTATTTTGCTGCTGGTCTCCTCTATGTTTTATCTATTTTTCCCCCTCAGATTTTAAATGACCTCCTGGAGTGGATTCAGGGTCTTTCCCCACCTTCATTTTCAGATGGTCACATTATTTCAGCAGTGATGGATCTATATGCAATTTCCTAAGTCATCATAAATCAGATCTAAACTCATGAGAATGGTCAAGAATTTGATATAAAATAAGACACAGGAGCAGATCCATAAAAGTTCCATATTTTAGTCCCTCCACCCCCAATTGAACCACGCTTGAACTCTAATTAGAAAATTCACTTGGAGGAAGAAAGCATAGTATATGACACATGTTCCCCTCCAGTTTCCTCTCATATAAATGACAATATTCATATATTTGACCACCTTTCTGCTTATTTCTGTGGTCATCAGAATGTTTATGAGTGTCCAGGATGGTCTTACCTTGATGGCCTGATTATCTTTCTCTTTTCTTTTGTAAAAGCCATCTGAAATCATTGTAAGGGCATTGAACTAGGATCTGGGGCAGCTCTGTTACTATTAATAGAGTTAGTAAAGTTCTCTGGGTGTTAGCTTTCTCCTTGGTAAGATGGAAAGGATAATACTCTTTCTACTGTCATCTCAAGGTTTAGCCCAATAGAATGAGATACAGGCAAGATTGGATAATGCGGCCTTTGGTTCCTGAATCTCTGTTCTGAATTAGCATGAGTCATGTCTGTGTTTGGACTTTGAGTTACCATAATCTGCTGTTTTAATTTCACCAAGAACTGCATCCCCCTCAAATCTCACAGTGTTACACCTTCTCCAATCTGTTAACCACATAAATGGGTCCTGCGATGGCAAAATATTTAATAACAAAAGTTAGTTTATCATCATCCATAGTTGATCAGACGAATCATCACTGTGAGGCTCCATAAGGCCAATGCTGGGAGAAGGGACATAGCAGCCATCTTTCCACTATTTCCACTGGGAACACCAATCTTCCACTCATTTTTGTCATGGTTCACTGGTGGGGATCCCTAATTTCAGTGACCTTTTCCTTGCTTAGAGCATAGTCCTGTAACGCAGACCTGGTTAATCATGGTGTCTCTTCTGTTTGTCCGTGGAACATAGTCCACGCTGTAGCAGAATGACCAAGCTGGACCCACAAGGGTTTTCTCATGCACTTTGAAAGCCAAAAGCTATGAGGCAAGATTCCCCCATCTCCTCGGAAATGAGCTATGAAGACATAAGCCTGGTGACACTGGACTGCAGGAAGAAAGCCATGCTCTCCACTGTGTAAAGGAAGGAGAGATTGAGCCCCACACATGGGAGGAGTGGAATTGAAAACGCTGATTAATGACTTTGGAAACTGTCAGGTGATTTGTAGAAGAAAGAACTTACTCCACTTCCTACTGAGATCTTATTTCCTGATTAAATTCCTTAAGAGGCAAACTTTCTGGAGCTAAGAAAGTGATTGGGAAAGGAAAGTGGTTCTTTATCTTCCTCCTTCCTCTCATGTTTTATTTTCTGAAAGGGAAGAGTCACTATTTCATAGCCAAGGATAAGAAGGGATCTTGCTGCTACTTTAATAGGCATTCCAACTGGAGTCCTGAGCCTACTTTTCCTTCTTATTTTGCATCTTTATTCTTATTGGATCGCCTCTCATTTGGCTATCAGAATATTTCTCTCCACCCCACTCCCTGGTCAACATGATCTTCGAGTCAGAAGACTTGCCCATTACTTTTGAGCAACCTTTGGATGGTATGTGGTGCATCTGCAGTGGCTCTCAAACCGAGGGTGCATCTGAACCCCCTGGAGAGCCAGTGAAAACACAGATTGCTGGGCCTGACCACCAGCGGCCCTGATCCAATAGGTCTGGATGGGGTGGAAAGTCTGCATTTCTAAGTCCTGAGGTTGTACTGAGGCTACTGCTCTGTGGAGCGCACTTTGAGAACTACTGCTGAGATGAATGCTAGATTAGATTAAATGTGAGACTCAAGTCTTGGCCTTTGGACAATCCCCAAAGCCTCTGTGGGCTTCACTTTACCTATTTATAAAATGGATGATTTGACCTAGGTGATCTTAAAATTTTCTTTAAGATGCCTCCAAGTCAATGAACTGATCATGAAGTTCTATTTGGAAGGACTGCACTGTCATGTCAGCTTTTCTTTTTCCCTTTGAGACAATTATAGCTAAAAAAGACAATATCTAATTTCTGCAGAAATTGTGGAAGTGGTCAGAGATCAGCAATAGAATAGTGTAAATATTATATGCTATTAATTCTAAGGTCCTGACATAATACTCTGCCATTAAGCTTTTCATCTGGAGGTTGTATATTGTTTTGTAATTATTTGCTAATTAATCAGGCACTAGTTCTAGAATTTAGGAAACACCAGCTCAGTAGCTTCTCAACCATGATGAAGAGTAGACAGTATTAGAAAAACACAGTAGTGGGAGAGTGGAAGATTGGGGGAAGGAAAAGAGAGTCCCTAAGCACAAAGTGTGCTTCTCTACCTCTCCTCCTTCTCCATTCTGTGCTTCCCTGGCAGATCTTCTGGGCGAGGAGCCAAGAGAAGGTTTGAAAGTTTGTCTGCAGCTAGATAAACATCTTTAGTGGAGAGATGGATTTTGGCGTCACTTAGGAGGTCCCACCTAATTTTGAAAAGAGAGGGAGAAAAAGGAATATCTGAAGACATCTTCTGGAGTGGAAAGGACCAAAAAATCATTGAGTCTGGCTTTCCTCTATCACCCCAAGTTCCTGCACAAACCACCTGCATCCCAACAGCAATATAAAATGACTATTTTATGAGTGAGAACAGGAAACTGTGGCTATAACAAGGCTTCTTTCCCCTTTTCTTTTGAGGAGGAATAAATGATGGATGTAAAGACAAATATGAAACAGTAATTTAGAAAATAATTTCTTTTCATGTAAGAGCCACTTTTTGACAACTTGGTGGTATTTAAGAATACTGATCAATGAGGAGTATCATAGAATACTGATGAGTTGATTAGATACGTAAGTATTGGGCATCTAACATACCCTAGCAGTATGTGAGGCACAAATTAACCAAACAAAATTATTTCTATGTTTTAGGAGATAACAGTTGAGATAGGAAGAGGACAAGTAAACAGATAATTTTATCAGTTCCAACAGGAGTGAACACAGGCTACCACAAGAGAGCCTTGCATGTGTGAATATCAGCAAAAACTCCCTGTGGAAAGTAGTGGCCTCGAGCATGAGTAGAGGTTGGGTCAGATAGGAAAAAGGTGTTCTTTTCAGACTTAGCATCAGACACAAAGGCTCAAAGAGGTGAGTTCATGAAACTTTGATTGTTGAGTATGACTGGTGGCTAGAATTGAAGCTGCAAGGGAAAGCATGGGTACCTATTGACTTTATTTTGATCCACTAGTTCAGTACTAGTCCCAGTTCCCAAAGAGTTTGGTTTTTATTGGTGAGATGGGGGTGGTTGATCATGGAATTAACTGATGTCTATCTGTAGCTAAGTAACTGGGTGGGTTCAGAGCCCTTCCTCTCATGGACTGCTTAACTTCTCTCCTCTACACTGTTGCTGTCCTTTTATGATGCTTTTCCTTGCTTCCTAAGCATGGTTTCTCCATTGCATCCATCCTCAACCCCTTCTGTTCCTGGCTTTACTTTGAGGCTTGCTCTAGGTATAAATTCATTTTCCAAATAGATACATTATATATGACTAATGTCTATAGGGAAATATGACATTTTAAGGGAGGAGAGAGCAGGATTTGCTGCAGGTTGGAGAACTGTTTTTCTAATCGTCTGCCTTTCTAATGTGCTCCCAGATGGTGCTGATGCTGCTGATGCCTGGCTACATTTTGGAGAACCTGGAGCCTTCTTTCAAATGATGGTTGATGAAATTATATTAAACCCAAAATTTAGGTTCTCCAATGCTCTCCTTTCTTTTTCTCTTTTTGAGACAGAGTCTTGCTCTGTCACCCAGGCTAGAGTGCAGAGGCATGATCTCAGCTCACTGCAACCTCCACCTCCCAGGTTCAATTGATTCCCCTGGCTCAGCCTCCCAAGTAGTGGGGATTACAGGTGCACACCAACATGCCTGGCTAATTTTTGTATTTTTAGTGGAGACAGGGTTTCACCATGTTGGCCAGGCTGGTCTCGAACTCCCAACCTCAAGTGATCCTCTCGCCTCGGCCTCCCAAAGTGCTGGGATTACAGATGTGAGCCATTGTGCCTGGCCCCATGCTCTCCTTTCTAAAGGGGAAGAACCTTTTTGTAGCAGAGGAATCATTCTTGAAGGTCCCAAGATCCTTTCTGCTAGACTTCCTATTCTTATAGTTGTTTCTAAACTTAATTCTTTCTGGAAAACAGAATAACTGCAAGAAAAAATCTACATCCTGAAAGGGTTGAACCCATCTTGAAAATGGCAAAATCTCCATCCTGGTGATCACTGGCACCATCACTCCCAGTACAGCCATCACTCTATGGGATCCTGGGCACTGCTTAGCACTAGGAAGGCGAATGGCTTTAAATTATGATTCCTGTCCTCAAGAGATAAGTCACATTGTTGAAAACCTGACATCAACGTACAAAGATTCATAATCATAAAAGGTAACTCTTGGTAAGTCATTATAATCTTATTAATTGCTTCTAATGGTAAGTCACATCAATGCTGTATTTTTTCAGGTTTCAGAATTTAGCAGGCAATTGAATATGTCACTGTTTGGGTATTACTAATGGGAGTAGTGAAGTTTCCTTTTTACCTGTGGTTAGCATTTTGCTTTTGGCTCCAGAAATGTCATAGAAACAACCTGACTTGGGCATATTTCTAGAGACTATCAAGTTACATATAAAGTTTAGTATGTTATTTAGACTAATATTTTATAAATCATGTTCTGGAATTAAGCTGAGTAAGGCCAGGAAGAAAGAGGGTTGAGGATGGATGTAATGTAGGAACCATGCCTAGGAAGCGAGGAAAAGCATCATAAAAGGACAGCAACAATGTAGAGGAGAGAAGTTAAGCAGTCAGTGAGAGGAAGGCCTCTGAACCCACTCAGGTACTTAGCTGTAGATGGACATCAGTTAATTCGATGACCCACCACCCCATCTCACCAATAAAAACCAAACTCTTTGGGAACTGGGACCAGTACTGAACTAGTGGGTCAAAATAAAGTAAAAAAGAAGCCCACTTCAAGAAATACTCCTCTAAATAACTTCAGAGAAAAGGAAATTTTGAGAAACAAGCAATCACACAGACACACCATGTGCTGTTGTCTTTTCAGCACCAGCTCTGTGTTATGGTACAGTTAGGGAGAGGATGAGGAGGGCTCTTCTCTGAGCACATTTCCAACAGTCTTTTCATGGTATGCAGCAGTTGTTTACAACAACGTTTCTCACTTTAATGTGCACACAAATCATGCAGGATCTTTTGAAATTCACATTCAGACTCAGTGGGACTAGATGGGGCATGAGCCTTGCAGAGGTGATGGGCTCACAGGCATGCCAATGGCCTGTGGTCCTTGGATTGCACTCTTAAGTAGCAATGGTTTAGAATATGGTGAAAATATGTTAGAAGGGGCATTGTGAATGTATGGGGGTTCATCTGTTCAAGAAACAACAATGAAAAAAAATGGTGATTAAATGCAACCACACCTAAATAAGGTAGCCAGGAGGTAGAACCAGCTTCTCCATGAACAGGCCACATACCATCTCCCGGGGCTGCCTCCAGTGTCCAGCCTGGCTGTGCTCAGGCCCTCAGGGCTTGCTGGACTCTCCTGGCAGTGTGGGGTCAGGACTCAAGTAGGTTGGATGCTGATAGCAGAGAGTGTGATTCTCCGGCCTGATGACCCAGAATCACTCCCAGGACTGGAATCCCAGCTCTCCCAGGAGGAAGGAGTCGTCCCTGGTCTCCCGCATCCCCCAAATGCTGATTCTGTGTCTGCATGTGGAGGGGTAACAAACAAACAACAAAGGACCATCTCAATTAACCTGCCACACAGAGCAGAATCCCATAAAAAGTTCCAACTCTCTTTTTGGATGAAGCTTCTTTTTTTTTTTTTTTTTTTTTTGAGATGGAGTCTTGCTCTGTCACCCAGGCTGGAGTGCAGTGGTGAGATCTCGGCTCACTGCAACCTCCGCCTCCTTGGTTCAAGCGATTCTCTTGCCTCAGCGTCCCAAGTAGCTGGGACTACAGGTGCATGCCACCACACCTGGCTAATTTTTTTAATTTTAGTAGAGACGGGGTTTCATCATGTTGGCTAGGCTGAACTGCGGACCTCAGGTGATCTGCCCGTCTTGGCCTCCCAAAGCGCTGGGATTACAGGCGTGAGCCACCATGCCCAGCCTGGATGCCACTTCTTATGATGCTTAGAATCTGGTCCCCTTTCAGAAAACTGAAGCCTTGAAGTACCTAAAGTTGCTACATTGTTCTCTCTCTCAAAGAGGAAAGCAAAGGGAAGGTCTAGGCCAGCACTTTCCAAAATTCAATGTGCGTAGGAACCACCTGCGGAGTTGTTAATACTCAGATTGAGATTTGGTAGTTCTGCGTGGGGTGGGGCCCAAGAGTCTGCCAGGTGCTCCTAGCTGGTGCTGATGCTGCTGGTGCCTGGCTACATTGTGAGTAGCAAGGGCAAGCAAACTAAGTGACCCTCTTTGGTGATCTGCAGAGTCGAGGATGATGCATCTTTCAGGCCTGAGTCAGACTGTCTGAACTCCAGGGGCCCAGGAGCTGCACAGCTGTGTAAGATTAGAAATCTCAGCGCTGAGCAGGATGGGGCTGGGGCCAGTTAATGGCATCATTTCATTGTAGTAACTACAGCAGGCCAGAGCCAATTGCTGTTTAGTCAGCTTTCCCGTGTTTGTTGATTTTGGTATTACTGATTTATTAAAGGAAGAGGAACTGTGTTGGATATCAGAAAAGTGTTAGAAAGAGGAAAGTAGAGTAAATCCAAACCTCTCTCTCTACACTCTCCAAACCTGTCCCCCACACCCACCCCACCCCCTTGTTGCCAAGTTGTAAGATCTTGGGCTGACTTCCAAGTTCCCAAAATTCAAGTGTGGAAAAAGCCAACTAATCTCCTGGAAAAATCTCCTGATGTGTATTTTTATTTAACAATCTGGGCTGATTTTAAACTTAGCCCACAGTAAACTGTGCTCAACCGGCATTATCATTATGGACACTTGCTGCTGTATTTTCCAAGGATCTCCCCTCCCCCGCTGGTATTGCTACCAGATACAGAATGGAATTTGTCAGGACAAGCCATGTATTACTACTAAACCATTAATTCAGTTAGTGCATTAGGAGTGGGAAGACTGATTCTTTGCATTATATTTTGGCTGTCAGGCCTGATTTGAGTTTATTTCTCATTGAGTATTCCATATCAAAGGCTGGGATAATAGAATTACAGGACATTAGGACTTTCAATCTGGAAGAGACCCTGGAGATCATTTAGTGCTGCCTGCTCACTTTACAGATGAGGAAACTATATTTTTCAGTCTTAAGAGCTTGAGCAAGTACTCGGCTTTTGATATGCACATGTAGTTGCCATTCCCATGTATGGGAGTTGTGTGCGTGCTTGAAGGGAGTCAATAATGAACTTTCCTATTTAGTTTTCCTTGATCTTGGCTTTAGCTTCATCAAAGTCTGTCATACACACCCTCTGGACAGCATACATTTTGCAATAATATGTTGTCTTGGTTCCTGATAATAGTGGAAAAGAAATGTGATGTTTTTACTTAAAAGACACTTTATACAATTTAATAGCAACTGCATCTCTGGCATCTATAACAGATGTTATCCAGTGCAGGCAACTTTTTCTAAGTAATCTAGCTGAATTTTAGCTGCTGAAATTTTCTGTATCATTTGGTGATCATATTTCATTTCAGACTTTTGAACACGACAGATTGTCCACCTGGATCTCATTTTGCCACATTTTATTGATGGCCTGACTCAGATCTTTCAAGTTCTCACTAACTGACCTTGAAGGAGTAGCTTGTTTTTTAAATTTTATGACACAGAGATGTAAACTGCCTGCAAATTATGCAACTCAGTGGTGATGAACAAAGAGAACTTTTTATTACTATTTATTACCTACAGTTAAGGAATTAGCAAGAGCTGTTACTTTGCACCCATTCCTGGGACAAAATCCCGAATTAACTTTATATCAAGCACATGTGTAACAAGTGAGAACTACATTTTTTGTTTGCAAATCTAAGCTCATTGTAGTGCTATTGCACTTATGCCTTCTTGTGGCTGCCCTGATTCCATAAATAATGACAGGCTTCTCTCTCCTGGCCTTGTTATTCTGAGTCGGATGGCCCATTGCCTGAGGATCTGAATGACATTGGATGGAAACTAAAGAGAGAAGACGAATAAAAAATACTACCCATCACCCTAGTCTGGCCATGAGAAAAACATCTAACAAATTCAAACTGAAGGACATTTATTCTACGAAATTCTTGGCCAGTGCTCCTCAAGGCTGTCCAGATTATGAAAAACAAGAGGAGTGTCAAATGGCCAGGGTCTCCCAGAGGCTCAGGATATAAGATGACTAAATGTGATGGGGGACCCTGCGTGGGATCCTAGGACAGAGTGAAGACACTTGAGGCAGTCTTCATGAAGTGTGGACTTTAGTTAATAATGATGTGTCCATATTAGTTCATTGATTGAGTCACTTGTGCCACACTAACATAAGCTGTGAACAATAGACGAAACTGGGTGCAGGGTATAGGTGAATTCTGTGCTATGTTTGCAACTTTTCTATAAATCTAAAATTATTCTAAATTCAAACGTTTACTAAAAATAATGCTTATGCCCACTCAGCCTCTGCTGACACCAAGCAAGCATCTGTGATAGGTCAAGTTTCAGCTCCATTATTTCATTAAATCTTCAGAACAACTTTATGAGGTATTTATTATTATTCCCATTTTATCACTTTGAAAACAGAGAAACTGAAGTTCAGGGAGAATAATCTTTTCTACGTTGATTGAGTTCCCTTGGCTTAAAAATGGCAGAGTTATGATTTTAACCCTCATTTATCTGACTCTAAAGCACACACTTATTTCAGTTCCCCATTTGGTTCTCAGAATCCTGTTCTCAAGAGATGGGGCAGAGGATGGGGAAATGGGATGGAAATGGTGGGAACGGCCTGTGTGTAGTTCAGCAGGACTGTGTCTGGTTTTCTGAGCCATTGAAGTTTCCCAAGGAGGATCACGCAGCCTCTATTTTCCCTAAAGGCTAAGGTCCAGGCTAGCTTTAGGTGAGTTTTCCCATTTCCTTGGATTTCATTGAACAAACATTAAAAAAGAAATTCCCCCTACAGTGGCCATGGGTGCAGTGTCTGCCATGCAGAGGAGAAGCCGCTGGTTGTAGCAGCAACACTCCAGCTTACCTGGAGCAAAGTAAGTATGGTCATGCTGCATCCTTTTCCAGAATCCCTACCACTGTCTGTGCATCTGGGTCACTGGCGAACCTAAGGACGTCCAGAGCCCTAGTTTCTTAAGATTCTGACTCAGTAGATGAGAGGAGAGCCCAGAAATCTGCATTCAAAATTATTTATTGATGATTTGGCCATGAATCTGTATTCTAATTCTGAATCTCAGAGAATCAACTCTTGTTCTCACCTGAAGAAAATGTAAAACCACCCTCAACATGGTTGTCTCTTGAGTAGGTAGCATTAATAGACTGTCTAGGCCAGGAGTCCACAAACTATACCTCTGGTTAAATGGCCCACAGCCCCACCAGCCTGTTTTGTAAATAAAATTTGATTGAACAGAGACATGCTCTTCGTTTATTTGTTGTCTATGGTTGCTTTTTGCTACTATGGCACAGTTGAGACTGTATGGCCCTGAAAGTTTAAAACAATAATCTGACCCTTTACAGAAAAAAGTTTTCCAACCCATGGTGTAAAAGACAGAAAGGGTCTGGAATAACAATTAGTCGCAGTTAAAGGGAAAGGGAGTCTAGTTGCTCTCAAGCTTCAGTGTACCCAATAATCTCCTGTGATACTTATTTAAAAATGCCATCCCTTGAGATTCTGATTTAGTAGCCTGGGCTGAGGCTAAGAAATATGCATTTTTAGCAAGGTTTTGAGACACATGGTCCTACTCACCAAGAATACGGACCCTGACAATAGCTTGACCTGGGTCCATAATCCTCTCTAGAGGTCTGTGTATGTTTAGTTATTACTGTGTATTATATTTGGACAAAGATTTAAAAAATAAAACTAAATATCACTTTTGTGAACTAAATCATGCCCCCCCCAACAAATTCATATATTGGAGCACTAACCCCCATATGACTGCATTCACAGAGAGAGTCTTTAAAGAGGTAATTAAAGTTAAATGAAGTCATAAGTGTAGGGCTCTAATCTGATTGGACTGGTGTTCTTATAAGTAGAGAAAGAGACACTAGAGATCTCTCTTTCTTCTCTGCAGGTGCATAAAGGAAAGGCCATGTGAGGACACAGCAAGAAGGCGGCCCTCTGCAACCTGACCAGCAAGATCTCACCAGAAACCACCCCTGCTTGCACTGTGATCTTGGAATTCTAGCCTCTAGAACTGTGAAACAATAAACTGTTGTTTAAGCCACTTGGCCTGTGGTATTTTGTTACAGCAGCCTGAACTGACTAATACAATCACTAAATTATCAAAAAGTGGAATTAAAAGTGTTATATCTGTTTCACTCAAGATATGAGTAGGAAACAGAGAAGAGTTAGACAAAAAAAAAACAAAAAACAGATAAACAGAAATTTAGTAAATATTTGCTGAGTAATGAATTTAGACATTTTGCTTTTTGATATGCTTTCAAGAACTTCAATGAGGTATAACTGACATTCAATAAACCACAATTATTAAAATGTACAATTTGATGTGCTTTGCCATATGAAACCATCATCAAAAATCAAGATCATAAACACAACTATCACCTTCCAAATCTCCTTGGATACCTATAATTCCTCCGTCTGCCCCTTCCTAATCTGCCCCCTGCCATCCTACAAGAGGAAACCTCTGATCTGTTTTCTGGCACTATAGATCTGTAGGTTAATGATAATTTTCTAGAATTTTATATAAATAGAATCATATGGGATGTAATCTTTTTTTGATTTTTTTCCACTCACCATCATTATTCTGAGATTCATCCATGTTGTTGCTTATATCAGTGTTTTATTCCTTTTGATTACTGAGTGATATTCTGTTGTGTATACTGTCATTCGTTTATTCATTTATATGTTGATGGACTTTTGGCTTGTTTCCAGTTTTAGGCTATTACCAAATAAAGTGCAAATCTTTCTATGGATAGTTTCATTTTTATTGGATCAACTAGGAGGTGTATATTTAACTGTTAAACTGCCAATTTTTTTCCAAAGTGGCTGTACCATTTCACCTCCTGCCAGCAGTGCATGAGAGTCCTAGTTCCTCCAAATCCTAGCCAACACCTGACGGTCATTTTAATCTGAGCCATTGAAACAGGAGTGTAGTGGTATATCATTGTGGTTTTAATCTGCATTTCCCTAGTGACTAACAATGTTGATTATCTTTTCATGTGCTTATTTATCATTCATATATCTTCTCTGGTGAAGTGTCTGTTTTGCCTATTAAAATATTTTTTAAAGTTATTGAGTTTTGGGGGCTCTGTATTCAGAATGTAAGTCCTTTATTAGACTTATGCTTTGCAAATATACCTTTCCAGGCTGTAACTTGCCTTTTCATTCTTTTATGAATGAAACAATGTTGGTCCAAAAACAAAGGTTTCTAATTTGTGGAAATACAGTTTACCAATTTGTTCTTAATGGACCATGACTTTGCTGTCATAGCAAAGAAGGTTTTGCCTAACTCAAGGCCACAAAGATTTTGTCCTGTTTCCTTCTACAAGTTTTATAGTCTTAGATTTTACATTTCATTCTACAATCCATTTGAGTTAATTTTTGTATATGGTACAAGGTGTGGATTGAAGTTCATTTTTTGTATATGAATATCTAATTGTTCCAGCATTAGTTGTTGAAAAGACTACCCTTTCCCCCATGGAATTACTTATGCACCTTTGTAGAAAATCAGTTATTTACATAAATGTGGGTCTATTTCTGTATTCTCTATTTTTTCCCATTGATTTATTTGTCTGTGTTTTGTACCAATCACACCTGTCTTGATTACAGTAGCTTTATAATAAGTCTTAAGATTAGTGAGTTTTGGTCTTTCAACTATTTTCTTCCTTCCAAAAAAAGTTATTTTGGCTATTCTAGGTCCCTTGCACTTCCATATTAATTTTAGAATCAGTTTGTCAATTTCCAAAATAAAAATGCTGGGATTTTGATGTCTTAGTGACAATAATGAGACTTCTTCCAAGGGTAAGTGACTCAATCCAGTTACCATTTCATGACAATGGAAGGTATGCAAACATATACACAAACAAAATCAGCAGAACATGATCACACTAATTTTGCTATCATTACCAGGAAACAATGAAACAAAATTAATTTCCCATCTTAATACTCTAGCTTTATTTCAGCTGTCTGCAGACATGTATGCACTAGCTTCCCTTTGGACACTCTTTTTTTAAAAAAATGAGGTGACATGGACATAATTTAAAAGTAACCATTTTAATGTGAACAATTTAGTGGCATTTTGTACATTCATAATGTTGTGCAACAACCACCCTTACTAATTTTAAAACATTTTCCTCACCCTAAAAGGAAAACCTGTACCCATTAAGAAATTGCTCCCTATTTCTCCCACCTCTGGCACCACCAATTTTATGTTCTGTATCCTGGATTTACCTATTCTGGCCACTTCACATAAATATAACTACACAATACATAACCTGTTGTGTCTGGCTTTTTTTACTTAGCATAATATTTTCAAGACTCATCCACATTGTATCAGGCATCAGTACTTTGACTGGATAATATTCCATTGTATGTGTATAGCACAAGTGGTTTATCCATTCATATACTGATGAACATTTGGGCTGTTTCCACTTTTTGGCTATTGTTAACAGTGCTGTTATAAATGTACATGTGCATGTATTTGTTTGAGTACTTGTTTTCATTTCTAGAAGTAGAATTGATGAATCATATGGTAATTCTACATTTAACTCTTTGAGAAACTGCCCAAGTCACTGTCAGAATGGCTGAACCATTTTACATGCTCACCAGCAATGCACAAGGCTTCCATTTTCTCCACATCCATGCTGAAATTCATTCTTTTCTTTTCTTTTTTTTGAATTATAGCCATTCTGGTGAGTGTGAAGCAGTAACTCATCGTAGTTTTGATTTCTCTTGTGACTTATGCTGTTGAACATCTTCTCATGTGCCTATTGCCCATTTGTGTATCTACTTTGTCTGTCAATCCTTTGTCCATTTTAAAATTGGATTGTTTGTATTTTGGTTATCAAAATGTAAAAGTTTTTATACAGTCTAAATACTAGACCCTTACCAGATATATAATTTGAAGATATTTCTCCCATTCTGTAGGCTATATTTTCACTTTCTTATTAATTTCCTTTGACCCAAAAAAGTTTTAAATTTTGATATAGTTTAATTAATTTATTTATTTTACTTTTGTTGCTTTGGCTTTCAGCATTTTATCTAAGAATCTATTCTCAAATCAAAGTCATGGAAATTTACCCCTATGTTTTTCTCTGTCTATTTAGATTTTTGATCTATTTTTGAGTGAATTTTTCCCTGGTGTGAGGTAAGGATCCAACTTTACTTTTTTGTAGGTGGCTGTCCAGTTGTTTCATCATTATTTGTTGAAGAAACTATTATTTCCCCACTTATTAGTCATGGAACTCTTGTCAAAAATGAATTGGCCATAGACATATGGATTACTTTGGACTCTCTATTTTATTCCATTGGTCTATATGTCTATCCTCATGCTAGTGTCATTGTTCTGATTTCTGTTGTTTTGCAATAACTTTAGACATTAGGAAGTGTGAGTCTTCCAACTTTGTTCTCCTTTACTAAGATTGTTTTCACTATTTAGGACACTTTACAATTCCGTACATATTTAAAGGTAAGCTTTTTCATTTCTCTAGTAAAGACCATTTAAATTTTGATATCAATTTTTGTGTTGGATATATAGATCAATTTATGAAGTTTAAAAATATCTATTTAAAAAATAAGTTTCTAATTCATGAACATGGGGTACTTTCCATTTCTTTTTATTATTACTATTATATTTTAAGTCCTAGGGTACATGTGCACAACGTGCACATCTGTTACATATGTATACATGTGTCATGCTGCTGTGCTGCACCCACTGACTCGTCATTTACATTAGGTATTCCTGCTAATGCTATCCCTCCCCCATATCCCCCACCCCATGACAGGTCCTGGTGTGTAATGTTCCCCACCCTGTGTCCAAGTGTTCTCATTGTTCAATTCTCATCTATGAGTGAGAACATGCGGTGTTTGGTTTTCTGTCCTTGCAATAGTTTGCTCAGAATGATGGTTTCCAGCTTCATCCATGTCCCTACAAAGGACATGAACTCATCCTTTTTTATGGCTGCATAGTATTCCATGGTGTACATGTGCCACATTTTCTTAAACCAGTTTATCATTGATAGACATTTGGGTTGGCTACAAGTCTTTGCTATTGTGAATAGTGCTGCAATAAACATACATGTGCATGTATATTTATAGTAGCATGATTTATAATCCTTTGGGTACATACCCAGTAATGGGATCTCTGGGTCAAATGGTATTTCTAGTTCTAGATCCTTGAGGAATCACTACTCTGTTTTCCACAATGGTTGAACTAGTTTACACTCCCCGAACAGTGTAAAAGTGTTCCTAATTCTCCACATCCTCTCCAGCACCTGTTGTTTCCTGACTTTTTAATGATTGCCATTCTAACTGGTGTGAGATGTTATCTCATTGTGGTTTTGATTTGCATTTCTCTGATGACCAGTGATGATGAGCATTTTTTCATGTGTCTGTTGGCTGCATAAATGTCTTCTTTTGAGAAGTGTCTGTTCATATCCTTTGCCCACTTTTTGATGGGGTTGTTTGATTTTTTCTTGTCAATTTGTTTAAGTTCTTTGTATATTCTGGATAAACTGAAACTGGATCCCTTCCTTACACCTTACACAAAAATTAATTCAAGATGGATTAAAGACTTAAATGTTAGACCTAAAACCATAAAATCCCTAGAAGAAAACCTAGGCAATACCATTCAGGACATAGGCATGGGCAAGGACTTCATGACTAAAACACCAAAAGCAATGGCAACAAAAGCCAAAATAGACAAATGGGATCTAATTTAACTAAAGAGCTTCTGCACAGCAAAAGAAACTACCATCAGAGTGAACAGGCAACCTACAGAATGGGAGAAAATTTTTGCAATCCATTTCTTTAGATCTCTAATTTCTAGTTTTGGGGAGAGTTTTATAAATGTTCGGTAAAATTCATCTGTAAAGGCATCTGATCCTTGGCTTTTCATTGTTGGAAATTTTTGTTGTTGTTATTTGTTTATTTTAAATTACTGAGTCAATCTCTTTACTTATCAATCTGTTCAGATTTTTTGTTTTTTTTTGAATCAGTTTTGGTAATTTGTGTTTCTAAGAATTTGTCCATTTCAGACTGGTTATCTAATTTGTTGATGTATAACTGTTCTCAGTATTATCTTACAGTTTATTTCTGTTAGATTAGTGGCAATGTCCCCCTTTTCACTTCTGATTTTATTTGTTCTTTTTTTCTTTTTTGCCAGTCTAGCCAAAGTTTTGTCAATGTCGTCGATGTTTTAAAAAAATCAACTTGGTTTCGTTAATTCTTTCTATTGTTTTCCTATTCCCTATTTCATTTACTGCAACTCTACTCTGATTATTTCCTTCTTTCTAGTATCTTTCAGTTTAATTTTCTCTTCTTGTTCTAGTTTCTTAAGGTGTAAGTTTAGGTACTGATTTAGATCTTTCTTCTTTTTTAATGTGGGCATTTACTGCAATAAATTTCCCTCTTAAATACTGTGTGGGATATATTCTATTAGTTTTGTTATATTTTGTTTTGATTCATCTTCAAGTATTTTTATGGCCCTTGTTATATCTTCTTTGACTCACTGGTTGTTTAAGAGTGTATTGTTTAGTATCCACATGTTTGCGAATTTCCCAGTTTTCCTTCTGCTGTTGATTTTAACTTCATTCCATTATGGTCAAAAAAGACATTTTGTAGGCCAGGTGTGGTGGCTCATGCCTGTAATCCCAGTACTTTGGGAGGCTGAGGCAGGCGGATCACGAGGTCAGGGTTTCGAGACCAACCTGTCCAACATGGTGAAACCCTGTCTCTACTAAAGATACAAAAAAAAAAAAATTAGTCTGGTGTGGTGGCTTGAACCTGTAATCTCAGCTACTCAGGAGGCTGAGGCAGGAGAATCGCTTGAACCTGGAAGGCGGAGGTTGCCGTGAGCCAAGATCTTGCCATTGCACTACAGCCTGCGTGACAGGGCAAGACTTCATCTCAAAAGAAAAAAAAAAGATATTTTGTATAATGTCAACTCTTTTAACATTATTGAGACTTGTTTTGTGACCTAACCTATAATTTGTCCTAAAGAATACCATGTACAAATATGAATAATACATATTTTGTTGTTAGAATATGTATTGGGTGGAGTATTCTGTGTGTTAGGTCTAGTTGTTCAAGTCTTCTATTTTCTTATTCGTTTTCTGTTTATATTTTATCCATGATTTAAAGTGGGGTATTGAAGTCTCTATTACTGCAGAACTATCTATTTCTCCTTCAATTTTGTCAGTGTTTGCTTCATATACTTGAGGTGTTCTGTGAAAGGGCTGTATATACAACATGATCTCCAAATGCAGATTGAGCCAAGAAATGAAAAAATGAGTCAGACAAATCCAGTTTGTCAGTAAATGGTGATTTATTAGAGGACTTACAGACAGAAATGTGGTCTTGGGTGGCTGCAAGCCAGGAAGAATTCGGCAGTGCAACCCTCTAGGCCCAGGGCTTATATATCTTGGGTGGGGGGTAAGTACATATCCCTGGAAGAAATGTGTAGGTGACTTAAAGAATACTACTGGCATCACAACCTATGATGCATCCAACATCAAGGGCTGTTTTGGAGGAAAGGTGAAACTTACAATAAATAGGTATTTCTACATAGGGAGTAATATATCAATGAGACATCTTGGAGGAATTCCCAGATTCAAAGTTAGTCAGGAGTCACATGGCAGATTAGCATCTAAAATAGAATCACTCTTGTCCCCATATGGAGGCTCTGTTGTTTTGTGCATACATGTTTATAATTGTAACTTCTTGATGAATTGACTCTTTTACTGCTATATAATGTCCTTTTATCTTCTAACAATTTTTCACTTAGTGTCAAATTTGTTTTTTAGTATAGCCACTCTAGCTCCCTTTTTTCTGCTTTTTTAAGAAAAAAATTATTTCAATAGTTTTTGGGAAACAGGTGGTTTTCGTTACAAGATTAAGTTCTTTAGTGGTTATTTCTGATATTTTGGTGCACCTGTCACACAAGCAGTGTACACTGTACCCAATATGCAGTCTTTTTTCCCTTACACCCATCTGAACCCTTCCCCTCAAGTCCTTAAAGTCCATTATATCATTCTTATGCCTTTGCATCTTCATAGCTTAGCTCCCACATATAAGTGAGAACCTAAGATACTTGGTTTACCATCCATGAGTTACTTCACATAGAATAATGGTCTCCAACTCTGTCCAGGTTTCCACGAATGCCATTAAATTTGTTCCTTTTTATGGCTGAGTAGTATTTCATGATGTATATATACCATATTTTCTTTATCCACTCATTGGTTGTGGACATTTAGGATGGTTCCATATTTTTGCAGTTGTGTATTTTGCTGCTATAAACATGTGTGTGCAGGTGTCTTTTTCATATAACAACTTCTTTTCCTTTGGGTAGGTTTACAAAAACTATCTTTTTCCCGTTCTTTTACTTATATATGCTTATTTATATATATTATATATACACTTTTAATATATACTTATTACTATATATTAATATAATATAATAATAATACAATATAATATATGTATATATGTAGGTATATAATAATATACCTACATATATACATATATTATATATACTATCTGTATATTATATGTATAATATATGTATATATAATATATGTATATACTATACATGTATATATTATATTATACATGTATATATTATAAGTATATACTATACATGCATGTATTATATGTATATACTATACATGCATGTATTATATGTATATATTATACATGCATGTATTATATGTATATATTATACATGCATGTATTATATGTATATATTATACATGCATGTATTATATGTATATATTATACATGTATGTATTATATGTATAGATTATACATGTATATATTATATATGTATATATTACACATGTACATATATGTATATATTAAACACGTTTATATTATTTATTATACATGTAGGTATATATGACATATGCATATATCATATAGGTATATATGACATATGCATATATCATATAGGTATATATGATATATGCGCATATATCATATAGGTATATATGATATATGCGCATATATCATACAGGTATATGCGCATATATCATATAGGTATAGGTATAGGTAGATATATGATATATGCACACATATCATATAGGTATATATGATATATGCGCATATATCATATAGGTATATATGATATATGATAGGTATATATGATATATGATAGGTATATATGATATATATCATATCGGTATATATGATATATATCATATCGGTATATATAGGTATATATCATAGGTATATATAGGTATATATCACATAGGTATATATAGGTATATATCATATAGGTATATATAATATATGCATTTATATTATATAGGTATATATATTACATAGGTATATGTAATATGTGCATATATATTATATAGGTATATATATTATACAGGCATATATAATACGTATATATATTATATGGGCATATATATGTGTATATATTATATAGGTATATATAATATATGTGTATATATTATGTGGGTATATATAATATATGTGTATATATTATGTGGGTATATATAATATATGTGTACATATTATGTGGGTATATATAATATATGTGTATATATTATGTAGGTATATATAATATATGTGTATATATTATGTAGGTATATATAATATATGTGTATATATTATGTAGGTATATATAATATATGTGTATATATTATGTAGGTATATATAATATATGTGTATATATTATGTAGGTATATATAATATATGTGTATATATTATGTAGGTATATATAATATATGTGTATATATTATGTAGGTATATATAATATATGTGTATATATTATGTAGGTATATATAATATATGTGTATATATTATATATGTAATAGGAAGCAGGAATGAATGCACAGAAGACCTTAGAGTTTAAGGCATTATTTGTGTAATGAGAAATATTATATATACGTATATTAATATAGACGTATATATAATATATACATATATTAATATAGACGTATATATAATATATACATATATACATATATAGTATATACTATGTATACATATATACTATACATACGTATATTATATACATGTGTATTATATACATGTGTATTATATATATGTGTATACATATATACTATATATACATACATTATATACATACATTATATATGTGTATTATATATGTATATATTATGTATGTATATATTATATATACGTATATATTAATATACATATATATGTGTCTCATTATACCAATAATGCCTTAAACTCTAAGGTCTTCTGTGCATTCATTCCTGCTTCCTATTACATATATATTATATAGATACATATATAATATATACATATATACTACATAATATATGCATATATAATATATACATATGTTGTATATGTATATATAATATATACATATGTTGTATATGTATATATAATATATACATATGTTGTATATGTATATATAATATATACATATGTTGTATATGTATTATATGTATATATTACATATTATATATACTTATGTATGTATAATATATATATAATATATATATATCTTAGGCAACTTTTCATTGCTCATTTTTATTAAACCCTGAAAACTTTCACTTTACTCCATTTCTAAGTTTGATATTCTGGTAGAATTAAAGTAAGAGTTTTCTTTCTTTCATCTCCTTTTTATCTCTCTCATATTGATTTCTTTTAATGGAAAATTTTTTTATTTATTATTTTATCGTTCCGATAGACTTTGCCGAGCATCTCTCCTCAAATCTGTATCCAGATTATTTCCTCAATTGTCTTGAGTTGGCTGTGCTATATCATTAGTTTATGTCTTTTTATCTTCCCATGTAAATACTTTACTAATTCTGGGACCAGAATAGATATCTTTGTATGTGTTTTAGTTAGCTATTGCTGTATAATTCCAGTATCCATAGGCGCACTTTGTTAAAGAGTGGCTCATCCGTCTATGGTCACATGAAAGGAAGTACAATTCAGGGTTCTTCTAACCATCCCTGTCCCACAGATCTTCCAAGGAGACAATGTGGTCTCATCATGCCTTCACAATCATTGGTGTAATGATTTCCATATTTCACAGAAAACCCAATGCAAGGCAAAAGAGCTTGGTTGAGTCACCCCAAGTGACAAAGTCATACTTAAGCTTCTGGTTTCAGTCAGTCATCTTTGCTGAGAGGTTGGAGAACACATACTAGTTAAGACAAATAAATAGCAATTTAAACTTTGGACATGCTTTCTTCTCTTAGCTATGGGAGGGACACATGTTTGGAGAAAAATCAAAGCATGTCAGGAGGGATGTAAAAACATTTTTATTTCTAATCAACAAGTTTATAATGCTTTAAATGCTTTTGGTTTGTAACAAGTTAAAAATGAATGTCTATTTGTTTTTTTTAAAATCTGTCTTCTTTGCAGTATGATTTCCTTGGTGTTAGAAGAAAAAAAACTGTGCCTTATGAAAATATAGATTAAAAATGTCTAAAGATGTAGTTATTAGACATTTTTCTTCAAATGCAACAATATGTAGTTAATCAAAAGATAATTACGTTTCCTGAAAAATTACTTTTCCTATTAATTCAGTGTTTTTAAAAAGACTTTGTATAGTATGGCCTAATTAAAACAATATACACAGTCTTGCTAGATGCTTTGCCAGAGACATTTCATTGAAGTGGTGACATTTCTATTCAGCTATCATTAGCAGGACTGAGGGGCATCTAGAGTCATTTCACTTTTCCAATTCTAGTGAAGTCTGAAACTAATTTAGGGTTAAACGAAAAAAGCTTCAAAAAAGGCCAAGAACAAGTATAAGCAGCCATGGGCACAGTGGAGCCAGGTTAGAAGGGAGTCCTAAATTTCAGGACAATAATTAGGAACAACCATTTGTCTTCTAGAGATGTTTTGGGAAACCAAGGTCCTATAGCAGAAAAATTTCTTAGGATTCAGATAAAATCCTGAGTCATCTAGGAACAGAATACTCACACCAGCTTTTCTTATAAAAATGAACACTCCTTCCCTATTGCACTCCCACAGCCTCATGCCCATATCAACAGTTGTCCCAAGTAGGCCTGTGTCAGCTCAGTTCTTGGGTTCTGGTTGTAGGGCTCCCTGAGTCAAATTATAACTCAGTGGGCTTTACTGATTATTGACTCTCCACAATTTGTGGCCTCAGGTGAGGCCTAACTTGAACTAGAGTCACCACCAGCATATTTTTTAAACAGTCCAAGAAGAGGCTAAAAGCTACAGTATGAGGTGACAAATGGAGGTCTTCTTTAATGACCTTCTAGAGTTTCATTTAACTAGGGGATTTCTCAGTCAGTGGCATGAGATCAGAGAGATTTTTGAAGACAAAGTGTAATTAATAGAGTGGGCCATGGACATAAGAGAGAAAGCAACTTCCCAATTTTGTATACTGTGCACTATTTCTGCATATTTATGATGCTTAAGTTAGAGTGCTGAGTGTCAAATTCATATGTAAAAATTTAAACCACATGACCTGTGAATTGGCAAGTTTTTGAAAGAATTCTGTTTAATGTATTTGAATCTCATATATACTTCAGTTTGAAACTCCTGTTGAGTGTTTATTAGTTCTGTTCAGTAAAGTGTTACATGAAGATAAATATTAATTTTCCCTGCAAAAAAGTAGCAAAATATAAACTGTAGATCAAATACTGGCCAATTTGTCAAAAACATTTTTGTGTAAAAGAACATTAAAGCTTAATAGATGAATTGAACAATATAATTGGTTGAATAGTTTCCTTCAAAATAACATAAACACATATGTTGGTAGGAATCACATGAATAACCAAGTATCACATAAAAGCCTTTATAAGATGGGCAAGGTTATGCTATAAATAGTTTAAGATGAGTTTTCCTTTGACGACTCTGTTTTGTTATCTGGTATTAAATAGTTTTTATTCTGTAACTTTGGGTCTGCTCCCTATTACCAAATATTTATTGTGTTTTCACTTAAAGTAAACTTGACTTTAAAAAGAAATCATAAGAAAAAAATTTTGTTTTTGTTGGTTTCTTTTTGTAAATGAATATTTACCCAAATCATAGATTCTCTCTTTGAACTACAGAGGCTTCAAATGGGAGAAATCCTCCAAGCCATGGCATATTTTTATGGTGTAACTACTCACTCAAATGTCTTTCCAAAGTATGTATTATAATAATCATTCACAAATAAATGAATAAATAAACACAAATGCATGCTCATGTAACATGTGTGTATATATTTTGTCCAAGTGTGTGGGACATCTTTTTAAAAAGATTCATGGTTGACTAAGAATGCCCACTTTTTTAGAGCAACTAAAGTTGTAGGCATTTTCTGAGATATAATTTGATTGTCTGACATTCATGATTGCTTCTTTGATGTATTAAATTTGGTTATTTATCTGAAAAATTTAAAAAGACAATAGAATGCTATTCATGAGATGCTCTAATTATGACACATTTACTGAAATGTTTATTAAGCTTATTAAACTAAAATAATTACTGATTACTGTAATACAGCCCACACTAAAATTTTATGTTTCCTTTAACTCAGCAAATAATTTCTAGAATATTATCCCATGAATACTTGTAGAACTTTGATGGTAACACTGTTTATCTCATCCCTAATTATGGAAGCAAAGGGTGAAAATATAAAGGTCCAAAAATAGAGAATTAGTTAGATATTATGTGATAAAAGATAATATTCACAATGCCATATTAAGTAAAAAGTTGGTCGTATGTGCATCAAATAACCAAAAGTAGGTTATTTGCAATTCTTGGAATTGATGTATTCAACGTTCATCTAAATCCCAAATGTAACGAATTGCACCTGCATGTCTGTGTGGATATATATGTATACATATATATGGGTAATTATGTGCATTATATACTTATATATTTAAAAGTAGTATTTATTGTTAATATTGTAAATATTCCCTAACAAAAATGCAAATATTGCTAATAATGTGAAAATCCATGAATACTTCTGGTAGCACACAGAAAACAAGAAAATGAATGGTTGGCACCACTGGAAAATGATGTTTTGTTACCCAAGGACTTGCTGTCATTATGTTTTCTGAGAGAAAATTAATTTTTGTCTTGTACTTACTTATTTTGACTAAATGCTTCCACTGCTTAAAACTCTCTGTGTTCTGAAGCCATGTCTATCTCTAACGTTGACAGAAGCACAGCATGCAGATCTTCATTGCCTTTCCATGCAGTCACCCTTTGCTTTGAAGACATAAGGCAAAAAATGGAGAGAAGCATTTACCTGGGGCCTCAACTACATTAGTCCTAAGGTGGCTGCTTAGGGTCATGTTCTGATTAAGGTGCCCTATATTTATTAACTTGGGCTTTTTTTGGTGTGATATTTGGGGCGTATACTTTAAAGTATACGCATATGGCAGAAGTCTCTTTTGCCCAGGCAGAAGGGTATGCTGTTTATATGTAATACTTAAGCCCATTGGCTAGAGACATTGTTCTTTAATATTTTTCCATATCTTTTTATGTCTTCTTTCATCCTTTTATTTTCAATGGATTTTTATCTCTGAATATAAAGTGTGTCTCTTATAGACAGCATATAGATGGATCATTTTTTAAAGTACTGTGTGACAAAATCTAACTTTTGATTGTTTACTCCATTCACATTTAGTTCTATTATTGACATAGTAGGATTTTTATGTGCCATTTTAGTTTTTGTTTTCTATGTCTCATGCAATTTTTATTCCTTTATTCTTCCTTCACTGCTTGTTTTTGCATTAAGTGGATGTTTTCTAATGTAGCATTTTAGTTTATCTAATATTTATTTCATTAAAGTTTTGAGGTTTTTTTTAAAATAGTTCCTCTAGGGTTTACCACATGTATCTTAATTTATCAGAATCACCTTCAGATTTTCACTTTCTTAATTGCAGTTATATATGGAAACATTAAATGGAATAATGATTCCATTAGAGCTTTATTTCATTTTCCCCTTTTTTGGTATTATTTTTATATATATCATTACCTCTATTGATATTACAAACCAACAATGCATTGTTATAGTTATTGATTTACCATCTATCCTAACACAGTTTTGCTCCCTGTCACCTCTGTTGTGCTAGTATCGGCAAATATATTATCCATATGTTGCATATTTATATGTGATAAGCCCAAAATTACATTGCACATATACATATTATTTTATACAATTGATTTTAAATAACATACAAGAAATGATAAAATGTGCTTTTATGCTGTTTTATAAAATTACAAAATTATCTTTACCAACGTTCTTTGTTTGTGTGTGTGTGTGAATTCAAATTAGTGTCTAGGGTTACTTACTTTTTGTCTGAAGGACTTTCTTCAGTATGTCTTGTAAGATTAATCTGGTAGCAACAAATGACCAGTTTTTATTTATTTTAGAAAGTCTTACTTCACTCTCATTTTCGAAAGATAATGAAATGTAGCTTTGCCGGATGTAGAATTATTGGTTGAATTTTTTGTTTTCGGCACTTTGACTGTTTCATCCCACTGCTTTCTGTCTTTCACTGTTTCTGTTGAGAAGTCAGCTGTTAATATTATTGGGGTTCCATCGTAAGTGATGAGCTTTTCTCCTTCTGCATTCAGGGTTTTCTTCTTGCCTTTGACTTTCAGCATTTTTACTATGATGTATCTGTTTGTTGATCTCTTGTGTTTGTCCTAGTTGAATATTCTAGATGTGTGAGTTAGTGTTTCTCAATAAATTTGAGAAGCTTTCTGACAGTGTTTTCTTGAATTTTTTTCTTCCTTTTTTTCTCTCTACACCTTCAGGTATGCCTACATGGTACAGGTGACATTGTCCCATATTTTTCTCAGTCTGCCATCATTTTTCTTTATTCCTTTTTATCTCTGTTCTTCAGCTTGTATAATCTCTATAAATTTATGCTCAAGTTCACCAATTTTCTCTTTTGTCAGTTTAAATCTCTGTTGAATCACCTAGTGAATTTTAAAATTTCAGTTATTATATTTTTCAACTCCAGAATTTCCATTTCATTCTCTTTTATAATTTATTTCTATTTATTAACACAGGTTGAATATCCCTTATCTGAAATGCTTAAGAGCAGAAGTATTTCAGATTTCAGATTTGGGTTGGGTGGATTTTGGAATATTTGCATTATCTGTTGACTGATTCAGCATTCTTAATCAAAAAATTCAAAATTGAAAATGCCCCAGTGAAGCATTCCTTTGAGCATCATGTCAGTGTTCAAAACACTTTGGATTTTAAAGCATTTTAGATTTCAGATTTTCAGATTAGGTATACTCAACCTGTATTATCTTTGATGCAATGTTATCATTATACTTTATGCCTTTTATCATGCTTTCTCTTAGTTATTTGAACATAATTATAATGGCTATTTTGAAGTCTTTTTCTCTTAAATCTGATGTTTTGTCATTCTCACAGACAAATTTATGTTTTCTGCTTTTTCTGGTATATGGCTCATATTTTTCTGTTTCATTGCATGCCTCATCACTTTCTTTTGGAAGTTGGACAATTTAGATCATATGTATTGCAGCAACTGTGGGTAGTAGCCCTTCCCCAATGCTTAGCTTGTATTGTTATTTGCTTCTTTATGTTTTAGTGAGTGGCTGGATTATTTTAGCGATGTCTGTTTACCTCCAACAGTGGTAAACCTCTGAGGTCGTTTCTCAGGGAGGTGCAGTTTTGAGTATGTCTGTAGTCACTTGGGATGACACTGATATTAGTAGTCTCTTTTCCTGATCAACTCAGATATTAAACTCCACTAATGCTAACTGATTACTCTATTGTTTGCAATGATTCCTGGGGGCATAGGTTGCTCTACATACCAATCCAATCAAGTATGGCTCCTTTGTAAGAAAAGTTTCTAATGTCCTGTGTAATATTTGTTCTAACCCAGAAGGGTTTTTCTAGATGTCTTATTCCTTGTTTCTCTCTGGCAAACCAGTTGGTTAACTGTCTTGGGTGTATTTTTATTAAATACAAGAAAGTTCCCCAAATTGTCTTTCACCACAATATCCACTGTTCTTAAGAGTGACTTTAGGTTTAAATTTCTCCATCCTCTTTTGTAAATAAAGATAGTTCCCTTGGGAAGAGAGTAAGAGCTATGTATTTTATAGATTATTTATCTTCCCAGGAAAATTCTGAGCCAGTGCTCTGGAGCTGGCAGTAGTGGAAATGGAAATCTTCTCTCCTAGTGATATCCCCACTCTAGGAGCTGAGCACTGGGTGAAGGGGATAGCAGACTGAGGAGGTACTCCTGGCTTCTCTCTCCTAGCATGAATCTACAGCCTTATGAGCCAGATAAAGGGCAATTTGGGCTTCTGAGTTCTCAGCATACTGTACCTGTGGTAGAGCCTCTTTTCTTTAAGTGGGGCCTGGGCAGATAAGGGGAACCTCCACCTCTTGCCATTGCTTGCCTGGAAATTAGCCTCAACAACAAGTAGCTGAGAATAGGATGAGAAATGCTGAAGTCCTAATCATTTTGGGAAATAGGAAGCTCTGTGTTCTTGGCTGCAGCATTTTGGAGAAGGGTCTCTGCCTTGTTAAATTGAGAGGGGAGGAAAGAGGGCAAGGTATTGGTTCATATACCACATGGCCTCACCTTTGTTACTGAATTTTTTTTTTTGAGACAGATTCTCAATCTGTTGCCCAGGCTGGAGTGCAATGGCACAGTGGCATGATCTTGGCTCACTGCAACCTCTGCCTCCTGGATTCAAGCGATTTTCCTACCTCAGCCTCCTGAGTAGCTGGGACTACAGGCACGTGCTACCATGCCCAGCCAATCTTTTTTTTTATTTTTTAGTAGAGATGGGGTTTCATTGTGTTAGGCAGGATGGTCTCAATCTCCTAACCTCACGATCTGCGTGCCTCAGCCTCCCAAAGTGCTGGGATTACAGGCATGAGCCACCATGCTTAGCCTGCTACTGAATTTTTATAGGTTTTCTTCAACAGATGTTTATTCATTTACTATTTGCCTTTAGGGTTATTTCCAAAAGGTTGTTTTAAAATATTTTTTATTAATTTCCCTGGGGAGTAAATCAGCAGACCTACTCATGCTGTCATGCTAGGCATCAGTTTTCCCTTGCCTTCATTTTTGAAAGATAGTTTAGTTTTGCTGAATATAGGATTTTTGGTTGACAGATTTTTTTCTTCTGGTTCTTTCAGTACATTGTCCCACAGCATTTTTTCTTCCTCATTTCTCATGAGAAGTCATTTTTTAAGCCCACTCAGGTTCCATTGTACGTGACTAAAGACAAGTTTTTTTCTCTCCTGTTGTTTTCAAGATTTTCTCTTTGTCTTTGTCCTGAAACATTTTGACTGTAATATATCTATGTTTGGATCTCTTTGTGTTTATCCTACTTGAAGTTTAGATTTGGTGGTGAGCAATTAAAAAAGGTTATTAACTCAGTGAAAATAATGACAACAAACAAAATAGATGACTACCCAGGAGTTTAACAGAAAGAACCAAAGAAAAATATTTTAAAATAAAAAATAAAAGCCTAGTAAGACTACATTCAGCCCTGGGAATCTGAAGGCTATGTACATGTGCCAGACTGCACTCACCCAGGAGTGAAATGGGACAGTTCCCTGGTTCCCCTCACAGGACTTTGAGACAGGGGTGTTGCCTGCTTGGTAACCCCAGAGCTCAAACCCCTAAGGGGACCATGCAGACAGGCAGGTGTAGAGGCTGGTGTGAGCACTTTTGGGCTCTGGCCCCATGGCAGCATTTAGCGGTGGGGGTCTGCTACTCTGGAAGCCCAAGTGGGCATGTGTTACAGTGTGCTCTTTCAGCTTTGCTGTCTGCAGATGGCTTGTGTTAATCAACTCAATAGACCCTCTGCCTTATCTCAAGGGCAGGGGGTCAGTTTGACAGCCTTCTACATCCCAAGTCCTTGCCCAGTGTACCAGAAGAATCGGACCACACATGGGCTTGAAGGATGAGTGCAAGATTTTATTAAATGGTGGAGGCGGCTCTCAGTGAGATGGATGGGGAGCCAGAAATGGGGAATGGAGTGGAAGGTGGTCTTCCCCTAGAATCAGGCTGCCCAGCAGCCAGACACTTCTCTGACTGCTCCTGGCTGAACTCCCCTTGGTGCCAGACATCCTTCCTCTTCTCTCTTTTTCTGCTGTGTTGTTTCACTGTAGCTGGTCTGCTGGTCCTGATGTTCAGCCACTTGTTTGTGTGCCTGCTGAGGTCTCAGGTTTATATGGGGGCAGGATGGAGGGGGCATGGCAGGCCAAAAGGCAACTTTTTGGGTGCAAAACCAGAAATTCCTGTCTTTATTTGGGGCTGCAGATTTTCAGGCTTGAGGGTGGGGTCTTTGCTGGGGATCCACCCTCTTCTACCCAATGTTTCCCTGTCTTCTGTCTGTATTAGGAGCAACCAGATTCAGCACTAGAAAGCTGCCATTCTCTGGCTAAATGTGGAGTGGACTTGAAAGCATTCCCCGAACTATACACAGATTTATCAACAAAGGGCCGAGGACTTACAAACTTAAAGGGCAACTCTGACCAATAAGTATCTCAAGTCTTGGTTGTGTAGATTAATGTTTTTCACCATACATTAGACATTTTCCATCATTACTTCCTCAAACATACTTTCTATCTTATCTTGCTCCTCCCTCTCCTTCTGATACTCCCATTATGTGTCTGTTGGTATGCTTAATGATTTTCATAGCTCTCTGAAGAGTTTTGCATTTTTCATCATTCTCTCATTCTGTTATTCAGATTGTAAATCTCTAATCATCTGTCTTCAAGTTTGCTGATTCCCTTTTTTGCCAGTTGAAATGTACTGTTGAGCACCTCTAGTAAACTTTTCATATCAGATATTGTGTTTCTCAATTCCAGGATTCCTATTTGTTTTGGAAGTAGTTTCTATTCTCTACTGGTATTCTCTATTTGATAAATCATTGCATCAAACCGCCATTAATCCTCTAAAAATAGCTTCTAAACAAACCTTTGATCTTATTTATAATAGCTGCTTTAAAATTTTTGTTTGCCACATCCAATATCTGGATTCTCTGAAGGGCGGCTTTTATTACTCACTTATTTTTTTTCTGTATACTGATCACACTGTCTTGCGTCTTTAGCATGTCTCATTTGTTGTTGTTTTTGTTGTTGAAAACTGGACATTTTAGATAATACATTGTGGCAACTCTGGATCTTAATTAATTAGTGCCTCCTTCTATCAGAGGCATGTTGATGTTGGTGGGTTTTGTTAGTTTATTTGTATAGTGGTTTGCCTGAACTAAATTTGTAAATTCTACTTCCTCCAAAGGGTTGCCTCTGATGTCACTGCTCAATCTTTTCTTCTTTGTTTTTATTAATTATTTATTTATTTATTTTGAGATATTTTCTTTTTTTTATTATACTTTAAGTTCTAGGGTACAGGTGCACAAAGTGCAGGTGTGTTACATATGTATACATGTGCCATGTTGCTGTGCTGCACCCATTAACTCGTCATTTACATTAGGTATTCCTCCTAATGCTATCCCCCCCCCCCCACCCCCACTGCATGACAAACCCCGGTGTGTGATGTTCCCCTTCCTGTGTCCAAGTGTTCTCATTGTTCAATTCCCAGCTGTGAGTGAGAACATGTGGTGTTTGGTTTTTTGTCCTTGCGATAGTTTGCTGAGAATGATGGCTTTCAGCTTCACCCATGTCCCTACAAAGGACATGAACTCATCGTTTTTTATGGCTGCATAGTTTTCCATGGTGTGCATGTGCCACATTTTGTTTGTTTTTATTTTTTAAGCTTGCCTCCTGGAAGCCACCATTTGCCCAGCATAGTTTAGTGTTCATTCAAATATTGGTCAGAATTAGTGCCCTTTAAGTTTGTACAACTTTGGCCCTTTGTTGATGAATATGTGTATAGTTTCAAGTTCACCCCACATTTTAACATAGGCTAGTAGCTTTCAAGTGCTCCATCTGGCTCCTCCTGGGTGAGTGCAGCCTAGCGCATATACTCAGCTTTCAGAACCCCAGGGCTCAATACAGTCTTAGCAGTCTTTTTATTTCTTTTTTAAATTTTTTTTTCCTACTCTGTTTCTTTCTGTTAAACTTCTGGCTGGTCAGCTATTTTCTTAGAACTCTATTGATGAGTTTTTAGACTTTTCTTAATTGCTCACCGCTAAGATCTCTATTATTTTCCACAATGCCTTGAGGCCTGAGTTTCTCCAGATAATATCAGCCCTTCCGTCAGATCTGTAGAGCTTCCAGTGTTCCCATCTTGCCCCTCCCTCTGGGAAGAATCTCTAGCGCTCTACTGTACCAGAACTGGAGGTGGAGATGGTGGTCTTCTTCCAGATTTATACCTTTACCTTATAAGTGGGAGCTGGGAGTAAGTATAGTAGCTTGTGGTATTCTCAGCTTGCCCCTCTCTGAGGGGAGCCTATAACATACAAGTAGAAACCGTGGACAGGCAGTAATCAGGGCCTGGTATTCTTGGCCTAAAAAGCCTTAGATAGAGCCTCCACCAAATAAGTGGAAGTGGGTGGGGGAAATGAGGCCCAGTTCTTGACCGCACCTCCCAGAACAGAGAGGAAAAGAGGCGCCAGCAGCTTGCCCCTCTTGGGGTGAAGCCATAGCCTTATGACTGTGTCCTGGGAGTAAAAGGATCTGCCATCCTCTCGGCCACACTGTTCTTTCCAAGGTTTTATAGATTTTATTGAATAAATGCTTCTCAATTTGCTGTATGCCCTTAGGTCCATTTCCAAAGACTTCAAATGGTTGTGTTTTATAATAATCGACACTTGATCATTGTTTCACTGGGGAGAGAAGTTGCTGAATTCCTTATAGTTGATCCAGAAGTCCTAATTGCATCCTTGTTTTTTTCCTATAATAATGTGTCTCAAGTTCATTTTGTACAATTCCTTTCCAGTCTTGCATTCATTTTCCAAAGGAGAACTTGTTCCTTTCAATGGGAAATGATATTTAAAGATCACAGCTTGGGTGACATTATTTCTAGTTCTTTTCACTATAAAGTAAAATGCTTTTTTCACTTTACATTTTCACCACTAGGAAATGATTTTTTAAAAAAGATAAAATACATCATGAGGTCATACTGGAAAACCTTATTCCCACAAACGCCAACATAACAACTTGTTTTATCCTACAAAACACACACAGCACCATTGTTACTACATATAATAAGATAATGGAAAAACCTATATACAAATGAAAAAGAGCCTTAAACGTTGTTTTACAGTTCTTCTTGTCCTTAGGACATGTCCAAGTAGTAATGTACAGTCAAATAATGTATCTCAAAGTAGCTAGAAATAGTTCCTCTGAGTGTGTTTACACCACAAACTACATACATAGTTGCTTTTTATTTTTATTTTTAGAAATTATTTTATGTATTTGTTTATTCAAATTATATACAAATATTTACATGCTTTCAAAATTAAGCATGCAAAATAAGATGTATTTTAAAAAGTTTAATGTCTATTTCTGTCTTCTCTATCTTAGTCTCTCTTTCTGCCATAAGTCAACATTTAAAATATTTTAATTTTACTTTTCTAATACATTTTAAAAAGAAAATTTACAGAAGCTTGTATTCATATCACTTTCCTTTCCTGAACAGTGCTAGAGTACAATACATTTTTTCCTACACTTTGCTTGTTTCTTTTTTAACAATTTAACTTAGAAAACATTCTGCAGTAATATATTAAAATATCTCTATTTTTTGTTTATTTGCTAGTATTTTATTCGGGATTTTTGCTTCCATGTTGATGGAGGATCTTCAAAATAACTGACCTGTGCGTTTGTTTGTATTTAGAGTATGGTGTCTTTGGTCCACAGCTAGTGGGGTATGAACTCTAGTTTCTGGGATCCTGCTTCGGCCTTGCAGCTTCACATTGATCTCTTTCATGTGTTGAATATTGTGTAATATTCCAGTCAAAGAAGATCCTGAAGATGTTTAAAAATCACTGCTTCAGAGTGACTCAGTTGAATGAATATATTTTTCCTTGCTAAAGGAAAACATTGTAATTTAAGAATTTCTTTTGAAATTTTTATTTTCCTCTGCCAGTTAATTCAGTGTTATTTTATTTTACCAGTTGGGATCAATAAATCTTTGTTACAGTCATCAACCATCACTATGATAAATTTTGAATTTCATGAGCTACTCACTCAATATTTTTAAAATTATTTCAAAATTGGACACTTAAGTTCATCTATGAGCTGGGTATAGGAAACAGTTAAGAATGTGTAGGTATCAGTGCAAACTGTGTCTTCCTGTACCTAGAAAATCCCCTGAATCTTTCTCCCATTCCAAGGACAGAATTTCTTTTTCCTACTTTGCACTTTTTCCTTCTCTTTAATTCCATTAAAATGAAGTTGCAATCTCTAGATGGCAGATATTTCTTAAGCACAAAAACTGCATAAATTTCAAATAATTTAATTCATTTTTCCATTAGTCAAATACACTTTAAAAAATTAAAGTGTATTTGAAAAATTTAAAGTGTATTTAGATTAATGCTTTTATCTATATAAAAGTAAACATGAGGCTGGGGGCAGTGGCTCACGCCTGTAATCCCAGCACTTTGGGAAGCTGAGGCGGGCGGATCACGAGGTCAGGAGATCGAGACCATCCTGGCTAACACAGTGAAACCCCGTCTCTACTAAAATACAAAAAAATTAGCCAGGTGTGGTGGCGGGTGCCTGTAGACCCAGCTATAGGGAGGCTGAGGCAGGAGAATGGCATGAACCTGGGAGGTGGAGCTTGCAGTGGGCCAAGATCGCGCCACTGCAGCCCAGCCTGGGCAACAGAGTGAGACTCCGTCTTAAAAAAAAAAAAAAAAAAAAAAAATAAATATGAAATATCTAACTATGCACTTGAGAAGTTTCTCATGCTATGGAAATTTGTTGCCCCAGAATTTAACTAAAAACAACTGAGAAACTCAATATATTGACTTTTCAAAGGAAAATTTTTTAAAAATTAGATGGATGTGGCTGAGACCGAACCTCTAGCAGAAGTGAGAATTGATATGGGTTGTTTGGTTAGGTTTGTGTGAGACTGCTAATTATTACAATGAGAGTCCATTAAAAAGTGTTCTGACAAAAAAAAAAAAAAAAAGTGTTTCTGGCAGCCTTAGTTTGTTCTACAACACTAGGCATTTTCTTTCTTTCTTTTTTTTTTTGAAGTGTGTACTTCCATTTAATTCTACTTCCTCTGGAAATGAGTTATCCATCACTTCTCTCTGTTTCCTTTTCTTTTATGTGTAAGACATCTCTGAGTAATGTGGAGTTCTTGTACCCTCTAAAGTGAAGATGCCTTTTGTCATTGGACCTTTCAGCTGCAGAGCAGGTTGTGTGAGGGGAGAGGTCATTGGCTCTGTTACTTATGTTAAAGACAGAAAAATTAGGGAACAAACAGCTGTAGTCATTTTCCCAGTATATCTCCTTGGGTTTTCAAGCTTTATCTGGTGTGGAGGGAAGGGTGTTTGCGAAGCAGTGTAGAGACGCTACATAAGGGTGAAGCTATCCCAGGATGGAATCATAGCTGTGGGTCACTTTTTCACATCAGAGGCTCCACTGGTAGATGTTGGCCCTTGGTCTTGGACTTTCATGGCTCTTAAGAATTTCATTTATCTTTGAAAGACCAGATATCATGTTTCTTTTTGAATCACTTTTATTTCTTCTCATCCTAGGGTTGTTTCAATGTAAAATAAACGAGAAAGACTCTTTGCTTTGTATCTGATTGCAGTTGATTTTATTGTGAGATCTTTAAACCCATCTGCCAATACTGATCATCTCCTCTGCTGGCTGAAGATGATAAACTCTGAAACATCTTCAGAGTCTGCATAAGGACAGGAAATGTGTGTTACTGGCCCCAGGAGGTCAACTTCCCCATCCTCTACATTTTTTCTAACTCTGGCTTTAGTTTTCAACAAACCTTAGCTGGTAGCCAAGAAAAATACTTTTAAAAACGCCCCTTCAAAACTGAAAGAGACAAGAGTCATAAATTTAAAAATAATTATAATGAAGCAGGAAGCTTGGCTTTCTATGCCCATCTTCCCCGTCCTTTCTATGAAAGACTTTGTGGGAAGGAGTCTGCTCATTTCCTTGATGCTCTGAACACATGAAACCCCTGTGCTGCTCTTCCCCTCCACCAGAGGGATGTTCCTGGACATTGGGCATGTGGCATTTTTCAGGGGAGGAAAAAAAATCCTGGTTTTGACTTAAGACCTCTCACTCAAATCTGAGAGGAAAATCTGTACATAAGTCTTGGTTCCCCAAAGGAGAGAAAATGAGAAAGCACTTCCTATCCATTAAAATATCCAAAACATTGCCGAGGGAAAGTTAAGCCAGTCCAGATGCTAAGCATGTTAAGTCTAAAGAAGCTCAGAAACCCTGTATGCTGCCAAAAAACAGTTAGGGTCATACTTCATCTAGACCATTTCCTTGAGGAAGCTCATGGCTTTCCAGTTGGTTCCGTGAGTAGGTAACACACTTACCTGTAGAGATCAAAAGCTAAACGTAGGCCCAGAGAGAGTGATCTTTTCTCATGTTTCTGCTTCACACATGCATACTCTGGAAATGATATGAGTGAGGGTCGATGGGCTCCAGAGGCCTCCTCCAGAAGGAACAGGATTACAGTCCGAGGAAACAGCTCACCATCCTGCTTCACAGAGGCTTTTCAGAGTTCTGCATGCTGCCCTTGAAGACAGTGCCATGAGGAGAAAAAGCTGCTGAAGCTATAAATCAGTGCAAATCATGTTTGCTATTTTAGTAAATGAAAGTTTTAAAATATAAACATATGTATGAATAATAACAGAGGCACTTCTTGAGTCCATTAGTATAATATATGAATTAGATATTTAAAAGTTGGCCAGTATGGTTGAGAAAGTACCATAATACTTTTTTTGTTTTTATTATATTTTAGTTATGCAACTGTACTGCAAGTCCTATGATCATGCAGCAAGAAAGAAAAGGAACTGAAACATGCTGTAGATGTGTGCTATGGTTTGGATATTTTTTGTTTGTCCCCACCAAAGCTCATGTTGAAACTTAATCCCCAGTGTGGTGGCATTGCGAGCTGGGGCCAGGTGAGAGGAGTTTCAGTCATGGATGTGGTCACTCATGAAGACATTAATGCCCTCACTCAGGGGCGAGTGACCAAAGACAAAGAATCTGGCTTCATTTGTTTCTCTCTCTTGCTTCCTCCCACAGCGTGTGATCTCTTTGCACATGCTCACCCCCACTTAAACTTTCCGTCATTAGTGAAAACATCATGAGGCCATTACCAGATGCAGCTGCCTAATCTTGGACTTTTCAGCCACCAGAACCATGAGCCAAATATACCTCTTTTCTTTATATATTACCCAGCTTCAGGTATTCTGTTGTAGCAATACAAAATAGACTGAGACAGTGTGTGAATGTGGAAAAGTCTGGGAATGTGCAAGTAGGCAGTAAGATGCTGTCTAACCAAAGCCTGAACTGAAAGGGCAGTGATGGGTATTTCTGTTTTCCCAAAGATTTTTCATATCATAGTGTAATTATATCAACAAGCACCCAAAGTTTTCAGAAGTTTCACAATATGCCTACATTAAGGCATACCAGATTATATAGATTCATTTTTAACAATAAATAACCCCTTAAATAATATTATTTTCCTGAATCTAATAGAGCAGGTTGTTGATAGAAACCTTAATTTTTAGTTTTATTTTAAGATGAATGTTCAGATTTTCCTCTTTTAAAAAAGTCGAAATTTGCATATTCTCAGAAGAAGAATGATTTTTTTTCTTTTCTTTTCTTTTCTTTTTTAACTATAGAGTAATGTTGGAGCTAGTGAAGTCTGCATTGACAAGGTTTACTGCAGTGGCAATCTTAAAAAGATGTGGTAGAATCCATGCAACCATACAAGGTATCCATTTTCTTTACAGCATGCTGCATTCCTACACCTCTTAATTAATGCTTTTCATTGGAAAAACAACAATCTTGGATTCCTGCCTTCATTGAATTCTGACAGAGAGTGTGTGTGGTTATAGTGGACTGTATCAGTTCAAAGACCCAAAGATTAGCTATTCGTTTGTGCTTGGGTTTTAAAGTGGAGTTTTCTGAGCTTTCTTTGTTCAGTATTCACTACAATTGAGTAGATTTTGGGGAAGAAATCTGTACTGTATTTGTGTAAAATTACAAAATAACACTGGTTTATGTCTGATGTTATATGTTTTCCCCAATTTTCTTTTTATTATCCTTTGTAAAATTGCAAGGCAATACAGCCTTCCAATTACAGGGACCACTGACAAACGTAAACAGCCATCAAGTACCAGTTGGCACACATCTCCTGTAGTGCATGCCATTGCCATCGCACCACTCCTCAAAAATGCACCCACAAGCTTATTCACAATTACGGATGCCACGGGAACAGGGAAAACAGATCCCGAGGGAAGCCAATGGTGACTGAAACTACTGGCTGACCTGGGAAACATGAGCCCATGTGGCAAAAATTAGAAAAAAAGTATTCATGGTCGAATCTATTGGCCACATTGCTAAGGTCAAAAATCTAACTAACCAGGATCAGATTCAATAAAAATTGTCTGACTTTTATGCCAAGCCATGCAGGCCTGGAAAAATCAATTTTCTGGAACTTGTAAAGTCTTACATAGTCGAGGCAAAGTTAGCATTCCTCTCCATTCTTAGTCTCAGAGCTGGCTTAGGAGGCCTGGAGAGACCTGGGTCAGCCACAGCCTTGGCTGCCCTAAGCAGGTTGTAATGGAAACGGGTAACCGGAAGAAAGGGTGAAAAACATGAACGTCGACCACTGTCAAGCTATATGTTTCCATGCCATGAACTATCAGTGTCATTTATTTATTCATTTTCATTTATTCATCAAACATTTAGGGGACTTCAACTCTGAGCCAAAGGCTGTGCTCCAAGTTGGGAAAATCAAGATGGAAACACATGGTCCCTGTTCTCAGTGAGAACACAGTTAAGCAATCACAAGGTAGTGCCACAAAGATTCTTCAAAGGAATGTAGAGGATCCCATGAGAACATCCAAAAAAGTCGTCTAATGAATTAAAGACTGAGAGAGTAAGAGTCTGTTACCAAGGAGGTGACAGCTTAGATTAGCCTTGAGGTCTGTATAGAGACGAATAGCCTGAGAGAGGAAGAACCTATTTGTGTAAGCATCAGGGGTAATGATGTGGAGATGTCTGTGTGTCTGTGTTTGTGTGTGGGTGTGTGTAACAGGATAGCGAGAGAGTAGACAGAGAGAGACAGAGAGACAAAGAGAGACTGAGAGAGAGAGGCAGGGAGAAACAGAATGTGTATGTGTAAGAGAGAGAGTCAGAGAGAGGAGAGAGAGGGAGAGAGACAGAGGCAGAGAGAGACAAAGTGTGCATGTGTGTGTGTGTGTGAGAGAGAGAGAGAGAGAGAAAGAGGGAGAGAGACAGAGACAAAGACCAAGATAAAGACAGAGACAGAGAGAGAATGGAAAGAGAGAGCGAGAGAGAAGATGATGAACTGGAGGTGGCCCTGTGTCAGGCTGAGGAATTTGAATTAATCCTGATGGCTTTGGAAAGCCAAAGCTACCAACATTTTTGAGCAGAGGAGACACATGTTAACATTACATTTTAGAAAGAGCCTGGACGTATGTGGAAGATGAATTGGAGCAAAGCTGAAGCCAGAGACATTGTATGTTTAAAGAAGTCACTGTAGTAATCAAAGAGAGTTGAGTTGGTTGGGGGGATGTATTAAAAAGTTTATGGTGATGAAGGCATGGGAATCAGAACTGGGATGGTTGGTGTAGAGATGGAGGCATGTAGGACGATGACCTACTCTCTGCCTTTGTTGACTGAATGAAGAATGGGGTATGCATCAGGCTAGGCACACAGAGGGAAGGGGCAGATGTAAAGGGTGAGGCAATAAAATGTGTGTGTATTGGTATTGGGGTTAAGTAGGCAACTGGGAGCATAATTCTGGGTTAAGGATAAAGTGGGCGTCATCAGTCTGTGGGTTATGGTTATATATTTGGGGTATAATGGAGGAAAGCTGACCAAACAGAGAAATATCAAGTAAAAAGAGATTATGGCTTAGGACAAAGTCCTAGAGGGTAGTAAGGTGAGGTTAAGACAGCAGAGAAACTCAAAATCACTGAGTAGCCATCGAGAGAGGAAGGCCACCAGAGAACAATGACTTTTAATGCAAGGAAAAAAGGTTCTAAAAAAGAGGGCCAGTTTCATTTTCTGCAGAAAGGTCAGCAAGATAAAAAGTGTGGAGCAGTCTTAAGAGGGCTGGGCTTGAGGCTTGGTGACAAGCAGCCCTGTGACACACAAAGTTTGTGGAGGCTGCATGCTGTGTTGTAAGCACGCAGCAGAAATGATCAGGACAGGGTGCCAGGAGATATTGCCCTGAGCCAGTTCAGAGAGTATGGCTTCTAGGATCTTCCAGTTACTCATGGGAGAGGATCTTGTTTGGATTGTGATGACAATCTGCCTGTTGAAGATAGGATTCTGCCAGGTCAAGAGTAGCCCTGAGTGGGGGATTATTAACCTTGTAAATCTCCAAACTCCACTCCTTTTTAATGTAAAAATGGCCTTTTCATGTTACTGGAATCAGGTTCCAAGTACCATATTTTATTGTGCCACCCTCCCTTCTGTCTACACAGTCCACTGGTGGTATAAAATGGCTTGATAAGACCATGCAAAGTGGACTGGGGTTTGCTATCCTGCTGGAGATTTCTTTTAGTTCATTTTGCCACACTGAATCTAAAGATGGGAAGAAAACCAAACCTGGAGTAAACTACTGGTCTGACATTCAGGGACTCTTTGATTCTAGCTTTGGGCTTCCTGGGGTAGATGCTGCCAGTGCCCCATCCCCACCCCTTTGGCACCTGCTCTTTTTGCATCATTGTTGGCTTTCTATCTCAGGCACCCAGAACTATGCCTGAGAGCTTTTTATGTCCTAGCAAGGTGTCCTCAGCCCAGGCACAGGGTAGCCCATTAATGCTGGGGAGTTCATGTCCATCTGCAAGGAGCAGCCCTCACATGAATGCTGATGAGAATTGGTGGATAAATGTTGCAGCTTCCTTGCCCCTGGAAACAAGGAAGAATTGCCATGGGGCAACTCCGATGCACTGTCCCTGGAGGTTCTCAGCAGGGTTGCTTAATGACCGCAATGGAAACATGCTTGATCCACACCTTTTAAATTTTTTTTGCTGCCTTCTCTTTCTTGTCTCATTTCCCTATTCTCTTAGGGGTGGTTCCTGGGATCACCGCCAAAATAAGTACTTGCGTGTGAATCCTTGTTTCAGGGTCCACTAGTGGAGAAATCCAACCTAATCGCCAACCAAATCCAAACTCAAAAAGCTCAAATGTACTTGGTATCATAAATTGAGGGCTAAAGAGAGGACTAGGTATCATAGGAATGAATCCATCAGTCCCCAAACCCAGAAAAATAAAGGTAGCTTTATTTTTCTCTTACTATGCTTAGTTTCATTCTGGTCATCTGCCCTATGGGGCTGCCTGTCCTCTTCCTTTTGGTCCTTTCTTGGCTCACCTTGAAAAGAGGAAGAGAACATTAGCATCTCCACCTGGGACGGTGGTGATGAGGCAAGTGGCCAGGGCAGGCCCCTTGCACTGGTGCTCTTGCCACCCAAGTGGGCTTGCTTCAATTTACTGTAGAGGTGCAAGGCTGGTAACTCACCACTAAGTCCGCAGAGCTGAGAAAATATTTGCCTAAAGATTAGCAGGGGAGGCCCCTTCTGATTTCCAATGTGCTGGACCTGATGAGCTCCAGGCTTTTAACCGCCTCAGGCTAGAGTTAGGGAAATATAGCTCTGGCCTGTGAGTGTGTGTGGGTTTGGTGGTGGGGGGCTGGGGCTGGGGGACACTGTTCTAGGGGTTGGTTGTGGGCATTTCCCACACGCAGCCAGCTGTTCTGGAAGGGCCCTTGCTTCTCCCCCTGGTCACACAGCACCTGAGGATGCCAGGCATTTAGTATCTCTCATAGCTGACAACTGTGTTTTGGTCTGCAGGGTGACCTACACTTTGCTGGTATAGAGGAAATTCAGCGAATTAACCAAATTCTCTGGTGCAGAAGAGCTGTGCAGATTGAGTTGTCAGCTGAACTCGCTTTCCTGTTGGTTGGTTAAGTTGTCCCAGGGCCTCTCTGCCGTTTCTAAATGAGAACTTTTACTATGGAGTAGAAAAAATGGCCTTCTACTCCTAGAGTACCTGAGGGTACAGTCCAAAGCAACCGTGACAAGTGTCAATTATTTTTTAAGTCTGCTGTTTTTAAGTTTGAAAATTTAAGTAAATTTTGCATACGTTTTTATTTTAGTTTTATAGGATATTTTAAATTTCTTGTCACGACGCAGGAGCCACATTGTGTTATTTTGTGGCTTCATGTCTTTAGCATCTGACCTTATCGTCTATATTTCTCCAGTGAGAAGCAAAGTGAGGGATGGAGTACTAGAGGCAGGACAGGAATTAGGGGCATTTTACCTGGTTCTGCACCTAAGTGACCATGTACACTTGGGTAAGTCATGGCAGCTCTATTGTCTTCTGTTTCTTCTCCCAGAAGGTGAGGTGGAGGGTGGGATGGGACAATATTTGCACGATGACTTCTAAAATTCCTTTGGCTCTTACATTCTAAGATGTATCCTGTGATTTTAGGTATTCTGATGATGTTTTCGTTTTTTTTTTTTTTTTTTTTTGGAGATGGATTCTTGCTCTTTTCATCCAGGCTGGAGTGCAGTGGCACGATCTTGGCTCACTGCAACCTCTGCCTCTCGAGTTCAAGAGATTCTCCTGCCTTAGCCTCCCAAATAGCTGGGATTACAGGCATGCACCACCGCACCCCGGTAATTTTTTGTATTTTTAGTAGAGATGGGGTTTCACCATGTTGGCTAGGAGGGTTTCTATCCCCTGACCTCATGATCTACCTGCCTCGGCCTCCCAAAGTGCTGGGATTACAGGCATGAACCACTGCACCTGGCCTCTGATCATGTTTTCTAAACATGTTCTCATGTTTAAGTAAATGAACATACACTGCTTATTGGAAATGAATCTACAAAACATATTTGAAGGGTAGATGATCTGAAAGTAGATGACATTAGACCAAACCATATCTCAGAGGCTGTCCCTAAAGGTATTGAAGACTTGAGAGCTCAAAGAGAAACAGGAAGTAACTTAAAACAATTTATGAACTTTTGAAAGACTGATGGGAGGATGTTCTCAATCAAGTTGGGTATCAGCATGCATATTTTATTAGCTGGAAGGAGAAGTTGCGTAAGGTGCTGGGAAAATATAACATTGGGGGTTTTTATTTTTATTTTGACATAATTTCAGTATATACAAAATATACAATATATGCAAAGCATATTTTTTTCTTAAACATATGAGAATACTTTGAAGACATGATTTCATCATACCCTTTATCTCTAGGTAGTTCCAGTTGCATTTCCTAAGATCCAGGGCATTCTCTTACATAACCACAGCATAAAATCAGGAAAGCAGATACTGATACAATACTACTACCTAATCTATAATGCACATTTAAATTTTGTAAATTGTTTCAATAATGTCCTGTCCAGGGTAAAAATTCTTGGTTTAGGATCCAATCATGGATTATGTATAACATTTAGTTATTATGTCTCTTTTCTGTTATTTAATCTGGAATGATTCCTTAACCGTTCTCTGTCTTCCTAAATTTCATATTTTTGAAGAGTACTGGTCAATTGTTTAGTAGAATGTCCTTCACTTTACATTTGTCTGATGTTTCTTCAGGGTTAGATTCAGGTCATGCATTTTTGGCAAAAACACCACATAAGGTGGCAGGTCCTCAGTGCAACACATGAAATTGGTTTGTCCTATTACAGGTGAAAATAATTTCATCACTTGTTAAGGTAATTTTAAAAAATCTGATCCTTGAATTAAATATACTGTAAGGTTGAAATTTGCTGATTCTTCTTGATGCTGACCTCTCTAGAAGAAACAGCCTCATTGCAACAGTGCCACCTGCTGAAAAAAAGAAATGACTGTCTTAGAATTTAAGTCCCCAGATACAGCTTTGATTGGAAGCTTTGATGGCTTCCAAATATTATATAACTTAAGATAAAATCTAAACTTTCCAGAGGTGGGATTGGTTAGATAGCAAAGCTTGGTCAAGAGTTTAAGGCAGTTGAAAAGGAAAATGTAGAGCAGAAGGTAATTGTATGAAGAACAGGGTTAAACAGGTTCTAGTGCCTCCTGGGGGTTTAACCTCTCAGAGCACCTTAGGAAGGCACCGCTCATCATGAGAGGCTCCCATTCCTAATTCAGAAACAGAAGGACCCAGACCTGTGGGTGGGCTTCACCTTCTCAGGTAATACCTGATAGTCCACCAGGCAGACGGGTTTGGCGATGCTTCCAGCACTGAACACTCTCTGGGTTTGCTAGAACTACCCAGGCCAACACCTCACCACTTTTTTTTCCTCTCATTTTTGTAATGTGGCTTCTTATAAATTTAAACTTGTTTCAGCATTTGCCTTGTTGCCTGTCTGGAAATAACAAGTTGTTTGTTTTGCTTTATAATTTGAGAAACAGGCTACCATTCCCTTCCCATCATGGAAAACATTCTGCAATGATCTGTATCATCTTCCAATCATGGTAATCACTGACTAACCTGTTTTCACCAGAGAGGTTTTTTATCTAATTGGAAGTTTGAGCCTGAAACTCAGAGAAGATAAATGGACAATTTTGGTCTCACGTGTTTTGTTTAATCACTCATTTCTGCGTAAACACCATTTCTTGAGGTATGGAAGGATATAAGATCTGTTGATGATATTTGAATTTGGGACAAGTTATTTTTATCCTGTTATTGGCCATTCTTGACCATCAAGAGCCAAAAAATTGATCTGGAATTGAAGGAGAAGTGGGAAAACATGAAAGATGATTTTGGTTCTGTAGTTAAGAGATGGAAGAGTTAATAGCACAATCTGAATGCCAAATACAAGAATATCTGATGAGATCATCTCAGTCTTTATTATTTAGATCTGGTATCTAGGTGGATGAGTGGAAGGAACAATCGACTGCTCAGACCACAGCCGAGATTGCAGAGATGGCACTTAACTGTGGACTAACACAAAGAGGAGCCCATCAAAGGAGAGCAAGCAAGATGAAAAAGAAACCAAATGTCAGGCCACATGATGAAGAATTGGGAACTGGGGAAACACTGGACTTGGGAAACAACATTTAAGACAAAGGAGGACAGAATAGCTAAGTGCAACTATTTACGAATCTAATAAGTTCCACACTTTACTTCTTTTGACCCAAGAAAGAATTGCTACTAGTGAACTGAAGTTGCAGAGAAATACATGCCACCTTATGATGAGGAATACAACAAAATCTAACAATTGGAAGTATCCAAGGATGGTTTAGGATGATCTGGAGAGGGAAGTTGTAGGATAGGTATGTGTGACCAAATTATATGACCTTAATGTCCCATATATCTTGAGATTCTATGATTTAAAGATGCCTTTAGTATTTAATCCATGGCTTGACCCAATCCATAGTCAACTTTTTAATCTATAACATTTTAAAAGATAAGCAAATAAAGCCAAGTTGGTTAGATTCTCCCACCCAAATCCAAGCCTAAACTTATGTAATTGACATTGGATTTATTAGTCGCAAAAATTATGTAACACATGGGAAATATATATTTGTAAAAAAAAATGAGAGTTTTTTAAGGTCAACTCTTTGTTAAAAGAATTTGGCATTAAGTAAATGTTACATCTACTAAATATTTAAGCTTAATCACTATGTGAACAAATATAATTATTCCTGGAAATAATCAAGGAATATTTCCAGAAATATTTATGACATGGAGGAAGACGTGGAAATACTCCATGTCTTCATTAGTTATTTAGTTTATAAAGTTGGGCTCTCTGTATTACCATTTCATAACATTTGGAAAAATCCACAATGAGAAAAAAAACTCATTTGTTTCTGAACATTTTTGAATGCTATTAGGCTGACTCGTGTCAAATTTTTATTTGACCATTTTAAATTAAAATATTTATTGAAAAATTATAGGTTGACATGCAGTTGTGAGAAATAATACATAAAGAATTTATGCACCATTTACCCAGTTTCCTCCAATGGTAACATTGCAAAACTATGGAACATTTTTGATCTATAAAAGAGTAGTTTTATATGGTTAAACCTAATATAGATGGAGGACAAAAATCACAATTTTTGCTGGGTTAGGCTGCATGAATAATCCTAAACTCTCAAACTGAAGTAACTTTGACGGCATTGAAATATGGGCCATTACAATGGGTTTATGTTGTGGGAGAGGAGAGGTTTCAAGGGAGATTCTAGTGGTAGGCGAGTGGGGCTAATGGTTGGATTTTAAGAAATGCTGTGAAGATTTCAGGATAATGAACACTGGGAAATAGTTAAGATGCCTTTGATGAGGACACACAGGGTGGTGGCAAACACAACTCAAAAACCAGTAAGCAAGGGATGGTGAAGTGAAGGCAGCCTGGGCTGGTGCCAGGTTAGCGCGGGCTATTCTGTTTGTAGATTAAGGGGAAGATGTTCACTGAGAGAAATAAATTGCAAGCTGGGTGACGTGGCATGTGCCTGTAATTCCAGCTACTTGCGAGGCCAAGACAGGAAGATCCTTTGAGCCAAGGAGTTTGAGGCCAGCCTGGGCAACATAGCAAGACCTCGTCTCAAAAAAAAGAAAAAATTGGAGATGCAGGAGAGGTTGGAGGGCATGTGGCTGAGCTGGAGAATCAAGAGCTTTACCTCAGTGAAAAGAAGAAAGACCTTTTTTCCTGCCTATATGGAAAGGATAATGGGTAGGATGACTTTGACATTCAGATGTCAACAGGAGGGAATGCTTTGTAAAAGTCGCCGGTTTTCACATGTTTTAAAAATAGTGTACTCCATTGTCTTTTCTACACTCTTTCATGAAGAATGCAGAAATACGAAAGAGATGATATCAGGGCCGGTCTTGTCGAAATGAAGGTGAAGCCCAACTTCTGCTTCACCTTTAAAAAGCCCAGAAGTTATGTAAATTCATTATGAAATGAAAAGAATCCACAATGGAATGAAACTGGTAAAGTATTCAAGCTGCGTAAGTCCTGGTTTTATCAGGTCACAAAAATTAATTCTCATATCATTCTGTTGTTTTGCAAACAAACTGCAAGATTGCAGAGGGTTTTATTTATTTTAGACAGCCTGAAAACAGCAAGGTGTACAATAACAGGAATAACCAGGTCATTTGAACAGGATCGTGACAGCTATTGATGCTACCTGTCCAGCCTGGACATGATTTGGCCTGACCAAGCACCCAAGAAGGCTCAGTGGGTTGTGAGCACACCCTGAGCCAAAAGCGTTATGGGCTGCTCCAAACCAAGTGTACTTTTAACGTGGATTAATAAAAACCTGATATTCGGGTTCAGAAATATGACTGTTGCATTGTAAGGCTACATCTAGAGTAGTGCCTTTCTTCTGGGCTCCACATTTAGAAAGGACAGGGACAAAGTAAAGAATTTCAGATGAAGAGGAACAAAATGGGAAAGGCCATGAAATTGATTTGTTATACATATTTGTTCAGGGAAAGAAAGGACAGAGGCAGAATGATAAGAGGAGCAAGGAACACAGGACAGAGGGAAGGGATGAGGAAGGCACATAAAGTGATGACATGTGGTTATGATTTAAAGAGGTTTTTTCAGAAATGAATATGAATAAGCTTAAAAGGGGAGAAGCAGATTTATGAAAGGTGATAAGAAGATGCAGGACAGGAGTATCAGATATGGCTTGCCACCTCCCACCACTGTAAATGTCATCTGGGGTAATTTGCAGTTGTCAAGATTTAAAGCTTTAACTCCTACCACTACTCAAGATGCTTAAGTAAGAATTCCAATACTCTGAAATCTAGTTCTGTATACCCACTCCAAATTCATTTGGGTGTTAAACACATGTGAGCATTCCAACATAAATATTTATAGGGCAAAGACCTTAGAAAGCACAGCCTATGTTTTCCATATTGTATTCCACAGAAAAACCCAACCCCCTTGCCTGCTCTTTCCCCTGCCTCTCACTCCCCCACTCTCCTTCTAAATCTTCTTCCTTCTCTCCCTCCTCCTCTTCCTCTTTCCTACTCCTCTCCCTCTCCCTCCTCCTCTTCCTCTTTCCTACCTATTCGTCTTTCAACTCATTCTTATAAAGCACCACTGCCTTCCATGCACCGCATGTACTGTTGACCAAAAACAGGTTTGGCCCCTGTTCTCACGGAGCTCATACTGAGTGGGGGAAGACAGACATTGACCAAACTGTTGTCACCTTCATAAATTGTACATTGTATTTCTTTTATTACTACAGAAGTGGAACATTTTGTCTCATATCTGTAGTTTGTATGATGCTCATACACCTTTTAACCCAGGTGTGAAAGCCAACTTTATTTTATATATCTGAACTTAATTTACTTCTGTAGTCCCTATATTGCCCAATTAGAGAGTTGATCTATTTCTTTCCAAGTTTAAAAATTAGTCCCTTTAATACCTAGTTTATTGAAAGTTTTTAACATGAAGGGATGTCGAATTTTATCGAAGGCTTTTTCTGCATCTATTGAGATAATCACGTGGTTTTTGTCTTTAGTTCTGTTTATGTGATAAATCCCATATATTGATTTGCATATGTTGAAGCAGCTTTGCATCCCAGGGATGAAACCAACTTGACCGTGGTGGATAAGCTTTTTGATTTGCTGCTGGATTCAGATTGCCAGTATTTTATTAAGGATTTTTGCGTCGATATTCATGAAAGATATTGGCTTGAAGTTTTCTTATTTGTGTTGTATCTCTGCCAGGTTTGGTATCTGGATGATGCTGGCCTCATAGAATGAGTTAGGGAGGAGTCTATCCTTTTCAATTTTTTGGAGTAGTTTCAGTAGAAATAGTACTGACTCTTCTTTGTAACACTGTTAGTAGAATTCTGCTGTGAATTGTCTGGTCCTGGGCTTTTTTGTTTGGTAGGCTACTTATTACCGCCTGTGTTAATCCGTTCTCACACTGCTATAAAAAATACCTAAGACTGAGTAATTTGTAAAGGAAAGAGGTTTAACTGACTCACAGTTCCACTCACACTTACAGTCATGGCAGAAGGGAAACCAGGCACCTTCTTCACAAGGTGGCAGGAGAAAGAGTGAGTGTTTAGGAGGAACTGTCAAACACTTATATGCCCATCAGATCTCATGAGAACTCACTCACTATCATGAGAACAGGATAAGGGAAACCTCCCCAATGATCCAATCACCTCCCACCAGGTCCCGCTCTCAGCATGTGGATATTATGGGGATTACAATTTGAGATGAGATTTGGGTGGGGACACAGAGCCAAACCATATCACTGCCTCAATTTCAGAACTTATTATTGGTCCATTCAGGGATTCAATTTCTTCCTGGTTCAGTCTTTGGAGGGTGTAGTTCAATCCTGGGACACATGTCCAGGAATTTACCCATTTCTTCTAGATTTTCTTGTTTATTTACATAGAGGTGTTTATAGTATTGTCTGATGGTTGTTTGTATTTCTGTGGGGTCAGTAATGATATCCCTTTTATCATTTCTGATTATGTTTATTTGATTCTTCTCTCTTTTCTTCCTTATTAGTCTAGCTAGCAGTCTATCTATTTTATTAATTTTTTCAAAAAAATCTCCTGGATTTGTGGATTTTTTAAGGGTTTTTTATGTCTCGATCTCTTTCAGTTTAGCTCTGATCTTGGTTTTTTTCTTGTCTTCTGCTAGCTTTGGGGTTTGTTTTCTCTCGGTTCTGTAGTTCTTTTAGTTGAGATGTTAGGTTGTTAACTTGAGATCTTTCTAGCTTCTTGAGGTGGGCATTTAGTGCTATAAATTTATCTCTTGACATTGCTTCAGCTGCATCCCAGAGATTCTGGTATGTTGTCTCTTTGTTCTCATTAGTTTCAAAGAACTTCTAGATTTCTGCCTTAATTTTATTATTTACCTAAGAGTAATTCAGGAGCTTCCATGTAGTTGTGTGGTTTTGAGTGAATTTCTTAATCTTGAGTTCTAATTTGATTGTGCTGTGGTCTGAGAGACTGTAATGATTTCAGGTACGATGTTTGGCAAACCCACAGCCAACATCATACTTAATGGGCAAAAGTGGAAACATTCCCCTTGAAAACTAGTACAAGACAAGGATGCCCTCTCTCAGCACTCCTATTCTACGTATTACTGGAAATTCTGGTCAGGACAATTGGGCAAGAGAAAGAAATAAAGGGTATTCGAATAGGAAGTGAGGAAGTCAAACCATCTTTGTTTGAAGATGACATGTTTCTATGTCTGGAAAACCCCATTCTCTCAGCCCCAAAGCTTCTTAAGCTGATAATCAACGTCAGCAGTCTGAGGATACAAAATCAACTTGCAAAACCCACTAACATTTCTATATACTAAGAAGAGGCAAGCAAGGAGCCAAATCATGAATGAACTCCCATTCACAATTGCTACAGAAAGAATAAAATACTTGGAAATACAGCTAACAGGGGAAGTGAAGGCCTTCTTCAAGGAGAACTACAGACCCTTGCTCAAAGAAATCAGAGAGGACACAAGGAAAAGGTAAAATATTCCATGTACATAAATAAGAAGAATCAATATCGTGAAAATGGCCATACTGCCCAAAGTAATTTATAGATTCAATGCTATTCCCATTAAACTACCACTGACATTATTCACAGAATTAGAAAAAAACTATTTTAAATTTTATATGGAATTCAGACTCTGAAAACAGAGCCGAAATAGCCAAGACAATCCTAAGCAAAAAGAACAAAGCTGGAGGTATCACACTACCCAACTTCAAACTATACTACAAGGCTATGATAACCAAAACAACATAGTACTGGTACAAGAACAGACACATAAACCAATGTAACAGACTAGAGAACTCTAGAAACAAGACCACTTGCCTACAACCATCTGATCTTCAATAAACCTGACAAAAACAAGCAATGGGGAAAGGATTTCCTATTTAATAAATGTTGTTGGGAGAACTGGCTGGCCACATGAAGACAATTGAAACTGGACTCCTTCCTTACACCATGTACAAAAGTTAACCCAAGATGGATTAAAGACTTAAATGTAAAACACCGAACTATATAAAAAAAAAAAAACCCTAAAAGAAAATCTAGGCACTACCATTCAGGACACAGGCACAGGCAAGGATTTCATGATGAAAATGCCAAAAGCAATTGCAACAAAAGCAAAAATTGACAAATGGGATCTGATTAAACTAAAGAGCTTCTGCACAGCAAAAGAAACTATCATCACAGTGAACAGACAACCTGCAGAATGGGGGAAATTTCTACAATCTATCCATCTGATGAAGGTCTAATATCCAGAGTTTACTAGGAACTTAAACAAATTTACAAGAAAAAAAAAACCCTATTAAAAAGTGGGCAAAGGACATGAACAGACCCTTCTCAAAAAGAGACATACATGTGGCCAACAAACATAAGAAAAATGCTCAACATCACTAATCATTAAAGAAATGTAAACCAAAATCACAATGTGATACCATCTCACATCAGTCAGAATGGCAATTATTAAAAAGCCAAAACACAACAGATGCTGATAAGGTTGTGGATAAAAAAAAATTTACTATTGGTGGGAATGTAAATTAGTTCAACCATTGTGGAAGACAGTGTGGCAATTCCTCAAAGACCTAGAGGCAGAAATACCATGCGACCCAGAAATCCCATTTCTGGGTATTTACCTGAAAAAAAATAAATCTTTCTATTATAAAGACACATGACACATATGTTCATTGCAGCACTATTCACAATAGCAAAGACATGGAATCAACCTAAATGCCCGTCAATGATAGACTGGATAAAGAAAATGTGGTAAGTATACACCATGGAATACTGTGCAGCCATAAGGGGACATGGATGGAGTTGGAAGCCATTATCCTTAGCAAACTAACACAGGAACAGAAAGCAAAATGCTACATGCTCTCATTTATAAGTGGGAGCTGAATGCTGAGAACACATGAACACATAGTGGGAAACAGTACCCACTGGGACCTCTTGGTTGGGGGCTGGAGGGAAGGAGAGTATCACAAAGATTAGCTAATGATCAAAACTTGGGAAAAGTCCTGGAGCCAAGATGGCCAAATAGGAACAGCTCCAGTCTACAGCTCCCAGTATGAGCGATGCAGAAGATGAATGATTTCTGCATTTCCAACTGAGGTACCAGGTTCATCTTACTGGGGATTGTTGGACAGTGGGTGCAGGACAGTGGGTGTGGTGCACTGAGTGTGAGCTGAAGCAGGGTGAGGCATCAACTCACCCAGGAAGTGCAAGGGGTCAGGGAATTCCCTTTCCTAGCCAAGGAAAGGGGTGACAGATGGCACCTGGAAAATCGGATCACTCCCACCCTAATACTGCACTTTTCCAATGGTCTTAGTAAACAGCAAACGAGAAGATTGTATCCCGTGCCTGGCCTGCAGGGTCCTATGCCCACAGAGCCTCGCTCATTGCTAGCCCAGCAGTCTGAGATCAAACTGCAAGGCAGCGGCGAGGCTGGGGGAGGGGCATCTGCCATTGCTGAGGCTTGAGTTGGTAAACAAAGCGGCCAGGAAGCTCCAACTGGGTGGAGCCCACCACAGCTCAAGGAGGCCTGTCTGCCTCTGTAGACTCCACCTCTGGGGGCAGGGCATAGCCAAACAAAAGGCAGCAGAAACCTCTGCAGACTTAAATGTCCCTGTCTGACAGCTTTGAAGAGAATAGTGGTTCTCCAAGCACGCAGCTTGAGATCTGAGAATGGACAGACTGCCTCCTCAAGTGGGTCCCTGACTCCCAAGTAGCCTAACTGGGAGCCACCCCCCAGTAGGGGCAGACAGACACCTCACACGGCTGGGTACTCCTCTGAGACAAAACTTCCAGAGGAACAATCAGGCAGCATCATTTGCTGTTCACCAATACCTGCTGTTCTGCAGCCTCCGCTGCTGATACCCAGGCAAACAGGGTCTGGAGTGGACCTCCAGCAAACTCCAACAGACCTGCAGCTGAGGGTCCTGATGTTAGAAGGAAAACTAACAGAAAGGACATCCACACCAAAACCCCATCTGTAAGTCACCATCATCAAAGACCAAAGGTAGATAAAACCACAAAGATGGGGGAAAAACAGAGCAGAAAACTGAAAATTCTAAAAATAAGAGCACTTCTCCTCCTCCAAAGGAATGTGGCTCCTCACCAGCAATGGAACAAAGCTGGACCAAGAATGATTTTGATGAGTTGAGAGAAGAAGGCTTAAGACGATCAAACTACTCCTAGCTAAAGGAGGAGTTCGAACCCATGGCAAAGAAGTTAAAAACCTTGGAAAAAGATTAGATGAATGGTTAACTAGAATAACCAATGCAGAGAAGTCCTTAAAGGACATGATGGAGCTGAAAACCATGGCACGAGAACTATGTGATGAATGCAGAAGCCTCAGTAGCTTATTCAATCAACTGGAAGAAAGGGTATCAGTGATGGAAGATCAAATGAATGAAATGAAGTGAGAAGAGAAGTTTAGAGAAAAATGAATAAAAAGAAATGAACAAAGCCTCCAAGAAATATGGGACTATGTGAAAAGACAAATCTATGTCTGATTGGTGTACCTGAAAGTGACAGGGAGAATGGAACCAAGTTGGAAAACACGCTGCAGGATATTATCCAGGAGAACTTCCCCAATCTAGCAAGGCAGGCCAACATTCAGATTCAGGAAATACAGAGAATGCCACAAAGATACTCCTCAAGAAGAGCAACTCCAAGACACATAATTATCAGATTCACCAAAGTTGAAATGAAGGAAAAAATGTTAAGGGCAGCCAGAGAGAAAGGTCGGGTTACCCACAAAAGGAAGCCCATCAGACTAACAGCGGATCTCTCCACAGAAACTCTACAAACCAGAAGAGAGTGGGGGCCAATATTCAACATTCTTAAAGAAAAGAATTTTCAACCCAGAATTTCATATCCAGCCAAACTAAGCTTCATAAGTGAAGGACAAATAAAATACTTTACAGACAAGCAAATGCTGAGAGAGTTTGTTACCACCAGGACTGCCCTAAAAGAGCTCCTGAAGGAAGCACTAAACATGGAAAGGAACAACTGGTACCAGCCACTGCAAAAACATGCCAAATTGTAAAGACCATCAAGGCTAGGAAGAAACTGCATCAACTAACGAGCAAAATAACCAGCTAACATCATAATGACAGGATCAAATTCACACATAACAATATTAACTTTAAATGTAAATGGGCTAAGTTCTCCAATTAAAAGAAACGACTGGCAAATTGGACAAAGAGTCAAGACCCATCAGTGTGCTGTATTCAGGAAACCCATGTCACATAGAGAGACACACATAGGCTCAAAATAAAGGGACGGAGGAAGATCTACCAAGCAAATGGAAAACAAAAAAAGGCAGGGATTGCAATCCCACTCTCTGATAAAACAGACTTTAAACCAACAAAGATCAAAAGAGACAAAGAAGGCCATTACATAATGGTAAAGGGATCAATTCAACAAGAAGAACTAACTATCCTAAATATATATGCACACAATACAGGAGCACCCAGATTCATAAAGCAAGTCCTGAGTGACCTAGAAAGAGGCCTAGACTCCCACACAATAATAATGGGAGACTTTAACACCCCACTGTCAACATTAGACAGATCAACGAGACAGAAAGTTAACAAGGATATCCAGGAATTGAACTCAGCTCTGCACCAAGTGGACCTAATAGATATCTACAGAACTCTCCACCCCAAATCAACAGAATATACATTCTTTTCAGTACCACACCACAACTATTCCAAAATTGACCACATAGTTGGAAGTAAAGCACTCCTCAGCAAATGTAAAAGAACAGAAATTATAACAAACTGTCTCTCAGACTACAATGCAATCAAACTAGAACTCAGGACTGAGAAACTCACTCAAAACCGCTCAACTACATGGAAACTGAACAACCCGCTCCTGAATGACTACTGGGTACATAAGGAAATGAAGGCAGAAATAAAGATGTTCTTTGAAACCAACGAGAACAAAGACACAACATACCAGAATCTCTGGGACGCATTCAAAGCAGTGTGTAGAGGGAAATTTATAGCACTAAATGCCCACAAGAGAAAGCAGGAAAGATCTAAAATTGACACCCTAACATCACAATTAAAAGAACTAGAGAAGCAAGAGCAAACACATTCAAAAGCTACTAGAAGGCAAGAAATAACTAAGACCAGAGCAGAACTGAAGAAGATAGAGACACAAAAAACCCTTCAAAAAATCAATGAATCCAGGAGCTGGTTTTTTGAAAAGACCAACAAAATTGATAGACTACTGGCAACACTAATAAAGAAGAAAAGAGAGAAGAATCAAATAGGTGCAAGAAAAAATGATGAAGGGGCTATCACCACCAATCCCACAGAAATACAAACTACTATCAGAGAATACTATAAACACCTCTACACAAATAAACTAGAAAATCTAGAAGAAATGGATAAATTCCTTGACACATACACCCTCCCAAGACCAAACCAGGAAGAAGTTGAATTGCTGACTAGTCCAATAAGAGGCTCTGAAATTGAGGCAATAATTAATAGCTTACCAACCAAAAAAAAGTCCAGGACCAGATGGTTACACAGCCGAATTCTACCAGAGGTACAAGGAGGAACTGGTACCATTCCTTCTGAAACTATTCCAATCAATAGAAAAAGAGGGAATCCTCCCTAACTCATTTTATGAGGCCAGCATCATCCTGATACCAAAGCCTGGCAGAGACACAACCAAAAAAGAGAATTTTAGACCAATATCCCTGATGAATATCGATGCAAAGATCCTCAATTAAATACTGGCAAACCGAATCTAGCAGCACATCAAACAGCTTATCCACCATGATCAAGCGTGCTTCATCCCTGGGATGCAAGGCTGGTTCAACATATGCAAATCAATATACATAATCCATCATATAAACAGAACCAATGACAAAAACCACATGATTATCTCAATAGATGCAGAAAAAGCCTTTGACAAAATTCAACAACCCTTCATGCTAAAAACTCTCAATAAATTAGGTATTGATGGGACGTATCTCAAAATAATAAGAGTTATCTATGACAAACCAATGGCCAATATCATATTGAATGGACAAAAACTGGAAGCATTCCCTTTGAAAACTGGCACAAGACAGGGATGCCCTCTCCCACCACTCCTATTCAACATAGTGTTGGAAGTTCTGGCCAGGGCAATCAGGCAGGAGAAGGAAATAAAAGGCATTCAATTAGGAAAAGAGGAAGTCAAATTGTCCCCGTTTGCAGATGACATGATTGTATATCTAGAAAACCCCATCGTCTCAGCCCAAAATCTCCTTAAGCTGATAAGCAACTTCAGCAAAGTCTCAGGATACAAAATCAATGTGCAAAAATCACAAGCATTCTTATACAGCAATAAAAGACAAACAGAGAACCAAATCATGAGTGAACTCCCATTCACAATTGCTTCAAAGAGAATAAAATACCTAGGAATCCAACTTACAAGGGATGTGAAGGACCTCTTCAAGGAGAACTACAAACCACTGCTCAATGAAATAAAAGAGGATAAAAACAAATGGAAGAACATTCCATGCTCACGGGTAGGAAGAATCAATATCGTGAAAATGGCCATACTGCCCAAGGTAATTTATAGATTCAATGCCATCCCCATCAAGCTACCAATGACTTTCTTCACAGAATTGGAAAAAACTACTTTAAAGTTCATATGGAACCGGCCAGGCGCGGTGGCTTACGCCTGTAATCCCAGCACTTTGGGAGGGCGAGATGGGCGGATCACGAGGTCAGGAGATCGAGACCATCCTGGCTAACATGGTGAAACCCCGTCTCTACTAAAAATACAAAAATTAGCCGGGCATGGTGGCGCGCGCCTGTAGTCCCAGCTACACGAGAGGCTGAGGCAGGAGAATGGCGTGAACCCGGGAGGCGGAGCTTGCAGTGAGTTGAGATCGCGCCACTGCACTCCAGCATGGGCGACAGAGCAAAACTCCGTCTCAAAAAAAAAAAAAAAAAAAAAAGTTCATATGGAACCAAAAAAGAGCCCACATTGCCAAGTCAATCCTAAGCCAAGAGAACAAAGCTGGAGGCATCACGCTACCTGACTTCAAACTATACTACAAGGCTACAGTAACCAAAACAGCATGGTACTGGTACCAAAACAGAGATATAGACCCATGGAACAGAACAGAGCCCTCAGAAATAATGCCACATATCTACAACTATCTGATTTTTGACAAACCTGAGAAAAACAAGCAATGGGGAAAGGATTCCCTATTTAATAAGTGGTGCTGAGAAAACTGGCTAGCCATATGTAGAAAGCTGAAACTGGATCTCTTCTTTACACCTTATACAAAAATTAATTCAAGATGGATTAAAGACTTAAATGTTAGACCTAAAATCATAAAAACCCTAGAAGAAAACCTAGGCAATACCATTCAGGACATGGGCATGTGCAAGGACTTCATGTCTAAAACACCAAAATCAATGGCAACAAAAGCCAAAATTGATAAATGGGATCTAATTAAACTAAAGAGCTTCTGCACAGCAAAAGAAACTACCATCAGAGTGAACAGGCAACCTACAGAATGGGAGAAAATTTTTGCAATCTACTCATCTGACAAAGGGCTAATATCCAGAATCTACAATGAACTCAAACAAATTTACAAGAAAAAAGCAAACCCATCAACAAGTGGGCAAAGGATATGAACGGACACTTCTCAAAAGAAGACATTTATGCAGCCAAAAGACACATGAAAAAATGCTCCTCATCACTGGCCATCAGAGAAATGCAAATCAAAACCACAATGAGATACCATCTCACACCAGTTACAATGGTGATCATTAAAAGTCAGGAAACAACAGGTGCTGGAGAGGATGTGGAGAAATAGGAACACTTTTACACTGTTGGTGGGACTGTAAACTAGTTCAATTATTGTGGAAGTCAGTGTGGCGATTCCTCTGGGATCTAGAACTAGAAATACCATTTGACCCAGCCATCCCATTACCGGGTATATACCCAAAGGATTATAAATCATGCTGCTATAAAGACACATGCACACATATGTTTATTGTGGCACTATTCCCAATAGCAAAGACTTGGAACCAACCCAAATGTCCAACAATGATAGACTGGATTAAGAAAATGTGGCACATATACACCATGGAATACTATGCAGACATAAAAAATGATGAGTTCATGTCCTTTGTAGGGACATGGATGAAGCTGGAAACCATCATTCTCAGCAAACTATCGCAAGCACAAAAAAAGCAAACACCGTATGTTCTCACTCGTAGGAGGGAATTGGACAATGAGAACACAGGGACACTGGAAGGGAGCATCACACACCAGGGCCTGTTGTGGGGTGGGGGCAGGGGGGAGGGATAGCATTAGGAGATATACCTAATGTTAAATGACGAGTTAATGGGTGCAGCATGCCAAGATGGCACATGTATACATATGTAACAAACCTGCACGTTGTGCACATGTACCCTAAAACTTATAGTATATATATATATATAAAAAGAATAGCTAATGAATTCTGGGCTTAATACATGGATGATGGGATGATCTGTGCAGCAAACTACCATGGCACACATTGACCTATGTGACAAACCTCCACATCCTGCACATGCACCCCTGAACTTAAAATGAAAATTTGAAGAAAAAAGAAATTAGTTCAATCCCAAAATATCTTGATACAATTTGGTAATGTAAACTGGGTCCATTCTTATCCAAAAGTCTCTCTATTCAGGACTCAGCCATTTTTCTTACTCTTTGGAGTTGTACCTAAGCCTCGAAGAGGTTAGGCACATTATTTCCTCGGATTGCGGCTCATGAAGGGGTGTCACATCCAGGACTGTCTTTGGGCCATGCTGAGCTTTGCAGAGATATAACTCACCTTATCAAGTTTCTCAGTGGGGTGCCCTGATTCCCACTGCCATACCACTCTCATGTGCCCTTTAGGTTGATGCCAGTCATTTTTCTATTTTCCCAGAAATCTCAAAGAACTTGCACATGAAGTTATTTTTGAATTTTATTGTTCTTTAATTCACTACATTTAGCATATATCTTTATTAGTGCCTTCCTTTTGCTTTTGCTGGCTATTTACCTACCCCACCTACCTTCTTGAGTTAGTTTTTCATGTCATTTAACTTTCTTCTTTATTGTTTTTTAATAAAAATATTTAAGTTTATAAATGTTATTCTGAGTACAGTGTTTGTCACATGGCATAGATTGGGATTTATTGTTTTCCAACCATTATTATTTCTAAAAGATTATAATTGAATTTTTAATTTCTTTTTTGACCCTTGCATTCATTCAGAAATTTTATTTTTCAATTTCTAAGGGATTAGAGTTGTGCTGTTGTTGTTCTTGTTAATGTTTGTATTTATAAGTATGTTTATAAAATTTGCACCTTTGGGAATTTGTGGAGTCTTTATGGAAATTTTGTAATTTTATAATTTCACAAATGTTCCATGGACATGGAAAAAAAGAGGTTTTACTGAGTTTGACAGTACCAATATAGAGTCATCTCTCTGTGTCTGTGGAGGATTGGTTCTAGCATCTCCCGTGCATACCACAACCAATGAATGATCAAGTTCTGCCATTGGTCCTATATGACCTGCAGATTTGAAAAGTCAGCCCTCTGTATTCAAGAGGTCTGCATTACTGGAATATTATATTTTTGATCTGTGATTGGTTGAATCTACTTGTGGATATGGAGTGCTGACTGTATATCCAATACATCCACAATTCCTAAAATTTTTTCCTCTCAGACACTTCCTAACTCTGACTATTTTCCATTATGTACCTAGAACTGTTAGATCTTTGCAAAGGCTGAAATTACTTTGGCACCAACCTAATAGCTATCATTGTAGTCAGAGCAGGAAGTATCCTGTGCGTCCACGGTTTGGGATTCTCTAGGACTCCAAACCAAGTAGGATGGTGACTAGCATTGTCAAGAGCTAAAGCTGGGTATGCTTTTCTTCCTTCCATGCCTCGGCATCCCCAGCTCATGTAGCCACTGGTGGGTCATTTGCAGCGGGGAGTGTCCAACAAAATTAGTACTTTTTCTTTGGTTATCCTTTGTCTCAAACTCCAACCCGGAGGTAAAATTATTAGGAGAACATTGTTGAGATTTAAGCTTTCTGTTCATTTACATTTGTATAATTAATCTTTATTCATTGCTTTGGTTTTAACAGTTCTTTATTATTTTGTATATGGCAATGCTTTTATACACAGAAAAATTGAGTAGACCAGTTTTCAAATCCAAACAGAAACTTTTATAATAATAAGGCTATTTAACCCATTTCATCCTATTGTACAAATTAATAGCTTGGTCTCTATAATTTAGTTTGTAATCCCTCACAATTTTTAAAATGAATCCTCTGTTTTCTGTTTCTCTGTTTTTTCTGTTGCTATACAGAATATAATCTCTTAGCTTTCCACCATCGAATCTACTTGACAATTGCACGATGAGGGATACGCCATACTCTAACTCAAGCTTGTCTGACCTGTCTAATTTTGTTGTAATAGTTGTTCTGTTTCATTTTATTTTGGGCTTGTAGCAGCTGGAAGCCATAGTTTTTAGTTTCTGTCTCCTGTGGTAAGTGGAAAAGAGGGATGAGGAAGAGGCTGTACTGGCCCAACCAGAAACCGAAACTGAGAACCCATGACTGTATCCTCTCTCTTGGACGCCTCTGCTAGCCTCTTAAACACAAAAATAGAGAGATCCCAGATGTGCTGTATTTCCCAGCCCTCCTTCCCTGGCTATAGTCACTGTCTGTACTTCCAGACCTCCCATTTTCTTCCTGATCCATGCCAATTAGGGTTTCTTATTCAATGCTTCAGTGAAAAATAAAAAACTATATTATAGACATCAGTGGGCTGCATCTTGCCCAAGCCAAGAGATAAGTTTTGGTCCTCATCTTAATGACTACTTAGCTGCATTTGATATTGTTGACGTTTCTTCTTTAAAAATATTTTCAAAGCCCCTATGATGCTACTTCTGTCTTGTTTTTTACTCCACTCTTGCTATCTTACCTCCTGCTTTTTTTTTCAGTGTATGTCTCCTCTGGTCACATGATTATATTTATGGGGTGCACTTGATCCTCTACTGTGTTATTTTCTATTCCTACATGATCTTATTTAGTACCGTGGCTTTAAAGACCATCTGTTGATGACTCCCAAGTCAGTATTTCTGGCTCCATTCTCCTCAAATGGTAAACTCAAACTGAATATCTCCTTTTGGATATCTGAAAGGCATCTCAAATCCAACATCTCAAACATTACTCTGAGTTCTCCACCCCATATGCTCCTCTAAAATCTTTCCCATGTTATTAAATGGTCCCACCTTAAACACACACCTAAGAGCAATTCTTCACTCTTCTCCTTCCCAAAAGATCTACATCTAATTTATCCATAAGTCCTATTTGCTCAACATCCCAAATACATACTAAAGTTGACCACTTCACTCCAACTTCTCTGCCATAAACCAAGTCTAATTCACCGGCACTTCTCTTGGGCTACTGCTAAAGTGTCCTACCTAATTCATTTTAATCTATCAATACTCTCTGAGTTCTTACTAGGTGTCAGATGTTTTATAGGACTTAATGATACATCAGTGAATAAAACATAAAAAGATTGCTACCCTAATGAAATTTATGTTTAATTAGTGCAGACAGACAATAAAGAAAATTGTGTGTGTTTGTGGTGGGGGCGGGGGTTAGATGGAAGTCATAAATGTTATGAAAGAAAAATAAAAGAAATGGGATACAAGGATAAGGAGAAGACTTAGGTAAGTTGTACTTTAAAATAAAGTGGTCAGACATACATCACTTCAAAATGAACATTTGCATAAAAGTATAAAGAGTTTGAGGGAGTAAGATGCATGGATTCTGGAGACAACATGTGAACATGTCCTGCAGAGTCATCATAGTTGGCATGCTGGAGGAACAAGAAAAAGGTCCATGAGGGTGGGGTAGAGTAAAATGAGCAAAGGAGAAAGTATTGTGCAAAAAGGTCAAGATAACAGGGACAGAGAGACGTGATAGGGACATGGGCATATTGTATGCTGAGTGGGGGAAAAAACCCCAGGAGCGTTTTTGTTCTGCTTTGTTTAGCTATCTTAAAATGTAAGCAATTTTTAGAATAGTCTTAGATTTATAGCAGTGTTGCAAATCTACCGTAGAGAGTTCCCATATAATGTTCACCCAGTTTCTTTTGTTGTTAACATTTTATGTTACAATGATAAATTTGTCAAAAGTAATGAAACAACATCAGTGTATTATTATTAAATAAACTCCACAATTAATTCAAATGTTACTAGTTTTTCCCATGTCCTTTTTATGTTCCAGTATTCCATCCAAGATACCACATTGCATTGAGTTTTCATGTGTTCTTAGTCTCCTCTGAACTTTGATAGTTTCTCAGATTTTCACTGATTTTAATGACCTTGTCAGTTCTCATGTATACTGGTCAGAATATCGTATATCCTACTATTTGGGTTTCTCTGATATTTTTCTCATGTTTAGATGGGCTTTGCGGAGAGAATATTCACCACAAAATACATAAAATTAGAACACAAATATAATAGTCAAAACACCCTTGAGAAATTATAAGACTCATTTCTTCAAAAATTATTAAACAGTAAATCTAAGGAAATGTTATAAAATATTTAAAACAGACTGCTGTATATTAGAACCAATAGTATGCACCCTTAAGCTGTAATTAAGGGACAAATTTATGATTAATTAACTAATATTCAAATCCAAAAGGTGAAAAAAAGGAACAATACAAAATCTAAACCAAATAGAAAGAAGGAAATAAAAATAAAAGACAAAAGTAATTAAGTGGCAAATAAAAAGTAGAGTGGATCGTTAAGACTAAACACTATTTTTAAAGACCAGTATAACAGACAAATGTTTTGATGGTGAAAGAGAGTGAGAGTGAGAGAGAGAAAGTGAGTGAGAAATAATATAAACAAACAATATCAGGAAAAAATAATGGAGCACAAACATATAATGAAGTATTTTAGAAACTATGAATTGATATGAACAACTGTATGCCAGTAGGTTAAAAGCCCATGCAATGGACAATTTTCTAGGAAAGTGTAAATGCCATGATTAGTCTTCACAACCATAAAACAAGTATTAATACAAATTGAAATGGTAATCAGTATCTTATTCCCAAAGGCATCAGACCCACATGGTTTTTCCAGTAACTTTCAGCACCAATTCAATAAACATATATGTCTCATTATAGCTTAACTGAAAAAAAGTGAAGCCACGCAAGTCATTTTATAAGGATTGAATAATACTGTTAGGAAAACTAGAAAAGGAAAACACAAAGATGCACTTCTTTGTTTCAAAACTATAAATACAACAAAAATTATTTCATTGTTGGTTTCACTTCAGGGAAATGCTGATTCATCTTTGTGTGTAATACAAATTCAATTTGTGGTTAATAAAGGTTAATAAAGGGGACTATAATTTTAAAAGCACAATAAGCCAATATAATATTCCCAATTTACTTCTTCAACACTTGGCCTGCAGTTATAACTATTTAAAAAGTGAACATTAAGGCAAAGATTTCTTTCTACATGTTGGAGGAGCATTGAAGAAGAAATAAACATTTCCTCATTTTTGCTTAGTAAGCACATTGAGACACCAAGGTGGGTGGATCACCTGAGGTCAGGAGTTCGAGACCAGCCTGGCCAACATGGCAAAATGCCGTCTCTACTAAAAGTACAAAAATTAGCCAGGCGTGGTGGTGCATGCCTGTAATCCCAGCTACTCAGGAGGCTGAGGCAGGAGAATTGCTTGAACCTGGGAGGCGGAGTTTGCAGTGAGCTGAGATTGCACCACTGCACTCCAGCCTGGGCAACAAGAGTGAGACTCTGTCTCAAAAAAAAAAAAAAAAAAGCAAGGTAAATCTTATTATTTTCCTTCCTTCAACTGGCTATGAACTTGTTTTAATTTATTACCACTGATTTGAAACAACCTTATCATAAAAGTTCCCAGTTGTACCTGCATCTATTTATTCACTCTTTTCTATGGATAGGACCATCTGTTCTGATCATTACACACACTTATCAATTATGAATCCTTTCAGATGACTACAATGCCATTTTCTTTCCCTCACAAAACAAGAAGTCAAAACATAAATGGTTGCTGATGCTCTTTCTTTAGTTTATTTCTGTAAAAAATAAATTCTCTGAGATTCTTATGATGTTTTCAATATGGCAATAAGCTGGCCATTATGCCCTTGTTCAAGGCAAGAAGAGAGAGAGAGGGCAAGAGCACTCTCTGCATGCTCCCACAGCTGACCCCTGCAGCTGAGCTCATGAATGCTGGCAGTCATGACCCCTGCAGATGCTATGCACAAGCAGCTGTATCTGACTCTTGTCACTGACCCACACCACCATGTTTATACCTACAGCTGGTCCCTACAGCTATGTGCATGCATGCTGCCAGTTTTGTCCCTGCAGCTGTGCACATGCATGTAGTTTCCAGATCCATGTCGTCATGCTCCACCACCATGCACATGCCAGAAGCTAGCTCCCACAGTCAAGAATGTGCACACCACCAGCACTGGCCCTCACTGCTACCTGCCTTCTCTGATCTCTTGTCACTATAGCCATAGGCACTGTTGAGGACCCTCAACAGCCCTTGCAGCCACTACAAACCTTCTGCAGTTCTGGCAACCATAAACCATGCAATTGCAAACCCTAGCTACCTGAGCTGATGAGACACTGCACCTCCCTAGACCTGGAATCACTGTACCTCCTGCACTTGGTGCCCTGTGTCACTAGATCCAGTGCCAGAGCATATTCCAGTGTGTCCCACGGCCCACAGTTGAAGGTTTTTCCTTATTGAAGCCAATCCATAAAGTCTGTAAGAGATGACTGCCTGTTTAAATGTGTAGACTCCTATACAAAGCTACAAGAATGACAAAGAATTGAGAAAACATGACATAATCAAAGGACACAGAAAACTTCCAGTAACCAACCCCAACACATTGCAGACCCATAAACTACCTGACAAAAAAAATTCAAAAATTATTCTTTAGAAGCTAATTGAGCTATGAAAGAACACAGACCCTCAATTTAACAAAATCAGCAATAATATAACAACAAAAAAGAGGTTCAACAAAGAGATCAAATTCATAAAATGGAACCAAAAGAAAATTTTGGAGCTGAAGAATATAATGACTGCACTACAAAATACAATAGAGAGTTTTAACAGCAGACTAGATAACACACAAAAAAATATAGAAATTTGAAGATAGATCATTTGAAATCATCTAGTCAGAGGAGAAGAAAGGAAAAGGAATGAAAAGGAATGAAGTCCTACAGGATCTATGAGACAGTATCAAGAGAACTAATCTTCATACTATAGAATTTTCAGGAGAAGAGAAAGGGAAAGTAACAGAAAGCTTTTTTAAAGAATCAATGGCTGAAAACTTTCCATTTATGTGGAAAGAAGATATGAACATTCAGGTACATGAACTTCAAAGGTTACCAATCAGATTCAACCCAAAAGAGTTCACCAAAACATATTATAATCAAACTTTTAAAATCAAAGATAAAGAGAATTTTGAAGGCAGCAAGAGAAAACAAGCTTATTACACACATTGGAATTCTATTAAGGCTTTCAGCAGATTTTGTTGCTGAAACTTTTAGGCCAAGAAAGGGTGAGATGACATATTCAAGGTGCTAAAAGAAAAAAAAAAGAAACCTGCTGAACAAAAATATTTTACCTGGCAAAGTTCATAAATGAGTTAGAGATATAAAGACTTTCCCAGATAAACAAAAGCTGAAGGAGTTTATCACTACTAGACTTACATCACAAGAAATGCTAAAGGGAATTATTAAAGCTGAAATAAAAAGCTGCTATTTAGTAATATGAATACATACAAAAGTATAAAACTTGTTGCTAAAAAATAAATATATAGTCAAATTCAGAATACTGTACTACTGTAACTGTGATCACTTATAATCCAGTATAAACGTTAAAAGTTAAAAGTATTAAAAATGACTACAGCTGCAATAACTTATTAACAAATACACAGTATATAAAGATGTAAACTATGATATCAAAAATATAAAATGTCAGGAGAATGTGAAGTAAAAGTGCAGGGCTTTTGTATGTAAGCAAAGTGAGTAACCACAAAGGAAAAAACTTAGAATATACACACAAAAAATAAAGAGAAGGGAATCAAAGCATACCACTACAGAAAAATTTCAAATCACAAAAGAAGACAGCAAGAGAGTAAGAGAGGAATAAGGTTCTATAAAACAACCTGAAAACAATTTACAAATTGGCAATAGTAAACCCTTACCAATCAGTAATTATGTTACATGTAAATGAACTAAAACCTCCAATCAAAAGACAGAGCAGTCAAATCAGTAACAAAACAAAACAAAACCCAACTATGTGCTGCCTACAAGACACTCACTTCATCTTTAAGAACACATAGAGACTAAAAGCAAAGGGATAAAAAAAGATATCCTAGGCAAATAAAAGAAGCCAAAAAACAGCAGGAATAGCTATAGTTATATCAGGTAAAATAAACTTCAAGGTAAAAACCATGAAACAAGACAAATAAGGTCACTATACAATGAAAAATGTTCAATTCATCAAGAGGATATAACAATTGTAAATGGGTCCAACATCAAAGCAACTGAATATATAAAGAAAATAGTAATAGATATGAAGGGAGAGATAGACTATAATACAATAATAGTAGGGGACTTCAAAACTCATCAATGGACAGATCATCCAGACAGAAAACCAATAAGGAGACATTGAACTTAAACTATAATTTAGACCAAATGGACTTGAGTGACATATACATAACATTCTACCTATCAGCAGCAGCAGCAGCAGATTACACATTCTTTTAAAGTACACACAGAACGTTTTCCAGGATAGATTATAATATAAGGTCACAAAAAAATGTTTTAACAACCATATAAAGAGTGAAATCATATTCAGTATTAACAAATTTTAAAAGATTGAAATCATATTGAGTATCTTCTCTTACCATAATGGTATGAAACTGGAAATCAATAACAGGAAAAAAACTGAGAATTCACAAACATGTCCAAATTAAACAACATGTCCCTGAAAAACCAATGGGTCAAACAAGAAATTTTAAAAATTTAAAAATATGTTGAGGTAACTAAAAATGAAAACACAACATATCCAAACTTATAGAATGCAATCAAAGCAGTTTTAAGAGGGAAGTTTATAGGAGTAAACACCTACATTTAAAAAGAAGATCTCAAATAAACAGCTTAACATTACACTTCAAGGAACTAGAAAAAGAAGAACAGATTAAGCCCAATGTTAGTGGAAGGAAGAAAATAATAAAGATCAGAGCAAAAAATGGAGACTTAAGAAACCATAGAAAAGTTCAATAAAACTAAGAGCTGGTTTATTAAAAAGACAAAAAAAATCCCAAAAATACAAAAATTTAGTTAGACATGTCACAAAAAAAGTGACAAGACTCAAATAATCAAATTAGAAATAAAAGAGGAGATATTACAACTGACACACAAAAAGTGCAAAGGATTATAAGAGAGTAATATGAACAATCATATACCAACAAATTGGATAACCTAGAAGATATGGGTAGCTTCCTAGAAACATACAACCTACCAAGACTGAATCATTAAGAAATAGAAAATCTTAACAGACCCATAATGAGTAAGAAGATTGAATTAGTAATTAAAAATCTCCCAAAAAGAAAATTTCCAGACATTATGACCTCATGGTTGAATTCTACTGAACATGTAAAGAGCTAAAATCAATCCTATAAACTCTTACAAAAATTGAACAAGAGGGAATACTTCCAAACTCATTTTACTAGGCTATTATTACCCTGATACCAAAGCAAGACACAAACACTATAAAAAAAGAAAACTACAGGCCAATAACCCTGATGAACATAGATAAAAAAATCCTCAAGAAAATGACACAAACTAAATTTAACAGCACAATAACAAAGATTTATGAACCATTATAGAATGGGATTAATCTCAGGCATGCAAGGATGTTTCAACATATGCAAATCAATGAATGTGATATAAGACATTAGTAGAATGAAGGACAAAATCTGTATGATAATTACAATAGATATGGTATAAACATTTTGCCAAATTCAGCATTCTTTTATGATAAAAAAAAAGTCACAACAAATAAGGTGTGGAAGGAATGGACCCCAACACAATGATGATCAGATATGACAAGCCCACAGATAACATCACACTCTGGTGAAAAGTTGAATCTTTTCATCTAAGATAAATAACAACGCAAGAATGTCCATCTTATCACTTCTGTTCAGCATAGTACTAGACGTCCTAGCAAGAACGAATGAGCAAAAAAAAGAAATGAGTCATTCAAATTGAAAATGAAGAAGGTATATTGTCACCGTTTGCAGATGACATGATATTGTGTATAGAAAACCTGAAAGTGTCCACCAAAAATCTTAGAAAAAATAAATAAATTCAATAAAGTTGCAGGATACAAAATCCACATACAAAAACCAGTTGCATTGCTCTACACTAATAATGAATATTGTATTCCAAAAAAGAATTCAAGAAATAATCTCATATACAATAGTGTCAATAAGAAATAAAATACTTAGGAATACATTTACCCAAAGAAGTTAAAAATCTGTATACTAAAAATTATATAATATCAGTAAAGAAAATTTTAGAAGACACAAATTGATGGAAAGATATTCTATATTCATGATTTGGAAAAATTAATATTATTAAAATGTCCATACTGTGTAATGTGATCTACAAATTCATTGCAATCCCTATCAAAATTCCAATGACACTTTCATATAAATGGAAAAAAAATCTTGTAGTTTGTATGGAACCACAAAAGACCCTGCACAGCTAAAGCAATCTTGATCAAGAAAAAGCTGGAGGCATCACATTTCCTGATTTCAAATTATATTACCAAGCTATAATAATCAAAACAATATAGTATTGGCAAAAATACAGACACATAGACCAACGGAACAGAATAGAGAATCCAGAAATAAATATACATACGTCGAAAAGAAATAATCACTATTTTGAAGAGATATCTGCACTCCCATGGCATGCAACATTATTCACCATAGCTGATATATGGAAACAAGTTTCCATTGACAACAGATCAAGAAAATGTGGTCAGATTAACGAGACAGAAAGTTAACAAGGGTATCCAGGAATTGAACTCAGCTCTGCCCCGAGTGGACCTAATAGACATCTACAGAACTCTCCAGCCCAAATCAACAGAATATACATTCTTTTCAGTACCACACCACAACTATTCCAAAATTGACCACATAGTTGGAAGTAAAGCACTCCTCAGCAAATGTAAAAGAACAGAAATTATAACAAACTGTCTCTCAGACCACAGTGCAATCAAACTAGAACTCAGGATTAAGAAGCACACTCAAAACCGCTCAACTACATGGAAACTGAACAACCTGCTCCTGAATGACTACTGGGTACATAACAAAATGAAGGCAGAAATAAAGATGTTCTTTGAAACCAATGAGAACAAAGACACAACATACCAAAATCTCTGGGACACATTCAAAGCAGTATGTAGAGGGAAATTTATAGCACTAAATGCCCACAAGAGAAAGCAGGAAAGATCTAAAATTGACACCCTAACATCACAATTAAAAGAACTAGAAAAGCAAGAGCAAACACATTCAAAAGCTAGCAGAAGGCAACAAATAACTAAGATCAGAGCAGAACTGAAGGAAATAGAGACACAAAAAAACCCTTCAAAAAATCAATGAATCCAGGAACTGGTTTTTTGAAAAGATCGACAAAATTGATAGACCACTGGCAAGACTAATAAAGAATAAAAGAGAGAAGAATCAAACAGGTGCAATAAAAATTGATAAAGGGGATATCACCACCGATCCCACAGAAATACAAACTACCATCAGAGAATACTATAAACACCTCTATGCAAATAAACTAGAAAATCTAGAAGAAATGGATAAATTCCTTGACACATACACCCTCCCAAGACTAAACCAGGGAGAAGTTGAATCTCTGAATAGACCAATAACAGGCTCTGAAATTGAGGCAATAATTAATAGCTTACCAACCAAAAAAGTCCAGGACTAGATGGATTCACAGCCGAATTCTACCAGAGGTACAAGGAGGAGCTGGTACCATTCCTTCTGAAACTATTCTAATCAATAGAAAAAGAGGGAATCCTCCCTAACTCATTTTATGAGGCCAGCATCATCCTGATACCAAAGCCTGGCAGAGACACAACCAAAAAAGAGAATTTTAGGTCAATATCCTTGATGAACATTGATGCAAAAATCCTCAATAAAATACTGGCAAACCACATCTAGCAGCACATCAAAAAGCTTATCCACCATGATGAAGTGGGCTTCATCCCTGGGATGCAAGGCTGGTTCAACATACGCAAATCAATAAATGTAATCCAGCATATAAACAGAACCAAAGACAAAAACCACATGATTATCTCAATAGATGCAGAAAAGGCCTTTGACAAAATTCAACAACGCTTCATGCTAAAAACTCTCAATAAATTAGGTATTGATGGGACATATCTCAAAATAATAAGAGCTATCTATGACAAACCCATGGCCAATATCATACTGAATGGACAAAAACCAGAAGAATTCCCTTTGAAAACTGGCACAAGACAGGGATGTCCTCTCTCACCACTCCTAATCAACATAGTGTTGGAAGTTCTGGCCAGGGCAATCAGGTAGGAGAAGGAAATAAAGGGCATTCAATTAGGAAAAGAGGAAGCCAAATTGTCCCTGTTTGCAGATGACATGAGTGTATATCTAGAAAACCCCATCGTCTCAGCCCAAAATCTCCTTAAGCTGATAAGCAACTTCAGCAAAGTCTCAGGACACAAAATCAATGTGCAAAAATCACAAGCATTCTTATATAGCAATAACAGACAAACAGAGAGCCAAATCATGAGTGAACTCCCATTCACAATTGCTTCAAAGAGAATAAAATACCTAGGAATCCAACTTACAAGGGATGCGAAGGACCTCTTCAAGGAGAACTACAAACCACTGCTCAATGAAATAAAAGAGGACACAAACAAATGGAAGAACATTCCATGCTCACGAGTAGGAAGAATCAATATCGTGAAAATGGCCATACTGCCCAAGGTAATTTATAGATTCAATGCCATCCCCATCAAGCTACCAATGACTTTCTTCACAGAATTGGAAAAAACTACTTTAAAGTTCATATGGAACCAAAAAAGAGCCCACATTGCCAAGTCAATCCTAAGCCAAGAGAACAAAGCTGGAGGCATCACGCTACCTGACTTCAAACTATACTACAAGGCTACAGTAACAAAAACAGCATGGTGCTGGTACCAAAACAGAGATATAGATCAATGGAACAGAACAGAGGCCTCAGAAAGAATGCCACATATCTACAACTATCTGATCTTTGACAAACCTGAGAAAAGCAAGCAATGGGAAAAGGATTCCTTATTTAATAAATGGTGCTGGGAAAACTGGCTAGCCATATGTAGAAAGCTGAAACTGGATCCCTTCCTTACACCTTATACAAAAATTAATTCAAGATGCATTAAAGACTTAAATGTTAGACCTAAAATCATAAAAACCCTAGAAGAAAACCTAGGCAATACCATTCAGGACATGGGCATGTGCAAGGACTTCATGTCTAAAACACCAAAAGCAATGGCAACAAAAGCCAAAATTGACATATGGGATCTAATTGAACTAAAGAGCTTCTGCACAGCAAAAGAAACTACCATCAGAGTGAACAGGCAACCTACAGAATGGGAGAAAATTTTTGCAATCTACTCATCTGACAAAGGGCTAATATCCAGAATCTACAATGAACTCCAATAAATTTACAAGAAAAAAACAAACAACCCCATCAACATGTGGGAGAAGGATATGAACAGACACTTCTCAAAAGAAGACATTTATGCAGCCAAAAAACACATGAAAAAATGCTCATCATCACTGGCCATCAGAGAAATGCAAATCAAAACCACAATGAGATACCATCTCACACCAGTTAGAATGGCGATCATTCAAAAGTCAGGAAACAACAGGTGCTGGAGAGGATGTTGAGAAATAGGAACACTTTTACACTGTTGGTGGGACTGTAAACTAGTTCAACCATTGTGGAAGTCAGTGTGGCAATTCCTCAGGGATCTAGAACTAGAAATACCATTTGACCCAGCCATCCCATTACAGGGTATATACCCAAAGGATTATAAGTCATGCTGCTATAAAGACACATGCACACATATGTTTACTGCGGCATTATTCCCAATAGCAAAGACTTGGAACCAACCCAAATGTCCAATAATGATAGACTGGATTAAGAAAAAGTGGCACATATACACTATGGAATACTATGCAGCCATAAAAAATGATGAGTTCATGTCCTTTGTTGGGACATGGATGAAGCTGGAAACCATTATTCTCAGCAAAGTACCACAAAGACAAAAAATCAAACATCGCTTGTTCTCACTCATAGGTAGGAATTGACCAGTGAGAACACATGGACACAGGAAAGGGACCATCACACACTGGGGACTGTTGTGGGGTGGAGGGAGGGGGGAGGGATAGCATTAGGAGATATACCTAATGCTAAATACGAGTTAATGGGTGCAACACAGCAACATGGCACATGTATACATATGTAACAAACCTGCACATTGTGCACATGTACCCTAAAACTTAAAGTATAATAATAAAATGAAATAAAAAAAGAAATGTAGTATATATATGAGATGGTATATATATGAGATCTCATATATATATATGTGAGGTATATGTGTGTGTGTGTATATATATATACACATATATATATAGTGAAATATTATTCAGCCTTTAGAAAAAGAAAGTCTTGCCATTTGCAACCATAAGGATGAACTTTGGGGATATTATGGACATTATCCTAAGTGAAGTAAGCCAAATAGTGCATAATATTTTTATGTGTGGAATCTAAAATAAAGAACTCATAGCAACAAAGAATAAAATGAGTAGAATGGTGGTTACCAGGGGTTGGGCAGTTGAGATATTGATTAATGGGTGTAAATCTTCAGCTATAAGATGAATAAGTACTAGATAGCTAATATACAGCATGGTGACTATAGTTAATAATGTGTTGTATACTTAAAATTTGTTAGGAGAGTAGATATCACATTTTCTCACCACAGAAAGGTAATTATGTTATGTAGTGAATATGCTAATTTCCCTGATTATAATAATCATTTCACAATGTAGACATATATCATAGCATCACATTGTGCACCCTAAATATATGAAATTTTTATTCATCAATCACACCTCAATAAAGCTGAAAAAAAGTTTTTTGTTTTTTTTTTTAAAGCAGGCAGGGGAAGGCTCAGCAGGCTCTAACTTCATCACATGATCCAAAACAGTGTCAGGTGGCACTCTAATTTCAAAGAAAACTCAGGTAGCTTTCTGTACTTTAGAGTAACATTTTATATTTTATTTTTTATATATTTTTATATTTTATTATTTTATATTTTTTATATTGCTATATAAAACTTTTGTTTCCCTTTCTTTCAAGTAGAAGTTTCATATGTTTACACCTCTTGGCTCAACTGCTTATAATAAGTAAAACATTAATGAATCATATTTCTAAACATAAAGACTAAACCCATAAAACTTCAGGCGGAAAATTTTGAAAAATGCCTTCCACAGCTTGGTTGTGCAGTGACTTCTTGAAAAGCATGCAAATGCACTAACCAAAAAAGATCACAAATTGGTAAATTTGGCTTCATCACATTTAAAAATTCCTGGTAATTAAAATACACTTTTAAAAGGTGAAAAGCAAACCACAGGCTGGACAAAATATTTTCCGTATTTATATTAGACAAAAAAAATTTCAAGAATAGCTAAAGAAATATAAATCAATAAGGAAAGACATACAGCCTAATTTTTAAGAAAAAGAAAAAGACTGGAACAAATATTTAACAAGAAAATATCTAAATGACTAATAAGCCTATGAAAAGGTATTCAAATATTTTACTTATCAGGAAAATGCAAATTAAAACATATCGAGGAGCAGCTGAAAAAGAGATAATACTACTTGTTTGCAAAGATGTGGAGCAACTGGAAATATCATGGGTTGCTTGTTGGGAGTTTAAAATGGAAACAATGCTTTGAAAACCTGTATTGCAGTTTCTAACAAAGAAAAATATATATGTACCCTATATTCCAAGGAAAGCTAGCCATTTGACTTTTATGTATTACTCCAGAGAAATGAAACAAAAATATATCTGCAAAAAGACAGTATTAGTATGTTTTCACACTGCTGACAAAGACATACCCAAGACTGGGCAATTTACAAAAGAAAGATATTTAAGGGACTTATAGTTCCACATGGCTAGGGAGGTCTCACAATCATGGCAGAAGGCAAGGAGGAGCAAGTCATGTTTTCCATTGATGGTGGCAGTCAAAGAGAGAGCTGTGCAAGGAAACTCCCATTTTTAAAGCCATCAGATCTCATGAGACTCGTTAACTATGAGGGGAACAGTGCAGGAAAAACCCAACCCCATAATTCAATCACCTCCCACCAGGTTCTTCCCGTCATACATGGGAATTGTGGGAGTTACACTTCAAGATGAGATTTCAGTGGGGACACAGTGAAACCATATCATTCCACCCCAGACCCCTCCCAAATCTCATGTCCTCACATTTCAAAATCAATCATGCCTTACCAACAGTCCCCCAAAATCTTAATTCAGCATTAACTCAAAAGTCCACAGTCCAAAGTCTCATCTAAGACAAGGCAAGTCCCTTCCACCTATAAGCCTGTAAAATCTAAAGCAAGTTAGTTACTTCCTACAGACATTGGGTAAATACAGCCATTCCCAATGGGAGAAATTGCTCAAAACAAAGGGGTTACAAGCCCCATGCAAGTCCAAAATCCAGCAGGGCAGTCAAATCTTAAAGCTCCAAAATGATATCCTTTGACTCCATGTCTCACATCCAGGTCAGGCTTATGCAAGAGGTGGGTTCCCATTATCTTGGGCAGCTCGGCCCCTCTGGGTTTGCAGGATGCAGCCTCCCTCCAAGCTGCTTTCACAGGCTGGTATTGAATACCTGTGGCATTTCCAGGCACATGGTGCAAGCCGTCAGTGGATATAACATTCTGGGGTCTGGAGGACAGTGGCCCTCTTCTCATAGCTCCACTAGGTGGTGTCCCAGTAAGGACTCTGTGTGGAGGCTCCATCCACATTTCCCTTCTGCACTGCCCTACCAGAGGTTCTCCATAAGAACCCTGCCTCTGCAGCAAACTTCTGCCAGGACATCCAGGCATTTCCATACATCCTTTAAAATCTAGGCAGAAGGGACTTGCCTTGTTTCAGATGAGATGTTGAACTGTGGGCTTTTGAGTTAATGCTGAAATGAGTTAAGACTGTGGGGGACTATTGGGAAGGCATAATTGGTTTTGGAATGTGAGGACATGAGATTTGGGTGGTGACACAGCCAAACTATATCAAAGTAGTACATAAAACAATCTGTGTTATCTTTATACAATTGATAGTAGACAACTATAAAAATGAACAAACTGAGACCACCCTGACCAACATGGAGAAACACTGTCTCTACTAAAAATATAAAATTAGCCAAGCTTGGTGGAACATGCCTGTAATCCCAGCTAAATGGAAGACTGAGACAGGAGAATCACTTGAATCCGGGAGGCAGAGGTTGTGGTGAGCTGAGATTGCGCCATTGCACTCCAGCCTGGGCAAAAAGAGTGAAACTCCATCAAAGAAAGAAAGAGAGAGAGAGAGAGAAGGAGAGAAGGAGGGAAATATTATGAAAAAAAGTGAGACAGAGAAAACCATACAGACCAGAGTGAAACGCAGTTAAAGCTAATCCGTGGTGGTAGAGGTCAGAATATAGATACCTTGAAGACTGGCTGGTTAAGGAACCCAAGGAAACCTTTTGAATGTTTCTTGACATGGTTGCAGATTACATGAGTATATACATAAGTAAAAATTCATTATGCATTTTATCGTATGTAAACTACACCTCAGTTTAATTGAAAAATAGATCTTATATATCTTTTATTATGTTTATTGACTTGATTTGTTAACAAAAGGGTGTGTTAAGATTCTCATCATTGAGAATCTCATGATTGGGAATTAAAGGTCTGTTTCTTTCCATTTCTCCTTGTGATTTCTGCAGCTTTTACTTCTGTATTTTGATGCCAAATTACTTGGTGCATAGAAATTCCTATAGTTTCCTCTTCACAGTAGAGGACTATCAGCATAATGATGCATAATGATGATAAAGCAGCCTTTTCTGTCCAATTTAAATATTTTTTAAAAATTTGCCTGACGTTCATTCTTTGGCTCTAGCTTTGTTTTTACTTCCAATTTACAAAATATATCTTTTCCCTTCTTTAAAAAAACTTCATAGTAAATTATGCATAAAGCTTACCATCATATCATTTTTAAGTGTACAGTTTACTGGTGTTAAGTACATTCATGTCCATCACTGCCACTGATCTCCAGAACTCTCTTCATCTTGCAAAAGTGAAACTCTATACCTCATTCCTCCCTCCATTTATGCCACGTCAAACCACCATTCTATTTTCTGTCTGTATGAATTTGACTATTCTAGGTATCTTATATAAGATACCTTATATAAGGTACCTTATATCTTATATAATATCATCTATATTATATAAGTGGTATCTTATATAAGATTCCACTTATGTGGAATCATATAGTATTTGTCCTTTTGTGACTGGCTTAATTCACATAGCATAATGTTCTCAAGGTTCTTTCATGTTGTATCACGTGTCAGAATTTCCTTCCTTTAAAAGGCCGAGTAATTTTCCATTATTTGTATGCCACATTTTGATGATTTACTCATCTGTCAATGAACAGTTGAGTTGCTTCCACTTCTTGACTATTTAAATGCTGCTGCTAAGAACATATGTGTATGAAGATCTCTTAAAGTCTCTTCTTTCAATTCTTTTGGGTATATACCCAGAAATAGAAATGCTGGATCCTATGGTAATTCTATTCTTGATTTGTTAAGAATATGCCATACTGTTTTCCACAAGCACTGTACCATTCTGCATTCTCACCAACAATGCACAAGAATTCCAACTTCTCTACATCTCTGCAAATACTTGTTATTTTCCATTTTTTTACAGTTTCCATCCTTAAGGGTGTGAGGTGGTATCTCATCGTACTTTTGATTTGCATTTCCTTAGTAATTAGTAATGTTGAGCATCTTTTCATATGCTTATTGGACATTTGTGTATCCTCTCTGGAGAAATGTCCTTTCAAGTTCATTGCCCATTTTTGAATCAGGTTGTTTGTTTTTAATGTCGGGTTTTAGGCATCCTTTATAGTATGAATATTCTCCACTTATTTTATATCTACTTATAGATATTTTCTCCCATTCCATGGGTTGGCTTTTTGCTCTGTTGATTGCATCCTTTGATGCCCAGAAGTTTTAAATTTTGATGTAGTCCTATTATCTATTTTTTTTTTTTTTTTTCAAAAGAATGCATTGCCACATCCAATGTTTTAAAGATTTTCTCATTTTTTCTTGTGAGTTTTATAGTTTTAGATGATACATTTAGGTCTTTGATCTCTTATATTTTCTCTTGCAATCTTTTCTAATCATTTAGTTTCAAGTGTGTTGGGGTTTGGTTTGGTTTTATCTTGAGAGTTATTTTTCGTTTCAATTAATTTATTTTTTTAAATTTACTAGGATGAAAGGCATGTGAACTTTCATGTATATTACTTCGTTTTACTTTTTTTGTGTTTTTTTGCTTCTCTGATTATTCTGCCTTTTTCCGGCTTTTGGATGCTGCAGGCATGTAATAAGTCATAAGAAATGAATGATGTGGACATTATGATTCTGCTCACATATATTTAAGAAAGCTGTCTATTGCCTCTGTATTGAACAATAGCTTTAATAGATTTCTTTGGGTGAATTTTTTTCCTTTGTATTGAACAGTAGCTTTACTAGATTTCTTTGGGTGAATTTTTTTCCTTTGTATTGAACAATAGCTTTACTAGATTTCTTTGGGTGAACTTTTTTTCCCTCAAAGCCTAACATATTATTTTAATGTCTTCTAGTGTAAACTATTTTTGGAGATTAAGGAATCCAGTCTGGAAGCTTTAACCTTTACAGACAACCTTTTTATTTCTAGGATTGCTATATCCTTTCTATATTTCTCAAACTAAAGTAGCTTTGTTATCTTTTATTTTTTTTCTCTGTCACCCAGGCTGGAATACAGTGGTGTGATCTCAGTTCACTGCAGCCTTGACCTCCTGGGCTCAAGCAATCCTCCTACCTCAGCCTCCTGAGTAGCTGAGACTACAAGTGCATGCCACCAAGCCTGGCTAATTTGTTTGTTTTGATTGGTAGAGATGAGGTCTCACTACATTTCCCAGTCTGGTCTCAAACTCTTGTACTAAAGTGATCCTCCCACCTTGCCCTCCCAAAGTGTTAGGATTACAGGTGTGAGCCACTGCCTCTGGTCTAAAGTAACTTTTCAACCTATGTCTTGGTGTAGATCTTTTAAAAAATGAATTGCTTATTAATACATTCCTGTAATAATTATAATACAAGTAATAGTGTGTTGAGCAGGCATATTGATAGGAAATAAAGATAAAATTAAGCAAAAAAGACACTCCCTACCTTAATGGAGTTTACAGCCAAGTGAAGAAGAAAGATATTCATTAAACTATTCCACAAATAAATGTCATATGAAAACTTAAAGCTTTAATAAGAGGATGAAACAACTCTGGAAAATCAGAAAAGAATGAATGGGAATCAACTCACTGATGTGCGATGATGGAGGATGCTGAGGGCTTTAGGCTGCAGCAACTTACTTAATAAGTTCCCAAGCAGGAGAGAACTTGGCTTCTACAGGGAATTAAAAAGTTTGCCAGAACAAGTTGGTCTGGAGACACAGGCAGCTCAGAGTCTTATTGGTCATGCTAAGGAGATCTGAGTCTTAGTTACATGAACAATCAAAAACTCCTGAAGAGTTCTAATTCTGTTGACAAATTATCAGATTTGTCTTCTGAAAGGAACACTCTGACAGTCTTGTGGAAAAGAAATTGGAAATGCTGTGGTAAATGCGGGTTACCTGTTAGTATAATAATACCTGTACAGTAGCCCAGGAAGAGAGAGAGATAGCATAGACAAATGGCTGTGGCAATAGAGAGTGGGGAGTGATTTGAAACATAATTAGGAAATGAAATTAAGAGACATCAGTGTTGAAATGACAGAGGAAAACAGGGTTCACAAAAGTGGTACCACTTAAAGATAGAATGCTGGAAGAGGACCAGTTTTTTGGGATAGGAGAATATGTATTTGGTTTTGGACACATTGCATTGCATACATTTATTTATCAAGTCATTCCACAAGAATGTACTGATTGTCTTCTGTGTGTCAGGCATTGTTGCAGGCTCTGGGGATTCAGCAATACATAATTTGATGATCGAATTTGATGTATCTTCACAACATCCAAGAGGAACTATCAGATAGGCCTTTGGACATATTTGGTCTGGACCTCAGAATGTAGGTGTGAATTCTGAGTTGCAACTATACATGTATGTGTCATTTGTGTGTAGGTGACAATTGAAGCTTGGGGCAAAGATGAGATGCTCTGATTCTTAGATTCTAAGGTGAGATCAATAAATAAGAAGAAAAAAAGGAGTCATCTCTGGGACTACACCTTGAGAATCTCAAGTTTTAATGGATGGCTTAGGAATTACTCAAGTTAGGAGGCAGAAAGAGCCAGCAGAGAAGTAGGAGGAAAACAGGAAAGAGCTGTGACCCAGAGTAAAGGGCCATAGAGGTCAGCTGTATCAGATGTGACCAAGAGCTCAAGTCCAAGAAGGTCTGAATAATAACCCTTGTGATGGGGAGGTTATGACTGACCCCCAGGGGCTATTTCATTGAAATAATGGGATCAGCGGACAGTTTGGAGATGGTGGGGTGTGACTGGGAAATAAGAAAGTTGGAATAGCAAGTATGGAGGCCTCTTCCCAGAGAGGAAGAGGTGGCATGGCCTCTGGAGCCAGACAATCCAAGTTTAAATCCTGATGCTGCCATATGTTAGCTGGGAGACCTTGGGCAGATCAGCCTCTGAGACTCGATTGTCTCATGAGTAATAACATGACAACCTAGGACCTGCTCAGGGAGTGATGGTGAGGATTGTACGAGATAATACATGCAAAGTGCTTAAAGCAATGTCTATCTTGCAAAGCTTGATGAATGTTAGCTGCTAGTACTAGTTATGTGTGGGTTCAAAGAAGGCTTGTAAGTCTTTCTCTTCCTTTCTTCTCCTTCCCCATCCTCTTCTCCTTTTCCTTCTCCTTCTTTTCCATCTCCTGTTTCTTTCTTTCTTCATCTTTGTGTTCTTCCTGTTTCTATTTTTTCTCCCTCTTTCTATTTTTTCTCCCTCTTTCTATTTGTTCTCCTCCTCTTCTTCTCTCCCTTCCTCCCTCTCCTCCTTCACTTTTCCTCTTCTTTCTCCTCCTCTTCCTTCTCCTCATACCTGAGCATTAGTTTCCACATTTTGTTTTTTAGTAATTCTAGGAAATCTGACCTATGTTTTACTGGAATAGGTTATTTGGGAAGTGCTAATGATTTTTCAAACACACACACATTTAAGTAGACTTTTTTTTTTAACAGAGAGGCAACAAGCCAAGTAGCAAAGATATAAGCAACAATCAAATGGAGCCTGAAATATGATAAGAGCATACATGCACTTTAACAATAATTTTGATACTGGAATGATTATTTCAGAAGCAATATTTTTTCTGAAAAGCATTGGTCTTCTGTACAGAAAAATAAAAAAGTGAGCTGCCACTCATAGTGAATTAAGAGCTGTGGGCTGAAAGGGTCTCTTTTATAGCCAGTTTGAAATTTTTCATATAATAAAAACAGTATGTAAATATTATATATATATACACACATACATATATATGCATATATGTACATATTTCTGCCATTACTTTACTTTTATTCATTTAACAAATGTTTCCTAAGCTGGAATCTTGCAGAGATTTTGTAACAGTATGGAGAGTAGGTCTCAGAGAAGAGCATTCCTTTCATGATGTGGCTGCATGGGAGAAGAGTTCATGGGCAGAGGCTCAGAGCCATAATTAGGCACCTCGCAGGAAGCTTCTGCTGTATGGCAGGTGGAAGGGGCTGCTTCCTCCAGAAAGAGCCCAGGGAGGCTGTGCAGACAGTGGTCTTTGATCCAGGACTTAGAAGATGAGTTCTCTGGTCAGGAAGAGACAATGAAAACCCTTGGCATCCGGAATTTGGGGAATAGGCAAGGACTCATGCAGCCAGCAAGTACAGTTCGTGAAGGAGCAGGAGCTATTCTCAATCTCAGTTCATTCTAACAGCCATTCCTGTCTGAGCAGGTTATGATGCTTTGTAACCACTCTTCTGTATCCCCTGAGAGTTTCATTTATATTTTCACTACCATGCATTTTTAGATATAATATCAGTATAAGTTTAACAATCATATTTTGGCTACAGGCCAAAACAGTGCTTATAAACAGTTTTATAAAATAAGAAGAACCTTCCTGTATTCTTCAAAGTACTAAACCTGTGACTTTTTTTTCTTTTTTCTTTTTTTGAGACAGGGTGTCACTCTATCATCCAGTATGGAGTCCAGTGGCGCAATCATGGCTCACTGTAGCCTTGACCTCCCAGGCTCAGGAGATCCTCCCACCTCAGCCCCCGGGTAGTTGGGATTATAGGCGAGCATCAACGTGTCCAGCAATTTTTTTTTTGTATTTTTGTAGAGACAAGTTCTCGTCATGTTGCCCAGGCTTGTCTCAAACTTGTGGGCTAAGGTGATCCTCCTGCTTCGGACTCCCAAAGCATTGAGATTACAGAGGACAGCCACTGAGCCTGGCCCTACACCTGTCTTAATCTCATTTCAGAAACTCTACTGCCTAAAGCAGATGTCAAAACTCTTCAGCAGAAGCAATGGTTGTGATAAAGTTTTAGAGTAGAGAGTCACTAAGCTTGAAAAACAATAGCAGGTTATATGAACTTTTGAAGAAATTAGCCGTTTATTTTTTTCAAGGAGAGAAGTAGCCAAGAAGCTGAAAAAATATGAAAGCTATATTGCCCACTCCATTGCAATTTCCAAATTCCCTTCTGGGTATAAGCCCTCTCAGAGGATAACTGGAAAGGCCATATACTCAGTGCATGTAAAGAACTCTGGCTTGTTTTTCATTGCATCAGGAATGAAAGAAAGACATTATCGGCCAGTGTGCAGGGTTTTCTGGGGAGAAGCTGAGCTGAAGTGACTTAGCATGCTTTATGTTGCCTGATTAATGTCAAGCGAGGGGGCCACTGAGTGAAAGTTCATAGCAATGCCATTTTCTGTAATTGAAAATGCTATGCAAAAAATAAAATATGTCAACAGTTCCTGCTGCCTGCCTCATATCCTGGAGAGCTGTGTACATTTTAAGTTATCCCTGCAACTTAAAAGAATTGTAACCACAGAGATTGTGAGGGGAGCAGCTGGTTTGCAAAGTTGCTTGGGGTAAACCTGTCAGAGCTCATGAGTAAACACAATCTGAAAACAGAGGCTGCTCGTGGGGAAATCAGTTGCTTTTTCAACAAAATAAAAGGAAGAGTTTTGCTCAGGGCAATGTGACGATGACGTGCAACTGTTCTGCATTAACTACAACTTTTTTTTTTGCTTTCTCATTGCCCAGTTCCCCTTTATTCTACAGCAAGAAATTGAGGTTGTATATTGCACACTGGGAATATCTAAACTGGAAATAATTAAAATATATATTTCATTTATAGTGGGTCTTATGTGAGGAGAAGTAAAGATTGCCACAGCTTCCTGAGTATATGAGTTAATGATGTGTTCTGCATTTTCTTGATTTTCCACATTTTAACTGCCTCTGTTCCTCATTTGGGGGTAGGGAACTTTGAGAGGCATGGAATACAGACTTGCATGAGCAGAAACGTACAGCTTTTGAGCATGTGAGGGGATGGCGTGGAGAAGGTTGGGTTCATCATGTGGTTTCTTGGCACTATTTTTCTCCAGTTTCTCCCTTCAGTGTCAAAGCAAGCATGTTATCAAGAATGTTTCAAACCAGAAATTGGTTTAAGACCATTGCAGTATCCTATTAGGTTGTGTTTTTAGAATATGATGAACAAATGGATCTTCAAAATGAAGTTCCAAAAATGACAGTTAAAAAAGGAATACAGACTCATTGAAGGAAAAAACCTACAAAAGACTCTGTGTGTGTGTGTGTGTGTGTGTGTGTATGTGTGTGTGTGTATGCATGTGTGGGTGTGTGTGTGTGTTGTAAGTACATTCAATATATATCCATACTGAATGAAGTCATTGGTAAAGTAAAGCAAAATTCCCGTTCTTCAGACTTAATTAGGACATCATTTTGATGGAGGCTAAGTTAGCAAAAACACAGCTAGAAACTGGGTACAAAGGGCAAATTGATTGTAAATCTTGGAGATTGTTTGTATGACTGGGTTGCATGACTGAAGCTTAAAAAGTAAAAAGTGTCTTACATAGAATTGCGAGTGTGCTTTTGGTCATGGCTAGCTATAAAGGGAAGAAATATGAAAGTCATTCTCAAAATGTTTGGAGATAGAAACTCTGTGGGGGTAAATCCAAGGGGTCAGAATGCATTCTTATTTATTGTGTGAGTTTTCAAATTGTGAAGAAATATTATTTCTAGAATGAGTTCAAAGTTGACTCAAAGTGATAACTAAAGGCAATGAATTGAGAAATAAAAGTGTGAAAGACATGAAACATTTTATCCGTTTAATCCCCATAAAAACTCAATGAAAAAATGAAAAAGTGTCTTCCTCAATAGCAATTCACAGCCTCTGGCTCAGAGCTGGGACATGTGGAAGGAATACAGACATGCTCTCCCAAATTGCTTGGCATCCTTGGACTAGACAGTAGATTTCTCTGAAGTTACATCCCAACATTACAATCATCCAAAATCACGTGAATATGGTGATCCATCTCATTGAATGGAATCTGGATTTATTATGCCAGCCAGAAAACTAGAAAAGAAAATTCTGATGGTTGAGTAAAGAAGAGGAACAAATAGCAAGAGGGATGAATTGGGTTCTGTCAGGTTGGAAACCCCCCAGAAACAGACCCTGCAACAAGCAGCTTATCAAGAGGCGATCCAAGAAGTGGTGTGAGGGAGCGGAGGGGAAAGGCAAGGCAGGAGTGGAGGTCCATAGATAATTCTTTTGTGGGCAACTGGGGCCTGATCTTTCTGGACACCCTGGGAAACTGTAGAAAGCATTTCAGATTTGCCCCCACCCAAGGGACAAAGAAGCTGGAGTGCTTCTACCTAACATCCTGTTACTGCTTAAAGTTTGCTCTGAGGGTATCCATGTCTGGAAGCCTCTATGCTTCAGACTTGCCCAAGAGAGCAAATTCTCCTTCTCTATCCAGAGAAAGCCTGCAGGAAGGCAGTCACAGGGATTTGCAGTAAAGCCAAGTGTGTGTACAGAATCAATGTTCAAAGCTATGTAGATGGGATGGACTGTATTTTCTATTAGGACTCCACTGCCATTGGTAACACAATTTTTCCAAAGAAGACATAAGTCAGGAGGAACAAATGTCATCTCCCCCAGGCCTCCCACCTGCCATCTCCACTGCTAACAGAATGTTCGTGTAGGAAAATATTGTTACTCCTCTTAATTGGTGAGAGCAACCCTCCCATGATGAATGAAATAACTATGGCTATCTGTGGTCTGTTGGCTTAGGTTGAGGGTAGTGGTAGTGAGGCGAAGATACAGTTTGAATGTTCATGTAAATCTATCGTGACTTTTCCATCCCAGGAACAGAATAATGTACAACTAATGTGACTCCTTCATCTTGTAGTTGTACATTATTTATTGTTTTTGAGAAGTGCCAAACAACAGCATAGAATATGTGTATAAAAATGTTAACATATCTAGTAAAAATAGGTTCAAAAATAACATCCTGTATGATGCATTCCTTACCAATGGTGAATCAAACATCAGCTTTGTTAATAGACAACTCATTTTTATTATTTTTATAACCAAAAGCAATTCTTTACAATATCCTTTGCCCATGCTTCCTTAGTAGGAAGAAAAAGAGAAGGAAAATAATGGCTAGTAAGTGGATAATAGCAAGTTAGAGGATCCTTTGCAATCCTGGCTGGCTCTGTCCTGTGCGCCTTCTTTCCTTATCCTTAAAGGTTTGTGAACTTCTTGTCACCAGCAGACAATTGAGATTCAAACATATGTCAGTGTCATTCTGAACGAAAAATGGAAGTGTGATCCTTAAGAAAAATGGCTCTGCATATTATCATAGCTTCTTAGATTTGGAAAATAACCCTGGTGTCTGGAAAAAATTGAGAGAATCTTACTTTCAGGTTAAATGCCATATCCCTTTCAACTCCAAATACATTAGTATTTCTAAAGTAAGAATAAATGATTCTGAGACTCCGTTAGTGAAAACTAAGTGTGATTTCCTGATCCAACAAGGCTAACTTACATTGTACTAACACAGTGAGAAGTAATAATCTCCCACTCAGTAGCCTATCTTGTCAACAGATTGCTTCTAATCCAGAGCTCTCCTTAAACCTCCCCTTATTTTCACCTAGGCAACAGGGCATAGGAAGCAGAATTGGCAGGAGGGGGTGTTCCCAAGGAGTCAGGGGTTTGCCTTCTGCACAGGTGCTTGTGCTCACTTAGATCCTGCCAGCCTTACCTGGATGGTGCTACCACTCTTCTTGGTGCAGAGCCAAGGACTGAACCATCATCACTGTCAATGGACATTTCCTGTGATTCTCATTCATTTTGAAGTATTTGAAAAAGCCCAATCCCTGACTGCCAGGAAAGAAAACGTGAACTGACATGTAACTAGCCCTGTCTGGCACCCACCACTTTACTTATTAGGTGGCATCTGGTCCCTATACCCACGTTTTGGTGTCAGTTTCTTCATCTTTATGAATGATCTGAGGCTGGGAGAGGGTTGGCCCCAGGTCTCACTCATTGAAGAGATTTGAATCCAGGCGCATCTCATTCCAACACCCATATTTATCCAGTGCATTCTCTAGGGCAAGATATTTCCCTTACATGTTTTCCTCTTAACTGCTTAAAAAGTTCTTTTGGCACAGTATTCCTGTATTCTAGTAACAAACTACAATGTTATGTGTCAGTATTCCTATTCCATAAATAAGAACCTGGAGGATGTGAAATAAGTGATGTGTAAATGCGTGAAAGATAGCAGCACTGGGCTCCAAACTCTAGACTATAGAGGAAAAAGACCTGTTTACACCACTTTCCCAACTTTACACCCAAATGCCAGTGAGTGAGGCAGTCAGGTTCCCTGCCATGCAGAGTGAGATTCTGTGGGATTCCCTGTCTTATACATACACTGTGCTAGATTTGAGGTGGCCACAGAGTCTTTGCTCCTCCATTCATTGAAGGGTGGAGTCTTACTCCCCATCCCTCCTTGAACCTGGGCTTGACCAATAGAAGACAATGGGTTTGGTGCTTTGCAACCTCTGCTCCTGGTCCTGAGAGGTCTTGCAGCCTCCTTCTGGGTGCTGGCAACTCTTTCTTGGAAAGTTCACCCTGGTGCAAGCCGGCAACTATGAACAAAGGTAAACAATTCTCAGACCACCACGCTGTGAGAAGCCCAAATGTAGGGAAGGGTATCAGACATGAGAGTGAAGAAATTACCCTGGAAGTTGGTCCTCTAGCCCCAGCCACCCTGGTGGATCAGAAAGAAACCGCCCAACCCAGAAAACCATAAGAAAAATAAATGGTTATCAGAAGTCACTAACTTCTGAGGTGGTTTGTTACAGGGCAAGAAATTACTGGGACATATATTCTGTGTTCAAAAACAATTTTGAGCAAAACCAAACTTAGGGACACCTGTGTCCACTACCACCCCTTCCCACCTGTAGTTCAGCACACTGGCGTCCTTACTTAACATGACATGATCCAGCCAAGGCTGGATGGTTGGGGCACTAGTGAGAAACAAATCCATCTTCCACCCCCATTAGTATCTGTGCCCTCCCACTTGTAAACTCAGGATTTTGCTCACTATTAGAACTTAGAGGAGGTCCCAGACACCAGATGCTATGACAGTACCACAGAAAAGCATCAAATAAATGGCTTAAATAAATTATCTGTCACTCAAGGAAATACTCTTACCATCTGCAGAGGTAAGAACTCCTGGTCTCACCTCTGCATGTCAAAAACTCCAAAGAGCTACAAGAAGAAAACCTTGAAACTCATGTTCTCCCAATGTTCAGTCTTCTTCTCAACACAAGGCATATCAGATTGGAAGCTGACCCCTGTGTCCTGACACCATGGATTCTATAAACTTGCTGAATGACTGATGGAGACTGATGCCATCTTCCTAAAAAATGAGCCATTGTGGTCCTTAGCAGTGGGCAATAAAAAGGAGAGCTATCTACTGCATTAATAAGTGAGCCAAGGCCCGATTTTGAGATATACTCTTTTCAAAAGCTTTCCCATGATAATGAGGACATACCATGGTTATAAGACTGAGGAATGTTATTTGGTTTAATTCCTGATATTATTTGTGATTCAGCAATGGGGCTGGTCACACTGTATATAGATTTCAGATTATTTGGCTTTCCACATTCAGCAGCACTAGGCTAGTCGGTACCCACATTCTGGCTTTTTATTAGGTTCTATCTCCCTGGGGGGTAGGGTATATACAAAATCCATTTTGTCTCTTCTGCTATTTTGGAGACTGCTCTGAAAATGTTTTTCATGGTTTTGCATGACTCTTGGGATCACGATTTGCATCTTAAAAAAAGGAGTCATGGAAAATATTGCAAGATATGCATTTGGTGGAGAGAGAATGCTTTTCAGCTTGAAGCTATTTGGGGGTCTGATGATCTGATGATCTTTCTGTTGTCGGAGCTTTGAGCAGGCACATGCTGTAGAGATGCTCATGTGTCACTGGGGAGCTGGTTTCTGATGCGACTGGGACTTATAGATATTTGATAAGTCATCTTTTCCTTCTGATACTGCCGTCAATTCAGTGAATTGAATACATACAGAGTCTATGGTAGGAGAGCAAAAGATCAAAAGGCCCACTATGTTACCTCCCCACACTGTCTATTTTTTAGATATGTTGGGGCCAGACCAAATGATCAGCTGCAGAATACCAAACAGGATTGTTTGAACCAAGAAAATAAGAGTTTGGGGGCCATTTGTGATTTGCTTCACTGGAATACGTTTCTATGGGTCAATATTGGCATCAAGAAGCTGGAAGACTAGTAAATTGTCATGGTGCTGTGGAAGTAAGAGGATGTGGCCTGACTACTTGCTGCTACAAGGAGATATATGAGGGTGAAACTCATGATAACTGTGGCCTTTAAATGGCAACATCTCTGTTAGTAAAGGGAATAGTTCTACTCACTCAGTTTATTTTCAAGGCCTTTGTAACTAGAGGCAGAATTAAAACTTAGGACTGAATTCTAGTGCTTTAAATATTTCAACAATCACATTAAATCATATTTAATCATATTACCCAACTCTGTAAATAATAACACAAATTGTATTTAAAACACTGTAGGGCAGTGTATTAGCCTTCTCCAGAAAAATAGAAGTGATAGGATACGCATAGATGTATAATAGGATATTTATTATGGGAATTGACTTACACAATTATGGAGGCTAAGAAGCATGCTGGAGAACTGGAAAAGTCAGTGGTATAATTCAGTCCAGGCCTGAAGACCTGAGAACCAGAAGCTCTGATTCCAAGGGCAGGAGAAGATAGATGTCCCAGCTCAAGAAGAGAGAGAGAGAGAGTTCACCTTCCTCCATCTTTTTGTTCTGTTCAGGCCCTCGATGGATTGGATGCTGTCCACCCACACTTGTGAGGGCAGATATTCTTTACTCAGTCCAGTGATTCAAATGCTAATCACTTCCAGAAACCTCCTCACAGACATACTCAGACACACTGTTTCACCAGATAGCTTGGCATTCCTTAGCCCAGTCAAGTTGACACATAGGATTCACCATCCCAGGCAGGCATGGAGGTGTGCCACTTGGATCTCCCATCAGAAAGGAACTCGCTGTTAGGAGTGCTGATAGCAGGCAGACCCCAGCTGTGGAGCTTTGGGGGTCTTCCATAGCAAATCACTGAAATCTCACATTTTTCAGGTGGCCCCTGGTCAAGGATGAAGCATGAAGGACCCATCTGACACACACTGAATAAGGTAGAGCATGCTTTTTTTTTTTTTTTTTTGAGGTGGAGTCTTGCTCAGTCACCCAGGCTGGAGTACAGCGGCGCGATCTCGGCTCACTGCAAGCTCCGCCTCCCAGGTTCACACTATTCTCCTGCCTCAGCTTCCCGAGTAGCTGGGACTACAGGTGCCCGCCACCATGCCTGGCTAATTTTTTTATTTTTTTAGTAGAGACGGGGTTTCACCGTGTTAGCCAGGATGGTCTCGATCTCCTGACCTCGTGATCCACCCGCCTCGGCCTCCCAAAGTGCTGGGATTACAGGCTTGAGCCACCGCGCCTGGCAGAATAAGGTAAAGCAATGTTTTTTCCACCTCTGGCTTGGTGCTTAATCTCCTATCACAGAGCTACCAGCTGAAAGGCCAGGAGAACTGCAGAGCAACTGGCAAAGCTGGCGAGCCATTGTTTGCTGCATCTGAGAGCCAGCAAGTAGACCTCTTTGCTGATTCGTTCTAACTCCCTAATCTCGAAAGCTACTAGGTTTCCCAAAGTTTATTTTGCGTTTAAAGTATTATGAGGATTATCTGTTGGGCTTTCCATAGTTGAATAACTAAAAAACTATCAAATAATAATACTGCTAAATCAAATGGCCCAAGCTCCAAGTGGAACTCACATGAAAATATTTTTACCGTAAATTCTATTACAAAAGAGTTTCACCATGGAAGGATTTATTAATCATGTGATGAGGTTTTTAGACCGCAAAAGTCAAGCATCACTTTTGAATATATTTTTGCTATCTTTAGAACTCAGTGACAAAATCTGATGTCTGAGAAACCTAGCAGCCACCATGCCTGGCTCTAAGGAAGGGCATGCATGGTTAGTCCTTATGCTCCATCATGCAGCTGCTCTCTCGAAGGAAAAAATGAGACCTCAGGGTTTAAGAAAGCCCAACATCGAACACAGTGCATCAGCACCCATTACTTTGAATTATGAAACAGCCACCCCTGGAAATTCTAAGGCAATATATCTACATGTTTTGTTGAGTTGATCATCAAATCAACGAATAAGATTTCTGATGTGTTGGACTCTGTAGTTATCCAAATGTTGATTATTGTAAGGGGGTTGATTGTGTCTTGGTAGCCTTTTTAGCATCCAGGAAACCACACTGTCTGTTAAAATAGGTAGAAAAAAAAAGAGAGTTAGGTGTATATGATATAATATTTATAAAAGTACAACATTTGCAAAGGCCTTGATCATATGAATCCTCACTTGTTCCAAGTGTATTGTTGGGAAAGTTATTTTGAACTGATGAACAGTTGTGGATGTTAAAATGTGGTTTTATTTCTAAAATTTGCATGTAATACCACAAACTAGTGGGTAAAATGTTTTTTTTTCAAAACTAGATGAAAATAAAAGCTCTGAAGTAAAAATTATGCCTCCTTCTAGCTGTGTGATCCTAGACAAGTTAATTAGTCTCTCTAAACCTCTCTTCACTCTTCTATAAAAATGGTGGCTCTGGTATTCTAGACATCATGGTGGTGATAATTGTATCATCATTATCACCAGCATTATAGTTATAAAAATATATTATGAAAGTTCAAAAATCACTTGAAGCCTTATTTACCGTATGCTTTTATTAAATTTTTTTAAACTGCAAGTACAAGAAACTCTAACCCGGTCAAGTCATAATGGTTATCATAAATTCTGAATCCGTGGGATTCATTTAATAAGTGAAGGAGCTACTTTGAGAACCTTTAAGATGATGGTTAAATTTATTTGAAGTATTTACTGTTGCTTTTGCTATATAATTGTGATTAAAGATATGTTTCTCAGATATTTCTGAAGTAAACACAGTTAGCTCCATCCAGTTAGCCCCCTGCACAAATCTCAAGTGCATTAATAAATCCACTAGTAAGTGATTTTTTTAATTCTGAGAAAAAATGTTGAAGATCACATTGAAATAGAGCCAGATGGTCAGATATGACTTTTCACAGTAGGTGAATGCTCATAATTTACTTCATACTAAAACAACCACAAAAGCAGAAATCATGGTGAATGGCTTCCAAGAACATCAAATCCAAATAATCTCAGGGGTTTTATGTTCTGTCAAACATTTCATCAAATGGCATGCGAAATATATCTTTCATGTCCTTTTCATTTTTAAAACGCCTATATTCTTTACATTAGAGGAAAGAACTTTTGATATGTGTTTTAAATTACCACATATAATAACATTCTTCTCTAGAAATGTATTGTTTCCCTGCTTAATCCAATGCAAGAGTTTTTGTTTGTTTGTTTGTTTATATAAGCACAGCTGATCCATTTAATTCTCTTTCAGATAAAACTTTTAAAATTCAAAGTCATTCTCTTCTACCTTAAATAAAACAAATAAATAGTTATGATTTCAAGCACACAGGATATTTCTGCTCTTTTCTACTGGATGGAATGAAAAAAATGATGAATAGGTAATATATAGTAGTCAAGATGATAACTAATCTGATTTCAAAAAAGAAATGTGGGCTTGAGTAGTGAAAGAATTGGGAAATGTGTTATCTAAATATGTCATGGGATATATTGACTTTAATCTGTAACATATGCGAAGTTTAATCATTAAGCAATGAATTCCTTTTCTGAGGTCCGTATGGTGAATATCAATGAATATAATATTTTTTGAACTGAATGAAATGCCCAAGCCCAATCTCTCAAGATTTAATTACCCACTTAAAAGTCCCTAGAGTTCTTGAAAGAAGCCCTGAGACCCATAGATCATAATCCTTGATGGAAGCTGTGCACTGGAAGGCAAGCAGAGGCAAGACCAGTACCTTCTAAACAGTACCTGTTTAGAATTTTAAAGTGGGTAACCATACATATGGAGACCTCACCCCCATCCCCACTTATTGGAGCCCTCTGTATAGACCACAAACCCAAGGTTCCTTACCTTCTGGCAATAATAATAACTGCATAAGAGAATAACATGCACTTCCAATTACAGAATGTTTGCAATATCCTAGGCACCATGTGAGATACTTAACATGAACTAGCTCTAATTTCCACATAATTCAGTCAATTAATCATTTATTCATTCTTTTAATGAGTTTTTATTGCACATCTACTACAAGCCAGACCCTGGCCGAGTTTGTGGTGGTGAACAAGTCTCACAGAAATGATGCTGTGGCACAGTGAGGAGATGGCAGCAGACACATGCGGAAATCCACAGGGATCACGCAGTGAGGCTGGTGTCCCAGCAGAATGAGCTTTGTCATGTCACAGACAGAAGTGGAGGTCGGGGGTGGTGGCTGTGTTACACTGAAATGAGAGGAAAGACTTTTCAAAGGAAATGCCCTTGAAGCTGAGGCTGGAAGGACACGGAGGAGCTGCCCAGAGGGAACAGCCAGTGCTATTTCATGATGGGACAGAGCATGGCAGGTATGAGCAAGAGAAAGAGGCCAGTGTGGCTGGAGCGTAATGCAAGAAAGAGAGTGTGACAAGGTGCAGCTGAGCAGGTGGGAGGGGTGGCATCAAACGGGGCCTAGGATTTACGATGTGACTTGCAGAACAATAGGAAGCACCAAAGATTGAAAGCCTAGTAGTGACATGAGTTTATGATGTTTAAGGATTCTTCCACCTGCAATTCAAGGTGGATTGGGGGGTCAGATGGGGCAATAGTGGGTGAGATTTTAATTAGGAAGCTCCTGTAACCCAGCCAATAAGGATGGCAGCATTAGCTATGGGATGACCATGGAGAGGGAAGACGATGAAAGATTTGAATGTTGAACTAACGTGACTGGTCAGTGAAGTCAACATTGGAGATGAGAGAATAAAGGGTTTTGGCCTTAGCAACCTGGTCAGCAAAGAGACCATGAGTAAGATGGGAAAGGAATTTTATGGAGGAAGTTCAGGAGATTTATTTTTAGATATGTTCATTTTGAAAATCATTTGGACAACCAGGCTGAGGTTTCAAGCAGGCAGATTAAATACAGGTCTATGATTCCTTATTCACAATTCAAGAATCCATAAATGTCCAAGAAGTGAAAATTATTTAAATACCTCTTTTGACAGCAAAATATAACCTGAAACAATATGAGGCTCTTGACAGTCATAGTTTAGCCCCCTGGGAATGTCCATATGTTCACAGCAGAGTTTTTGATGTGTTTGATTGTGGGGTGATACCGCAGACCCCACTGAGGGTATAACACACACCAGGTGACTTCACTAAAATCCCCACGGTGAAACACATTTGCGGCCCTTTTCCCTGCCCCTGGATTTTGCTAAGGATCTGGGGGGTTCTGTGGAAGTCTGAAGGTCAGTGGACAGGACGGGTTTGGAGATGCGCATTTGGAAACTGTACCCCTCAAGTGACAAGGAAATGAGTGTGGATTTAAGAAGATAATGACCGTTCTCTGAAGTTTTAATGGAATTTTTAAGCAAGAAAACCCTTACCCTGTGAAAACTTCAGTCTGCACAGAAGAATTGGTGGGAGAAGGAAGACTTTGCCTAAGATCACTTTATATAGCACAACCCAGACCGGGGAGAAGGCAGAGTTATGCCCAGCATATAGCCTTGGCAGCATATAGACTTGGCAGGAGAAAGCCTATCTGCAGATTCCATGATCCTGGGTTTATACTTCAGCCTAGCCCTTTGACCAAGGTTTTCAGGAACTGAGTTTTTTTGAAATATGGTTATTAATTTTGGCTTAGAAATCATTTTATTTTATTAATGCTTTTTTATTTATTAAGACGGGCATAAATTTTTCCATGACACTCAGAGTATAAAAATGCCACAGTTTGCTATTTTTCAAAAAATGTCAAATTAAACACAGCTTGAGCTCCCACTCACCAGCCTAGGTAAGAAACCCAGGATCTGTAAATTTGGTGGAGACCTCCTCCTCCATCCTGTCCCCCAGTCCCAGAGCACCTAGCTCAGACCCCCACAGTTCCTTGGAGGGTGGCCAGGTCCTCTATTTTCACCTGTGGTGACCCATGCTGCTGAGGATGCTGCACCTCCATTGTCCATGTGCCCCTAGGGGGATGGGGTTTCACCACTCAGGCTACAGGGTTGGAGTCAGATCTGATCTTCTGCATACATGGAACATCCCTTCTATCCAGGGTCATTATCCCAGGGTGTTGTTCTCACTAGTCTTTGACCATTAAAGCCCCCAGTCTACCTCCACACTTCTTCCCTGGACAGTCCTTCAATTACTTGCAGGCGAGACAGGAGCTTATGCCCTTTCAGGTAAGTCCATAGCAGCAACATAAATACAAGACGCTAGCAAGTTCTTAAGTCATCCTCCCTCCTACAGACTAAAGAGAGCAGGCAAACAACCAAACAAATAAAAAATCCTACAACGATCTTCTTCATTGATGTCCTCTCAAAGTACAAAAATATAAAATGCTTGGGATAATTAAGATGCAAAGAGAGGGAGAGAACAAAGTTTGAGAAAGGAAAATGTTATGGAGTAAGTATGATTTTTAGTTTGGTTTTACAACATTCCAGATGTTTTCCTATTTGCTCAAAGTGATAGTATGCAGTCCTCAAAGTCTAATCTAATTTATGTCTCTAAACTGGCACCCAATGAGACATTTTGGGGAAAGATTGAAATAATTTGCTAAGTCAGACACACCATCGTAAGTGGCATTTTGTTTTTGAACAGAATGCTTTTTCTCCCCAGTAATTAAACTATTATGTATTAATTTACAACAATTTGAAAATACAGAAAATGTTATAAAGGACAAAATTAATATTGCCCATGATTTTATTACAGAAATAACCATTTTGTATTTTCCTTCCGGTTTTTGTCTCTAAATGCTGGCTCCGTATCTATGTATTTACATTTTTTACATAGCTGAGGTATTAAAATATATTCTAGTTTGTGTTCTGCTTTTCTTTCAATATTTTCAGATTGTCGTGTTTCACTCTCAAGAAATATGCTTAATATTTCTGATTTCTTAACATAATGTGTTTGAAATTAAAGACTTGGGTCAAAGAACATGAACATTTTTATTTAATTTTTTTATTTAAATTTTTTCATTGCAACTTTATTCTTATAAAATATATATTGTCTTTTATAAATTTGGAAAATATAAAAACTGTGAAATGAATAAAATATAAATCATACATATTCCTGTAACCTCAATACAATTATTGTCAGGCTGTGACATGTATAATCACCTATGATTTTGTACACACATATTTCTACTTCTCTTATTAATACTACTGACTGTTATATTGTGAGTATTTTCCTATACCATTAAATATTCTTTGGAAACACGATCTTAATGGTCCTCTTCCTCTCATACATGAGAGGAAGGCATTTTCCCTTCATTGGCTCCATTTAGGCTGTTCTCCAACTTTTCCCTGTCTCAAACACCATTGCCACAAACATCCTCCAGGCTGAGTCTCTGAACTGCTCCTAACTTAATTGCCCTCACTCCAAAAGTGAGGGCAGGTAAAGGGACTTCAGGCTGCCCTCAGCACGTTTGTGTCCCCTGAGCAGACTACAAAGCAGTGTTCTCTGGGTGGAGGGATCACAAAGACACCCCTCCTCTCACACGACCCATTAGAAAATGACCTCTTCTTTCTTTGGGCAGGCACAGCCTTGCCAAGCGTACAGCCAGGTGAGCAGAATGTGAGCGAGATTTGTGGGCCCACCTTCTTGGCCAAGTGATTTTGTTGCAGTACTTCAACCTTACATTGCTGTCATGCTGTGAGCTTTTACCCAGTCACTGAGCTAGTAAATGACACAGCTGGTTGGCACATCCAAATCTGGTTGACTCCTTTAACTACCTCAAACTGCTCCCCTGACCATGTCCAGAGGCTGGCAGGCTGGGTTTCTATCATTCTTTATATGCTATATTCACGGCATGACACCGATCATAGTACATTTATTTCTTGAAAAAAACAGTCACCGCAGGATTATCTAAACATTCTATTCAGCAATTGCATGTATTGTCTGGCTTTCTAATTTACCGAAAATTTGTGATTTACAAAGTCCAAAGTTATGGACTGTGATTTAAAATAATAATAATAATAATAATAATAATAATAAAACTGCGGTCTTTGGGATTCTCAGAAAAATGTCCCCTCAGCCAACTTAACTGAGCCAAATGTTAAAAACAACAAACATTTGAACAAGGCTTTCACATTCTTAATATGTTAAAGTGAACAAACTAAGTCAATTACTTTAGGGATCACTGCTGTTTTTGACATCCCACCAGGATGTTCTGGAATTTTATCCTAGCCTAGCTGTAGATTTCCTTTCAAAATTTGGAAAGCAGCTTTCTCCCAAAAGCAGACAGAGGATGGGATAATGACAGTGAAGTGAGAATTGAAGAGTTAATAGTGTCCATGTTATGCTCTTTAAAGCAGACCTGTTCTGTTGTGTATTTTGGCACATGGTTTTTAGACATATTTTAGTCAATCTTTGCAAAGTTGAAAGTTGATTCAGAGCCAGATGTTCAGAAATAGACTGAGAAGGCTATTGTAATTTTTCATCCCTCAGTTTTTGTACAGAAACTTCATTGTAAAAACCCTTCTAGACTGATGGCTGCCTCATTGAAAACTGGGTCAAAAATATGGCTCTGTTAGAAAATCTCTTGGATTACAAAACAATGCCTAAACAAAAACAAATAGAAATGGAAACCGCCCTACAGATGTGAGATTTGTGCCAAGTCAACTGTTTGTGCATTGTTTTTGCATTCTGCTTAACTTTTTATGTTGAAATAATTTCAGAGCAAAGGAACGCTGGAAAAATAGTACAAAGAATGTCCACATATCTTCCTCTCATTCTTCCAAATGTTAAGATTTTCACTCATTTCCTTCCTTATTCTCCCTCCTCCCTCTCTCTCTAGTGTATATATATTTAACAATAAGGGTGTTACCTTAGATAACCATGGTACAATATCAAAATGAGGAAATGAATGTTAACACAATACAATTATTTAATCTACAGCTTGTTTTCTAATTTTCCTACTTCAACAAAGTTATCCAAGTTCTTATCACCAGTCCTGGGACAAATGGACCCCTTGAGCTCTGATGTGATGTCCCATGAGGGACATCACAAGGCTTCTGTGATGTTCCTGCCCAAAATGCATAAACCACATCTACTCATGAGGAACCATTAGACAAACCCAGACTGAGACATGCGACAGATGATACATAACTGGAGAGTACTCTTCAAAAGGGTCAAGGTGGTGAATTAAAACAAACAAGTAGCATCCTTAACCAAAACAAAATAGAGAAACTTCCAAATAAACAGAGACCTGGCAACTCTGTGAGTCTGAATTGTTTATGTGGATAAAGATTAACTTCATGATTTAACATCATTAAGATGTTAGCATCCTTAATGGTAATGATTAATATCATTAACTCCGTGATTTAACATCATAAAGATTAACCAAGTGGTTTAACAACTGGATGGAGTCCCAGAAAATCAAGCCCTCACTAATTCTTAAGAAAAGTAACTGGCACTTCCACAAACACTTCCACACTACCCTGTCTGTGACAGTGCAGACAGCTTTGACTAGCAAGTCAACCGCCAGTCTAATGTAAACGCTTAGTCTGGTTGTTTGACCAATCTGGCCAAGTGGGTCCAGCCCACGTGCCTGACACTTAGCCAGGATGCACTGCGCAGGCGTGGGGCAGGGGCGGCTCTGTCTGGGCTTCTGAGCTCCTCCCGCAGGATCCTGGGGCTGCACATGGCTGTAATTAGAAATGAGAAATCCGAGCAAAAGCATCCATGGGCCACACCAGAGAACAGGAAGCAGCGTTCCTCCTTTTCCACATCATAGCACACTGAAAATGATTGCATATGTACAATACAGCATCCAGGACATTCAGGGACATTTATATAACACTTGGTGAGATGTTCATGACAAGTTCTTTATATTATGTAATTATGATAAGAAAAATAAAATTTGATCCTTTTAGAAAAATATTAAATACAGGATTTATATAAATCTTCCACGTGAAATATGTTTCAGGTCTTTTTCTTTTGCGCTCTCCCTTTTAAATAAGAATCTTGAACTTGCCCCTGTACCTCTAGCTGTCAGGTTTTTTGTGTGCTATGGTTTCACGGAATTCCGTATAAAAGGCAGACCCAGGTTTCGTGGGTCTAAATCTTACATGATTTGGAGGAGAGGGGAGACTGTAAGTAAGAGAATAGAAGATTGCAAATATAAAATCAGATGCAAATATTTATTTAGAATGAGAAAAGAAGTCATAGTTAGTTACTGGAGGCTTGGTGATATAGTTCTCTTTCCTCTGTAGTATCTTTAGGTTATTATCAAAAATGCTTATGTAGAAAGCTTTCTGTTTAAAATCCAGCTTCTTCTCCCAACCTAGAATGCAACTCCCAGCAACTCTGCCAGCACTCACACAGCTGTTGAAAGAGGCATCTTAGACCTTAAATTTGGTTAGCGCCACAATAATTCCACTGTTTTGTAGTCATTGTACATAAGGGCATTTATTCACTCGAGTAGATAATAAAAAGTAGCCATTGTTCCCCATCTAAATATGTACATGAGTTGAAATATTAAAGTCTCAAAAGCATTTTCTTTTCTTAATGGACAAGTGAGCTACTGCAATTTCTTATGATAATAAGCATAGATTTCCAGTCTACTCTAAGATTTTCATGTGTCAAGCAAGGACTTTGAAAGAATGATGAAGCTTTGTTTTGCAGGGTGTACATGCCTAGTCAGAGCAAGCATCTCATAGCTAGTTTGAATGTAAAGGACACTTTAACCAAAAAGACATCTGTTTCTGATGTACTGGAGGATGGCGTTTTGGGGCTGTCATCTGGAGTGACACTCGACAGGAGGTCTTACTGCCTCTGTACTCCTAGCTCTGAGGGCCTCTTGGGGTGCCCCTAACACCACCACAGCTGCCCCTGAGTCTTGCTTTGCTGGGACAGCCTTGCCCTGCCGGAGGAGATGGCAGGTGGGTGGGATGAGGCTTGGCTCCAGGAAGGAGGCCACTTGTCATGCGGGGACAGCCAGGAAGTTAATTCCCTGTGTGCCTGAACTGCTTGTCCCAAGGATTGCTGCCTCAGGGTCACATTCAACCAGCCACACCTCAAACAGAGGGGACAGAAATACAACACAAATTAAGAAGCTCTGCTGTGGTAGACAGGGCGCTTTGTAATTGCACAGGGCTAGGTCAAAAATCGTAGCCTTACAAAAGAATCGGGTAGTGTCAGAGAATTTTGAAATGAAAATTCTAAGAAGTACTCCTTGATGTAGAGAAAACAGCAAAGGAGCGGCAACAGAGTGAAAGAAATAAATAACTTCATAACAGAGTGCCACACTCCGCTAGAGAAACAGAAACGTTATTTTCCAACAGCTTCACTTCCTTCCTATTTTGCCGTACAGAAAAGAACAACATGTAACTTAGGATAAGTGTGTAGGGGCCTGGACAAATCACTTTGGTAAGACTGTTTTATCATTTATAAAACCAGCTTCACGAGAATCTATTGCATAGTTGTTATGGGGATCAAATGTGAGCAGTTCTTTGTAAATTACATGGGAAGGTTTATGTTTATTTTTCTTTTTATGTGACTATAGAAGATGTCTGGTGTTTCAAGTTCACCTATAATGGCCACACATTTTTATTATTACAACTCAGTTAATTCCAGAAACAAACATCTGAATCGGCTTAGTCCCTTGAGGAGTTGGGATCAGGAGGGGATAAGGCTGTGTCTCCACCTCTGCATTGTCACGGTCATTTTCACAGATTGACCTGAGGATTTAGAACAGCCTTAAAGAGAACAAATACTAACAACAACAAAAGTCACTTAACTGTAGCCTTAAGCAACGTGCAAAGGCAAGAAAATATTTGTCCAGGGGGTAGTTGAGTTCTTCACAGATTAACAGCACATTTAGGCCTTGGGATTATTTTGTTTTATTATATTTTGTTTGTATATAGCTTAGCACTAACTGAGGGGGTCGCTTTTCCCTTTTATTAAGCTTTCTGGGTCTGATCTGTCTCTGCCCTGCAGGCCCTGCCAAGTCACGCACCCAAGATAACTCCTCAATTCACCACGCCCAAGGGGATGGCATGGCGCTCAGCTCTCATTTCTCCCCACGTCAGCCTGGATTTATACAGCTTTCCTGCAGGTTTTCCCGCTTCATGCTGCTGCATAGTGTTTTCTCTAACTTGCCACAATTTAATGGCCAAACCTCATATTTAAAATATTATGGATACGAAAGGGGGAAAATAAATAATTTCCAATCATGGCTCACTAAGACTTTGTGGCCTTGTCAGTCTGTAACTGCAGACGTGTTGAAGTCATCTTGGGTATTTGCAGTGGAACCTAAAAAGAAGTGTGGTTTTGCTTTGGGAAGGTCTCTATGTGTCTCTCCTGCTTGCAGTTCCTATGTTGTTTTGGGGTCTCTGGGTGAAGGAGGCCTCCTGAGAGAATTCTGCTTAGAAATCTGAAGCTGACAATCTACAATACCCTTCAGGGTCGTTCCTTTTGCCAAAGGGGAAGCAGAAGTGCCGGGACTCCACATTTCACGAAGCCTTTCATCGTAAATACAGTTCTCCTCCTTCCTTGTCAAGGTTTCGAGGATCTACCAGTAATTCAGCCACATTTGTAATTGTCATGTTAAAGTAATCCACACATGAATATAGAGAACAAAAAGAACGTAAAAATTAAAATGTATTTTTTAATTTGAGAAACATGTTTTATCAATACATATACACAAAGATGGCAATTAAAAAGGAAAACAGACTTACTGTGAATAAAACACAAATTTTGTCTACATACACTAGAAAATTTTCCTCAGATCCTTGGAACCCGTTGATATATTTTTATAGAATAGCCGTGATCTAATTTTTGGCAGGGGTGTGTTCACATGTGTGCGTATCCATTCTTAGAAATGTGTAAAATAGTATACCAAAGTTAAAGTAAATAGAATGAAACAATTTTTCTCTACTTAGTAACATTTTTCAGTAACTCTCCTGAAACAATTTCCATCTGCAACTTTACCTTTAAAAGTTTTAATTATTTTTTAAATGTCACCACTTGATTTTGATGAGTGCTGTTGGCAATAGAGTTAGATGACCAGGGAACAGGTTTAATCAATTGCAAGTGGCTTCTGTAACCTTTGGTTTGGAAAGTAAATAGGAGAGGAGAAACTCAATGGCACATTTTCTTCTCTTTCAAACACATGTTCTTATTTAATAAATTCTCTCTCAAATAAAATAAGCCTGTAGTTATTGGTGGTCAGTTTCATGTAATAGGAGCTACTACAGTTTTCCCATTAAAAAAATAATACAAGACTGCAATAAAGCATATAGTGAGTCACTTTATTGGGTACGAAGTAATAAACCAGTGGTTACAATGATAACGTCTATGATGTGTCTTAGAAGAAACAACCTTGATTGTTTTGTTTGGTTTGGGGTGGGGCTTTTTGGTTTAGTGGCACAGAAAACCAATATGGGATCAGACCCCACCCTTCAAATCAGTGTTCTTATAGCAACTGGAAAATTTCACTCTCAGCAATGATCACAACTGCAATTAATTATTAAAGTGTGTAACGTGTTGCTCAGTATCTCAGTCTTCCAAAACTATACATGCTCCACATCCAAGTTCTACTCAGGGGCAAGGACTACTCAGTTTATGCAGTTAAATCACTGCATGCAGGAGTGAATGGTTGGCATCTATATATAGAAGAAAGAAAAAAATAAAGGGAATAACACAGAGGAAAGAAAATAGAGAAAAGAAAAGGGGAAAGAGCAAAAGAAAGGAAGGAAAAAGACAAAGAAGGTAGCAAAGAAAAGAAGGAGGCCAGATGTGGTGGCTCACGCCTGTAATCCCAGCACTTTGGGAGGCTGAGGTGGGTGGATCACTTGAGGTCAGGGGTTCGAGATCAGCCTAGGCAACAAGGTGAAACCCCCTCTCTACTAAAATACAAAAATTAGCTGTAGTCCCAGCTGCTTGGGAGGCTGAGGTGGGAGAATCACTTGAACCCAGGAGGCAGAGCTTGCGGTGAGCCGAGATCGTGCCACACTGCACTCCAGCCTGGGCGATAGAGTCTCACGTGAGACTCCAAAAAAAAATAAATAAATAAAATAAATAAAAAGAAAAGAAAAGAAAGATAAAAGAAGGAAGATTTTTATTTTTTGGGAACCTACCATCTTGCAATTCTGTCAAGCACATTAAGTCTACTATTAACAATATCTATATAAAATAAGTATTTTTAACTTTGCTGATCTTTTTTTGTTAAGTAAATCACAGCTTCCAAAACTCACGATCCCTCTGCTGCACCTTGCTGCCAGCATTCAACACAATATTCTTCTATAGCTCCCCAAAATGCAGAGGGAGTGCATGAGAACACAGTTATTTCAATCGTCAACTACTGCTGAATGCTGGGTGCTGCAGACGTACCCCATTCTTGCACAGTTCACGTTGCTGGGAACCCGTGGGATGACACAGCCCGAGTATCAGAAGTGAAAGCTGAACGTCATTACTCCTGGTATCAAAAATATTTTGCAGACTACCTGAATGATGTTGGATGCGGGTTCTAGTCCCCTGGAAGTGATATTGAACATCCAGGGAATTTCTCTTAAAGACGCAATCATTCACGGCTAGATATTAACCAGATCTATGACATACAGTGTTGCCACATCATCTTCTCATTTCACTGGCTCTAACCCTGCTGAACATTTCTAATACAGCAAGGGTGTTTGGTGAAATACGACTTTCTGATTGAATGAATGCCTGCATGCCTCCGTGATAAACACCAGTTCAAGCACACTGTGGATTACAAGGAGAGACAAGTGCCAAAATCTCCAGATAAGTTTCAACCCCTTTCCCCTCCCCCACAACCAAATTATCTCAATTTATTTTTCATCAGATCTTACTGTGACCAATAATTTTTGTATAGTGAACATCAGTATTTTTGCCTGCCTTGCTCTGTTCTCTGTTTTTTTTTCCATCTCTTTGCTTTGACATGCCAAGCTGCATTTGACTTTAAGGCAGTTTTATGGAAGGGAAGTTTTAAAGAAACATTAACTGTGTGGTGGGACTGATATAAACCCCTTGGCATGGACTAGTCAGAGTCTATACACCTTATCGCTTTGGCTGCCCCCTCCTTTTTATTACCTTTTTGGTTCCTGTTGCTAACATATTTCCTTTTCTCCAAGTGTATTTTTCCAGTACTAAAGCTATGCTTTTTTTTAGGTCTACCTAGAAAATTTTCAGTTACATCATTTGCACAAATATGTTGATGTTAACATTGAAAAACCTCTTTGCCTGCCATTGTATATTTTATTTGGCTAAAAACGGTTCATGTCTAATACATTACATGTCCTTTGGTGATACTATTTAAGCAAGAAATTCCAAAACTCACAAATACCGAATAGCCAAAAGTTCCAAAGCTGTGCACGAACACTAAACATGCAATATATCTCCTCCTTTTCCAAACAGAAATAGATTTCTCTCTGATTTGTTTGATAAATTTGACCCATGATTTCCATTTGGAGTTATTGGAGTTCCTACTGTTTTTCTGCGTGTTGGTGGGCCAAGTCCTAATCACCCCAAAGCCCCACAGAGACCATAAATTATAGCGATGAGGTGAAGCTTTGTATTCCTTCGGCTGCAGAAGAAGGCCATTTTGCTGCAGCCTATTTTGACAGGCATGAATTTAATTCATTGTTTTATGACAGATGGGAAAAGTGTACATGCTCATAGTACTGATTTATGGTCATGTGGGTCTGGAGGATTCTATAATTTGCAACTAATGTGAAAACAGATGGATAGGCAGACACCAAAGGTTAGGCTGACCTGCGCATTTCTCCACTGGTTACAAATGGCGTCCATATGCGTCCAGTCTCTCTGGGTGAGGTCTTCCTTGGGACGGCCAGACATTGTAAAGAGCGGTGCACTTCTTTTTTTCCCCTCCTAAGTAAGTTAGTGAAAGTGAAATTTGGGAAATGTTTCCAAGTCTCAATATTTCAAGAGACACCCTGTGCCTTCTGAATGTGTGGGATTCTACTTTCCTTTTCTTTTTTAATTAGAAAGCACTTTTCCAAGGTGTATGTAATATGTTCATTATTATCCAAACAAGGAATGCCATATAAAGGCATTGGTAGCTGTTTTCACTTCAATTGACAAATTTATTTAAATAGAATGATTGATTGAAAATCAGCAGCTGGGGAGTTTCAAAGGAAATACCTCGACTTGGGAACGGGCATGTATTTTTGTGAGAAATGTGTTTGTGCTTAAATAAATGAGTTTCTACTTTATAACCATTTTGCCTTTTAAGAAAATAAATGGGTTATCATTTGAAATTACTTAATTGATGCTAAAGTGTTTCATACATTTTGACTATTAAATGACTTTACCTAAGAGGAAATAACAAAAATCACATTTCTTTTTGAAGAAAGAAATACATCTAGACCTATAGTAACAAAGTAAATCCATAGTCAATTTTACTTGAGTTGCTACTCATTCAAGTACTTAACACATGAAAAAAACATGTTAAGAAAGTATCTATTTTGTTATTATCAGTTCAATTGTCATAACATTATTTCCATATTAACTTGATTTATAACATTTAAATATTAAAACTAAACATGCTATTAATTTTAATTCTGAAGATAAAAGTTGTGTTTCATTTCTCAAACCTTCACAACTCTGAAGTTGTCTTATGTTTCATTTTATTTTGAAAACTGGAACTGTGGATTGCTATTCCCTAAATTAAAAGTACAAAATTCAGATATAATTAAGGGCTGTTTTACTCTTGATCAAATCAGCATTTTGGCAATGAAAGTCAGAAGACCTGTGTTTTACAAAGTCAAAATATTGTTTTATTTTATTATAATTTGAAATTACATTTTAACCAGTCTAATGGCTATTTCTGAGCCTTAACTGACATGAAACTGTCTGTATTGGTGCAATTATAATGCAGGATATTTGTAGCTTCATATGCTGCTGCAGAGGCTAAACGCAGAGGATTTAGCCTCCTTTGACACTCAATCATTGTACATTTATCTTGGAAAGGGAAAAATGTAAGTGGCTGATAACTAATTTTAATTGACATCTAGAAAAAATAAATAAACCAAGCAAACCAAATGTGTTTTCTTAAAACTATGTTCTTCTTAGCTATTAGCCTCTCTTTAGCTACAGAAAGAAATCATGTGCATGTTATTTTTTTCACACAGCACTTCCTAAAGAAGCTGTAGGCTGGGGATGCCATTTCCCTTTTAGACAATAATAGCTGCCACCATAGCTGCCACTATCTCATTGCTGGGTCAAATGAAGGTAGTCTCATCAGAAGATACCAAGAGTCATGTGAAAGCCAGTTAGATGAAAAAAGCCTGTATCTGACCTCAAAGACTTTCTCTTGGCTCAAATGTTTAATTTTGTTAAGCATGCAGACAATCAATTTAAGAATAACCTGATTTACAAATGTCGTTTGACATCAAGTGAGTACCAGGGACTTACTTTTATTATACATTTTTTGGAAGGGCTGGACTGAATTTCCTTTATGCATTCATGTCAATGGTATGGATAGGGCTATTTCTTTACTCCTTGAGCACTGGAAATGCAAGGGTGTGTCCACTGGCCCATGTGTTGAGGCTTCATCCATCCCTGTCATCCTGTGCTCAACCTGCTCCTGCCTGCACAGCACTTTCCTTCTTCTACAGGACTCTACTTCCTCCCCAGTCTCTTCATTTACAGAGTGTCTGGTGCTAGGGAAGGGATGGTGATCAAGAGCTCCAGGAACCCTGCTTGGAGTATTGTCTCCTTGGCAGAATTAACCTCTCTCGGTATTCTTCAAGTTCCCTTTGTACATATCTTCTCATACACCGAGTAACACTGCCCAGCAGTTGATTATCTATGTCTGTTTCCTTTACTATGAAACTGACTTGATTACATTAACATTTTAAATGCCATTACCTACTTGTGGGTCTGGAACATAGCAGTAGTTCAATAAAAGTTAATTGAAAGTTGAATGTGTGGAAAGAAATTGATCTTTAAGCCAGCTATGTAAGGATAGAAATCAATCAGTTTCAGTAGATTATGAAATAAAGTAAAAGTAAATCCATGACATATGCAGTTATAAAATTATTTCAGAGAAGTAATAACTATATATGTAAATACCAATTCTTTAATTTTTTATTTTTATTTGTACATCAATTGCATTTTTATTTGTACAAATAATGTATAGAAAGAGCCTCACTGGCAGGACTTCTAACAATTCAAAGTCAGAATCAACTTCCAGCTTTCTCATCCCACTTTCTTGCTCAGAAGTTACCAAATCTCACAGTTTATGAAAATCTCCCATACTTTCTTCTTTGTATTTATGAAAACGTGTTTTATATATAAATGAATCATCTTATCTTGGTTCACAATGCTTTATTTTTAATTAAATTGGTAGCTAACACTTGTTATATTCCTGAGATTTTTCTAAGCACTCAACATGGTTAGCTCGTTTGATAATGTGATAGGAGCTGTTACTATGGCACTCTTACCAATGAGAAAGTTAAGGCCAGGAAAAATGAATGACCTGCTCAAGGTGGTGAGGTGCACTGAGCGCAGAATACCAGGCAGTCTGGATCCAGAGCACACTCTATTAACCTCTGCACTCTGCTATATTGAAAATAAGGCCATACCAAATGGACTACTTTGCAACATTCTTTTTTTTTTAACTTAATGATATGTCTTAGATAGTTCTCCATGGCTTTCTATATAACCATAACTCATTAATTTTAATTAGTAGCTAATAATTCACAGCATGGACTATCCTAATTTATTTGACATTGTCATGTGTATGGACATTAGGCTGATTTCAGTCTTTCATTATTAAAAATTACAACAAATATTCCTGTATATTCTTTGTGCAAATGTTGCAGTATCTCTAACAGATACACCTAGAAGTAAAATGATGAGCCAAAGCTCATGTACAATATTAAATTTTAATAGACGTTGATAAATTTTGGTCCGAAAAGACTGTCAACTATCACTTCTTCCAACCAACATTATTTATTGTCTTTATATGAAATGTTATGAGTATGAAGGATACAAAAGAGATCGTTAATAGTTTTAATTTACATTGCCCTAATTATAGCAGGATTTACTTTGGCCATTTTTGTATTATTTGTAGAGATTCTTTATATATTCTGGATAGTAACTCCATACATTGACATATGTTGTTAATATATATTTTTCTATTCTATTACTTTTCTTTAAACTTTGTTGACTCCTACTGTTTAGTTGTTTAAAAGTTTATGGGAAAAATATTTTCTATGTTTTTTACATGGCTTAAGAAATTCTTTCTTGCCAAGTGGTTTTAATTCTATTTTTTATTATAACATAATTACATTGAGACTTGTTTTATTTTGTTTGCTTATTTACAGATAGATGTTATTTCAGAATTTATTAATGTACATAGGGTAGATAGAAATTTTTTTCCTACTCAATTCTCCTGTACCATTTATTGAATAATTCTGTCACTCACTGATCTGAAATGCCACTTTATCATAAACTTAATAAACATTACTTTATTCTGATAATTGGAGTAAAATTAGCAAATGCAAAAACATAGATAAGATAAAAGTTATCAGTAATTGCAACCATTAAACTACTGTTTAGTGGTTTAGATGATTTTTCTCCATTCATGGTATTATTTTTTATGGCTGACATTTCACCCAGTCTTTTCTAATCATGTAATGGCATTTTAATATATTGTTAACTGTTACAGTAATTAAAAGAAAAATGGAATACTATGTCTGATATAAAAATAACATAGACTTCTAAATGACAATACACAGAGGGCATGAAGTTGAAGTTTGATTGGAATATACACATTACTGCTTGTCATAGTATTTATTTGTGCAAATGCTCTAAAAATTAATAAAATATTTTAAGAGTATTACAATGTTTATATTCTTTGATCTAGAAGTTTTTTTTTCAAGGTATGTATACAAAGGGAATAATCAGAGGTATAATCCAAGATTAATATATAAAATATTGCACGTATATTTTATAATACCTAAAAGAATGAAAACCCAAAATGTCCAACCATGAGGGTGGTTGAATAAATTAGGGTACCTTCTTGAGACAGAATACTATTTCCTTAGTGCAATGGTGCTTTGTAGACCTGGCGTGGCAGTAGCTGCTGCTCTTTGACAAATGTTTTTGGCTCCCCACCTTCCGGGCCTGTGGAAAGCTCATGTTTCCTGGACACCTTGTGATTGGGTGGGGCTGTGGGACTGCCTGACAATGTCATGAGCAGAAATGACACATGTCATTTCCAGGCCAGAATGCTCAAATATTAAAGGGAAACAGTCCACGTTTGGCAAAGGGGCCACTAACATTGGAAATGGCATGGCTGAGTGATGATAAGGAGTAGAGATCTTCTGCTAACTGTAAATGGAAATATGGATTAGAGAGAAACAGACATGCACTGTTTTAAGCCACTAAACAGTAGCCACTACCCATTGGTTAATACAGATAAGAAAACTCTCACAAAATAAAAGTGAGGGGGAAAATAGGGTAAAAAATGTGTCCTGAATGTATGAAATCAATTTTGTGTGTGAGGGGAAAATAATGTAACAAATATACACACAAGGAAACCCCCTCCCCCAAACCCACCAGAATATTGTTTTTACCTCTGGGTGTTGAGACTATAGAGTTTTAATTTCTTTATATATTCTTCTGTTTTTCTAGAATAAATGCATATTATTTTATAATTACAAAGTCTACTTTTTAACTCTTCATAATCATAACTTATAATGGTAAAATTTATATAAAATTTCAATCTGTGCATATGTAAATAAATTAACTTTCTTGTTATGCATTTAAGTTAGTTATAGGTTTCCACTGTTTTCTTCAGACAATGATTATCATTGTGTGTAATTTCAACCTAGTAACTCAATTGTTTCTGTAGAATTGATAGTAGAATTAATTACTCAATAGTTATGGATATTTTAGGACTACATAAATGCTATTCAACACTCTTTTTAATGGTTGTATCAATTACACTTTTATCAGTAGGAGCACTCATTCTTCCACAAAAAATGATAGTATTGAATTTTTTTTCTTTTGTTAAATTTATAATTTGACAAGAAAAATCTTCTAAATATATTTTTTAAATGTAATGTGTCTTCAGCTGTCCATGGGAAAGCACTAATATTATATTTGATTTCAAATCTATTGTGGACTGCTCTGGGGACCTACTGCACATGACCAATACCTACATGAGCTACCTGTGCATCAACAGCATGAATCTAACATCACCTGAGCTCATCTTCATGTTTAACAAGACAAGTTCGCTGATGACACCTTTGGATCCTGAGGCAATGCCAAATTGCTACAAAAGATGTAAATATTTACACTCAATTTCTGTAATTATGTGGATTGATAATCAAACAGTTCATGCATCAATATCAGGCTGTGGATCATACTTGAGTAGCACTGATTTGTATTTTCTTAATTTTAATTAAGTAGCTAATATATTCTCAAATGTAGCTTTTATTTTGTTTTTGGCAAATTGTCTCTTCTTGAACTTGGCTCCTTTATTCTTAGATCCTATCACTTGTATGAGTTTGACACCATTAAGACTATTTTCTCTTTTCAAATGTCTACACATATTATGTGTTTGTGGATTCTTTTTTATATCTCGTCTTTTTAATTTTTAAAATTTTTATTTCAATAATTTTTTGGGGAAAAGTGGTGTTTGATTGCCTGGAAAAGTTGTTTAATGGTGATTTCTGAGATTTTGGTGCACCCATCACCCAAGCGGTTTACGCTGTACCCAATGTATAGTCTTATAACCCTCACTCCCCTCCCACCCTTCCCCCAGAGTCCCCAAAGTCCATTATATCATTCTTATGCCTTTGCATCCTCATAGATTAGCTCCCACTTATAAGTGAGAACATACAATGTTTGGTTTTCCATTCCTGACTTATTTTGTTTCTTTTTATGGCAGAGTAGTGTGTGTGCGTGTGCATGTGTGTGTGTGTATATATATATATATATATATATATATATATATATATATATCTCAGATATATATATATATATACCATGTGATATATATCGCATTTTCTTTATCCACTCATTGATTGATGGGCATTTAGGCTGGTTTCATACTTTTGCAATTGCAAATTGCAAAATACTGCTATAAACATGTGTGTGCAAGTGTCTTTCTCACATAATGACTTCCATTCCTCAGGGTAGATACCCAGTAGTAGGATTGCTGGATCAAATGGTAGCTCTACTTTTAGTTATTAAGGAATCTTATTACTCTTTTCCATAGTGGTAGTATTAATACTATTTTATATCCCCACCAGCATGTGAAAATGTTCCCTTTTCACCACATCCATGCCAACATCTGTTACTTTTTTATTTTAAAACTATGGCCATTCTTGTAGGAGTAAGGTGGTTTTGATTTGCATTTCCTTGATAATTAGTGATATTGAGCATTTTTTCATATGTGTGCTGGTCATTTGTATATCTTCTTATGAAAATTGTCTAGTCATGTCCTTAGCTCACTTTTTGATGGGATTATTTGTTTTTTTCTCTTGCTGATTTGTTTGAGTTCCTTGTAGATTAAAGGTATTAGTCCTTCATCAAATGCATAGTATGCGGATATTTTCTCCCATTCCAGGGTTGTCTGTTTTCTCTGCTGATTAATTCTTTGGCAGTGCAGAATTTTTTTAGTTTAATTAGGTCCCATCTATTTATTTTTGTTTTTGTTTTATTCGCTTTTAGATTCTTGGTTATGAATTCTTTGCCTAAGCCAATGTCTAGAAGAGTTTTTCTGATGTTATCGTCTAGAATTTTTAGGGTTTCAGGTCTTAGATTTAAGTCTTTGATCCATCTTGAGTTTATTTTTGTGTAAGGCAAGAGGCGAGGATACAGCTTCATTCTTCTACATGTGGCTTACCAATGAGCTCAGCACCATTTGTTGTATAGCATGTTCTGTCCCTGCCTTATGTTTTTGTTTGCTTTGTCAAGAATCAGTTGACTGTAAGTATTTGGCTTTATTTCTGAGTTCTTTATTCTGTCCCGTTAGTCTACATGCCGATTTTTATACAAGTACTATGCTGTTTTGTTAACTATAGCCTTGTAGTATAGTTTGAAGTCAGGTAATGTGATGCCTCCAGAATTGTTCTTTTTGCTTAGTCTTGCTTTGGCTATGCACCCTCCTTTTTTGGTTCTGTATGAATTTTAGGATTATTTTTTCTTGTTCTATGAAGAATGATGATGGGATTTTGATGGAAATTGCATTGAATCTGTAGATTGCTTTTGGCAGTATGGTCAATTTCACAATATTTGCTCTACCCGTCCATGAGCAGGGGATGTGTTTCCACTTGTTTGTATTGTCTACGATTTATCGATTTATTTCACAATGTATTGTAGTTTTCCTTATAGAGATCTTTCACTTTTTGTTAGGTATATTCCTAAGTATTTTACTTTATTGCAGTTGTTGTAAAAGGGATTGAGTTCTTGATTTGATTCTCAGCTGGTTGTTGTTGGTATATAGCAGTGCTACTGATTTGTGTACGTTTATTTTGTATCCTGAAACTTTACTGAATTCATTTATCAGATCTAGGAGCTTTTTGGATGAGTCTTTAGGGTTTTCTAGGTATATGGCCATATTATCAGTGAACAGTGACAATTTACCTTCCTTTTTGCCAATTTGGATGCCTTTTATTTCTTTCTCTTGTCTGATTACTCTGACTAGGACTTCCAGTATTATGCTGCATATAAGTGGTGAAAGTGGGCATTCTTGTCTTGTTCCAGTTCTCAGGGGAAATGCTTTTAACTTTTCCCCATTCAGTATAATGTTGGCTGTGGGGTTTGTCATAGATGGCTCTTATTTCCTTGAGGTATGCCCCTTCTATGCCAATTTTGCTGAGGGTTTTAATCATAAAGCGATACTGGATTTTGTCAAATGCTTTTTCTGCATCCATTGAGATGATCATATGATTTTGGTTTTTAATTCTGTTTATGTGATGTATCACATGTACTGACTTGTGTATGTTAAAACTTCCCTGCATTCCTGTTGTGAAACCCTCTTGATCATGGTGGATTATCTTTTTGATATGCTGTTGGATTCAATTAGCTAGTATAATATTTTGTTGAGGATTTTTGCATCTAGTTTTCTTTTTTTGTTATGTCCTTGCCAAGTTTTGGTATTAGGGTGATACTGGTTTCATATAATGATTTAGGGAGGATTCCTTCTTTCTCTATGTTGTGGAATACTGTCAATAGGATTGGTACCAATTCTTCTTTGAATTTCCGATAGAATTCAGCTGTGAAGCCATCTGGTCCTGGACTCTTTTTTGTTGGTAATTTATCCATCTTCTCTAGGTTTTCTAGTTTATGCGTGTAAAAGTGTTCATACTAGCCTTAAATGGTATTTTGTATTTCTGTGGTATCAGTTGTAATATTTCCCATTTCATTTCTAGTTGAACTTATTTTTGGATCTTCTCTCTTCTTTTCTTGGTTAATCTTGGTAATGGTCTAATCAATTTTGTTTATCATTTCAAAGTAGCAGTTTTTTGTTTCATTTATCTTTTATAGATTTTTCTTTGTTTCAATTTTATTTAGTCCTGCTCTGATATTTGCTATCTCTTTTCTTCTGCTGGGTTTGGGTTTGGTTTGTACTTGTTTCTCTAGTTCCTTGTGAGATGTGATCTTACATTTTCTGTATTCTTTCAGGCTTTTTAATGTAGGCATTTAATGCTATGAACTTTCTTCTTAGCAGCGTTTTTGCTGTGTCCCATAGGTTTTGTTAAGCTGTGTCACTATTATTGTTCAGTGCAAATAATTTTTTAATTTTCTTTTTGATTTCATTGTTGACCCAGTGATTATTCAGGAGCAGGTTATTTAATTTCCAAGTATTTGCATGGTTTTAAGGGTTCCTTTTGGAGTTTATTTTAAATCTTATTTCACTGTGGTCTGAGAGAGTATTTGACATAATTTCGATTCTTTAAAATTTATTGAGGCTTGTTTTTTGGCCTGCCATATGGTCTACCTTGGAGAATGTTCCATGTGCTGATGAAGAGAATGTATATTCTGCAGTTGCTGGTAGAATGTTTTGTAAATATCTGTTAAGTCCGTTTGTTCTAAGGTATAGTTTAAGTCCATTGTTGTTGACTTTCTGTCTTGATGACCTGTCTAGTCCTGTCAGTGCAGTATTGAAGTCCCCCACTGTTATTATGTTGCTGTCTATCTCATTTCTTAGGTATAGTAATGATTGTTTTATGAATTTGGGAACTCCCATGTTAGGTACATATATATTTAGGATTGGGATATTTTCCTCTCGGACTTATCCTTTTATCATTATATAATGTTCCTCTTTATTTTTTTAAACTGTTGTTGCTCTAAAGTCTGTTTTGTCTGGTATAAGAAGAGCTTCTCCTGCTGGATTTTGGTTTCCATTTGCATGGAATATCTTTTTCCACCCCTTTACCTTAAGTTTATGTGAGTTCTTATGTGTTAGGTGAGTCTCTTGAAGACAGCAGATACTTGGTTGGTGGATTTTTATTTTTTCTGTTATTCTTTATCTTTTAAGTGGAGCATTTAGGCCATTTACATTCAATGTTAGTATTGAGATGTGCGGTACTATTCCATTCATCATGCTAGTTCTTGCCTGAATACCTTTTTTTTCATTGTGTTATTGTTGTATAGGCCTTGAGAGATTTATCCTTTAAAGAGGTTCTATTTTGGTGTTATTTCAAGGTTTATTTCAAGATTTAGAACACCTTTCAGTATTTCTTGTTTTGCTGGGTTGGTAGTAGCGAATTCTCTCAGCATTTGTTTGTCTGAAAAAGACTTTATCTCTCCTTCATTTATGAAGCTTAGTTTTGCTGTATACAAAATTCTTGGCTGGCAATTATTTTGATTGAGGAGGCTAAAGTTAGGACCCCAATCCCTTCCAGCTTGTAAGGTTTCTGCTGAGAAATCTGTCATCAATCTGATAGATTTTTCTTTATAGATTACCTGAGGCTTTTGCCTCACAGCTCTTAAGATTCTTTCCTTTGTCTTGACTTTAGATAGCCTGAGGACTATATGCCTGTGTGATGATCTTTTTGCAAAGAATTTCCCAGGTGTTCTTTGAGCTGCTTGTATTTGGATGTCTAGATCTCTAGCAAGGCCAGAGAAGTTTTCCTTGATTATTCCCTCAAATATGTTTTCCAAACTTTTAGATTTCTCTTTGTCCTCATAAACACCAATTATTCTTAGGTTTGGCCATTTAACATAATCCCAAATTTCTTGCAGGCTTTGTTCATTTTTTTGTTTCTTTTTTCTTTATCTTTGTTATATCTCATCTTATTATGGAAAGTATTTGAATGGTCATCTTGCCATCTTAAAAGTAAAACTATGGAAAATACATGTCATGCAAACAGTAACCAGAAGAGACCTGGAGTGGCCATAATATATCAGACAAAATAAATTTTGTATTAAAACTTGTCACAAGAAGAGTGATTCAGCAAGATAGAAGAGTAGGAGGCCCTGGCTCCTCCTCCTTTCCCATCATTGCTACTAATTTAGCAACAATTCATGAACAAATTGGCTTTGTGAGAAATCATAAATTAATTGAAAGCCTGCTGCTTCCAGGAAAATAGTAAATCAAAAGCCAGTAGGGATATTGAAAACATGCTGTCAGCAGAGACCCTGCTCTTAGATTAGCTCCTTACAATCAGAAAGAGACCCCTAATTTCCATCTTTACCCAGGGAAGGGAGGGTTTGCTGTGCATATCCACAGCCCTAACTTTTCTGAGGGATCTCCTCAAAGGACTGGCTTTTATCTTGCCAGTCTTGAAGCTCTGATTAGTCTGGGACAGTCTTGCAACCTGGGGGAGAATAGAGACGGCAGCTTAGGCTAGTAGACAGAAGTAATTCTTCACCCTGCTCAACACAAAGCAAGTAGACAAAAACTACAGCTGCCTGCTTTACCTTGGGGAAGAAAAGAATTGGCAGAGGCCCCAGTCTCTCTAGCTGAGCTAATTAGTGGGGGTCTTCTCCTGTAGGAGGCCAGTCTGTGAAGACCAGGAGAGGTGCCTATTTTGCCTAATGCACAGAAACCAACATAGAGAGTCAAGGAAAATGATGGATCAGGCAAAGATTCCAAACGAAAGAATAAAGTCAAATTTAAGAAATTGATCCTAATGAAATGAAGCTGTATCATTTTCCTAATAGAATTAAAATAACTCATAAAGATGGCCCACTGAGGTCAAGAAAACAATGTGTGAACAAAGTGAGAATCTCAACAAAGAGATATAATATTTACCCTGAACAGAAATATTGGAGCTAAAGGACACAATAATTAAACTGAAACACCAGAGGGGTTCAACAGCAGACAAGATCAAGCAGAAGAAAGGATCAGTGAACTCGAGAATAGGTCACCGCAAATAAATCAGTCAGAGGAGCAAAAATTGTTTCAAGAAATAAAAAAGAACATTAAATATTATTAAAAAATAAATCCATCAAGAAGCTATAAAGATTATAAAAATATGTGTATATGTGTATGTGCATAAGTGTGCATGTGTGCATATATATGTATGTGTATATAACTAACAGAGTCCCAAAATAACTGAAGCAAAAACTGAGAGAATTGAAGGGGGCAATAGAAAATTCAACAATTATGGGTGACAATTTTAAATCTTTGCTTTCAATAATAAATAGAGTAATGAGACAGAAGATCAACAAGGCGCTACAAAACTTGAATAACAATATAAGCCAATGAGACCTAACAGATGTCTGAAGAACATTCCAACCATCAATAGCATAATGTATATTTTTCTGAAGTGCATATGGAACAATTTCCATCATAATAGACCATATGTTAGGCCATAAAATAATCTCTATATATTTGAAATAATTGAAATAATACAAATTATTTTCTCAAATTGCAATGGGATGATATTAGAAATAAATAATTGCACAAATATGTGGAAATTAAACAATACACTCTTAATTGACGGGTCAAAAAATATCACAGTAAATATTGGCCCTAAGATTCTTAACAAATACTGGGAAACCAAATCTAACACCATATAAAAAAGATTATGCAGAATGACCAAGTAGAATTTGTCCAAGAAGTACAAAGTTGGTTCAATGTATACAAATCAATCAATATTATACAATAAATATTACACCTACTATGTATCCACAAAAATTTACAAGTTGAAAAAAGAAAACAGAATTAATACACAATATTAGTAGAATAAAGCAAAAACCATAAGATTCTCTCAAGAGATGCAGAAAAGGCACTTGAAAAAAATCTAACACCTTTCCATAATGAAGATAGTCAAAAACAATGTAAGGAAACTTCCTCAATCTGACAAAGGGCATTTACAAAAAAACACAGGTAACATCATTCTTAACAATGATAACAGTAGTTGGTCAACTCACCTGGTGTCTCCTGCCAAGTCCAGCAGAGGTGGGGAGATGGAAAAGAAGGGGAGAGATGAAATCAGTGAGAAGTACAGACAGCCAGGATGTGAGCCTCAGCCCTGCCTCCCACTTAACAGTGAATTTGGGTAACACTTTAACTTGCTGAGCTTCAGGATTCATTGCTGTAAAATGGGAGATACTGAAGCTCTCTACAAGCTTTTGGGTATGACTGCATTATTTGAAGAATGCAAAGTACCTGCAGGTCTTGGCATAAAGTTGCAATAATGCTATTTTCCCTTGAGAAGCTTCTAATTTAATTATAGAGAAAATATATAACCAGTTGGATCCTCAATGTTAGCTTCTAGTTGTTCTTTAGTCCTGAGTTTTTAAACCTTATTAGGGCTTATTTCAACATCCACAGGGTACCTACTGAATACTTCAAAATTACAAGATATAGCTCTTTTGCTATTGTTGCGTCAAATTTCTTCTGGGAATATACTTACGGTTTTTTGCTTGTTTTAATTAAGTATAATACCACACACAAACCAGTTGTGTTGCATGGCATCATTACTGTTAGTTGAATTTATTTGGCATCTTTCCTCTGAAGAACAATGGGTAGAGTCTAGAATTTATCATTCTATTCATCCACTCATAAGCATTTATGGCTCTGACAAGGCAACATGCCAGGAACTACAATCTCAAAGATGAATTTAGCAAATTCAGCATGGGAACTACAATTTCAAAAAGATGAATTCAGTAAATTCAGCATGGGTCTTGCTCTCTAATGTATACAGAGAGTGGAAAAGTCAGTCATACTACAATAGTATGTGTCCTACCAGAAGTGGAAGTATAGCTGGCCACCAGGAAATATCGGAAAAGTTGCTGTCATTTTTCTTGGAGAAGTCAGAAAAAATATCTATTGGGAAGTTTATATTGCTGCTTCATCTTGAAACGTAAGTAGGCAATGAGAAGAAAATCGTAATTAAGGCTGAGAGAATGGCATTGCATCGTTGCAGAGGTAAGAAACAGCACTGGGACTTTAGGAAGTATTTTCACTAGGATCAAGTATAATTTGCACAAGGGAAGGGGAAACAGGAGTAGAAAAGTAGGCAGGAGCCAGAGAATAATATGCCTTGCATGCCTTACTAAGAATATGGACTTTACTCCATTCTTTGGGGAGTTATGGACAGATAACTGATATTTCCATCCACAATCAATCCAGAAACACCCCTGTTTTGACAATACCCCAGCCTCCTCTAGGGGGAGCCACCTTTGATTTTCATGGCAGGGTGGGATCCAGAAAGCTGAAAGTCTCTTTCCAAACTTGATTTGGAGACATGAATTTCACACAAATACAACAATACTCTCCTATCTTCATGGGGCAGGGTTGGGGGAGCAAAGCCGCTGATCTCTTTACAGATTATGAAAGAAGCCAAAGCTGAGATGGAATCCTGGTGGCCTTCCTCTGCCCCACTGTGTCTTAAAATGTGAATCACTTTGGAAGCATGTTAAGAAGGAGGATCATACACTCTTTCCCAGACTCACTGAATCAAGACCTTTGGGAGGTAATTGAAATGGACATTTTTCTAAATTTCCTTAGCTGATCTTTAAGTAGAATAAAATTTGACAATCGCTACACTTATGACTTTTAAAAATAAAAACTTTATTTTTTAGAACAGATTTGTGTTTACAGAAAAATTACAAAGATAGTATAGTCAGTTTCCATATACCCTGAACATGGTTTCCTCTATTACAAACATCTTATGTTAGAATGGTATATTTGTTACAATTCATGAACCAATACTGATACATTGATGATAATGGTAATGATGATGATGATGATTGTTCTGATAATGTTATTGTTACACTTAACATGAGTCCATGCTTTGTTCAGTTTTCCTTGGTTTGTAGCTAATGTTCTTATTCTGTTCCAGAATTGCATCCAGGATACTACATCATATTTAGTCATCATGTCTTCTTAAGCTGTTGTTGGCTGTGACAGTTTCTCTTTCTTGTTTTTATGACCTAGACAATTTTGAGGGGTCAGGCATTTTTTAGAATGCCTCTTAATGGGGATTTGTACACTTTTTCATAAATAGACCGATGTTATGGGTTTTGGGGAAAAGATCACAGAGATTAATTCTGACCCTTATCACATTATATCAACTATACATACCGTTAACATGATATCACTGTTGAAGTTGACCTTATAAGCCTGGCCGAGGTAGTGTTTGCCAGGTCTCACCACTGTAAATTTACCCTTCCTTCCCTTTCCATATTACTCTTTGGAAGGAAGGAACTATACAGAGCCCACATTTAAGGGATGGAGGTTTATGCTCCACTTCCTTACAGGTAAAATACCTACATAAATTACTTAGAATTCCACATATGCAAAATTTGTATTTTCTTATTTAATTTATTCCATCATTTGATTATGGACTCATGGATATTTATTTTACACTTTGGGCTATAATCCAATACTACTTCATTTACTTTGTCACTCAGATTGTTCCAGTTTTGGCTATTGGGATTTCTTTCCATTGGCTCTTGTACCGGTTTGATATATTTTCATCATTGTGGATTTTTTTTTCTATTTTTTATTTTTGAGCACTTTCTTATTTTCAGGTACTTCAAGATAATCCAGGCTCATTTTGCATATTTCTTATCCCGGCCCTAGAATCAGCCATGTCTCCAAGGACCTCAGATTCTTTTTGTTGCAGAATGGTATTTGAAACCAAGATCTGAGCATCAGGTTGCCACCAGGATGTTATTGTTTATAAAGCCTCCCAGCAGACAGAGCCAGAAGATATATGTGTGTTTATTAAGCAATGTATATACGCATATCTATAAATATTTCTATATGGAAGCAGTGTCTATAGGAAGCTACACATGAGTTCATACTGCGATCATCAACTTTAATCCATTACCACATGAATCATTCTAACCTGCTCCCCTTGCCTATCTCTAAATTCTTACTCCAACAGAAAAAAACAGGCTCTCAACATCTGCCATCTACTTACTTAATTATTCAAATCTAGTGCACATGTATTGCAGTACTAGAATTGTTAACCCATACCCACATGGGAAAAAGTTTATCAACTAGAGTACAGTGCTTATGTACAATGTTTTTTGCAATCTGAGGCTCCACTGATTTCTAAAATTACTTAGGTCAGCATCTTTTTTCTTCACCCTATTCAGTGAAGTGTTTCATCCGTTTGTAATACAGTTAGATTGTTTGTAACAGTCTGAATTTCATTTTGAGATCCCTGACCTGCTAAATTATACTTTTAATTGGCACATATTATTGTTCCTACTATTCACTTTTTTAATGAAGTGAACTTCACAGATATGAAATTAACCATTTGAATGTGAACAATTTAGTGGCATTTAGGACATTCACAGTGTTGTGTAACTACCTCTAACTAGTTCCAGAATATTTCTAATCACCCCTAAAAATATGATGTCTTTATATGACTTTGGTATCAGGGTAATTCTGACATCATAGAAAGAGCTAGAAAGTGTTTCTTTCTTTTCTATTTTTTGTTAGTGTTTGAGAAAAATTGATGTTAATTCTTTAAATGTATGTTTGAATTCATCAGTAAAGCCATAAGGTCCTGGGATTTTCTTTGTTAGGAGGTTTTTAATTATTGATTTAATATCTTTACTTGTTATAGGGCTGTTAGGATGTTCTATTTCATCTTGAGCCAGCAAGGGTAATTTGTATTTCTAAGATTTGTCTGTCTTTTCTGTATTTGTAGTAATGTCCCCACTTTCATTTCTAGTTTTAGCTATTTGTGTATCCTCTTTTTTTCTCCTTCTGTCTAGCTAAAGTCTTGTCATTTTGTGGATTTTTTTTTTCTAAGGACCAGCTTTTGGTTTTGCTGAGTCTCTACTGCTTTCTATTTTGTTTACCTCTTTTAATCTTTGTCTCCTTTCTTCTGCTAACTTTGGGTTAAGTTTGATATTTATTTTCTAATTCTTTAAGGTGTAGTATTGAGTTGTTAGTTTAGAATCTTTCTTCGTTTATAAATGTATGTGTCTATGGCTATAAATTCCTCACTTAGCCTTGCTTTTGCTGCATCCCATTACTGTGGTATGTTAAGTTTTGTTTGCATTTGTCCCAAGATATTCTCTGATTTCTTGTGTGATTCATCTTTTGACCCATTTATTTTGAGTGTATCATTTAATTTCCACATATTTGTGAATTTTCTAGTTATTCTTCTATTATTGACGTCGTTTCATTTTATCATAGTTAGAAAATATTCTTTGTGTAGTTTCAGTTCTTTTAAAATTTATTGAGACTTATTTTGTAGCCTAACATATGGGCTATCTTAGCTAATGTTCCATGTACACTTGAAAAGAATATGTATTCTGCTGTTGTTGGGTGGAGTGTTCTGTCTGTGTCTGTTAGGTCTAGTGTTCAAGTCTTCTATTTCCTATTGAGCTTCAGTTATTTTGTTGTATGTATTATAAAAGGTTTAGTATTGAAATATCTATTATTGCATAACTATGTTTTGTCCCTTTAATTCTGTCAATGTGTGCATACTCCACTTCTCTGTTCTTTCTTGTGTGTTATGTTTATATGTTCTTGATGAATTGACCCTTTTATCAATATACAAAGTCCTTATTTGTATCTTGCAATTGTTTTCAAGTCAAAGTCTGTTTTGTCCAATACTATTACTGTATAACCACCCCAACTCTCTTCTGGTTACTATTTGAAATGAATGTCTTTGTGTATCTTTTTAATTTAAATATATTTATATCTTTAGAACTAAAGTGAATTTCTTGTAGACAGCATACCATTGGATCATATTTTTCAAATCCATTTGGTCATATCTCTGCCTTTTAATTGGAGCGTTTAATCCATTCACATGTAACATATCTGTTTGAGGAAGGATTTACTTCTTCCATTTGGGTATTTGTTTTCTATATGTTTTATACCTTTTTTATTCTTTGTATCCTCCATTTGTCTTGTTTGTGTTTTGCTATTTGGGGTGTATTGTTTGGATTTCCTTCTCATTTCCTTTTGTGTGTACTTTTAGGAAAATTTCTTGGTGATTACCATAAAGGTTCTAATTAAAATCATAAATTTATAACAATATTATTTAAATTTCTACAAATTTTGCTTCAATACCATACAGTAATTACATTACTATACAGTTCCATTCCCTGCCTTATAATTGCTTTCACAAATTACATTGTTGGATATTATGTGGCTATTAGCATAAATTTATAGTGATGTGTATTTATTTGTCTTTTTAAATCATATAGGAAATATTATAAAAATAGAAGTTGCAATCCAAAATGCAGTAATACAGACTTTTATATTTATCTATGCAATAACTTATATTCAATTTCTATATTTCTTTTTTTTGACACCTAGTGTAACCATGTGGCCTGTTTTTTTTATTATTATTACTTTAAATTTTTATTTTTCCATAGGTTATTGGTGTACAGGTTGTGTTTGGTTATATAAATAAGGTCTATAGTGGTGATTTGTGAGATTTTGGCATGCCCATCACCCGAGCAGTATACGCTACACCCTATTTGTATTCTTTTGTCCCTCACCCCACTCCCACCATTTCCCCCCAAGTCGCCATAGTCCATTGTAACATTCTTATGCCTTTGAGCCCTCATAGGTTAGCTCCCACATATCAGCGAGAACATACGATGTTTGGTTTTCCGTTCCTGACTTACTTCACTTAGAATAATAGTCTCCAATCTCGGCCGGGCGCGGGGGCTCACACCTTTAATCCCAGCACTTTGGGAGGCCGAGGCAGGTGAATCACCTGAGGTCGGTTGTTCGAGACCAGTCTGACCAACATGGAGAAAGCTCATCTCTACTAAAAATACAAAATTAGCCAGGTATGGTGTCTCATGCCTGTAATCCCAGCTACTCGGGAGGCTGAGGTAGGAGAATCACTTGAACCTGGGAGGCAGAGGTTGTGGTGAGACAAGATCACATCATTGCGCTCCAGCCTGGACAACAAGAGCAAAACTCCGTCTCAAAAAAAAAAAAAAAAAGTCTTCAATCTCATCCAGGTCACTGCAAATACCATTAATTCATTCCTTTTTATGGCTGAGTTGGTATTTCATCATATATATATATATATCACCATTTCTTTATCCACTCATAGATTGATGGGCATTTGGGTTGATTCCACAATTTTGCAATTGCAGATTGTGTTGCTATAAACATGCCTGTGCAAGTATCTTTTTGGTATACTGACTTCTATTCCTGTGGGTAGATACCCAGTAGTGGGATTACTGGATCAATTGGTTCTACTTTTAATTCTACTTTTAGTTCTTTAAGGAATCTCCACACTGTTTTCCATAGTGGCTGTACTAGTTTACATTCCCACCAGCAGGGTAGAAGTTTTCCCTGATCACTGCATCCATGCCAACATCTACTGTTTTTTTTTAATATATTTTAATTATAGCCATTCTAGCTTAGAAAAAGTGGTATCACATTGTGCTTTTGATTTGCATTTTCTTGATCATTAGTGATGTTGAGCATTTTTTCATATTTCTTGGCCATTTGTATATCTTTTTTTGAGAATTGTCTATTTACGTCCTTAGCCCACTTTTTGATGTAAATTTTTTTGGTTTTTTTTTTTTTTTTGAGATGGAGTTTCTCTCTGTCACCCAGGTTGGAGTACAGTGGCCCAGTCTCAGCTCACTGCAACCTCCACCTCCCGGGTTCAAGCGATTCTCCTGTCTCAGCCTCCTGAGTAGCTGGGACTAGAGGCGCACTTCACCACTCCCGGATAATTTTTGTATTTTTAGTAGAGATGGGGTTTCACCATATTGGCCAGGCTGGTCTCGAAGTCCTGACCCCGTGATCCGCCCACCTCGGCCTCCCAAAGTACTGGGATTACAGGCGTGAGCCACTGTGCCCAACTGTTTATTTTTTTCTTGTTGATTTGTTTGAGTTTGTTGTAGATTCTGGATATTAGTCCTTTGTCGATGTATAGATTTCAAAGATTTTCTCCCACTCTGTGGGTTGTATGTTTACTCTGCTGACTGTTCCTTTTGCTATGCAAAACCTCTTTAGTTTAATTAAGTCCCAGCTACTTATCTTTGTTTTTATTGCATTTGCTTTTGGGTTCTTGGTCATGAAATCCTTGACTAAGCCAATGTCTAGAAGGGTTTTTCCAATGTTATCTTCTAGAATTTTTATAGTTTCACGTCTTAGATTTAAGTCATTAATCCATCTTGAGATGATTTTTATATAAGGTGAGAGATGAGGATCCAGTTTCATTCTCCCACATGTGGCTAGCCAATTATCCCAGCACCATTGGTTGGAAAGGGTGTCCTTTCCCCACTTTATGTTTTTGTTTGCTTTGTTGAAGATCAGTTGGCTGTTAGTGTTTGGGATTATTTCTGGGTGCTCCATTTTGTTCCATTGGTCTATGTGCCTATTTTTATACCAGTACCATGCTGTTTTGGTGACTATGGCCTTATCGTATTGTTTGAAATCAGGTAGTGTGATGCCTCCAGGTTTGTTCTTTTTGCTTAGTCTTGCTTTGGCTATGCACCCTCTTTTTTGGTTCCATATGAATTTTAGAATTGTTTTTTCTAATTCTGTGAAGAATAATGGTGGTATTTTGATGGCGATTGCATTGAATCTGTAGATTACTTTTGGCAGTATAGTCATTTTCACAATATTGATTCTACCCATCCATGAGCATGGGATGTGTTTCCATTTGTTTATGTCAGGTATGATTTATTTCACAGTGTTTTGTAGTTTTCCTTGTAGAGGTCTTTCGACTCCTTGGTTAAGTATATTCTTAAGTTGTTTTTTTTTTTTTTTTTTTTTTTTTTTTTTTTTTTTTTTTTTTTTTTTGCAGCTATTGTAAAAGGGCTTGAGTTCTTGATTTGATTGCTTGGTCACTGTTGGTGTATAGAAGAGCTACTAATCTGTGTACATTAATATTGTATCCAGAAACTTTGCTGAATTCATTTATCAGTTCTAGGAGCTTTCTGGAGGAGTCTTTAGGATTTTCCAGGTAAATGATTATATTGCCAGCAAACAGTGACAGTTCGACTTCCTCTTTACTGATTTGGATGCCCTTTATTTCCTTCTCTTTCCTGATTGCTTTGGCTAGGACTTCCAGTACTATGTTGAAGAGAGATGGTGAGAGTGGGCATCCTTTTCTTGTTCCAGTTCTCAGAGGAAATGCTTTCAACTGTTCCCCATTCAGTATTATGTTGGCTGTGGGTTTGTCATAGATGGCTTTTATTACACTGAAGTGTGTCCCTTGTATGCTGATTTTGCTGAGAGTTTTAATCATAAAGGGATGCTGGATTTTGTTGAATCCTTTTTCTGCATCTATTGAGATGATCATATGATTTTTGTTTTTAATTCTGTTTATGTGGTGTATCACATTTATTGACTTGCATATGTTAAGCCATTCTTGCATCCCTGGTATGAAACCCACTTGATTATGGTGGATTATCTTTTTGATATGTTGTTGAATTCAGTTACCTAGTATTTTGTTAAGGATATTTGCATCTATGTTCATCAGGGACATCGGTCTGTAGCTTTCTTTTTTGGTTATGTACTTTCCTGATTTTGGTGTTAGGGTGATGCTGACTTCATAGAATAAATTAGGGAGGGCTCTGTCTTTATCTTGTGGAATAGTGTCAAAAGAATTGGTATCAATTCTTTGAATGTCTTTTAGGATTCTGTTGTGAATCCTTTTGGTCCTGGAGTTTTTTTTTGTTGATAGTTCTTAAATTACCATTTCAATCTTGCTGCCTGTTATTCGTCTGTTCAGGGTATCTAATTCTTCCTGATTTAAGCTAGGAGGTTAGTAGTTTCCCATTGATTTATCTATCTCTTCTAGGTTTTCTAGTTTATGTGCATAAAGGTGTTCATAATAGTCTTGAATGATCTTTTGTATTTCACTGGTGTCAGTTGTGATATCTTCCATTTCCTTTCTTATTGAGGTTATTTGGATTTTCTCTCTTCTTGGTTAATCCTGCTAAAGGTCTATAAATTTTATTTATCTTTTCAAAGAACCAGGTTTTTGTTTCATTTATCTTTTGTATTTTTTTTTTGTTTCAGTTTCCTTTAGTTCTGCTCTGATCTTGGTTTTTTCCTTTCTTCTGCTGGGTTTGGGTTTGGTTTGTTCTTGTTTCTCTAGTTCCTTGAGGTGTGACCTTAAAATGTCAGGTTGTGCTCTTTCAGTCTTTTTGATGTAGGCTGAACACCAAAAAGAACTTTCCTCTTAGCACCACCTTTGCCATATCACAGAGGTTTTGATAGGTTGTGTCACCATTGCCATTCAGTTTGGAGAATTTTTTAATTTTCATCTTGATTTCATTTTTGACCCCGTGATCACTCTGGAGCAGGTAATTTAATTTACATGTATTTCCATGGTTTTGAAGGTTTCTTTTGGAGTTGATTTCCAGTTTTATTCCACTGTGGTCTGAGAGACTGCTTGATATAATTTCAATTTTCTTAAACTTATTGAGGCTCATTTTTGTGGCCTATCACATTGTCTATCTTGGAGAAAGTTCCATATGCTGTTAAATAGAAGGTGTAGTCTGTGGTTATTTTATGGAATGTTCTGTATATATCTGTTAAGTCAATTTGTTCCAGGGTCTAGTTTAAATCAATTGTTTCTTCATTGGTTTTCTGTCTTAATGACCTCTCTAGTGCTGTCAGTGGAGTATTGAAGTCTCCGATTATCATTGTGTTCGTGTCTATCTCATTTATTAGGTCTATTAGTAATTGTTTTATAAAATTGGGAGCTCCAGTGATAAGTGCATATATGTTTAGGATTGTGATATTTTCCTGTTGGACAAGGCCTTTTACCATTATATAGTGTTCCTCTTTGTCTTTTTAAACTGCTGTTGCCTTAAAGTTTGCTTTTTCTGATATAAGAATAGATCCCCCTTCTCACTTTTGGTGTCCATTTGCATGAGATCCCTTCTTCCACACCCTTACTTTAAGTTTATGTGAGTCCTTATGTGTTAGGTGAGTCTCTTGAAGGCACCAGATAGTTGGTTGGTAGATTCTTATTTATTCTGTGGTTCTGTATCTTTTAAGTGGTGCATTTAAGCCATTTATATTCAATGTTAGTATTGAGATGTGAGGTACCATTCCATTCACTGTACTATTTGTTCCCTGTGTATCTTGTTTTTTTGTTTTCACTTTTTAACTTGTATTTTTGTTTTATAAGTCCTGTGAGAGTTATGCTTTAAAGAGGTTCTGTTTTGGCTTGTCTCCAGGATTTTTTTTTTCAAGATTTAGAGATCCTTTTAGCAGTTCTTGTAGTGGTGGCTTGATAGTTGTGAATTCTCTCTACATTTGTTTCTCAAAACAGATTGTATCTTTCCTTCATATATGACACTTAGTTTCACTGGATACAAATTTCTTGACTGACAATTATTTTGTTTGAGGAGCTGAAGATAGGGTCCCAATCCCTTCTAGCTTGCAGGGTTTCTGCTGAGAAATCTGATGTTAATCTGATAGGTTTTCCTTTATAGGTTACCTGGTGATTTTGTCTCACAGCTCTTAAGATGCTTTCCTTCATGTTAACTTTAGATAACTTGATGACAATGTGCCTAGGCAATTATTTTTTTGCAATAAATTTTCCAGGTGCTTCTTGTATTTGGATGTCTAGGTCTCTAGCAAGTCCAGGGAAGTTTTCCTTGATTATTCCCCCAAATATATTTTCCAAACCTTTAGATTTTTCTTCTTCCTCAGAACACCAATTATTCTTAGCTTTGGTCACTTAACATAATCCCAGACTTCTTAGGGGCTTTGTTCATATTTTCTTATTTTTTTACTTTGTCTTTGTTGGTTTGAGTTAATTCAAAGACCTTGTCTTCAAGCTCTGAATTTCTTTCTTCTACTTATTCAATTCTATTGCTGAGACTTTCCAGAGCATTTTGCATTTCTATAAGTGTGTTCAATGTTTTCTGAAGTTTTGACTGGTTTTTCTTTGTGCTATCTATTTCTTTGAATATTTTCCCCTTCACGTGTATCATTTTTTGAATTTCCTTGCACTGGGCTTCGTCTTTCTCTGGTGCCTCCCTGATTAACTTAATAACTAATTTCCTGAATTCTTTTTCAGGTAAATCAGGGATTTCTTCTTGGTTTGGATCCATTGCTGGTGAGCTAGTGTAACTTTCTGGAGGTGTTAAAGAGCCTTGTTTTGAAGGATAATGTTGCTGAGTATGGAATTTGTGTCTGATAGTTTTTGTCTTTTATCCCTTTAAAAATACCATCACTTCTATACACCAATAATATTCAAGCTGAGCACCAAATTAAGAACACAATCCCATTTGCAACAGCCACACACACAAAAATAAAATACCTAGGAATATATCTAAACAGGGGGATGAAATATTTCTACAAGGAGAATTACAAAACAGAATTACAAAACACTGATGGAAGAGATCAAAGATGACACAAACAAATGCATAAACATTCTGTGCTCATGGATAGGAAGAATCAATATCATTAAAATGTCTATACTGCCCACAGTAATCTACAGATTCAATGCTATTCCTATCAAAGTACCAACATCATTTTTCACAGAATTAGAAAAAAAACTATTATAAAATTCATATGGAATAAAAAAAGAGTCCAAATAGCCAAGGCAATCCTTAGCAAAACAATGAAGCATGCAGTATCACATTACCTGTCTTCAGATTATGCTACAGGACTGTGGTAACCAAAACAGGATGGTACTGGGACAAAAACAGAAACATAGACCAGTGGAACAGAATAGAGCACTCACATATAAAGCTGCAAACATACAATCAATTGGTCTTTGACAAAGGTGACTAAACTAAGTAATGGGGAAAGGATGTCCTATTCAATAAATAATGCTGGGAAACTGGCTAACCATATGCAGAAGAATGAAACTGGACCTTTACCTATCACCCTATACAAAAACTAACTCAAGATGGATTAAATACTTAAATGTAAGACCTAAAACTTTTGAAATTCTAGAAGAAAACCAAGGAAATATTCTTTTAGGCATTGGCCTAGGCAAAGACCTCATGACTAACTCCTCAAAAACAAATGCAACAACAACAAAAAAAATGGATGTAGGAGACCTAATTAAACAAAAGCTTTTGCATGGCAAAAGAAACTGTCAAGGAGGGAAACAGATAACCTACAGATTATAAGAAAATATTTGCAAAATATGCATCTGACAAAAGTCTAATGTCCAGAATATGTAAGGAACTTAAACAAATCAATGAGAAAAAAAAAAAACTCCATTAAAAAGTGGGCAAAGGACATGAACAGACACTTCTCAAAAGGAGACATGCATGTGGCCAAAAAATACATGGAAAAAAATGCTCATCATTACTAGTCATTAGAGAGATGCAAATCAAAACCATAATGAGATGCCATCTCACACCAGTCACAATGATTATTACAAACAAGTCAATAAATAGGAGATGTTGGCAAGGGTGTGGAGAAAAGGGAATGCTTATACATTATTAGTGGTAATGCAAATTAGTTCAAGCCTTGTGGAAGTCATTTGGAGGTTTTTCAAAGAACTAAACAGAATTACCATTTGACTCAGCAATCCCATTATTGGGTATATACCCAAGGAAAAATAAATTGTTCTACCAATAAGACACTTATACTCATGTTTAATGAAGCACAATTTACAGTAGCAAAGAAATGGAGTCAACTCAAGTGACCATTAGTGGTGGATTGAATATAGAAAATGTGGTACATATACTCAATGGAATACTATGCAGTCATACAAATGAATAAAATCATGTCATTTGCAGCACCATGGAAGTAAATCAACTCAAAATGCCAGAATAATTTTTTTCCTCCAAACTACTGCAGTACCTCTCCAGCAAGTGTTCTGAACCAGGCTGAGATGGTTGAAATGACAGAAATAGAATTCAGAATATGGACAGGAACAAAGATCATTGAGATGCAAGAGTACATTGAAACCCAATCAAAGGAAGCTAAGAATCATGGTAAGACGTTACAGGAACTAACAGACAGAATAGCCAGTATAGAAAAAAACATAAGCAATCTGGTGGAACTGAATACATACTACAAGAATTTCATAATGAAACCACAAATTTTAATAGTAGAATATATCAAGATGAGGAAAGGAACTCAGAGCTTGCAAACTGGCTTTATGAAATAAGACAGTCAGACAAGAATAGAGAAAAAAGAATGAAAAGAAATGTAGAAAACATCTGAGTAATATGGGATATGTGAAGAGACAAAATCCATGACTCATCGGTGTCCTTGAAAGACATGGGGAGAGTGTAAGTAACTTGGAAAATGTGTTTCAGGATATCGTCCGTGAAAACTTCCCCAACCTAGCTAGAGAGGCCAACACTGAAATTCAGGAAATGCAGAGAACTGTAGCAAGATACTTCACAAGAAGATCATCCCCAATACACATAATTGTCAGATTCTCCAAGGTTGAAATGAAAGTAATAAATGTTAAAGGCAGGTAGAGAGAAAGGTCAGGTCACCTACAAAGGGAAGCCCATCAAACTAAGAGCAGACCTCTCAGCCAGAAGAGAATGGGGGCCCATATTAAACATTCTTAAAGAAAAGATATTTTAACCCAGAATTTCATATCCAGCCAAACTAAACTTTATAAGTGAAGGAGAAATAAGATCTTTTTGAGACAAGCAAATGCTGAGGGAATTTATTACCACCAGACCTGCTTCCTGAAGGAAGCACTAAATATGGAAACACATTTATGTACACAGACCAGTGACACTGTAAAGCAACCATACAAACAAGTCAGACTAATAACCAGCTGATACCATGATGACAGGATCAAATTCACACATATCAATACTAACCTTGAATGTAAATGAGCTAAATATCCCAATTAAAAGGCACAGAATGGCAAGCTGGGTAAAGAACCAAGACCCATTGGTACACTTACTTCAAGGGACCCATTTCACAAGTGATGACACACATAGTCTCATAATAAAGAAATGGAGAAAAATCTACCGTTCAAATGGAAAACAGAAGAAAGCAGGGGTTGCAATCCTAGTTTCAGACAAAACAGACTTTAAACCAACAATGATCACAAAAGACAAAGAAGGGCATTACATAATGGTGAAGGGTTCAATTCAACAAGAAGACCTAACTATCCTAGATATATATGCACCCAACACAGGAACACCTAGTTCTTAGAGACCTTCAAAGAGACTTAGACTCCCATAAAATAATAGTAGGAGACTTCAACACTCCACTGACAGTATTAGACAGATTATTGAGGCAGAAAATTAACAAAGATGTCTAGGACCTGAACTCAGCATTGCATCAAATAGACCTGATAGACATCTACAGAACTCTTCACCCAAAACCGCAGAATATACATTCTTCTCATTGCCACATGGCACATTCTCTAAAGTCAACCACATAATCTGAGACAAAACACTTCTCAGCAAATTCAAAAGAACTGAAATTATAACAACCACTCTCTTGGACCACAGTGCATTAAAATTAGAGACCAAGACTAAGAAAATCACCCAAAACCATACAATTAGATGGAAATTGAATAACCTACACCTGAATGACTTTTGGGTAATAATGAAATAATGAAATTAAGGCAGAAGTCAAGAAGTTCTTTGAAACTAATGAGAACAAAGATACAACATACCAGAATCTCTGGGACACAGTTAAGGCAGTGTTAAGAGGGAAATTTATAGTACCAAATGCCCACATGAAAAAGCTAGAAAGATCTCAATTTAACAACTTAACATCACAACTAAAAGAACTAGAGAACTAAAAGCAAACCAAACCCAAAGCTAGTAGAAGACAAGAAATAACCAAAATTAGATCTGAACTGAAGGATAATGAGACACGAAAAGCCACTCTAAAGATAAACTAATCTAGAAGTTTGTTTTTTAAGAAAACTAATAAAATAGACTACTAGCTAGACTAATCAAAAAGAAAAGATAGAAAATCCAAATAGGGCGGTCCATTCCAAGATGGCCAACTAGGAACAGCTCCGGTTTGCAGCTCCCAGCGTGATTGACGCAGAAGACAAGTGATTTCTGCATTTCCAACTGAGGTACCTGGTTCATCTCATTGGGACTGGTTGGAAAGTGGGTGCAGCCCATGGAGGGCAAGCCGAAGCAGGGTGGGGCACCATCTCACCCGGGAGGTGCAAGGGGTCAGGGGATTTCCCTTTCCTGGCCAAGGGAAGCCGTGACAGACTATAGAGGGAAAATCAGGACACTGCCACCTAAACACTGCGCTTTTCCAACGGTCTTAGCAAATGACACACCAGGAGATTATATCACGCACCTGGTTCAGTGGGTCCCTACACCCACAGAGCCTTGCTCACTGCTAGTCCGAGATTTAACTGTGAGGCTTCAAGCCTGGCTGGGGGAGGGGCGTCCACCATTGCTGAGGATTGAGTAGGTAAATAAAGCAGCCTGGAAGCTCAAACTGGGTGGAGCCCATTGCAGCTCACGGAGTCCTGCCTGCCTGTGTAGACTCCATCTGTGAGGGCAGGGCATAGCTGAACAAAAGGCAGCAGAAACTTATGCAGACTTAAACCTCCCTGTCTGACAGCACTGAAGAGAGCAGTGGTTCTCCCAGCACAGTGTTTGAGCACTGAGAACGGATGGACTGCCCCCTCAAGTGGGTCCCTGACCCCCATGTAGCCTAAATTGGAGAAACCTCCCAGTGGGGGCCAACTGACACCTCATACAGCCAGGTGCCCCTCTGAGATGAAGCTTCCAGAGGAAGGATCAGGCAGCAATATTTGCTGTTTTGCAGCCTCCACGGGTGAAACCCAGGCAAAAAGGGTCTGGAGTGGACCTCCAGCAAACTCCAACAGACCTGCAGCTGAGGGAACTGACTGTGAGAAGGAAAACTAACAAACAGAAAGGAATAGCATCAACATCAACAAAAAGGACATCCACACCAAAACCCCATCTATAGGTCACCAACATCAAAGACCAAAGGTAGATAAAACCACAAAGATGGGGAGAAACAGGAGTAGAAAAGCTGAAAATACTAAAAACCAGAGTGCCCCTTCTTCTCCAAAGGATTACGGCTCCTCTCCAGCAATGGAACAAAGCAGGAAAGAGAATGACCTTGATGAGTTTACAGAAGTAGGCTTCAGAAAGTAGGTAATAACAAACTTCTCTGAGCTAAAGGAGGATGTTCAAACTCATTGCAAGGAAGCTAAAAACCTTGAAAAAAGATTGGACGAATGGCTAACTAGAATAAACAGTGTAGAGAAGACCTTAAGTGACCTGATGGAGCTGAAAACCATGGCACGAGAACTAAATGATACACGCACAAGCTTCGGTAGCCAATTTGATCAAGTGGAAGAAACGGTATCAGTGATTGAAGATCAAATGAATGAAATGAAGTGAGAAGAGAAGTTTAGAGAAAAAAAGAGTGAAAAGAAATGAACAAAGCCTACAAGAAATATGGGAGTACATGAAAAGACCAAATCTATGTCTGATTGGTGTACCTGAAAGTGACGAGGAAAATGGAACCAAGCTGGAAAACACTCTTCAGGATATTATCCAGGAGAACTTCCCCAACCTAGCAAGGCAGGTCAACATTCAAATTCAGGAAATACAGAGAACACCACAAAGATGCTCCTTGAGAAAAGCAACCCCAAGACATATAATTGTCAGATTCACCAAGGTTGAAATGAAGGAAAAAATGCTAAGGGCAGCCAGAGAGAAAGGTTGGGTTACCCACAAAGGGAACCCCATCGGACTAACAGCAGCTCTCTTGGCAGAAACCCTACAAGTCAGAAGAGAGTGGGGGCCAATATTCAACATTCTTACAGAAAAGAAATTTCAACCGAGAATTTCATATCCAGCCAAACTAAGCTTCATAAGCGAAGGAGAAATAAAATCCTTTACAGACAAGCAAATGCTGAGAGATTTTGTCACCACCAGGCCTGCCTTACAAGAGCTCCTGAAGGAAGCACTAAACATGGAAAGGAAAAACTGGTACCAGCCACTGCAAAAACATGCTAAATTGTAAAGACCATCAATGCTAAGAAGAAGCTGCATCAACTAATGGGCAAAATAACCAGCTAACATCATAATGACAGGATCAAATTCACACATAACAATATTAACCTTAAATGTAAATGGCCTAAATGCCCCAATTAAAAGACATAGACTGGCAAATTAGATAACGAGTCAAGACCCATCAGTGTGCTGTATTCAGGAGACCCATCTCACATGAAGAGACACACATAGGCTCAAAATAAAGGGATGGAGGAAGATCTACCAAGCAAATGGAAAGCAAAAAAAAAGCAGGGTTTGCAATCCTAGTCTCTGATAAAACAGACTTTAAACCAACAAAGATCAAAAGAGACAAAGAAGGCCATTACATAATGGTAAAGGGATCAATTCAACAAGAAGAGCTAACTATCCTAAATATATGTGCACCCAATACAGGAGCACCCAGATTCATAGAGCAAGTCCTGAGAGACCTACAAAGAGACTTAGACTCCCACACAATAATAATGGGAGACTTTAACACCCCACTGTCAACATTAGACAGATCATCGAGACAGAAAGTTAACAAGGATATCCAGGACGTTATCTCAGCTCTGCATGAAGCAGGCCTAATAGACATCTACAGAACTCTCCACCCCAAATCAACAGAATATACATTCTTCTCAGCACCACATCACACTTATTACAAAATTGACCACATAGTTGGAAGTAAAGCACTCCTTAGCAAATGTAAAAGAACAGAAATCACAACAAACTGTCTCTCAGACGACAGAGCAATCAAATTAGAACTCAGGATTAAGAAACTCACTCAAAACTACACAACTACATGGAAACTGAACAACCTGCTCCTAAGTGACTACTGGGTAAACAACGAAATGAAGGCAGAAATAAAGATGTTCTTTGAAACCAATGAGAACAAAGACACAATGTACCAGAATCTCTGGGACACATTCAAAGCAGTGTGTAGAGGGAAATTTATAGCAGTAAATGCCTACAAGAGAAAGCAGGAAAGATCTAAAATCCACACCCTAACATCACAACTAAAAGAACCAGAGAAGCAAGAGCAAACACATTCAAAAGCTAGCAGAAGGCAAGAAATAACTAAGATTAGAGCAGAACTGAAGGAGATAGACACACAAAAAACCCTTCAAAAAATCAGTGTATCCAGGAGCTGGTTTTCTGAAAGGATCAACAAAATTGATAGACTGATAGCAAGACTAATGAAGAAGAAAAGAGAGAAGAATCAAATAGATGCAATAAAAAATGATAAAGGGGATATCACTATTGATCCCACAGAAATGCAAACTACCATCAGAGAATACTATAAAAACCTCTACGCAAATAAACTTGAAAATCTAGAAGAAATGGATAAATTCTTGGACACATATATCCTCCCAAGACTAAACCAGGAAGAAGTTGAATTGCCAAATAGACCAATAACAGGCTCTGAAAATGAGGCAATAATTAATAGCCTACCAACAAAAAAAGTCCAGGACCAGATGAGTTCACAGCCAAATTCTACCAGAGGTACAAAGAGGAGCTGGTACCATTCCTTCTGAAACTATTCCAATCAATAGAAAAAGAGGGAATCCTCCCTAACTCATTTTATGAGGCCAACATCATCCTGATACCAAAGCCTGGCAGAGACATAACAAGAAAAGGGAATTTTAGACCAATATCCCTGATGAACATCGATGGGAAAATCCTCAATAAAATACTAGCAAACCGAATCCAGCAGCACATCAAAAAGCTTATCCACTAAGATCAAGTTGGCTTCATCCCTGGGATGCAAGGCTGTTTGAATATACACAAATCAATAATGTAATCCATCATATAAACAGAACCAAAGACAAAAACCACATGATTATCTCAATAGATGCAGAAAAGGCCTTCAACAAAATTCAACAACCCTTCATGCTAAAAACTCTCAATAAACTAGGTATTGATGGAATGTATCTCAAAATAATAAGAGATATTTATGACAAACCCACAGCCAGTATCATACGGAATGGGCAAAAACTGGAAGCATTCCCATTGAAAACTGGCACAAGACAGAGATGCCCTCTCTCACCACTCCTATGCCACATAGTGTTGGAAGTTCTGGCCAGGGCAATCAGGCAAGAGAAAGAAAGAGAGGACACTCAATTAGGAAAAGAGGAAGTCAAATTGTTACTGTTTGCAGAAGACATGATTGTGTATTTAGAAAACCCCATCGTCTCAGCCCAAAATCTCCTTAAGCTGATAAACAACTTCAGCAAAGTCTCAGGATACAAAATCAATGTGCAAAAATCACAAGCATTCTTACACACCAATAACAGACAAACAGAGAGCCAAATCATGAGTGAATGCCCACTAACAATTGCTTCAAAGAGAATAAAATACCTAGGAATCCAACTTACAAGGGATGTGAAGGACCTCTTCAAGGAGAACTACAAACCACTGCTTAACAAAATAAAAGAGGACACAAAACAAATGGAAGAACATTCCACGCTCATGTTTAGGAAGAAACAATATTGTGAAAATGACCATACTGCCCAAGGTAATTTATAGATTCAATGCCATCCCCATCAAGCTACCATTGACTTTCTTCACAGAATTGGAAAAAAAAACTACTTTAAACTTCATATGGAACCAAGAAAGAGCCCGCATTGCCAAGACAATCCTAAGCAAAAAGAACAAAGCTGGAGGTATCACGCTACCTGACTTCAAACTATACTACAAGGCTACAGTAACCAAAACAGCACGGTACTGGAAACAAAACAGATATATAGACCAATGGAACAGAACAGAGTCCTCAGAAATAATACAATACATCTACAACCATCTGATCTTTGACAAACCTGACAAAAACAAGCAATAGGGAAAGGATTCCCTAATTAATAAATGGTGCTGAGAAAACTGGCTAGCCATATGAAGAAAGCTGAAACTGGATCCCTTCCTTACACCTTATACAAAAAGTGATTCGAGGTGGATTAAAGACTTAAATGTCAGACCTAAAACTATAAAAGCCCTAGAAGAAAACCTAGGAAATACCATTCAGGACATAGGCATGGGCAAGGACTTCATGACTAAAACACCAAAAGCAATGGCAACAAAAACTAAAATAGAAAAATGAGATCTAATTAAATTAAAGAGTTTCTGCAGAGCAAAAGAAACTACCATCAGAGTGAACAGGCAACCTACAGAATGGTAGAAAATTTTTGCAATCTCTTCATCTGACAAAGGGCTAATATCCAGAATCTACAATGAACTCAAACAAATTTACAAGAAAAAATCAAGTAGCCCCATCAAAAAGTGGGGAAAGGATATGAACAGACACTTCTCAAAAGAAGACATTTATGCAGCCAAAAAACACATGAAAAAATGCTCATCAACACTGGCCATCAGAGAAATGCAAATCAAAACCACAATGAGATACCATCTCACACCATTTAGAATGGCAATCATTCAAAAGTCAGGAAACAACAGGTGCTGGAGATGATGTGGAGAAATAGGAACACTTTTACACTGGGTGGGAGTGTAAACTAGTTCAACCATTGTGGAAGACAGTGTGGCGATTCCTCAAGGATCTAGAACTAGAAATACCATTTGACCCAGTGATCCCGTTACTTGGTATATACCCAAAGGATTATAAATCATGCTACGATAAAGACACATGCACACCTATGTTTATTGTGGCACTATTCCCAATAGCAAAGACTTGGAACCAACCCAAATGTCCAACAATGATAGACTGGATTAAGAAAATGTGGCACATATACACCATGGAATACTATGCAGCCATAAAAAAGGATGAGTTCATGTCCTTTGCAGGGACATGGATGAGACTGGAAACCATCATTGTGAGCAAACTATCGCAAGGACAGAAAACCAAACACTGCATGTTCTCACTCATAGGTGGGAATTGAACAATCGGAACACTTGGACACAGGGCAGGGAACATCACACAGCGGGGCCTGTTGTGGGGTGGGGGGATGGGGGAGGGATAGCATTAGGAGAAATACCTAATGTAAATGATGAGTTAATGGGTGCAGCAAACCAACACGGCATATGTAACAAACCTGCACATTGTGCACATGTACCCTAGAACTTAAAGTATAATAGTTAAAAAAAAAAAAGAAAATCCATATAAACGCAAGTAGAAATGACAAAGAGGATGTTACCACTGACCCCACAGATATACATATAGCCATCAGAGAATATTATGAACACCTCTATGCACACAAACTAGAAAATTTAGAAGAAATGAATAAATTTCTGGATATATACACACTCCCAAGACTGAATCAGGAAGAAACTGAATCCCTGAATAGATCAATAACAAGCTTTCAAATTGAATCAGTAATAAATAGCCTATCAACCAAAAAGAAGTCTGTGACCAAATGGATTCACAGCCAAATTCTACTAGGTGTAAAAGAACAGCTGATACCATTCCTACTGAAACTATTCCAAAAAATTGACGAGGGACTCCTACATAACTCTTTCTACAAGGCCAGCATCATCCTGACACAAAAACTTGGCAGAGGAATAACAAAAAAGGAAACTTCAGGCACATATCCTTGATAAACATTGATGCAAAAATCCTCAACAAAATACTGGCAAACCGAATCCAGCAGCACATCATAAAGCTTATCCACCATGATCAAGTAGGCTTTATCCCTGGGATGCAAGGGTGGCTCAACACACACAAATCAATAAGTGTGATTCATCACATAAACCGAACTAAAGACAAAAACCACACCATTATCTCAATAGATTCAGAAAAGGCTTTCGATAAAATTCAACACCCTTTTATGTTAAAAACTCCAAATTAACTAGGCATTAAAGAAACATACCTCAAAATAATAAGAGCCATCTATGACAAACCCACAGACAACATCATACTGAGTGTGCAAAGCTGGAAGTATTTCCCTCAAAAACTGGAACAAGATAAGGATGCCCTCTCTCACCACTCCTATTCGACATACTATTGGAAGTTCTGGCCACAGCGATCAGGCAAGAGAAAAATAATAAAGGGCATCCAAATAGGAAAAGAGAAAGTCAAACTATTCCTGTTTTCAGATGACATGATCTTATATCTAGAAAACCCCATAGTCTAAGCCCAAAAGCTCCTTAAGCTGATAAACAACTACAGCGAAATCTCAGCATACAAAATCAATGTTCAAAAATCACTAGCAGTCCTATACCCCAACAACAGTCAAGCCAAGAGCTAAGCCAGGAACACAATACCATTCACAACTGCCACTAAAAGAATAAAATACTTAGAAATACAGCTAACCAGGGAGATGAAAGGTCTCTACAAGGAGAACTACAAAACACTGCTCAAAGAAATCAGAGATGATGCAAACAAATAGATAAACATTACATGCTCATGAATAGGAAGAATTGATATCATTAAAATGGCCAAAGCAATTTATATATTCAGTGCTGTTCCTATCAATCTACTGAGGACATTCTTCACAGAACTAGACAAAAAATCTATTTTAAAATTCCTATGGAACCAAAAAAGAGCCCACAAAGCCAAGGCAATCCTAAGCAAAAAGAGCAAAGCTGGAGGCATCACACTATCCAACTTCAAACTATACTATAGGGCTGCAGTAGCCAAAACAGCATGACACTGGTGCAAAAACAGACACATAGACCAATGGAACAGAATAGAGAGCTAGAAATAAGGCTGCACACCTACAACTACCTAATCTTTGACAAACCTGACAAAAACAAGCAATGGGGAAGGATTCTCTATTCAATAAATGGTGCTGAGATAACTGGCTAGCCATATGCAGAGGATTGAAACTGGACCCCTTCTTTATACCACATAAAAAATTAAGGCAAAATGGATTAAAGGCTTAAATGTAAAACCCAAAACTATAAAAACCCTGGAAAACAAACTAGGCAGTACCCTTCTAGATGCAGGAACAGACAAAGATTTCATGATGAAGATGCCAAGAGCAATTGCAACAAAAGCAAAAATTGACAAATGAGATCTAATTAAAGAGCTTCTGCACAGAAAAATAAACTATCAACAGAATAAACAGACAACCTACAGAATGGGAGGAAATTTTTGCAAACTATATAGTTGATGAAGGTCTAATATCCAGCATCTATAAGGAACTTAAGCAAATTTACAAGAAGAAACAACCAACCAACCCTATTAAAAAGTGAGAAAAGGACATGAACAAACATTTTTCTAAAGAAGACATACATATGACCAACAATCATATGAGAAAAAGCTCAACATCACTGATTTAGAGAAATACAAATAGAAACCATGATGAGATACCATCTCACACCAGTCAGAATAGTTATTATTAAAAGCCAAAAAATAGAAGGTGCTGGCAATGTTGTGGAGAAAAGGGAATGCTTATACACTGTTAGAGGGAGTGTAAATTAGCTCACTCATTGTGGAAGACAGTGTGACGATTCCTCAAAGACCTAAAAACAGAACTACCATTCAATGCAGCAATCCCATTACTGGGTATATACCCAAGGAATATACCCATGCATGTGTGTATGTTCCTTGCAGCACCATTCACAATAGCAAAGACATGGAATCAAGCTAAATGCTCATCAGTTGTAGACTGGATAAAGAAGTATAGTACATATACACCATGGAGTACTATGCAGCCATAAAAAGGAACAAGATCATGTCCTTTTCAGGAACATGGATGGAGCTGGAGACCATTGTCCTTAGTAAACTAAAGCAGGAACAGAAAGCCAAATACCGCATGTTCTCACTTATAAGTTAGGAAAAATAACTAATGGCTACTAGGCTTAATACCTGGTTGATGAAATAATCTATATAACAAATCCCCAAGACATAAGTTTACTTATATAACAAACCTGCACAGCTACCGCTGAACTTAAAATAAAAGTTTTTAAAAATGTAATACATATACACCATGGAATACCGTGAAGTCATAAAAAGAGTAAAATTATGTCCTTTGCAGCATTATGGATGCAGCTGGAGGCTATTATTTAAAGCAAAGTAATGCAGACACCAAAAATCAAATCAAATATCATTCTCACTTATAAGTGGGAGCTAAACATTGGGTACACATAGTCATAAAGATGGGAATAACAGTCACTGGGGACTACTAGAAAGGGGAAAGAAGGAGGAGAGCAAGTGCTGAAAAACTACCTATTGGGTACTATGCTCACTGCCTGGGTGACAGTTTCAATCATACCCCACACCTCAGTATCATGCAATAGACCCATGCAACAAACTTGCACATGTACACCTGGATTCTAAAATAAAAGTTGAAAAGGAAAAAAAATGATTCTTTATCTTTGATTATGATGTGTCTAAGTGTACTTCTCTTTGAGTTTATTCTGCTTGGAATCTATTGAGGTTCTTGGATTAATCAAATTTGAGATTATTTTAGCCACTATTTCTTCTCACAATCTTTCTGTTCCTTTCTCTCTCTCTTCACCTAATGGGTTCCCATAACACATAGGTTGGTACTCTTAATGGTGCTCAATGTGTCCCTTAGACGGTCTTCACTGTTTTTCCCTCTTTTTTCTTTCTGATCCTCAGGCAATAATAGTTTCAATTTTTCAATATTCAAGTTTGCGTTCTTTCTTCTGCATACTTAAATCTGCTGTTCAGTGCCAGTAGTAAATTTTTCATTTCTATTATTATACTTTTCAGCTCTAGAATTTCTATTTTGTTTCTTCCCATAATTTCTATCTTTTATTAATATTTTCATGTTATTCATACATTGTTTTCCTGGTCTCTTTTAGTTCTTTGGTTATATTATGGTAGCTGATTTTAAAACTTTGCCTTGCAAGTTCAATCATTGGGCTTCCTCAGGGATAGTTTCAGTCAATGAATTTGTCCTGCGAATGGGCCATACTTTTCTTTTGTTTGAATGCCTTGTAATATTATATTGTGGTAACTCCAAAAATCAGATTTTGCCCTTTCCCCAAATTTTGCTGTTGTTTGTTTCTGAGGGGTGCCGTAATTTATTTGTTTAGTTTCTTTTGGAATGTTTTTTTGCTAAGGCTATATTTCTGGTTGTGTGTGCTCTCTGAAGTCTTCATTTCATTGTCTCAGTGGTCAGCCAGTGACCTGACAGAGGTTTCCTTAAATGTCTGTAGCCAAAAAGAGAGAAAAAAAATTTTCTCTCAGTCTTTGAAGTTTGGCTTTAAGCCGGGGCATTCATTCAGTGCTACGCCAGCTTACCTCCATCTCTGCCTTAGCCTTCAGCACCTGATTTTGCAAAGTCTACTGATCCACAGTGTGAGAAGTGTGAATTCTCCAACGTTGAACAGCTTCGTTCTTCTTAATTATTATGTTGGCTAATCTTTCTTTTTCAGAGGTCAAAATATAGTTTTAATGTGTATTTGGGACTCTGAGTTACAGCAGCCTTTTTCCTACTCCACCCTCTACTTATTTGGTCAGTTGTTTCTCACAGGCTTTGTACAGCGAATTCACCCTAGTAAGTACAGCAGGCTGATACTTAATTTTACTCTGAATGCTGGTAGATGAAAACAACAGTGTCATTGCCTAGTAAATGGAACTAATTCTCAGACTTAGTGTCAAGGAGCCAGAAAGGGCAGTGATTTCATGACCTAGTTAAAGGCACAGTCATTACTCAGCTCCCACTAATTTTGGTCATGTAAAAACACAGGCCCAATGATACTAGATATTATACTTTCTGCAGATAACCACGGCAACATTTCCCATTCATATGCTTTTCTAGAACCTTGCCTCTCACCATTAAGAAAGGAAGCGTGTGGCCCATCTCCTTGAAATCTGAGAAGAGGGGTCATAGAACTAGACCGCTGTGGAAGTTATGCCATAATGACGTCCAAGGAGAGCTCCTAAAGACAATACAATTTTTGTTTGGCTCTCCCTTAGGACACTCATCCTTGGATCCCAGTGCCCTGGTGTGTAAGTAAGCCCAGGACAGCAGGGGAGGCCCACATGGAGAGTGACTGAGGCCCCAGGCCCTCAGCCCTGAAAGAATTCCCAGCCCACAGCCAGAACCAACTTGCCAGCCCACAGCCAGAACCAACTTGCCAGCAGTGTGAGAGCCATTTTAGGAGTGGATCTTCCAGCCCCAGTGACACTCCAGCTGATAACCCATGAGCGAGTAAGTCTTCTACACCAAGCTATGCCCAAATTGCACATTTGCAAGCAAAATATGATTGTGTTTTTGAGTCACTTTGTTTTATAGTGGCTTGTTATACAGCAGCAGATAATTCAGCCACCGAGTCTTCCAAATTCTCAAGAAAAGCAAAATATTTAAATTTTCAAGTGAAATCTCTGATTTTTAAATACTAACTAGTTCCAAATTGAAAACTATCTTCTATAAGGTTTTGAATGGTTCCAAACACATAGAACAGATAAATACTCAAAGTGATGGATACCTCAAATACCCTGACTTTATCATTACACATTCTATGTGTATAACAAAATATCACATGTACCCATAAAAATGAATCACATATATGTAAAATGTTATGATTTAATACAAAGTAAAGAAATAAAATACCTGCTATAAGTTGTGTAAAAACATCTTCATGTTATTTTCAGCCTTCTACCCACAGTCTACATGGGGTATCTCAATTAATTGTCACAATAATGCTGCCAGGTAGTTGCTGTGTCTTCGTTTTTTTCAGATAACCCCCAAATCAGTGAATAAACTAGTTCAGAGTCACACGGCCAGTAAGAAATAGGGTCAAGATCTGAGCTCAGCAAAGTCTGTCTGCTTTTTTCTACATCATACCATGCTTTTAAGCTTAATACATAAGACAGATTATTTCCTGCTTCATTTAGTCGTCCTATTTCTGCCTTATTTAGAAATAGTTCCAAGGCGATTTAGTTTCTTGCACTTTTCTACCCTGTTGCTGCTGTTTTATTTTTCTTATACTTCATTTCACTTGAACTCCTCACCTCCAGCTTCATTTATTCTCTTGGGGTCCAAAAAGAAAATGATTATAAACCAAGGAAGGTTGCAATGATCCTTTCCCCCAGGGAATTTTCCCAGGGCTGTAGCCAAGTGCCAGTTTGGTTTAGAAGGGACGTATAACCATCGGAGGCCAAGCTAGATTGGCATGTGTCCCTAGCAAATTCACACAGCATGAAGTTGCTATTCATGCCTTCAGTACTGCCATTTTGTGAGGCGTTTTGATTTTCCCTATACATTCTTTGTAACCAATTATTATTGCCCCTGATCCTCTTTGCTACAAAAGTTCAATAGAGATGGGACCTGCAGAGTCAGTATTTGGATGTCTGTGTTTGTGTATCTATTTGGCTGTAAATGCAAGAGACAAGAAGCAGTGTTTTTCTATCACATTTGGAAAAGGAAAGAGGAAAGATATGTTGAGAGTCACCATTATTTCCTAGGTGATTATAAAACCAGAAAAGAAAAGAAAAGAAAAGAAAAGAAAAGAAAAGAAAAGAAAAGAAAAGAAAAGAAAAGAAAAGCCTACTGTTATTTTTTGGATAACAATCTTATCCTTGGAACAAATCCAGCTGAATCAAGAAAGCACTTTATGCTTCAAATCTCGTATAATAAATAGGTTTTCAGGTGAATGGTCTTAATTTTTATGGTAACAACTGTTTAGATAACTGTGTTTTTTTCCTTAGTGAGTTCTATTCCTGGTTAGTATAGGTCTGAAACATGTTTAAAATACATTCACGTAAAGCCTGATTTGTAACTTTTAAACCTACTAAGTGTAGCTTATATCATTATGCTGCAATTGTATGCACATGACCATGAGGCATGATTTCCTGAACTGGGTGGGAGATAGGGGCACAGAATTTTTGACTCAGTTCCATTGCTTTAACCTGGAAAAAAAATTCCAACATCCTTGGAACTCTGATTTTCTGCTTGTAATACATGGAGTGTAACAGCTGAGCCACAGGCTGTTTTGAGAACAGAACAAAAAGCTATAAATATGTCAGTCAATAAAACTCTACCAAGCAAAGAGCCTTTATAAATTCAAAACACTATTGATGGTTTTAAATTATTTTCTCTGAAAAAAACATAACATCAGAGGTTATTTAACTTTTCTATTATTTATAATACAGTCACCAATTTAGAGATAGGAGACTTAATTTTCTCTTTTGTCCAAAATCAACTCAAATTATGCTCAGAGAACCATAGTATCTTAAGCAGTAAGAGATTTGGGGAAAACAACATTTAAAAAAAAAAAGGGTTATTGTGTGGCCAGGTAAGTTTGTGAAGTGCCTGAGCATACACTATTGTTGTAAAATGTATTAATGCCCAGTAAATGTCCATTCTCTTCCATCTCTATTCTGTAAGAGGAGCTGTTTCCCCACCTATTGTTATGGGGTTTGGTCATGTGACTTGCTTTGACCAATGGGATGTGAGTGGACATAATATATACCAGTCCAAGTAGAGAATTTAACCCAAGTCAAACATGTGTTTGGCTCAGTCTCCTCACTTCTGCCCACTGTCCTAAGAGGAGTTTTCTCCAGGTAAACACTACTGCTTCAACCTGGGTCCCAGAAAGACAAACACATGCTCTAGATCTGTGTCACCTACCATTGCCAGCTGACCCAACACAGAGGACTTATGAAAAATACATAATAGTTGTAAGCTACTGAGATTTGGAGTTTTTTATTATAGAGCATTTTCATAGCCAAAGTTGATTAATTCATACATTAAACATCTTCTTAACCACAAGACTTCCAGGGCATTCAGTTTGCTGATGTCCTCTGTAGATCTCAAAATTAATTGGCCCTAGACTTATGTGTTCTACAGAAACACTGACTTAAAAATAAAATTTTTAGAGCAGCATTTTTTAAGACCACATGATGTCTTTTCAAAGGCAGAGGGTTAAGTTTACAAGCATCCTATCTTCATAGCACTCAATAATAGATATGGCTTTATTGTGTGGTCACATCCATTCATCTAGGCTGGTGATATAAATTAGTGGTCAAAGCATTCGCTTTGGAATCATACAAGCCTTAATTTAAATTATAGCCCCACCACTTAAGAGATAGGAGACCTTGGGAATTCATGTATGTTCTCCGAGACTTAATTTCCTTACCTGCAAAATTAGGATAATAATATTAATAGTTACATTATAAAATTGTGAAGATTAACTGATATATATAATAAGCTTAGCACAATGTCTGACACAGAGCATAAGCTCAAGAAATGATAGCTGATGTTACTACTTTTAGAGGTCCATGTCCATAAAACCCTTTATAGAGAAATTGGAAGTAGGAAAATTAGAGTAAAGTTAACACAGGACACATTGATTTTAATCAAAGAACAGATTACTTAGGAGGAAATGACCTTCTTTTTTTTATTATTATACTTTAAGTTCTGGGGTATGTGTGCTGAACATGCAGGTTGGTTACATAGGTATACATGTGCCATGGTGATTTGCTGCACCCATCAACCTGTCATCTACATTAGGTATTTCTCCTAATGCTATCCCTCCCCCAGCTCCCCACCCCCTGACAGGCTACCAGTGTGTGATGCCCCCAACCCTGCTGTGTCCATGTGTTCTCATTCTTCAACTGCCGCTTATGAATGAGAACATGCGATGTTTGGTTTTCTCTTCCTGTGTTAGTCTGCTGAGAATGATGGTTTCCAGCTTCATCCATGTCCCTGCAAAGGACATGAACTCATCCTTTTTATGGCTTCATAGTATTCCATGGTATGTATGTGCCACATTTTCTTTATTCAGTCTATCATTGATGAGCATTTGGGTTGGTTCCAAGTCTTTGCTATTGTGAACAGTGCCGCAATAAACATACGTGTGCATGTGTCTTTATAGTAGAGTGATTTATAATCTTTTGGGTATATATCCAGTAATGGGATTGCTAGGTCAAATGCTATTTCTAGTTCTAGATCCTTGAGGAATTGCCACACTGTCTTACACAATGGTTGAACTAATTGACACTCCCACCAACAGTGTAAAAACTTTCCTATTTCTCCACATCCTCTGCAACATCTGTTGTTTCCTGACTTTTTAATGATTGCCATTCTAACTGGTATGGATTTTGGTATCTCATTGTGCTTTTGATTTGCATTTCTCTAATGACCAGTGATGATGAGCTTTTTTTCATATGTTTGTTGGCTGCATAAATGTCTTCTTTTGAAAAGTGTCTGTTCATATCCTTCACCCACTTTTTGACGAGGGTGTTTGTTTTTCTCTTGTAAATTTGTTTAAGTTCTTTGTAGATTCTGGATATTAGCCCTTTGTCAGATGAAGAGATTGCAAACATTTTCTCCCATTCTGTAGGTTGCCTGTTCACTCTGATGATCTTGAAAATGGTCATATTGCCCAAAGTAATTTATAGATTCAGTGCTATCCCCATCAAGCTACCATTGACTTTCTTTACATAATTGGAATTTCATATGGAACCAAAAAAAAGTCTGCATAGCCAAGACAATCCTAAGCAAAAAGAACAAACCAGGAGGCATCATGTTACCTGACTTCAAACTATACTACAAGGCTACAGTAACCAAAACAGCATGGTACCGGTACTAAAACAGATATGTAGACCAATGGAACAGAACAGAGGCCTCAGAAATAATACACCTACAACCATCTGATCTTTGTCAAACCTGACAAAAACAAGCAATGGGGAAAGGATTCCCTATTTAATAAATGGTGTTGGGAAAACTGGCTAGCCATACGCAGAAAACTGAAACTGGATCCCTTCCCTACACCTTATAGAAAAATTAACTCAAGATGGATTAAAGGCTTAAACGTTTACACTGTTGGTGGGATTGTAAACTAGTTCAACCATTGTGGAAGTCAGTGTGGTGATTCCTCAGGGATCTAGAACTAGAAATACCATTTGACCCAGCCATCCCTTTACTGGGTATATACCCAAAGGACTATAAATCATGCTGCTATAAAGACACATGCACACGTATGTTTATTGCGGCATTATTCACAATAGCAAAGACTTGGAACCAACCCAAATGTCCAACAATGATAGACTGGATTAAGAAAATGTGGCACATATACACCATGGAATACTATGCAGCCATAAAAAATGATGAGTTCACGTCCTTTGTAGGTACATGGATGAAATTGGAAATCATCATTCTCAGTAAACTATTGCAAGAACAAAAAACCAAACACCGCATGTTCTCACTCATAGGTGGGAATTGAACAATGAGAACACATGGACACAGGAAGGGGAACATCACACTCTGGGGACAGTTGTGGGGTGGGGGAAGGGGGGAGGGATAGCATTGGGAGATATACCTAATGCTAGATGACGAGTTAGTGGGTGCAGTGCACCAGCATGGCACATGTATACATATGTAACTAACCTGCACATTGTGCACATGTACCCTAAAACTTAAAGTATAATAATAATAAATTTAAAAAAAAAAGACTTAAACATTAGACCTAAAACCATAAAAACCCTAGAAGAAAACCTAGGCAATACCATTCAGGACATAGACATGGGCAAAAACTTCATGACTAAAACACAAAAAGCAATGGCAACAAAAGCCAAAATTGACAGACGGGATCTAATTAAACTAAAGAGCTTCTGCAAAGCAAAAGAAAATATCCTTCTGTATCATTTTTTTCTGTTTTGGCTCAATTCATCTATCTATTTTCCAAATAACATTTTTATATTACTGAATTAAAATTTTCCCAATCTCCACCCTTCTACACGAACCTTCTCCACCCCTTCACCCCAAAGTAGAAATGTGGAAAGACAGAAACAGTTGATGTTCTGTCTGCATTTTGTTTACATGGGTAGGGGAAGCCACCCTGTACCTGATGTCTCTGGAGGCTTCCAGAGCTTCACATTTCCACAAAGCACCTGCTCAACTCAAGTTAGCAGTTTCTGTTCCTATTAAAAATCCAAAAATCAGAGTTGGAATTTTGAATCACATGGGAAGTTTCAGTGTTTCAAAGCATGAAGTAGAGCTTCCCTAACCCCTGCTATGACTACTCTGCTTTCAGTGTTGGAAAGGAAATGATCTTTTAAAAGGTGGAATATGCAAAAGGGGAAAACAGTTCTCCTCTGTCTTTTCCTGGGGTCGGGAGGGGGATTGAGGCATTTCCCCAAAGAGCCCTGCTAACTCTGTGACCTTCCAAGATTCGTTAACTGTGCCAGAGAAGGAAATGTACCTGCAATTGCTCATTGGGGTAATATTTAAGTCAAGGCTGGATTTCAAGCTCAATTTAAGTGCTACATTTTGATTTTTTTTAAGAAGAAAGATTTGCCTGTAAAAATGCTACTTTTCTTATACAAGATCTATAAACATGCTTTGACAACCTTTGAAATTGATTAAAAGTGGGCTTATATTTCTAAATGGAGATGCCTTGAGTCAGGATGAGTAAGCTAAGAAAATCTATTCATTTTAGATATATTTTAACTCTCCTTACTGTGCATTGAAATTATCAATAATTTCCAGTTATTCTTTGTTTATATTTTGGCACCATTTTATTCCCCTCCCCTCAAAAAAAAACTCCAAACACTAAGGTGAAATGTAAGCAAATAGTACTGGAAATTTTATAAATTTTATACATAGCAATCAGAAGTTTATAAAGTAGATCATTCTGAAGGCAGATTATGTTAATCAGTCAAACTATTTAAAAGCAGGAGTGCCAATGTGGGGGTAAACTCAACTCTTTCGAAGAGCTCATTTGTTAACACATTTATCGATATCCCCAGTTGCCATCTCCTTAATCTTTTGCTCACTCGGAGGAAAATTCCTAATAGCAAGATACACATGAAGACAGCAGAACATTTACAAGAAAGTCAGCCAGACATGTGGCAGCCAAGGTCTGTCAAAGTGTAGAGAATTTTTTGTATGTGGCAAAATACACATAACATAAAATTGACCATTTTAACCATTCTTAAATGTACAGTTAAGTGGCATTAAGCACATTCACATTGTTCTGCAACCATCCTTACCATCCATCTCCAGAACTTTTTCATCTTTTAAAACTGAAGCTCCATACCCATTAAACAGTATCTCCTTATTCTCCCTTTCCTAGCCTCTGGCAACCACCATTCTACTTTCTGTTTCTACAAATCTGAGTGCTCCAGGTACCTCTTATAAGAGGAATCATACAGTATTTGTCCAGTTTGTGCCTGGCTTATTTCACTTAGCATAATGCTCTCAAGGTTCTTCCATGTTATTGTATGCATCCAATTTTCCTTCTTTTTAATTCTGAATAATATTCCATTGTATAGACATATTGCACTTTATTATTTACTCATCTGTTGATAAACCTTTCAGTGGCTTCTTCCTTTTGGTTATTACGAATAATGCTGCTATGAACATGGGAGTGCAAATGTCTGTTCAAGTTCCCGTTTTTAATTATTTCAGGTATATGCCAAGAAGTGGAGATGCTGGATCATCTGGTAATTTAACATTTAATTTTTGAAGACCCACTATACTGTTTTCCGCAGCGACCGTACCATATTACGTTTCCTACCAGTAATATGAGAAGGTTCTACTTTCTCCACATCCTCACCACTATTTGTCTTTTTATGCTTTTGTTTTAATACTAGACATCCTAATGGGTTTGAGGTGGTATCTTGTGATTTTAATTTGCATTTCCCTAATGATTAGTGACACTGAGCATCTTTTCATGTGCTTATTGGCCATTTGTATATCTGCTTTGGGGATATGTCTAAGTCTTTTACCCATTTTCAAAATTGATACGCAGCAGATGTACATATTTTCGGAATTCACATGACAATTTGATACACTTATATAATCAAATCAGATTAATTGGAATATTCGTTATCTTAAATACTTTTCTTTATACTAGGAACATTCACAAAATTATCTTTTAGCTATTTTGAAATATACAATGAATTAATATCTGCAGTCATACCACCTGAATGCATCTCATCTCATCTGCCCATTTTTTAATTGGGCTACTTATATTTTTGTTGTTGAATTAGGAAAAATTAGATTCATAGCTTAATTATGATGAATGTATTTATCATCTCAAAAATTATAAAAAAAGAGAAATATTATGAGGTCATATTTTACTTCATTGTTGAAATAATTGTTGAATAAATAGAATACATTTTTATTCAGCAAAGGGAGATTTTTTTGTGTGTAGCTTATTCTATATAAATTATATACTTCCATATTTAGTGGAATTCTCTTCTTTCACAGATATTTCTTTTAGACTCCCACTTTTAGCAAATAAAGTCAAGAAAAGTGTTTTCCCAGTATTTCTCCTCTCATCTTCTTCCTGCCTTCTGTTTGCTCATTTCTTCTTGCTGTGAAACGTCCGTGTTCCTGGCAGCAGGCTGTTTTCTGTTTGTTTTGGAGATGTACCCGCTGGCCTAGCGTGGGTAACATGAAAAATCTTACAGGCTCCTCTTAGCCCTGAAATGTCATCACCATGTCCTGTCCCCAAGCCATACAGCATCCAGCAGCCTCACTGGAAGTTGTAAAACAGCACTTACTTGGCACTGACCCTGTGCCAGGCATTAGCCTAAGTATTTTACAGACATTGATGCCTTTAATTCTTGTGATAACCCTATGTATGCTATTATTGTCCCCATTTTACAAATGTGGACACTGAGGCACAGAAAAAATAAGTAATTTTCCTGGTGTCATGCAGACAGTAAATGTGGAAGCTAGGGAGCCCGGCTGCCACTGCTTCTCAGCACAGCACCGGGCTGCCTTTGGGATAATTGTCATATTCCCTTTCTTGGCCTCAAGGGCTTCCATATCCAGTCTTCCCCACGAACCCCCAACAGCTTCAACACATGTCAACCACCCCCAGTTTAAAGCAAGTTGCCCAGAGGAATTTTTTGCGACTTTTGAGTCTTTTCATTTAAGAATATACTTTTATGCTCAAACATAAAATCTGGTAATAAGGTTATTATTATATCTATATCTCAGCTTCATCCAATTTGCTGTCGTCTCTCTTTATTATATACTTGATTGATGGACTGATGCACCATGGAGGCATTGCTGAATTGAAGAGAAGAGACATCGGGGTGGAATTAATCATGCAGCAGATTGCTACATAACTCTTATTTCCCATGAGATGAGAATCACAGTGATAAACCATGAAGACAGCTGTATGTGGCCTAAAACTAAGACCAGAATGCTCAAATAAGTTCCAATTTATCTTGTTTCCAGAGATAAATTAGTAGGAAGGGGTGAAAAGGAGAAATATTTGTGAATCATACAGTAGTCACAGCTATTGGTTGATGTCTAGGATATTAAAATGTGAAAGTATTACGACTAAAAATCCTCTGCTGTCTAATCTCTCACAGCTTATATTTGATGTTCCCTAAAATCACGGTGTCCAAAGACAGACCATGTTTTTCTAGAATTCCTGTAATGAAGATCTTTGCAAGATGCCGCAATTTTGAATGTCCCAAACCACAAAGAGGTTTCAGTTCTTCCTTTCAATCCCCAACCTTGAACTGAAGCCTCTGCAGAAAGCTCCCAGCTCACTAGTGTGGACAGGCAACTACTTGTGCTTCTATGAGAGAGAAAAAGTGAGCAGTTTCCAAGAGACAGAAAACACTGGCCCTGAGAATAAGGACCAAATGAGAAACCAGCAGTGCAAAAGACAGGAAAGAAGTCCAGGTGGAAGAAAAATGTCAATTTGTTAGAAGTGAGAAAGAACGAGAGAAGGTGCAGGCAGACACAATGAAGAGTTACAGGAAGGGTTAATCAGTGACTCAGCAATACGTGCTATTATTATTTGTCTTAAATAGATGAAGAAACTGAGGCACAGGGGAGAGGGAATGCAGGACCACTCAGCATGTGGCAGTGATGGAACGTGAAGAAACTACTACTCCAACACCCCACTATCCAGGATGACTTCCAGCACTACTGTTTTCACTGTTGTTCTAGATATAATAGCTGATTCTGTAAGGGAAGTCACAGTTATTATTATCTGCAGATGATATAACTGAATTTTCAGAAAGCCTGTAAAATCAGTTAAAAATTTAGACCTAATATTAACATAGGGTAATGTTGCCAAATCTCAAACCAATATAGCAAAGTTACATAGCTTTTCAAGTGCAAGCAATAATTTGTTCAAAGGCATAATTCAAAAGCAAGTATGAATCACATGACCAAAAAAGTCCCCCCAAAACAAGGAACAATTTTATGACTCAATGTGAAAAGGCAAAATATAAAATATCAAATTTACCTGAAGATTATAAAATCTTAGCAATTAGAAAGACATATCATGTGGTACCGAGGATAATATGGCACAATGTCAAATCTTCATGAAGAAATATAACAGTTTAATACTTTTAATCAAAATCTGATAAAATTTCTTTTGAAAGTATTAAAGAGCATTTTCTGGAAAAATAACAGGCAAAAATAGCCAAGACTTAAAAAGCTAAAACAAAAACCAAAAACGCTGGCTATGGCCCCTCCTTGCAGATATGAGATGTAACAGGAGTCATAGTAACAGTAGCTACTATTTATAATTGATCTGTGGCAAACACTGTTCTCTGTCTTTGGTGAGTTTTCCCATTTCTCCTCTTCCAACAACCTTATTCAGAAGAAGCTGTAGCTACCTGTTTTTGGCAGAGGCCAGAGAGTTTGAGCACCTTTTCACCAGCTCACCAACTCAATGGTGGACTTTAGCAAAGCATTATCTAATTTTAGTACCCACCTGCTTACCCACTATACTATAAACTACAAAAAGCAGAACAGCGTAGCATTTTTGCATAAATGGTGGATCAACAGACCAGAACTGGGAGCCCTGGAATGAATGTGTGTTAGAGGAACCATTGCCTGTCAAGGAATATGATATTATTCAAAGATGACTTACCTATTTGGAAAAATAAAACAAAGCATTCTCATATTATATGACATATTAAAATATATTCCACCTGGATTAAGGAGTTATCGAAAAAGTGAAACTAAAATTTAAAAAATAAAACCAGAAAAATACCTGAAAGTCTAATTTGTCTTCTGTTGGTGAAGGACTTTCTAAACATAAAAAAAATCACAAGGGAAAAGTAATAGGAAGATTTGACTACCTGGAATGTCAAAAAATTCTTAACTAAATTAAAAGATCATAAATTGGTTACGATTGCAACGAAATGTATATGCTTAATGTAGAAAGTGCTTATATGTGTGAAAGAGCTTATAATATATATCAAGCTTTGTAACATATATCAAAACTCTTGTCCTGTGATTTCTAATTCTTCTTCAAAGACTTTATATCCAGGAAAATCATCAGCAATGAGGCAAACGATAAAAAGGGTCTGCCCAGAAGGAAACTTTGTAACAGAAAAAGATGTGAAATAATCCAACTGCAGGAACCAACTCAATAGGGGGAGGATTGCCTAATTTTCAAGCATTTCTGATTCATTATGTCACCATTAGCATAGTATTCCCAAAACGCACTTCGTGACATGCAAAGATCCCAAGATAAAAATTTCACCTATGTGTACGTCTGCAAAAGAGAAAAACAATTGTCAGAATGAGCACTAAACCTTCATTGATGGTTATAGGAGGGAGTGGAATTATAGGACAGACTTAATTTTATGCTTTCTCTTCTCCAGTGATTTACTTTTGTACAGAAAATAAGCCATATTTATAATTAGAAAAAGAGGAAAACGTAACTGATTCAAAACTACATGTACAATATGAATTTTAGCTTACAAATTTATACATAGAGGTAAACATCAAAAACGGTCATAGTGATTATCTGAAGGGAAGCATTATAGATAATTTTCTACTTCCTTGTAATGAATTTTTATACTTTCTGAAGTCTAACATGTATTATTTCATTTTTCTAATAAGAAAAAATAAACAATGTGCCAATGTAAATACAAATCACAAAATAGTTCACCTTTCTGGCTGCCTGCTAGCAGATTTTTGTTTTATTTTACTGCATGTGTGGACAAGCCATTTCATGTACTTTTATCTCTGGTTTAAGTTATACAGAAGCCATTCTGTTTCCCTTTGTAAGTGTTTCATTTAAATGTCCAGGTGTATGTGGGTGTGGTGGAATTAGGAGGAAGAGCGCTTCGCCCCCATCAATTCTGCAGTTGCCGTGGCAGCTTAGCCGTGAGTGGGTCAGGTGGCCAAAGCAGAGGCCGACCCCCGCCAGCCGTTGCTGTCAGGCCCCCTCTCGCTCTCTGGTTCAGGAGAACGTCTCTAGAAGAGCGTCAGTTTGGGGCTGGATATTGTAAATCTTGATCCAAGGAACAGTCTCCAGATGGAGAATGGATAGAATTTCTCCCCCTTCTCTTGCACTAGGAGTAAGTGAGCGTCACTAGAAGCATCCAGATATGAAGGTAAGGACAGATTTCAATATAAACGTGATTGAAAGCACTTTGCTGAAGAGCTTAATATCAATGTTTGCATTTAAAAACATAATTTGCTGCCATTAATTGCTGCAGTTTCACATGATGTCAGCTGGAGACTGTTAGAGTTAAAGGACTGAGGCTTGTTGAATTCTTTAAACAGCAAGTGCAATAAAAATCAGGGTTGCTGCTTGGTAAAAGATGGGAATTTAAATTTCCCCAGCACTTGTCTCTCAGCATATCAAAAACCCCTTTTCTTGCAGAACATGTTTTCATTTTCATACCTCCTCACACCCGGGCTCTTTTTACTGACTTTTGTTTTCACACCATGCTAATTCATGTCTTACGTGCCTTTTTTTATTCTTCTGTGTGGCTGACAAACCTCAAAGTCAGTAGGTGGTCATGGAATTGTGCCCCAAATACTGTAAGAAAAGTAGGTGTAGAGCTGACATGTCTTAGGACAGGATCTTTCAGCACCAGATACAGGAGCTTCCAGATTGCAGAACACACACAGGTCATACCATCTATGCTGAGCCCTTGCTGGCCCCTGGCTCTGGCCTGAGCAGGTAGTGGCAGCCAGACAGCACCTGTGTTCCATAAGGTGGGCTTCCTCCCCTACCCAGGCTTGACTGAGCCATGTCTGCATGCTTGGCAGCCAAGGCAAGGCAGAATGTTTCCAAACATAACCTTCCATTGAACAAATCAGTTAGATTCTGTCTGCACAGTGGTATAACTGGCAGCTAGTCTCTGCAGGCTTCAACTGATACACCACTATGGCCAGCAGCCAGGCCTGGTTGGGCCAAGTCAGAAGTCTGGCTGAGGCTTCCAGCATCTGTGTGTGTTAATTCTGCATTTCGTGAACACCATCAGGAAAAGCCTGCTCATTTGGGATTGCTCATTAGTTGACAAAACAAATGTTTTGTTTTGTTTGCTGGTATGAGTTGGGTGCTAATTGCAAGCTAGAGATTTATATTTTAAAATCCACATACATGCATCTGCATATTCTTTTATAAATGATTTAAAGAGGGGTAAGAAGAGCTATTCAGAACCTGTTTCGGTTTGGGAAGATAAAGGATTGAATAGCAAATTATTTAGGCAGAATTCCACTCTGCTCCTTGCCAATACACAAAGTATTTTAAGCACTTTTACCCTTCACAAATCCTTACAGTATACCTGCCAAAGTGATAGAAAGTACAAGCCTTCCTGTTTTTTATGGAAAAAATGTAGGAAAAATAAGAGATGGAGGGGAATAAACAGTCATCGACTTTGAATCAGCTGAAAACGGGATGGTATTCTCAAACTTTTCTGTGCATAAGGGTTATGGAGAGCTTTTAAATATCCCCATGGCCTGGACACATCCAAGACCAATAAATCGCAATCTCAGTTATTCAAATTTGCAGGTAATTTCAATGGGTGGTAGCCAAGTTTGAGATTAAAGTAAAGAAGCAAGGTTCTGTAAACTTTTCAGGTGATCCCATCTTGCAAACGAGGAAAACTGCAATCTGCTTTTTCACAGCCATCGTGTGTTTCAGCAATTGCAAAATATTCTCAGACTATCTCTAGGAGTCCCTAGGACTCTGGTCACATCACCTCCTGCAGCAAGTTGACGGAAGGCCACTATACTTGGTGACTTTTCTCTCATGCATTCACTTTCACCTCCTAGAGCTTTCTTTTGGACCCAAGAACTGTGTCTTTTACTTCCAAGTTATTCTATATCTCATATATTAGATATGCGTTAATACCCACTCTTTATTCATAAGAGAGTGGATAGGTGAATTAATAAATCAATAAAAATAGTCACCTGATTTGTTATCAATTTATTTCAATTTAGTAAATCTTTGTTAAGTGCCTCCTGTGGACGTGGCCCCTAGTGTAGGCTCTGGGGATATAATTCTAAGCAAGAGATCCCCTGCAAATCTATGATGCCTCAAAGTTTTACCCAAGGACCACTCCATGCCCCGGCCCCTCATCTCTCCAGTAACAGGCATGTTAATTTCCCATTCTTTCCTCTGTTTTTCTAACATTCACTGGTTTCATCCCTGAATTCCCCCCATTGAAGGCTTTGGATCTGGAGAATAAAAGTGCGTTTAAAATTGAACCGGCTCCGGCGAACACGGTGCTGAAAGGGCTGCTTATTTTTAGCACATATGTTTTACACTAGGGCTACTTTTAGGAGTCTCTCTCCAACTGGGCTGGCTTCTGAGAGGGGAGTACTTATTCAGAGAGGAATAGAACTTAATATAAACATTCCTCCATCCAGAAAAAAAAAGTTAACTGACACTGGGGGCAAAAGCCTGGTCTCCAGCTGTCTATAAAACTGGCTGTTCCAATATCTGAACTCACAGAATCCCTCCCCCAACTGGGAGTTAATTTGGAGTTTGAGTTGAAAACATGTTCAAAGTTTTGCCCTAAATCAGTCAGCCAACAGGTATTTCTGTGCCTGTCCTTCGAGCCCTGTGCTGTACACTTAAATTTTATTTCTTAGGAGCCAAAAAAAAAAAAAAAAAAAGATGAAATCTATAGAACTGATTCATAGGTCGCAACAAAATGCACAGGTTGGTGCTCAGTTTCTTCCTGGCTCCTTATCTTTCTCCAGATCCTCTTTCCTTAAGAGAACTTTGCCGTGATTCTGCAGGTGTTTTATTTGGCAATAGAGAGATGATTATTTGAGATGATACATTAAAGTGGGACGTTAATTTAGTAAAAATGTTTTCAAAAGGTCTTGACACAGATTTGCTATGTGTTGCCCAAGTGAAAGTCAAAGATTTGCCTAATCACGGCTTTGAAGAAAATGCCTCTGTCTGAAATCCAGGCAGATTGTTTATGAGCTGACCTAAGTGCCAGCATAGATTTCCAAGGAGCGAAATGCCACCAGTTCTAAAATGCAGGGTTGAGAATACTGTTAGCAAAGGTTGGTGTTTAATTCTGTCTTATTGTCCATAATGATACCGTGGTAGCATGGGTTATCTATGTTATTATTATACCTCTTCAAGCCTGTCTTAAAACCGCCCCATCCAGGAAGTTCCAGGTTAGGAAAGCGTCTTCTTTTTAAACTAAGCCTTTGGGCTTAAGATATTGTCGAGATCTGCGAACTGTGAGTAATGGCTCATTCTTCTCCATGTGTATCTTGATTTTTTGACACAGGCTTCAAATCCTACCTAAACTGCAGACCAATCTCTGAAAGCAACTTTGTTCAATTGCAGCCTGACTAGGTAAGGCTTTGAGAATTTGTTTCTGTTTTAAATCCTACAGGATAAAAGAGGTGGAGGGTGGTCTATAATAGGATGAAGTGGTATATAATAAGTATTTAACTTAAAAGAAAATCTACCATTTAAAACTGTAACTAGATTATTTCAAAAATAATGATATAACTTGAAGACTAAACGACTAGTGTTGACCTTTGACAATATCTGTATAGAAATATAGCATGTGTACAATGTATAATATGTCATTACGGTTCATAATAGTTTCAATTTCCACAAATTCTTCTTGGAGAACTCCAGAATGTCTGGTGTTAACTTATACACCACAGAGGGCTCTTTGAATGAATATATAAACTGTATAAAGTGCCCAGAAGTGCAGGGGGTTCAAAAATAGTAAGGATGTCTTTAATAATTTTGCTTCATAACAACTGTCTTGGAATAATTTTTATTTACCTAAAAATAATGTAAGAGTATGTCAAAGTTTAGGCATAGTGTTTATTAAATGCATAGTTTGTATCAATGCTTGTAAGCTGTAATTAGGAATGATATGTGGCATTATATTTTACTTTTGTTAATGTTCACTGTTAACTTCCTGAAATGTAAGCTGTGCTCACGTGAAAAAAAAAAATGGATCAGTTTTTCTGAGAAGACACTGTAACACAAAAAGACCTACAGGATAGTATTTGAATAGTTAATTTTAATGCAAACAAAAACTTCTATTTCAGCATTAAGAACACATATTCTTGATATAAGAAATAGAAAATATTCTAGCACATACCTGACACTGGTAAAATATATGTATTCTTTTTCCCTACAACACTACATATATTTCACACTACATATATATTAGCTTTTAACTATTGAGTCAAACATAGTTTAAAGTACTATAATATTTCCAAATTACAAAGAAAATAATTTTTAAAATTTCTCTGACAGAAGCAAACAAAACAATATTTTTCTTAATTTCTTTAAAATTTCTCCAGGAATTTATACTTTTGAAAACTCATTGACTTCTGGATTTTTAAAAAATAATATAAACATTTAAGAAGCTACCAAAATATGCGAAGCCTGAATGTATGTTATATTTATATTTCTTTTTTATAGTTTTGAATGATTATTCACTTCATGGGCAATATAAATTTAGGAGTCTCACACATATTACATGAAAAGTGATTTTTAAATTTATTCTGTTTTTAAAAATTAACTGAATTTTTAAAAATTGACAAATAATTGTGTGTATGCGTGGGGTATATAGTGATGTTTTGAAACATATAATGCATACTGAACAGATCAGAGTAATTAGCATAGACATCATCATTTATCATTTCTTTGTTTTGGGAGTATTCAATTTCCTCCTATTAGCTATTTAAAACTATACAATACTTTACTGTTACCTATAGTCATCCTGTAGTGCTAGAGATCACTAGAACTTATTCCTCCTATCTGGCTGTAATTTTTATCCTTAAAAACAGAAGATATGGAATATCTTCTATATGTATCTAATCTAGAGTTAATGTAAGTTTGTGTAATCGAGCAATTCTGTGGGTTTAACTCCCAAAGCCAGATTTTAAACTCTGCTTTTCCCAAGCCCCTAAATCCTATCTTCAACTCAGCTGCAAATATGTCCCAAGAAAACAAGGCTGTGAGACTGAGTTAAAAAGTCAAAGGAAAGTTCTTTAGAGCCATTTAGCAATCTTAAAGATGAACAATAGAGTGTAAGTACCTGTATTTATTGTTCTCCAGTATAAGAATGTTAGAAAGTAAAAGTGGAGTGGTAATTTTGAATAATAACCAATTTAATTAAAATTTAAATCTTTGGTGTTTGAGAATTTTTTTTCTTTTAAGTCTAAAAAAGTTTCCTGACACAAAGCCTATTCTTGTCAAGGTGACACTTAAGTTATTGTTTTGAAATGGTGAAGAGGGGAGAGAAACTGCTGTAGAAAGGGGTTGATAAAAAATACAGCCATCACTTTCCAACCAAAAGAAAGCAATGATTAAAGCTATAATGTCAGCAATTACAGTGTGTCCAAACAATATTTAAAATTGAGATGGGCCTCTCAGGTTTGAAACTGTGTGTGTGACTGTGGGAGTAAATAGTCTAGTTTCCCACTCTTCATGTGTAAATAGACACAAACAGGTGACTTTTCAGAGCCTGGGACAGAGAAGACGACCCCCCAGTGGAGACGACTGAACAGGCCCCTCATGCATACAGCATGCCACCAGTATTGCCCAGAAATACTGTTTGTAGAAAATCGGAAAGGTAGCCGGGCCCGGCATTAATGCTAGGGTGTCTGAGATGAGTCGAAGGAACAGCTATTCTTTTTCCCTTTGTTATGTTTCTTCCATTTCCAAGTGGATGAAGCTCTAACTCAACCTTTCATTTGTTTCAAGAGGGAGGTATCAGAACCACAACAAATGGAATGAAACCTACCACTACCACCTGCCTGGCACAAAGAAATAATTTACAATTCACGGGGAATTTCCTGTGTTTCATTTTGTCTGAAGAACTGTAACTGGACTTGAATGAACTAAGTGTCTAATTGTTGCATTATTTTTCTTGTAGAGATTTTAGTGTTTTATTACTTTCTCCAGTTTACTTCAATAGTGAATTAGGTTCCCTCTACCATCTGAAATGTTACAGTTCGATAAAATAGGTAAATTAATAAAGTCTAAAGTGCTTCCAAGCTGAGCAGAGACCTTTCTGTGCGCTGTGCTTTTATTGCTCTTCCCAGCTGATATTTATAACTGGGCCATATGTGGTTATAAAGATTTATTATGAGCCTGTGGAATAAGTTCTGTTAATGTGTACAGTAAATGTCCAAGTTTTGACTCTGTAAGCCTTGGAGATTTCTAATAAGATGAAGCCATTTTGATCATGAGCCAAGCAGTGTGCACTTGGAGCCAGGCCTCGTATTGACAAAGGGCTTAGCTATGTGCTGTAGACTCTACCCACTCTCTGTGTGGGTTTGCTAAAAATGTTTGCAAAGCTCAGGTAGGTATTTTTCTTCCTCATCACCATCGTCATCTGAGAGGGGTTGAAGTTGGAGAATCTACTGACTAAAAGTTGAAATGGAAAATTTTAAGACTACAAATAAAGATCAGACTAAAGGCAAGGCAGAGCCGCCCTGGGAGTACAGTGAATGGGGCATCTGTGTCCCACTCGGGCGCCGATCGCCTTGTCCAGCTACTGAACAGTTACTTTGAGTGCATCAGGAGGGAGAAAATTACAGGCACAGCTGGCATGAATCCACTCCCCATCCATGGCCAGTGCAAAGGAGACAAGACACTGTCTCTTCACTTTTATACACTTACTTCATTTTGTGAAACTTCTCTTGCCCTTACTATATGTGCATATTGTTCAAGTGAATACCTGCCAGTTTTAGAAGAGAAAGGGTTAGTCTGTTCTTGGCTGCTACATCAAAATACCATAACCTGGGGGCTTATAAACAATGGAAATTTATTTATCACAGTTCTGGAGGCTGGGAAGTCCAAGATCCAGAGGCCAGCAGGTCCAGTGTCTGGTGTGGGCCTGATTCCTGCTTCATAGATTGCATCTTTTTGCTGTGTCCTCATATAGTAGAAACAACAAATGAGTTCTCTGGGGTCTCTTTCATAAGGGTACTAATCCCATTCATGAGGCTGCACCGTCATGACCGAATCACCTCCCAAAAGCCCACCTCCTAATACCATCACCTTAGGGCTGAAGATTTTAACATATGAATTTTGTAGGAGCATAAAAATTTTGTGAGGACATAAAAATTGTTTTATTTAGAGCCCATAGCAGTCTCTCAATAAAACAATAGAGTAGGACAGTGTCAAAAGCTTTGTAATGTGTTTCTCAACCTCGAGAGCATTACAATCACTTGGGGAACTCTTTAAAAATACTAAAAATACACAGTTTATCCCCCCTTCCCCTTCCTTGAGTTCTACCTGGGTATAGTTTTGTTTTTGTTTTGGAAGTTCTTCAAGAGCTTCTAATCGGCAAAACCACTGGTCTAAGAACCTCTTCTAGTTCTGACCCAAGAGTTAGAGAAGTGACTTTTCATGGATGTCACATGAGGGAAAACCCAGGGCCAGACCTTGTCGTGAGGTTCCTGCACAGCACATTTCCCCTTTTCTGCATCCCCTTCTCAGGTGCTCATAACTCCCTGAAGGTCCAGAGCCTTCTGCCATGAAGGGCAGCTCTACTTGAATAAAAATCTACAGACTGAACTTTTCCCTCCAGTCTTTTTTCCCGCAGATCTGCGAGATGCCATATTAGATTGGTCCTGATTAATTAATCCAAAAGTATTTCTATTTAAAAACAAAAAAATTAAGTTTTTTTTTTTTTTGAAACCGGGTACACAGGCTGGAATCCAGTGGTGTGATCACAACTCACTGCAACCTCAACCTTCCGGGCTCAAGTGACCCTCCCACCTCAGCCTACTGAGTAGCTGAGACTACAGGTATATGCCATCATGCCTGGCTAATTTTTGTATTTTTTGTAGAGATAGGATTTCGCTATGTTGCCCAGGCTGGTCTTGAACTACTGGGCTCAAGCAATCTGCCTGTTTCGGCCTCCTAAAGTCCTGGGATTACAGGCATGAGCCACTGTGCTCAGCCCAAAAACATTCCTATATGATAATTTAATATATGAGTCTAATGTCATTAACATGAAATAATTTTTATATCTATCCAAAGTGAGCAATTGATAAAGAATTTCAGATATTCAATAATCCTAGACTGATTGACACCAGATAAATTCTAATAATCTTTCTGGCTGTACCTTTTCACCAGTTATCAAATGATTATCCATCGTTTGAATAGAACATTCAGGGAGGATCCTAGTCATAGTTGGACAGTCTGATACTTCCTGTGAATTTTCTTTCCAAGACTTGTCTCAGATCCATCCATCCTCCCCATTTCCACTGCCATTGTCCCCTGTCCAGGTCCCTGTCCTCTCTAGAGTAAATTATCAAGGTTCTACTACATCCTCCTGCAGTACCAGGCTCCATGTGAGGTTTGTCACCAGCTTACGTTGGCCTCCACTTAAAGCCTTTCAATGACTTTCCATTGCCCTAAAAATAAAATCCAAACTCCTGGCCATGCCACGGACATTGTCAGATCTTCTCAACCCCATTTGAAACTGCTCCCTGGTCTCAAGCACGTGTCCGTTCTTCTCTCAGCTTCCTGATCAGCCCAAGCTTTCTCCCACTGGAGCTTCTGTCCATGCTGTTACTTCTGCCGAGCATGCTTTCTGCCCATGTTTTAGCCTTCACATCTCTGATTAATTGCAACCTCTTCAATAGTACTCTGTGGTTACTCTGCCTAATGCAATCCACCCCTTTACCATCTCTATCTCAGCCTGTGGTTTGCTCCTTCATAACACTTCCATTTGCAATCATTCTATTCATTTTCTTTATTTGGCCGTTCTCTGCTTGTTTCCTCCACTGGGATGGAAGTCCCTTCACTTCAGGTACCAAGGCCTTCACCATTTTATTCACAGTGCCTAAAACATGCCTGGCATGTAGATGGTACTCAAACACAAATGTTAAATGATGGAAGAAATAAAAAAGAAAAAGATCTTTCTTTTCTCCTGGCCTTTAACTTGGCAGGCTTTATCTGCTCTTCAGAGTCACTGAGATGAGAACCAGGTGGCAAACTCTGCTTTCCTTCTCCTCCAGGCAACGCAGAGGCATTCTTAACTCTTAACCTGCAGACTTTGAAACTAGGCACAGAACTCCAGAGGGGATAATAACACCAGCAAATGTTTAGCTAAAAAATTTAGCCATACATGCCACACATTGTGCTACACATTGAGCTCTTTGGTCCTCACATCAACGCTGAATTAGGAGCTATGATTATCCCCATTCTTTAGATTAGTAAGCTGGGTATCACCAAGGAGAAGTACTTGCCCCAAAGTCACATGGCTCATATGTGTTGGAAGCAAGGTTTGTGACAGATCTTCCATGTTAAACCATTATGTTATCCTCCTTAGGAGAGAGTATGGTTTTATGAATATACTGCTCCAATTGGCTGAGATGACAATACTAGTTTTTAATCGGCGGCTGTGACATATTGAGGGCTTATATTAAGAATGCGAGCTGCTCCAAAATGTCCCTGTCCTGCAGTTGTACAATCACATATTTTTAAACCAAAGTAAATGATTTTACATTTATTTCTTTCTAACCGCACCATGTTTATTTCAGTGTCTCTTTCCTCAAATCCTTTTGCATATCAGTGGATGTTTAGAGTGAAAGGGGCAGGGATTTTAGAGCAAGACAAGCCTAGGTTCATGTCCCAGCATCACAGGTTAGGGATGTGTGATCTGGAACAGGTGACTTAACTCTTCTAAACTTTGGTTTCCTCGTTAGGAAAGGGAGGGTACTGGTGCATGGCTTTGTGGGAGTCTAAGAGGGTGGAAATGTGAAGCCCATTGCCATGTGCCTGCATGCGGGGCCTGCACCAGCTCAGTTCCGCATTCCTCGCCCCACGCATTAACTAGCTCTCTCTGCTGTGTTATCTGAGATTTGTACACTCTTGATTCTTATTCTGTAGTTTTGTTTTGAGTCATCCATCAAGTACTGCTCCCAGAGGTAAAAGGCTTTTCTGAAAACTGTCTCTTCCCTTACAGACTTTCCTTTATCCCAGGAATTGACTCACATATTTGGGATTGTAATTGTCTGGATTTGTAAGGGATATGAGTAACATTACCCTTCTGCAGCTTGGATTTTTTCTTTTGGTGGTGTTAATAGCATCACACTCTGTCTTAAGCCTCTTGGACATCTGAATAAATGTTGGCATGAAACCTGGTAAAATGAAGCATGAAGATGAATGTGTTTGTAGAGGTGAAGAAGACATTCAGAGCTGGGAGAAGTGAAAGTCTATGAATTCTCATTCCATGCCCAAAAGTGACCTCATTCCCAGAACAGTCAGCTGCCCTACTCGTCATGACTTTAAGACTCATGAAAATGTCTCATATGGGAAAGCTCCAAAGACTGCCCAGTATTTCTAAACTTTAACGGGATGTAATTATAACCCATGTATAAGGCCATAAATACTTTAGAAGTCTATCTCATTTGTACCAAATAATTTATCTGATTATAGTTACTCACTGTCACCTAGCTGAAGTCAGGATAGGTAAGCTTTGATGAAAGAAAAAAGTTATCCCAGGAGTAAGGCAATCAGCGAAAAAAAGAAGCATGGAAAAAAGTCCAAACATAGAAAACCAGGACAAGTCTGATTGTAAGATGGCACAGAGGGGCTTATCAGAGCACCCAGTGATGAAGAACCAGGGTAGGAAGAAGTTAGAAAGCACAGAGGGACAGAAGTATAGGCTGTAGGTGTGGGGAGGCTTTAGGCTAAGTACTTGTCTAGAAGGACTCAGGGAAGCATAAATTAATACAGAAAAACTTTGGAAACGTTTCTGGTGTCTACTTATGCTGATAATATGCATACTCTTTGACATAACAACTTCACTCCTGAGAATTGTGTATTTCTAGCAGAAATCTATACAAATGGTCACCAAAAGACATATACAAAAATGCTCCTAGCAGCACCACTTGTAATAGTTCTGTATTAGTTTGCTAGGGCTGCCATAACAAAGTACCATAGACCGGGAGGCTTAAACAACAGGCTAAAAGTCAGAGATCAAGGTGCCAGCAGCTTTGGGTCTGAAGGACACAGGCGCTGAGAGGGAGCGTCTCAGGTAAAGAAGAAGAGGGGAAGGTACGCCACTTGAGGATTCTCTGACCAAGAAGATGAGAAGATGGAGCAACTGGAAAGTATAGTTATTCTTTTGCTAACAAGAAACAAGAATAACAATTAAAAACTCCAGGACAAACAAACACACAAAAACTAAATGAAAATCATTCTCCAAATAGAAAGCAAATTAAAAAGTGGCATGATTTTAATCATAACTATGAACAAAGCAAGAAAATTAATTTTCATGTTAGTACAAAATAAAAGGTAAACACTAATGACTTTGATCATGTAGAATTAGAGCTGATAGAAATCCTTGGCAAAGGAGATGTGGAAAGGTGGAGGGAAGGACAGAAAATAGCCTTTTCTTGTGTGGGAGACATCTGTGTCAAGTTACTGATAAGTAATAAGGCATTAATTGACTAAAATTAAGGATAAAGTCATAGGAATATTTTTAAAGCCTTTCATGGTAAACAGAAGAAAAAGAATACTAAAAGTACTATAATTATTGAGCATTGTGAGGAAGAAGCAAGCAGAAAGAAGGCATTGAGATACCTCTCATAGTGAAAAACCAATGGATTTTTGTCTACCTTTGTTAAAATTCAAGAATTTAATGAGTCATTTGTTAAACTGCTGGAAGCTTGAGATTGGCCATGATGGGAATATTTACATCCCAGAAAGTGAAAAAACAAACAGATTAGAAAGCAACCATGTTAACTAAAAACAGTATTGAAAAGTGAGGCAGGGGCAGGGAGGAGTTAGCAGAAGGAGACTGCCTGTTCTTTTGTTGCTGAGTATGTATTTTTCTATACATACGTAAGTATTTATTACGTACTATTTATTTCTATTATGTATGTCATATTTATTATATTTATCATGCTCACATATATTTAAAACAAACACTTTAAAACGTCACAAATAACACCTAAAAATTGTTAATAAATATTTTTGAGAGCCTGCACCCTGTGTGCCATCATGGTAGCCAAACATGCTGAATACCTTCTCTGTCAGAGCCTACTTGACCAGTGGTGAATAAGACAGGTCATTGGCCAGTCACACCATAGTGTTATGGAGGGATGCGAGCACTAGGGGAGGCATCTATTCAAGGCATTGGAAATGAGGTGGGGCTCCAGGGTAGGGCATCAGAGTTAATGACAAATGGGTACTGGGGAGGCAACAGAAGTCTTTGTGAGTTAAGGGTGGGTGGGAGGAAGGGACACTCTTCTAGCAAAATGAAGCATATGCAAAGGTCTGGAGAAAAGAAAGGGAGTGGGGACCAGATCAGGAAGATAATAGTGTAAAGTGCTAGGGTGAGGTCGAGGCATCAGATCTTCAAGGAAAACAGGAGCTCTGGATATTTTAGAGCACTTGATGGGACAGATTGTCATAGAGAAAGACTCTGCCAAGTTATTTACACTCCTACATGCTGTGTCAGTGCTCATTTTTGAAAGTCATTTACTACCTCTGAAATTGGAATGCATTCTACAATTCTGGTCAACCAGGCAGTAGTAAAGATACAATCGTCATTCCTGAACATGCTCTGCAAAGTTGTAGATTAAATGTCTTTGGTTAGAAGAAAAATTGAAGACAAGAATGAAAGATTCTTTGAAGAACTGCTGTATTCCCAGTGTTCTCAGTGGCACAGGGGATGATACTGTGTGGAAAAACAAACCAACCAACCGCACAAGAACATTCACGTCTCTGTGTCAAAAAGTGATCCCGAAAAGTCAAACTCAGAAGGCAAACAGGTTTTCAAAAAGCATCGACCTATTTACTTAACTTATATTTACACTTGCCCATACATCAAAAAGTGATATATGTTAAAATCTATGCCTAAAAAATCTTTAAAAGCTCACTAATTATAAAAATTCTAAGGAATAAGAAATAATTGTATCAAATGTAATTGCTAACATTTTTCCTTTAGTGGCACATAAAATTATAATTCTTCTAATAATTGATGGCATTTTATAAATGCCCATAAAAATATGGTGCATATCTATATTCTCCTTTATAAAAATGGAATTATATTTCTCATAACCTGAATAAATATATTTGGACTCGAATCACATTAACAGCAGGCGTTGAAACAACAACAAAAATGTATCAGGCTAATCTCATTCGCAAGAACACTCAGTGGGAATACTTCATTCCGTGATTCTCCATGTTCTGTGTTGAGAGTTACTGCAAACGCTTTTCAGATGGTGGGAGTCGGAGGGAACTTGGCAAAGAGGCTGCCCCATGCAATCCACTCCCCATTTGTTCCTGACAGTGTGTATGGGAGAATGAAGGTTCTGTCCCACTTGTATGCTTTTTATTTGTGAAACAATCCTAGGTCTTTGTGTTCCTTTTACCTGATTCCCAAACTGAACAAACCCAAGTACCAACCATTCCCCTTGGATTTTTAGTCAACTGAAGGTTCAGAGAGCTGCTCCCTTGGGGAAGAGGCTGTGGACATGACATTTGCACATGCAGCATATCAACTTGGAATAATTTCCCCCTCATGTGGGGTCTACTCCCAAGGAGTTTATTCTAAACCCAAAGTACATTAGTTGCCTGTGGCACCTTAGAAAAATAAACTATCCTGGGGTCCCTGGTTTTGGAATGTCATTTCCTTTATGATATGTGTCTTTGAAAGGCAAGGAGTGGCAGTAAGCAGAGTGATATAAACATGGGGCCTGGGCTTTAATTCTGTCTGCCCTCATCCTTTATGAGGCGCATGATTTAGAGGGCCCAACTTAACTTCTCAGAGCTTTGATTTCTCCATTTCAAACTAGAGGAAAGAATGCTTCTTTTGCAGGCTAACACTGAGGATTAAATGAGGTCACACACATAAGGCATATTCCACAGTTCTTTATGCAGAAAGTGCCTCTAAAATGGTTCCTGCCATTTGACACTGGAAGCAAGAAAGCAAAGAGGCTGAGCAAAATACATGATCATGCACTCTTAGTGATGGGAAAAGACCTTTAAAAAGTTATCTAGTCCAATCTTCATTCTGCAAACCAGGAAAGTGCAATGCTGGCCTAGGCAAGGACTTTCATAAGGACAAAAGAGAATTCAGTGGCCAAGCTGGGTTGAGCACAGCCCTCATGCCTTTTGGCTTAAAGCTTTCTCCATTTGCTTTGCAGAACTTCCTATAAGTAATAGAACAACCACAGATGGAGTTTGACCAGCTGGATTTTTTTTTTAATATCACAGCCTGAGGAAATGTGGCTCAATCATTGAATGTTTCTGATGTGGACCAATTTCAGTCAAAGACAGTAAAAACAGAAAGCCTCAGCTTTCTTCTTATTTTAAATTAGAATTTTAAATGTAAAGCTTAGGTGAAGGAAGGATGGGAATTTGAATTTAAAAGGCTAAAAGAAAGAATACCAAAGAATTAGAAGATAAACATTTTGTCTTTCAAAGGGAAATAATTCTTCATTCTGTTTTACAGCCAACCATAACTGGTAAGATGAATGACGCTTTCTGTTAGTGTCATGCTTTTCAAGTCACATAAAAACCTGGTTTTGCATGAGAGGCGCTGCTGAAGCAGCCCTTGTCTGTGGCTGTGTCTCATTCTGCAACACATAGTGTCCCAATTTTCACTGGCTTCCTCTGGAACTGAAGCTGGGTGCACAGGTTTATCAACCGTCTGACTCTTACATACTAAACTCCCGCCTTCCCAGAGGGGAACACCTCTCATTCCCACAACTCCCCAACCCAGACCACCCCCAGCACGGGCTGGATCATTTTGACCTTGGACAAGGTGGAAAGAATGTCATTTCCAAGAGTTCCCTCGCTTGTCTTCCATCTCCATAAATGTTGCCATATCTAAATAATGCTTATACTTTTGTTCATTAGTTTTTACCATAACTATTTTTATTAGGTTCCTAAGTGATAAGATCAGGACAAAGACAGGTTCATTATGCTAGTTAGACATTTTCCTAAAGTATGATAAAATAAATGAAAAGGAAAACAATACCTGTTTATCTGAGATAGAAGAAGTGTTTACAAGTTGTTATGCTGCATTCTAGTTGTGCTAGGGGTTACAGGGATCTATACGTGTGTTTATGCTCACGGGATGTACACCAAAAAGAAGTCAATTTTACTGTATGTTAATTACAAAAAGAAAGCTATTAAATCTTCCTCAAATCCTAGAAAAATATAAGTACACATTATTTCCCACACAAACTCTTGTGAAGGGTTAACAAAACTCATCTGGCTTTATTTCATGCAAGACTTAGAAAGGCTAATAGTACGGAACTGCAGATCAAACCATAGCAAGTCGTGGAATGGAGGGCAACATCTTCAAGTCGGCCAGGGCAGTACAGGCAATGAGTGCAGCTGCTGGGGGGCGGTGGGGGGCGGGGGTAATGTGAGTCTGCAGGGCCCCAGGATGCCACAGCCCCGCCGGAGCAGTCCCTGGGGAAGCAGCGTTTCCTGTCCCTCGTGGCCTGTGAGGTCTCCCTCCTGTTCTCTCCCTGTGATCTGCTGGTATTTCTTTTTGAAGACTTAGGTTATGAAGTCTTGCTTTCAGAAACAGAAACAAAACAAAGCAAAAACAACTTGATAGCATTCAGCACAAGGTAAGGCAACTCCCCACTATGATGTTAAATTGGGTTTTTTTTTTTTTTTTTCAGCTACAAAACCAGAGTCATATATCTGATGGACTCAGGAATAAAAAGGAGTCTGGATTAAGAAGAGTAAAGATAGATTACTGATGCTGGCAAGACCCAGGCAGACTCATTCTGTGCACACTATCTGACTGTCCCATTTGCAGGGCCAGATGTTTTCTCTTTGTTACTATTTTTGCATGTGTCTAGGAAACATTTGGGTGGCACTCAACTCACAAGACCTGAACCTTGTAGCAGATGCTGCTTCCCCTGGGTGTACTCACTTCTACATGCTGAAGGGGGATGGCTGCTATGGCTTGAGTCTCTGCCTAGAGGCTTATTTCTAGGCCACAAGGCAATGACAAACAGAAAGTTTATAGAGAAATATCATTTTTTGTTTGTTTGTTTGAGATGGAGTTTCCCTCTTGTTGCCCAGGCTGGAGTGCAGTGGAGTGATCTTGGCTCACTGCAACCTCTGCCTCCCGGGTTCAAATGATTTTCCTGTCTCAGCCTCCCGAGTAGCTGAGATTTACAGGCACCCACCATCATGTCCAGCTAATTTTTGTATTTTTAGTAGAGATGGGGTTTTACAATGTTGGCCAGGCTGGTCTCGAACTCCTGACCTCAGGTGATCTACCTGCCTTGGCCTCCCAAAGTGTTGGGATTACAGCATGAGCCACTGAGCCCGGCCCTAGAAATATCACTCTTTAGTCTACATTGTCTCCCAAAGCTCCCCAGAGGAACTGAGCTTCCACTACCCACAGTGCTTGTTGGCAGACCTTTTGTAGCTTTCTGCCCTATCTCACAGGATCCTCTTTCCCTGATCAGAAATGTCTGGGGTTATCTTCCAACTAAACTTCTTGCTCTTGAATCTGGGCCTCAGGTTGTGTGTCTGGGGCAACCCAGGCCTAAGATAGCTATGCATACTAAGCACTCACCCACAGAAATACACACACATGCATATGCATGCACACATTCACTCACATATGGATACTTGCACACATGCAGACATATACACACAAGCACATATATGCTCTCCTGAACACAATATTCATGCTCTCTAATTCCCACGGGTCATGCTCCTGGCATTTGCTACAGAAAGGGCAGCACAAGTGCTGTGATCCCTCCCTCAAAATACTTGCATCTGGAATTTGGCTCCTTTTCTCCCTGCTTAAATGGTATAGTGCAGGTGATAACTGCGTAGATAAACCTTTATAGTTAGAAAGAGTCTAAATGTTGGTGTCTGTAAGCACAATAAGTAAATGAGTTTGGTTTTTCCTTCCAAAATAACTGAACGTTCACTTTAAATATAATGTTAGCCAGCTTTGAATCCAGAATATTTACATCTTGCAGACTGTGTCTTGCAGCCTCTGAATCAACTGACTGGGAGCATCCGTCTCTGCGTGCAGGGCTGCTGAAAGGTGGGAGCAGAGATAAAAGACAGGAGATGGGAAGAAACAAAGGGAGCCAAGAGATTTCATAGAATGCTGCAAGAGACATTCTTTTGATCTATTTGGACTCCTCCAAGGCGGGATCCAGAGAAAGAAGAGTGGCAGGTTGGAGACCACACCCCTAGATTAGCTCTCCTTTGAACTGGGATGGTGGAACTGCCATTCCTAATCAGAAACATGACCAGGAACGTTGGCTCGTACCTCCCAGATGTATTTGCCTGCTGGCATGATCAACCACATCAGAATTTTAAAAAGCTGTTGTACTTTGCATTGGCTTTTCCCTGTTTTAAACTGCTGAGCATTTATTGAAGGTTTACTATGTGCCAGGCAGTGGGATAAAGTCCTCTTAAGGGAGCCGATTCAAGTTACTCTCCCAAGGAGCTCTCCAGGAGAGCTGCTAAAATAGTTCAATTTATGAATGAGAAAGAAAGCAGATGCTTAAAAGGATTAAGTAATTTGGTCAAAGCCAACAGGAAGTGCCTGGTGGAGACAAGATTTGAACCCAGGTCTTTCTGAGTCTAGAGCTTCAAATTTAAATTACAATTCCAGCTGCCTCTTGAAAAGCAGCCCACTCCTTCTCCCTGTGCACCTTAGCAGCCCTGTGGAATGTACAGTCTCTAAAGAGCATGCCTGTTAAAAATGGCTACAGTGCTAATAGACGTGCTACATATGGGGTATAGACAAGACACATTTTCTGGAGCAGCTGCTATTGCTCAATATTGAAATGTCATTTTCATATTAAAGCAAGTGCACTGTGGCTGCTGCTCCTTGGACTCATATCTTTTGGTTCTAAGTTTGCCCTCTTTCCAGTGCATCATCTTGCTAGTAGGTAGTTCAGCCTCCTCTTCCTCCTTGCCCAGTCCTTCTTCCCTTCATAGTTCTTTCCCTATCCTCAACTCCAGTTTCACAAAGAACCTGTTCATGGTTACACAGCCCACAGGTGTCTTTCTATTATTTAGAAACATGCACCAGGACAAGGGCACAAAGTGAGTCTGCAGCCTCTGCTACCCAGGATAGGCTGCATCCTCCTGCGCAATGCCCACCATATGCTGGATGCTCTGCGGGCCATGGAAAACTCCAGCATTTAACATGGTGGGTGTGATACCCGACACAGAAATCACTATTAAACAACAAATGGCATTTGTGAATATTCAATTGCAATGTTGTAAGAAGGAACATGAAAGGCAAGATTTGGAAACAGGTTTGGTTTGGGCAACCTGGAAGGCTCCTGGAGGAAGTAACATTGAACAAGCCTCTCACGGTTTGGTTGGTGGAGGAGGCACCAACTGAAAACAGGGTTGTGGGTTCTAGTTCCGTGATTCCTAACCCTGGCTGTGCGTTTCAATCACTGGGTGGATTTTTAAAAACTGCCCAGGCCGCACCTGAGACCAATTATATTGAATCACTGGGGCGGGCTTGGATATTCCTACTTTAAAGCTCCCTGTGGACAGACAATGGACAGACACACCAGCAGGAGGCCATTCCAGTCCTCAGGTAGGACAGGTGCAGAAGTGACAGGAAAGCTGCAGGGAGTCCAAAAACATGGGGCAAATAGGAAGTGATAACAAATCAGAGCCTAGGATAGCTTGGATAACGAGTTGAGGGAGGATGGGTCAGGCACGACTCCTCAGCCTGAGTAACAGACATGATTTGGATTCTGTTTGCTAATTGATTTAGTTACATCCATTATGAAAATGGAGAGCTCTCAGCAAGAAGCTCACCTGGAACTACAGTAAACAGCACTGCTTGCTCTGGGCCCTCCTTTCTGCTCGGAGCGGGACTTGCCTGTAATTACCTCCAATGTGGAAAGAAAAAGAACTTTCACATCCTGACTCTAAAATTCTCTCTTCGCCCCGTGTGTCAGTACATAAACTTTAATTCAGACATTGGCAGTACTGTCAGCAGCTCATATGTCATCAGCGGAGGGCTCGGAGGCTCCGCGTGCCAGGGAGCAGGCGGCTTCTATTGCCTTCCTGGAGGTCGGGATCCCCCTGGTTTGCTGAAACCTCAAAGGCAAGTCTTTCTCGAGGGCGAGAACAGAACCTGAAAGACAGGACTTTGCCTCTGGTCTCTGTTCAGTGGCTGAGCAGTCTAGCCCAGGTGTCCCACTCCTAGTGGGACGCAGATGTCTCTTTGCACACCTGGGAAAGTGTGTAACCAAGACCACGTGAGGCCCGGGGCTGGATCTCTCAGGGACCCTGCTGACAGCCCACGAGCCCAGGGGGTCGACTTGGGAGAAACCACAGAATATTACCCTTGCTCTGCATGGATACAGGAGCTAACAACAAATAGAAGTGCAGATAGGAAAACTCCCTTCCCATCCTCCTTGGGCAGTAGCCTCTCCTAGCCTACCTCTCCCCATAAGCTATCTGCTGGTGTCTCCTGGGTTGCCTGAGGTAGCATTTAGAGGGGTTGGCAAATGCCACCATGAAGAGCACAAGCCCGTTCTCCATAGGAGCTGGCCTCTTAGGCCTGTTTTCTCCTATCTCTCGCTTTCGCTTTTTGAAATGTGATTCTCCCTGGTAGGGAAAGGCAAGAAAAACATCCAATGCTCATAAAAGTTAAAGTTCAGCACAAGCTGTTAATGAATTGAATTTGCTTCACACATACATTTATAAACTCAAAACAGACCTGGCATGTCCTTACTTAACTTGTCAATGGGCAATGGGATGGGAAGCCTGAACTCCAGATGGACATGCGTAGGCCATACAGGAGCTGAAGAAAGCATCCAACAAAACCATCTGAAAAGGTTTTTCAACATAAGATGGTATATAGCTAGTGGAAAATGATGCTGAATAAAAAAACAGAATTATTTTTAAGGTTTTGAAAAGTCTCTTAGATATGAAACAGCCTTGGTTTGGTGCTATATAGTTTATGAGCCTGAAAATGAAATTACAGGACATAAAATATAAAAAAAACTAATCAATATCACATAACCAGGAAGCTTGGAAATTTAAAGGACTTCTCTTGTGCTGACATTTGAGGCCACAAATACCAGAATACGGCATATGCAGAGGAAGTCGGTGTTCATATTATGCTCAGGTTACCTTGGCCAATGGGAGCATTTCTTCCATCAGCTCAATTGTGAGGCCTGGCATCCAAGACAAGTATTGATTTCTGCTCCTTTCCCTGCTCCTCCTCCTTCCCCTTCCTCTTTTTAATAGCAGGTAAGCTTACTGTTAAATGATCAATTCCTTCATCATGTGAAACTTGTGGATGCTTCCTAGTCTTAAACATGAACAGTAAATTATTAAGAGACATTATGTTCTCTGAAGACACCGACAGAAAAAAATTCTCCGTTTCCTTCATTACAGGAGATAGCTTGAACCTCTACCTATCTGTCCCTCTCCACACTCCTAGGTCTCAGGATAGCTTTTGTAGGTTGGGACTTTGGTGAAAAGGCTTGGCAGCAAATTTCAACTATCACAGTATGACCTTAGACACGTCGCTCCCTAAACCTCAGTTTTCTCAACTAAAAGTGGAGGTAGTTCTCTACTCAAATATTAAACCCTTAGAGACACCTAGCCTAGCCACTCCATCAGTAATAGCCTATCTCCCCTCTTTAAAAAAAAAAATTCTTTATCTCTTTTATGCTTACCATTGACTTCTTTCTTTCTTTTCTTTCTTTCCTTCTTTCTTTCTTTCTTCCTTTCTTTATTCTTTCTTCTGTCGCTCTTTCCCTTCCTTCCTTCCCTCCCTCTGTCCTTTCTTCCGTCCGTCCTTCCTTTCTTTTTTTCTTTCTTTCTTTCTTTCTTTCTTTCTTTCTTTCTTTCTTTCTTTCTTTCTTTCTTTCTCTCTCTCTCTCTTTCTCTCTCTCTCTCTCTTTCTTTCTTTCTCTCTCTTTCTCACTTTCTTTCTTTTTGAGATGGAGTTTCACTCTTGTTGCCCAGGCTGGAGTGCAATGGCATGATCTCTCAGCTCACTGCTACCTCTGCCTCCCAGGTTCAAGCAATTCTCCTGCCTCAGCATCTCAAGTAGCTGGGATTACAGCCATGCACCAGCACGGCCGGCTAATTTTTCACTTTTAGTAGAGACGGGGTTTCACCATATTGGTCAGGCTGGTCTCAAACTCCTGACCTCAGGTGATCCGCCTGCCTCAGCCTCCCAAAGTGCTGGGATTACAGGCATGAGCCAACGTGCCCAGCCATTATACTGTATTTTTGTTTGTTGATTTGTTAACAATAGAAGTTAAACCCTGTGAGTGTTGTGTTCTCACTCTTGGAACAAGGCCTGGCCCCAAATAGTCCTTAGTAAGAGCCAGCTTAATGAATGAATAGTAACTCAATCAATAACCATGTTTTGATGAAAGGAGGCCAGGATCACTGCAGGGGATGGTGACACATATGGGCAGAGAAGAGGAATCAAAGCTTACAATGGAGAAGTGAAAAGATTGGTCAAAGAGTTAGGAGCTAATCAGCTGAAAGTAGTGTCATGGAGCCGAGTGTCCATGGAGTCATGGACACTACTGAAGAAGGAGTTGTTGAGAGACCCCTGGCTTAAGAGGCATTATTCTGGCCCCTAGGTGTGCATCCAACATTGGTGAGTGTTTTTTTTTTTTTTTCTTCGAGTGCTTGTTAGGTAAAAAAAACGAAGTGCTGCGGAGAATGTAGCAAGAATGAATTCAAGGACTGTAGTCTCTGGGAAAAGTGGGGCAGGCATGGCTGACACCTATATCCTGCCAGCCCCCTCCCAGTCCACCTGCTCTGCCATCCACATTCCCAGTACATCAACAGCTGCCTACTGCAAATGGCTTCTTGTGTTCTCTGCCAGAGGGTTTTCTCTGACTTGCTCCTTCACAGACACAAGCGACTTGGCAGGTCAATGGCACTAACACCCCTGAAAACAACAGGTGGTGGATGGGAGTCACCGGGTCAAGGCCCCAGGCTCCCTGTCCTCTGGTGGGCAACCCTGAGATGAGTCTATGAGACTCCTCAGAGTTTCCTGGGCAGAAAGCAGCCAGCCCTGGTGCCCATGCTGTAATCTGCTCAGTCACACATGTGTCATGGGCCTTTCTCCCTGTTCTCTTTACCCTCCTTCCTCCCTCCCTCCCTCCTCTGCACTTCAATCCACTGCATTCCCCATCTCACCTCCCAGAAGAGGCCACCTACCCATGTTCTTGTCTTGGGCCTGCTTTCAGGAAGACCCGCACTAAACCGAAACTGATAGCCTAGGGTCCATGGCATTAAGTCAGGAGCACAGAATTAATGTTGCCCAAGATAAGGATTTCATATTTCTGGGGAGGATGAGATTACTCTGGCCCATAATGGTTCAATGGAGGAAAGATTTTTATGGCAGGCCCCTGAAGGATGAGTAGGATTTTCACAGTGGTATATGGTGAAGGTATATAGTGGTATATGATGAGACGAAAGGGGAAAATGTCAAAAAGGAGAGAAGATGAGGAAAAGAGGCCTTAGAGAACAGAAACTTGATATTGTGGTGAAGAAGTCAGTTGATATATAAAATTGAAGAAAATCCTGGAAATATTTGTTGGGGGTCTGATTGTAAAGGGTCTCCCAGCTTAGCTAAGATTTAGGAACTTGAACCCTGGGAAACTGGGAGCCATAGAGTTTTTGAACAGTGGTTTCACATGATAACAGAAGAGATTTAGCATTTGTTGGGGAGGGTGGGATCCTGGTAGACAAGAGAGTGAAGAATATATGTTAAGGTTCTGCATAGGGTGATCTCTCTGCAAACGCACAGAGGGTTAAACCTGAGGGTCTGTGGTGGGGACCACAATGCACCACCCAAGTCCCCCGTTACAGAAGGTCTTGTGGTCCTACCTGCTAAGAGGGCTGGGGCAGACACCCTTCAGCTCTCAGGAGTTTCAGGGTAGGGGAAGAGCTCAGAGAAACACCTCGCCCCAAACCATATCCTTTTCCAGTGGCTCATGTGTAATGACTGGTCACTCTGGGAGTATCAAGGGCTGGCCATCTCTGCCCAACTTGAGTCAACTAAGAAAGACCATGCTAGCCCATCACTGATGGCTTTATTGTCCAAGACTGACCCTGTGCAAGCCTCCCAGCTCCCATTCTCCCTCTGCCCACTGCTGCTTCCTTTCCCTCCTTCCATAGGCAATTGATGTGTTTTGTTTCAGATATGTTGAGTTTAGCTCTAAAAGCTCTAAAGAATCTGGGTGATTCAGTGTTCCCTAATGTAAAGACAATTGGTTTTACCCTATTTCTTCTTGCAACAGTTCTGCCTTCATGGCCACAGATCAAGGGACTGCAGCCTTCATCTGAGCCAATCAGAATCCTTCACTGGGATTTCCTAATTTGAGAGGAAGAGTCATTTTCTTTTCTCATACTGAAGTTGCTGATATAAGCTCCAGACTTCCTGGGGGCCATGTAGGTGGAATTCCAAGGTGCACCCTGTATGACCCTCTTTGCTCCCCAGTGTGAGTGAGACCTATGAATATGATGGGATGTTACTCCTGTGGTCAGGTTACATTACACAACACTCCACCTTGGCACACTGCAAAAAGAGAGGGACTCTTCTGTTATACTTAAAGAGACTGCCACATCAGAGAGAAAGCCACTGAGGGTGGCCTCCACTGGCCGAGAGTGGCCTCGGGCTGCAGCCAGCAAGAAAATGTTGGGTAAGTAACAGCTTCTCCATGTTGCTTGTCTTTGCATGCCTCAACCTTCCTTCTTGATTTTCTCAGCTGTGCACACACTTTAGTAGAGAGTCACATCATTAAATTCTCTTTGGTTAAAACTTTTAGAGTACAAGTAAATTTCCTACCAAAACCTGAAATGATCCAAAACTCATCACACATCCATGTGGGGTGAGCATGAATCTTTGTCCAGAAACTTGGGAATGAAAATCAAGTCCTGGAACTTAATTTTCTTTTTTTCAGTTAAATTAAATGTGACTCTGGGATGCCTGAGATTGGCTGGCAAGAAACCCAGTGAAAGCCATTGCTGGGATCTCTTTGCACCCCTCAGGTCTGTACAAAGATTGCAGAAATATCATGCTCAGCAAAATATTTGTAGGTCCCCTCTGTCTTCAGGTTACGGTGGTCACCTTTGTGATTCCTACTACCAGTGCACCTCTTGAAGTCTGGAGGTCCCGCCATGCTGAGAGCTTGGCCAGCTTGAGCCCTAGGGCCCAAGTCCAACCTTATGAGGTGCCCCCACAATCATGCTCTGTCTTCCAAAGGTCCTGTCATTCTCTGGTCCCAGGGGCCAACAAGGGAGTGAACAATAAGTCCTCGCCACTCTTAAAACCCTAGATGTCTTCCTGCTCTCAGTCTCAATTTAGATATCCAATTTTGACGCTGCCTCTGTGAGTTTCTCTTGAGTTAGGAAAGGTTAAGGGTTTGGACTGGTTCCTTGGTGAAGAGAAGAGGAGAAAATCCAGAAAGATCAAAACACAGAGGAGATTGAATATCAGGCTTGCAATGCCTGATGAAACTTAGACAACCCACAGTGTACTCTGTTACTTTTGGTAACTTCTGTGGAACCAGACAGTGTTCTCGCTTTCTTAGAAACAGGTATTGAAAGAGAACAATAGCTGCTGAACCCAGCAAACCCTCCATATGGCAGGGCACTGTGGGAATCCCCCAGCCTGCTTGGCAGAAAGAAACCTGGGAGAGTTCACAGACAAGCCACAAAGATTTTTTTCCCTGTCTTCAAGAAAGGGTCAATTCAAGATTTGATTTAAGGATCATTTAATGGCACCAACTGAAGATATGCTTATTTAACTTAATTCCATTTTTTGGAATACAGTTTATTTAATGTTCTTTCAAGCGGAAAAAATAAGAAACAAATAATATTTGAAAAGTAGACTTCTATTTTGAAAAGTTACATGATGGTTAAAAGTTTCTCCTCTTCATTCTAGGGACAGTAGAGAACAACCCAATTATAATAATAATTTTACTTAAATACCATTATGAAAAGATTTGACAGGAAATCACTATTAGGCTGCCATTACTGATAATTTTAATAATACTTAAAGAAAGCTGTGTGTATAATAAGCATTACACACGTATGCATTCAAAGGCTCTTTTATTCCATGTGGTCTATGCTGACTAGGTCAGCATAATTATGTGACTTGGTCTCCAGAGCTAAAGAAAAAATGCAGTTTAAAAAAGAATGCAGTTTCTCAAGAGAATGGTTAACAAATCCGTAAAAGACACGAAAAGGCAGAGAAGTTCCACACTAAATTTCCCACTCTGATTCTTAGCCTTTTGGAGGGGACAAGTCCTAGTTTCTGCCTTCATAGAAAGCAATGTGGGACCGCAGATGGGTGGCCACTGCACTTCCTTCTGGCCTCTGGCAGTGGGGTGGGGTGGAGGGGTAAAGAGCCAGGGGCATTTTTAATGTAATTTAGTCCACCTTGCCAGGGTATGAAAGAAAACTAACTTTAGCAGATCTAGCCATGTGACTTTGGACAAGTCACTGAACTCTCTGAGACTTCATTTTCCCCATCTTTAGCTCTAATTATCTGTGATTTGCATGATTCCACCTTTCAAAGAACATAGAGCACGGTTCAAAAACTTTGAAGTTAGATAAGCTGATTCAAATCCTAAAGCCAGCCCTTGAGTGCTGTGTGACCTTGGGTAAGTTATAGAACCTTTCTGGGCCTCGGTCTCTTTACCTTTTAAATGAGGCCAAGTGTGTACATGATGCTAATTAAGTGAGACAGTCCATGTGAAGGCTTAGCACAGTCTCTGGCATTCAATAAGAACACAGTGAGTGAGTTGTTTTTCTTCCTGTCATTTTAGGGGTTGTAGCAATAGTGTTTTTGATTGCAGTGGGTTGTTGACTGCCAAGTGAATGATTATACATGGACATGGAAGTTGAGATATGAAAAAAGCCACGTGGGTCAGAGTCTCATGGTCAGCTACCATGGCAATCCTGAAAAGCTCCTCTACCTGAATGGCCTGTCCTGCAATAACTCCCCTGGAGATACTGTTCCCTTTCTCAACCTTGGAACTCCACATATTCAACCAGTTGAGTCAACCCCCAATGGAGTGAGATCAGGCATCTTCAGTGACCTTAAAAAGCCAGCTTGACTCTCTAGCCAAGACTCAGAGGGCTGGAGCCAAATCAGAATGACTAAGATACAGAAAAGAATGCGTGGACGGAAAGCTGCAGTTGCAGCCTCGGAAGACACTGGTAGAAATGCTGTTCTGGAGAACGTGTGTGGATCTGGTGGGCTAGGCACCCCAGGCAGCCCCCTGGCCTGGGTGAAACACTCCTGCTTGCTCTCCCGTTTACCAAGGAAGCTTTGGGTAAGAGCGTACTTTACCTATCCACTAAAAAGGCAGAGGAAGGGAGGGTCTAGTGGTCTGACACGCATCTACTAGGTAGAAATGGGCAATGTCTCCCACATCCAAGCATCTTAGGGCCTTAGTAAGAGGGGGGTGATCTCTGAGGGCCTGGCCATGGGCTGCCCTTAAGACAAGTGGCTGGCCAGTTGGCCAAGTGGCCTTCCACTGGTGACATAACACCCTGGAAGTGTTCCCTCTGCCTTTGTTCCCTTTTAGTCAAGTAGTGGCACCCTTAATAGAGAGAACAACACTGTGGTGTGAACTGATTTGTCATATTTTTGACCAGGCCCTAAGGAAGGGGTCAGCGACACACTTAGGAGGAAAGGATGGGAATATTCACTCCTGGTGACAGTGAGATTTGGGGTCTGATGACGGATAGTTTCCCCCAACTTTTCTGCTCATCTAAAACAATAAAACCTCTGCCTAGGTTTTAATCATTGAAGGAAAGCTAATCTCTGACTTGTCCTGTTTTTTTTGTTTGTTTTTTGTTTTTGTTTTTTTTTTTAGATAGCGGTGTATTTATTGCATGTTTCTTACTGCCTTTGGAGGGATTACCTGTGCAGCTAAGCTCTGACTCCTTAGGAAAACTGAGCATCGAAAATAATAAGAGAAAACTGTAGGATATTGAATAACATGACAGAGGGAAGACTGCAGTGGTCTTTTCTATTAAAGTAAAGCAGGACTAGTATTCTACATTAATGTCCAAATTATGCAAAAACAATAATCAGTGCTCCGTGAATGATCAGCCTAAGGATTAGTTATGGTGCACAGGGGTTTTGATAGGGCATTAGGTTTCATTTCCGGACCAATGGATGAACATTTTAAGAAAGTGCTCTTTACTCTGTGTTAACCGCAAATAATAACAACGCTCCACTTTCATAAGGTGGATTTTAACTCTTGTGGTAATACTGGTGCTCTCGAAGTCAAATCATCACTGCCAAAGAGCTTCTCCAGTGCCCATTCTTTCCGGCACTGCCATGGTCTTCACGAGCTCTTTATGACATCCTGAGCCAAGGCCAAATCCCCTCCTGGGCGTGCACAGACCTGCCCCACCTCCTGCCCATGCCCTGTGCCGTCTCTTAAGCCTCCCACCCATGCCCCTTCCTGAAGTCACCCTGACTGCTCTGAGGTTCCCATGGCTCTTTCTTTGTCAGCTTTGCAGATGAGGGCACATCAGTGCCTTAAGGCCTTAAGATCCTTCAAGCACATGGACTATGACTTCGTGCCTCTCTTGTTCTTTCTGGTAACCAAAGGTACTTTGCCATGAAGAGAAAACACCTTGGTAACCAACGTGGCTCTTAATCACATCCTGCACTTTCTCTCTTTTTCTTTTCTTTCTTTTGTGTGTGTGTGTGTGTGTGTGTGTGTGTGTGTGTGTGTATTTAGTATTTCTCAGCCGCTGGCATTTAATCCACCCAGGGGGCACCTGTGCTTCTGTATCCACACAGGGTGCTGGAGACACCCTTAGGGTCAATCGACATGTCCCCTGTGTCCAGAACTGCCCCCAGACTGCAAGATGCATTTCCCTGGGAAAATCAGAAATGATGTATTTTGTCCCAATTCTTCCCTATATCAAGCATTTAGGGGCCCCAAGAGAGACCCACATAGAAGTACTTCCTTTTCTTTCCCTGTTCAATAAATAACATTCTGAGGCCGAGGACAGGGAGATGTGGAGAGCAGAATCCAATAGCGGAAGCCACCCAGACTAGATAAACAGGAGGGGGCAAATGAAAATAAGCAGGTGAGGAGGAGGCTGGGAATGGCCAGGAGGGCTAGGGGTGTGTGGCAGGGAGCTTGGACTGTGGACAGCTGCTGAGCAGAGCACCAAGGCCAGGCACGTGTGTCACTGAGGTGAACTTCAGCACAGCAGAGGTTCTGTCCTTGTAGGGGGAAGGGCCCAACCTCCAGGACAAGCAGTGGACCTAGCAGTTACCATGTTCCCACTCAGTATCAGAGACGCTGCTGAGAGCTTGGCACCAACGCTTTTCATTCTGACGAGCACCCAGCCCTTCGGATTATCCATAATTACACTTGTGTATATGGAGGTAAAACAGACTCAGAGAGGTTAAGCGCACCTGTGTTCCCATGTTACTCAGACAAAATTGAGGTTGGAATTCATGTTTGTTTTCGGTTTTTGCTCTTTCTATTGTACTGGTGCTTCTCGAATTGCTCCGATGTGAGAGAACCTGGATGGTCCGGGCATTCTTTGTGGTGTGTGAATCATGTGGAAATACTGGATGGGTCAAGCTTACAATAGCTGAATATACAATTCCATGTTAAATCAGATACCACCTTATGTACACTCCATTTAGGAAGTGTTCAATGACTTTTACAATTACAGGAGAGAAACAGAAAAACTTTGAGAAAAATCTATTGATTTGATTTTTCTGTGTCCCAGGAAAAAGGTGATCTCTAAAAGTGAGTAATAGCAGAAGCCCCATGTCCAGCTTGGGGACCACTATGTCTTCAGGAAGTAGAGTCAGAGACCATCCCCCGCTCGGACTCCGGCTCTCCACTGGAGAGCAGTGAGGAGGTGAGAGTCCCCTGCCCTGCCTCCACCTCCCTCAGGTCCCTCTGGCTTGCTACAAATGCCCACCAGAGAAGCAAAACAGTGATTTTTGTTTTAGATTTTATCATTTCATTTTTACATAAGTCACCCAAGCTTCTTGTTAAAAATTACAAAACACAGATAAGCCAAAAAATATATATAAATGAATTAGTTGTAAAGATTCTCCACTAATACTCACCAGCAATAAAAATTTGGACCTGCACTCATTCAGATACTTACTTTCTGTGCATGTCCAGGCTGTAGATTTTTTTTTTCTGGCATGCTTACCGTTCTACATCCATTAGTTCACAGCTGCACTAGTGTTTCCCAAAGATGGGTTCCCACGACGTATACAGTAACATTGTCCAAGATACAATTTTAAAATGAAGATTCCTAGACTCTTTATTCTATAAAATCAGCATCTTGCACCCCAGGCACACTGACAGCCTGCTTTTAACAAACTTCCTGGTGATTCTCACGATTCTCACAGTCCTCATTTTTATTTTGCCCAGGAATACTTCAATGTATTCCAGAGCCTGATTTAGTTACTCAGAGCCCTACTGATAGACACTTAGGCAATTCCTGATGTTTTTCTCAATGGTGTCACCTATATCAGTGTATACATTGTTTTCTTTGAACAAACACCTGTTAGTGGAGTTGTAGGATTATGGACTCACTGGTATACTGATACTTCTTGTATGTGTTGACTGTTGCCCTCTGAAGCAGGAATAGTGATGGGCAGACCCCAGTTGCACCCCCAGCAGGCAACACAGTGTTTTCAGCTCACGTAAAGATCTGAAGTATCAGGAGGACGTGCTGAAAGCTGAGGGCTGCTGAGATAAGGGAGCCAGCCTTTGTAAGTGTGAAGCCCAGAGATGAAAGCCAACTCAAGCCATGCCCCACATGCACTGGACCTGGTCCTGCCCACTAGAGCAGTCACCCCCATGACCCCTGCACCTGCCATGCACCGAGAGGCTCCCAGAGTAATCACTCCCACACTGTCGTCTCCGTGAATGAATCTTCCACGGGGAGACTTCAGAGGGGGGAGGGGGGTTTGTAGGGGAAAGAAGAGCAGCCCCCCTTGGCACCTCCGTGGTTGGCTTACACACCAGACCTGGCAGGGGTGGATGAACTTTCACACATCCCATGTGGCATTCCTTTATTCAGCAGATAAAGGTTAGAACATTCACCTGTCAGCAAGTATGATGGATGCTGGAGCCACAGTAGCAGGTGGGACTCAGTCCCTGACCTTGAGTTCCTTGGACTTCATTTGGGGAGACTAAATTATGGAACAATTAGAATGCCACATGAGTGGAAGTGTAGCAGAGGTAAGGCTTATTATCCAGGGACACAGGGAAGGAGCCCAGACCTCCTGGAGGTCCCAGGAAAGTCATCAGAAAGGTGACACTTTCTCCATCATCTGAAAAGGAAATGTTTTTAATTATGAAAGAAGTACACAATTGCAAAAAGTCTAAAGCATACAGAGGCATAGATAAACTTTAGAAACCCAACACATCCTCATTTCCCTAACATAATTACTGTTAGGTTCTGGACTCTAAAAATCTATATTAAAAAGATATATGTGTAGGTATATACATAATGAGATCATAGTTTACAGGCTTTTCCTTCAACTAGTTTTCTCACTCAACAGTATAGCATGGGCGTCTTCTCATGTCAATACATTTGTGGCCTCCTTTCACAATTATTTCAGTGGCTGTAGAGTCATCTACATCACAGGTGTTCCATGAGGCATTTAAAACGATAGCACTCATCCTTGCTTTGATTAGTGTTGTATTATGGATTTTATGGCCGGGCTTCCCTCAGGCCCTATCAGAGATTGCACTTTGAGCTGCTTTTTTGGACACAGGTTCCCTTATCAGCACCAGCGGGTCTCTTAATGAAAATCTAGCATCTTAATAGATTGTTGAGTCCTGAATATACTGTCTTACAAGTAAGCCTTAAATGTAAAAATCAAGGAAGCTCAAGTTACTGATAGACCTACTAATATTATAGGTGAGAACACTAAAACTAGAGACACATTTTCCTGAGGAATGTTCTAGACTTCAAAATGTTGGCACTGAGGGGGCCGCCTCTCAGCGAGTTGACTACTGGTGACCTCTAATGGCAATCCAAGATACTGCACAAAAACCCCGTGGAAAACTGGGAACTGCTTGTATTATGTGTGGTTAATTCAACTGCAGTTGTGAATTCCCAAGGTCTTTGAAAAGGTGCTAAGTTGTCTCATGATTAGAAGGGGGCTTAACAGAGTATCATGATGTAGATCCAGTGAGTCATGCCTCAAATTGGACCACTTATTTTCTGGCTGGAGCAAACGATCATTTTCATAGATGCGTAATATTGCACATAATGTAAAGATATACACACATTTAAATGTCCACATTAACTCACCCACTAGTTAAATATCAGAAGGCATATTACTCCTATGGCTTGAAATGTCCTGTTATTTAGCACAATATTACCAGGGCAGTCCAGAAATACCTGCAACCATTCATTGCCTGTCTAATGTTTGGTTTTGAAGGGGTGGGTCAGGCAGAGGGTCTTAGGCCACTGCTGGTAAATGCCAAACTAACTCTGAGGTCAGAAGTCCTTGATGCTACATCCCCAGGTTCAAAAGCCTAAGAAGCCCTCATTTGGACTGGGCAGCGTCCCTCCACCTGAGAGAAATTAATAACAGCAAGCTTCTGAATAATTGCTGAAATCCACACCTGAACCCAGATGGACCAGAGCAGCCACAAAGTCCTCAAAGCACCTGACCAGCCCCCTCAGTGGGCTATTTTTGTAGAAAAAGAATGAGTCCTGGAAAACAACCAAATACCCATTGTTTGGCTGCGTTTATTTTCCATCAAGAGTGATGCAGATAGCTTGCCCAGTAGGGACCCACTCAGCGTCTAAAGACTAGGCAAATGGAGGTGGGTGGACTTTGGCAGTGCATGGTACTCAGTGGAAGGAGAGAGCAGAGGAATCAAGCAAAGAGTGAGAAAAAAAGATCCTGACCATCAGGAAAAGTACAGCCAAGAGAAACTCTCAGATGGGGAAAAGGAGAACTGGGGTACATTGTCACATAATGCAATGACACAGTGGTGATGTGAGAACTCATTTAGGTTTTCTCTCCAAAACTTCAGGGTGAGACTACTGGAATTAATTTCTATTTTATCAATACCAGAGGGAAAAAAGGATGAATTTTGTTATTTTTAGCAATACAGTATGTGTCACATTCAGAAACCAGAAAGACCAAGTCTGGTTTTTAACCACTACTTTATGGGGCTGAGTAAGCTGCTGAGACTGACAAAGAGATCTTCTCCGCCAACTTTACAGAGTTCACTTACCCCCAGTCACCTTTCCCACTCCTGGAAGATGAAGGTGTGGCCATAATGCAACAAAATAATTAATGGTGATGTTTGAAAATTAAGAAGACAAATCCTTATAGGCTATTCGTGTTCATTTTTTCTATGTATTTTAAATGACATAATGACATGTGCTGGAATATATATATGTATATATGCTGTTACATATATGTATATTCACTTTAGAAAATTTATGAAATACATAAAAATAGTAAGGAATAATTAAACCACTCAATTCTACTACATGACAATGATAATGTCCAATATTTTTATGTGTATTCCTGTAATTCTTTATTATTTATACCTATTGCCACACCTCTATTTCTTTATCCACTACTACAGAGTTGGAAATAAAATTACTATTGTATTTTGTGAATCTGTTTTATTTTGCTTTAAAGTGATAAAGATGTGTATTACACATTCTTCTAAAATATGACTTAAGAGATGTACAATATTCTGTCATAAATCTATCACAATCTATCATTTAAATCGCTTTCATTGTTTTGTGACTGAAAATAATGCTGTAATGAACATTCAATAACATTTCCTTTGTTTACTTATGTGTTTTACAATTTACTAATAATTCAGATCACTGAATAAAGGTGAAAGGGCCTTCCCAATTTCTTCAGTGAATGGGTGAAGATGTTCAGGTTCAAAGGTGATAAATGGCTTACCTGAGGCTACACAGAACAAGTGATGATACAAGATAATCAGTAGGGAAATGAGAAAGAACCCTCCCCTGGGCCCATTGCCTGGGCCAGGACAAGTGTCCTGTGTCCCTGCCGGTTCCAAGGCTCAGTGGGTCGGCTTCCATGCATGGTTGCTATGGAGGCCTGAGTGGAAGGGAGGTGCCCACATTATGGCTTGAAACCTTTTGCTCTTCACCTCATTTCCTCCTCACAGCACACCAGGAAATTGGTGCGAAGTTTCCATCTGACAGATAAGGAATCGGAGGACCAGGGGCCCAGAAAAGGCTCCAAGGAACAGATCGGAGATGGGGCCTAGTTTCTAGAAAGTTAACTGAAGCCCTTTGGGGTCAAGGCCTTTGGAAGAAGTGGGTGAGGAGGAAAAGAAAAGTAGGGGGAGTGGAGGAGGAGGAGGGAGGAAGAAGCATAGGGGGAGGGCTGGAGCAGGAGGAGGGAGAGGGAGGAGTGGAGGGGTCAGGGAAGAGTGGAGGAAGAGAGGAAGAAGTGGCTCTGCATTTGTAGGCTTCAAGGCATGCTGGATTTTGTTTATGAGTAAAGAGTCCTGGCTCTCAAGGTTAACTTTTATCCTGACACCAGCTATGAAGGTCAAGGGCTGCAGAGGGTCCAGAACTGTGCTGAGGTATGACTAGGCAGATCCATATGAAACTGCCATTCTTCTAGGCCAAAAGGGATGAATGCTGGCAAGTTTATGGGATTTAAATCAATCTTTTCTCCTCTGTCTCACTATTAGGAAGGGGTTACTTGTTTTTACAAATGCAGAAACTGCAGAACAGAGAAGTCAAACAACTTCCAAGGGATTTTACTTGTGAATAAACCAGTTTTTGTACCTGAGCTGTGTGACTCTGGAATCTACCTGTTCAGTGCACATTTAAACAAGTGCCCTTTCTGCAAGTGTCTCTCTGAGCTCTCTTTCTGTGATTTAAAATGTCATGTATATAAGAAAATACTTCCACTGCTTGACCCTACCCACACTCACACCAATCACTTCTGCCCCTCAATGGCCACAGAACATTAGCAAAAGCAATTGCACAGCATGATATGAAGTAAAGAAAAAGGTTGCCACAGTCGCTAAAAGGGAGCAAATGCACAAACCACGCCAACCGCAGCACAAAAATAAGCATAAACGAACAAAACAAGAGAAATTCAAAAAGAAAATTGAACACATCTGGGATTTTAAAACAAAAGTGGAGCTCTGCTCTAGAGAAGGCCTGTGTCCTGCAGGAGACAGAGGAGCTACAAACAGCCCAGCCGACGAAGGCAGCTGGGACACAGGAGCCGCAGAGTTCTCTCGGCACATTCACAGAAGCACTGCACCTTTCACTGGGAAAACCAAATGCACAAAAAAGTTGTCTTTTTTTTTTTGTAAGTGGTTGACAAAGAAGAAAAAGAAAGCAAACAAAAGTTTGTATAAAAATCCCAAAAATGATAAAACTCACATTTCAAATCAGGGCAGGAAAAGATTGAGAGTGAACTTTGTGTTTTTCATTACCATTGATACTGAATCTTTGAGCTGTATTTTTCAGACAAGATAAATTAAAAATATAAAAGTAAATAAACCTGAATATTAAAAAATAAAAGAAAGGTGATGTTTTCTTGATTTATGTGCATTAACCAGCAAGTAATTGCATCAGAGGAAATTTGTTATTGTAATTCTCATGTTCTTTCAGTTATTGGAGGGGGAAAATGAAAGGCAGGAAGCAGCACAAGTATTATGGCTTTTCTACAAATTTGCAGTATAATAACATTGTATTTCCTGATTCTGTAGCAGAATCAGGAAACAGAGACTATGTTCCGGGAAAGGATGAACTGTGATAAACATTGAGATGTAAGGACTGAACCTACGGAGTCCACAGAGGTGCTGGGAGAAGCTTGTGGAGCTGACAGTTTAAATGCATCCCTATAACATGTACCTGGAGATGCTTATCCTTTGGTGCCACCCCCGTGTCCTGGTCTTCCTTCTATTTCTGGCCACTCCCTCTTAGTCTCCTTAGTGAATGACTCTTTCCCTCCCCATTGAGTGGCAGTTTTACTCAAGGATCTGTCCTTGGCACCCTTCCCCCACTTGTTCTTACCATAAACCCCCCAGTCATCATCTCCAGCTGAGCCCTCTCTTCTGTACTTTAGACCAACTGCCCAGATGACACCTTCACTTGCATGTCCCCTGGAATCTCAGCCTTAGCGCTTACGAAAATGATTTTTTGATACTTGCTTCCACTTCTTTGAACTCCACTCATCATCACTACCATCATCAACACAAACTGGTCACTCCCTGGGCATTCCCTGACTTTGTGGGTGGTCTTCTATCCACGTTTACAACGCGGATACCTTAGATTGGGTTCCCTAAAAGAAGATGCTTAGACAAGGATGTGCAAGAAAGTAGTTTATTTGGGAGGCAACTCTAGAATACACCAATAAGGGAGAAAAGAAGTGAGATAGGGAAGAAAAAGTAGCCAATAAAAGGTGCACATCAAGCCAGTTCCTTTTGTAGGTAACTAGGGTTCACCCTATGGAGAAACCTGGGAGACCACACAGAACATGCCTTAGCATTGACCCACCCAGAAAGTGAGGGAAGTGGGGTGTTTATCTGCCAACTCTCCTCTTGAGAGTTCCTCCTTGGGGGTGTTAATTCTCTTAAACTTAAGCCTGGCAGCCCCTCAGGCAAAGACATGCAAATGCTGGCAGTTCAAAGTTGGGCTGGCAAGCACCAAATGACAAGGGCTGAGGGAATATGGGAGGGGTCCAGAAATCTGGGGGCCTCCTCTGACTCCTCCTTCTCCCTCCTTCATGCCTTCCAGTCCCTTTATCAACCACCAAGTCTTGCAGATTCTACATCCTATATAGCAGATATCTGTCAAATTCTCTCCGTATCCAAAGCCAACTCTCTTGTTCAGGACACAATCCCTAACCTGTAGCTTAATACAACAGGCTCTGAACTTGTCCCTCTGCTTCCAGTCTCCAATTATTATCCATATTGAGACCCGGAGCAAGTCTGATCATCTCACTTACTTACATATAGTTTTCTATGGCTCCCTGCTTCCTTTAGAATAAATTCCAGTACCTGTAGCAAAGCTTAAGGCATTTGAATGATCTGCTCCAGGTACCGTTTTCAGTCCCATTTCTCATCCTCAGGCTTTTGTGAACTTTGGTCTCAATAAACTTTCTTCAGTTCAACAAAAGTGCAGTCCTGCATAGATGTGGTTTTTTCTCCCTGAAACACTGTTCATGAGTTCCTATGAATTCTTTGCTAAACTAACTCATTCTTCAGGTCTAGCTTAGGCATCACTCCTCCAGGAATGTCTCCTTGCCTCCCCTAATCAAGGTAAGTGCCTTCTCCTTTGGGGTTTAATAACATCCTGTATTTCCCTACCAAAGCCTCAATCACACTCCATTACAGTCCCCTGTTTGCTTGACTGCATCTCTTTCCAGGCTCAAAGCTCTGAGAGAACAGGGACTCCAGGCTCCTCCCTTTCTACATTACCTCTCCAGCACCTAGCACAGTGTCATTGTGAGCATGTATATTGAATAGATGAATGAATAAATTGTTGAACTAAGTGACTACCAAGAGAGTAATACATTATGAATCATTAAACTCCTAATGAAATTTAATTTGTCTATTCATTACTTTGGATGAAGATACTTTTTTTCATGGCTAAAGGCCTATGCAGTTAATGACAGAGCCTGATTCAGATCTCTTTGAAAAGATAGTGTCAAAATTGTACCACAATCTGGCAGCTCCCAAATTATTGTTGATAAGCCAATTTCAGACTTGTCTACATATCAAAAGTTATTTTTTTCTCAGGGAAAAGAAGAGCGTGCATGTGCAAACGCCTGCCACTCAACAACCGTAAGACTATGAGAGGGCGGGACTCACTGGAAGGCAGAGAGCCTTTTTATTTCTCTTTCTCTGACCTATGATGCTTAGCCATGTGCTTGTTATTAGTGGACAATCAACAAATATTTTCTGAATTAAAACCCAGATTTGAATTTTTGAAACATAAGATTTATTTTATTAAAATAAGAAAATATACCTAGCCATATACCTCCCCAAATTGAAAAAAGGTATTCAGACAAAGACTTATACACAATATTCATAGCATTATTCATAATAGACAAAAAGTTCATCAGCTGATGAGCGGATAAACAAAATGTGTTGTAACCATCACCATACAAGGGAATATTATTCAGCCATAAAATGGATAAAGTACTAACACATGCTGCGACTTGGATGAACTTTGAAAACATGCTTAGTGAAAGAAGCCAGATGCAAAAGGCCAGACATCATATGATTACATGTATATGAAATATCCAGAACAGGCAAATCTATAGAGATAGAAAGTGGATGAGTGGTTTCCAGGGGTTGTGGGGAGGGGGAGTGGGGAGTGCCTGGTAATGAGTATTGAATTTCTTTTGGGGGATGATGAAATGTTCTGGAATTAGATAGTGGTGATGGTGCACAACTTTGCAGTATACCAAAAACCATGAAATTGTACACTTTAAAGGGCAATTTATGGTATATAAATAACATTTTAATTTTCAAGAGATTGTGGCTTAGAAAACTAGAAAATATAGCACAGTGAGAAAAATACAAACTTTACATTTAGATGGATTTATGTTAAATCCTGACTCTACTATTTACTAGTTAGAGATCTTGGAAAATTATTTAACTTCCATGAGATTCAGATTCATATTCTGCAATATAAAAATAACAACACCTGCTTTTAGAGCTGTTGTAAAAGTAATTGGTAAGTGTGTCGACAGAATTTTGCCACACATATGTGTAATTAACATCATTATTAATACTATATGATAATTTGATAGTTAAAATATTATAACTGAAAGGTGACAACTGCATTTTCCCTCATATGAAGCCCAATCCCCCTCTGGGACTCTTTGGCAGAGTTGAGAACATCCACACGGATAATCCAAGTAGAAGCGGTCAGTGCACAGCACTAGTCCACCCCATTAGCTATGGAGCAACAATGGTCATCTCCAGGGTTTCTACACAAGACTCCAGCTCCTGATGAATAAGGGAAAAAATTGTATCATTTCTGCTTGGCCTAGGTCTCTGTACCTCCTGAAAATTTCCATGGTGTTTGAGTTCTCATTTTGTGGACTGTATGGAATTAATCAAGCTCTGGCCACTGGTTTAACCACAGACTTGTCTGTACTCTTCTATGGTTTCCCACAGCAGTGGAGGTGTGCAATGTCCCTGATCCAAGGGCTCCTTTCAGGTTGCCTGAAGTCCTTCAAGATCAAGAAACCGTTTGGAATTAAGGACACCAAACCTCGTGAGATATTTTGTTTTGTTTTTTTAAAACAGAAAATGAAGGTGAGCATACAAATGCATAACATTCCATCAGAAAATGAAACCAAACCCTTGGTCAAAAAAGTGATTCAGCCACATTTTCTTAATCCAGTCTATCATTGTTGGACATTTGGGTTGGTTCCAAGTCTTTGCCATCGTGAATAGTGCCACAATAAAAATATGTGTGCATGTGTCTTTATAGCAGCAGGATTTATAATCCTTTGCGTATATACCCAGTAATGAGATGGCTGGGTCAAATGATATCTCTAGTTCTAGATCCTTGAGGAATCGCCACACTATCTTCCACAATGGTTGAACTAATTTACAGTCCCACCAACAGTGTAAAAGTGTTCCAATTTCTCCACATCCTCTCCAGCACCTGTTGTTTCCTGACTTTTTAATGATTGCCACATATACACCATGGAATACTATGCAGCCATAAAAAAGGATGAGTTCATGTCCTTTGTAGGGACATGGATGAAGCTGGAAACCATCATTCTCAGCAAACCATCATAAGGACAAAAAACCAAACATCGCATGTTCTCACTCATAGGTGGGAATTGAACAATGAGAACACCTGGACACAGGGCAGGGAACATCACACACTGGGGCCTGTCATGGGGTGGGGGGAGGGGGGAGGGATAGCATTAGGAGATATACCTAATGTAAATGAAGAGTTAATGGGTGCAGCACACCAACATGGCACACGTATACATATGTAACAAACCTGCACATTGTGCACATGTACCCTAGAACTTAAAGTATAATACAAAAAAAAAAGTGATTCAGCAACAGTTAAATGAGTGGAGGTGTCTTAAAGGTAATCTCATTATTCTCGAAGTATCTCTAAGATTGAGACCCCAGATTTATGGACTGCCATCTCCTACATGAAACGATAAAGAGAGAATAAATCTATGTTCATATGCACAACTGGGCCAGAGGATCCAGTTTTCATTTGATTTGAACAAGTAGAAAACGTTCATCAGGCTTTAGCCAAAATACTACATATTGATTTAAGTTAGTCAATTAAAAATGGGCAAAATGACAAAACTGCTACATAAGTAGCCATGCTACACACCTGAATACACGCATCATGTCCAACAAGCAATTACTTAATTTTACTCTGTGCTGTCGCTTGTTTGCTTTCAGAACACTGCACATATGATAACGAGCTTAATGTTCTGCTTTGCCTGTAGCATTTTCACTGATGCCCATGAAATTCTGAACCATATGATTTTATATTCTATACTTTCTATTTTTCATTATCCAAAAGTATAATTTTCTACTGTGTTCTAGTAAACAGTCTACTGTATATGTATGAATGAAATAATGTCTTTTTCCACAGTGATGCAAAGAACTTTCACTCTTTTTTACAAAAAAGAACATGCCTATGTTGCAGAATCAAGCTTTTTGTACATATTAAACTGCTTACAGTTTGTACATAGTAAACTGTAAGTAGGTACAATCCTTTTAAACTTGTGAGTTACTTAACAAAAATATCTTCTTAATTAGAAAATCAAACTATTTTCTCCTTTCATTTGACGTAATGACCCCATTGCATGGTTTTGGGACAACAAAGATACTTTAGTATGAGCAAGTTAACTTCAATATTCATGGAAAACTACAAGGTCAAAACTCTCCCTATCTCAGTGGTGAGTGTGGGGCTCTGCTTTGTAAAAAACAAATGGACAGAAGCAAAGGAAGTTATGTTTGTCCTTCCACAACCATAGCATGCATAGACCATCTCGACTACAGGTAGGTAAAGTTTTACAGTCAAACTCCAAATTCCAGATCTTCAACCACGCGGTTACAGTGGGGCAGCCACGTTTATAAAGTGAGACCCTCCTACCCTCTCTGGCCACACTGATTGGACCAGGCAAAAGCATCTGACCCAAGCTGGGCCAATGAGCCTCTTCCATTTGAAACTACCAGAAATGGAGAGTGAAAGAGCTTAGTTTTAACTTGGCTGTATTTGACTGCAGGGTATATAATTTTGGAAAAAGAATGCCAGGATCTTTTTCTTTTCATCAGGTGGTAAATCGAAGGCTCATCTGCAATGATGAAGACTAAAACTCCCCCCTGGAGTGAAGCAAGGCTGAGAGACAGAAGAGAGAATGTCCTGGGTTCCAATCAGAGAGGAGGACTGTGGTTCATTGCAGTGGGGCGGACCAAGGGGCTCCCTGGTCCCCTGCTTCCAAGAGCTCCCATATCCTGGTAACCAAATCTCTCCTTCCTTTTATTTCCAAAATTCCCCCAATGGGTTTTCTATTATTTGTAGTCAAGAGAATCCTGACCACAAATCACAATACTAAATATTTTTGAAATCCAAAAAGATATAAGGAGAGTGTGAGTTTAATAATTATTAACAGCTGGTCTGAGGCTTGAGACTGTGAAAGTAATAAAGTCATGAGAGGATTTCCCTTGAAGTACGTCAGTGCGAGTGGCTCACATTGTCATTCATGCTTTGTCGTCACCCTGTGAGGATGTGTATCATTAGAAGGATGAGGCTACCACGAAAACATTTTTTGAATAAACCATCTGAAATCGCCTTCAGCTTCAACAATGACTTTTCTCCATAATATAAGAAAGGTGATTGTGCAACACTTATCGCAGCTCTCACAGCATTCCTAGGATATGGGGATGTTTTCTCCTATTTTGCAGATAAATAAATACATAAATAAATAAATAAATAAATAAATAAATAAAAAGCTTGACTTGGAGAACTAATTTGCTTCAAATCACACAGCTAGTCAGGGACAAAGAAAAGCCTTGGACTCAATTCTTCTGGGTTTTAAGCAAAGCATTTTTTCTGTGATACCTTGCCCTTGTTCCTGTCTGTTTGCTAGGCAAGGATATTGGTTTCATTGCATTTAAAGGTTTTGAAAGTGCTTAATGAGTTATTTTATCATTTTGGAAAGGAAGTGTTAAGAAAGACATTATTTAACTTACTTTTATTCATATTTTTATATTGTGTAAAAATTGCCAGAAGACATAGAAGCAGAACATTTTGCCTTAATAGTGTCTTAAAGATCCCTAGCTGGTAGCCCCCAAAAGAAGTCTGCATTGAGACATGGTTTTACTGAACATCTGGAAATGTGCACATTCAAATACAGGAATAAGAACTTCATTTTGTAACAAAAACAATAATTATATAACACTTCTTAATATTAGCTATCACTTCCTAATATTTTCACTGTCACACTGAGCTAAATTTTAATATGAATTATCTCACTCAATCCTTAAACCAATCTGTATAAGGCAGGCAACATAACTTTTCCAAAGTTGTACAGGGAACAAGAAACAAAACTAGGACCCAAATCAAGGATTCTCTGATGATCTCCATGCTTGTAATGTTCTCTTTCTTTTTCCCCCACCAATATGTGGACCACGGTCTTCTTAACAAAATAGCTGCAATATGTGGTATTAATCATTATGTACACACACAGACACATACACAAATACAAAGGAGATTTGCTATTAACTTAGATTGTACAATTAAAAACCAAAAGCCAGTCATTACTGTATGACTTAAACCAGAACCTGTGTTCTATTCCAATATCAGGTAAATATGTTATTACCGAACTAACAATGTAAGAAAAAAATATAGCTTCAATGATGAAGCAATACCACATGTTAGAAATATATCAACTTACCAAAGTGAATGCTTGAAATTGATGCAAAAGCAGAGGTCAAGTGCTAACAGTTATACTTCTTGACCTGTGCAGTGTTTTCCTTTCAAGATGTGTGGCACCCAAAGCAATGGAATGACTCAAAAATATTGTAAGTTTCTGGGAGCCACATCTGTGCAAAAATGGGACCAATTCAGTCATACAACTGGATAATATGTTGAGCAAATCCAGTGAAACCCCGTTATGTCACCATGTATAGCATCCCAAAATACAGGCCATTCCTGACTCTCAAGTTTGAATGTTGCGAGTTTGCAGACAAAGACAAAGATAACGTCTCTGGGAACATGTTCTGAACACTGCCCAGGGCCTGTAGAGCAGACAATCTCATTAAGTGAGGCTGCTCATGGTTTGAAGATGAGCATTGGTCTTGCTGCCCTCTAAATGAAGACATAGGACCCTCAGTTGCATCCTTATAAGTGGGCCAGGTACAGTGAGAGGGAGACATGGCTTACGGAATTACAGACATATTACAGAAGAAATAGAAAACTTTATAAGCATGAGGCTGTCATAGAACCTTGGATTTTGGTAACAGAGGCAGAGAGCTTCATTTTTGAAAAAAGTCTCTGAGGCAGTCATCATGAAAAAGCAGCCCTTTGAGTACAAAGATAAATGTTCACTTGGGAGATGTCACCTTCAAGCTTTATTTCTGATACTAGTACAGGGAGTGATCCTGTCACAAAATAGAGCTGCCCCTTGTAGTGCCCGAGGTCTGAATGGCCTTGAAACTGGCCTGCCTTGCAAGAGCAATTGGCCAACTCTCAAGGGAGGCAAACATCTGTACATATTTTTTGATGATCATGTATCTCACTAATAAAAAAATTACTAATCAAAGAGGAAGGTGTTTGCAGACTACTTATATGAAAAAAGACCTGAAGTATATCAATGTTATTATCATGATTAACCTAATAGAGAACTCGTCTCTTACCTAAAAAATGTACTCTATTTCTCACAAAATTCTTAAATTGGTGATGTACATGAGTGCTTCTACAGGGTATTAGATTTAGCTGTTTCAGCTGTTGAGTTGGTTGACATTTGTATTGCTTACTGTTGTCTTGGTCTCTCTGTTTATGTGCAGACAGTCTAACAGTAAAACAAACAAACAGACAAAACCAAAACCAAAATTTCAAGAGTGGAAAGGAGTTTTTCCCCAGATTGACATTCAAATTCATCTGACCACGAGTTTTGGGAGGCATGACATATGATGCAGTGTGAGTATTCTATTCTTGAAACTAGGAAGTAAGGTGCACACCAGCCCAGCCAAGCCTGCATAGATGATAATGTGTTGTCTCTGTTTAATGCCGTTATTAATATGAAATGCTTCCTCATTGCATCACCTTAATTTGAGCTTTCAGCAGGATGGTGACAGTTACACTGCTTTAGTAAAGCACATAGCTAGAACATCATGGGAAAGCACTTATATAAAAACTCTCTCTTTCCTTCTTTCTTTCTGGCTTGCTTTCCCTCCTTTGCTGCTGGTGACCACCCATGCTTGAGCAGTGTTTTGGCTGCTTTCCCACTGATGAGTTTTCCAAACCTTGTCAGGAGCTGGCAGTTAAATGTTCTGCCGCCAGCTTACAGAAAATACAAGTTGGATTGCCTTGTTCCTGCTTTCTTTCAAACTTGCATGTTTATCCATCTTCACCTTGATTCCTAGAAGAGTCAAACATCTGATCCTCAGGTCAAGCCTGAAGGAAATGGTTGTCCCAGCTGAAAATAAGATCGATCCCAATTTGCTTTACAGTACTCTTGTTAAAGATCAGTGTGTAATATTTTCTCTGTGTGATGCAATGCTTCTTAATAAAAACAAAAAGGGATGTTTGACCTTAACTTTAAAAGGTCCAAGCAACAGTGACATTCAGCAGAGAGAATATTATTCCATTTGCATGGGTCTGATGAAAGAAATAATTCTGACATTGGATACCCAAGCATAGCTGAGAAGGGAGGAAAAGAGGAGAAATAAAGACAGAACAAGGCGACGGGCCCCAGCAAAACAACACACCACAAGGCATTCAATTCCAGATTAGATCTTGCTTTTATTCCCTTCTCTCAAAAAAGATGCTTTAAATTATTTAATGGAGAAAGGTAGTACTTTGAACTCCAGGAAAATCAAAATGTTACAGCTCTGAGGGGTTTTTTGGTCTTATGTATCTTGTGAATAAAACCAGCTTTAAAAAAAAAACTAAAACACAAAGTTGTCTCATCTTTTATAAAAGCAAGTTCAAACATTTGGTACAGATGAAGGCTGGTCAAGCATTTAAACACATAATTTCAATGTCTGATGGCTCTAGAATAAAAGGCACTTGATTCAAAACGGAATGTCATGTTGGTCAGCAATATATGCTTCCACTAAATAACCAAATACACAAATTGAAATAAAGTGAAATTCTTTTTCCAGAGTTAATGAAAGGTTCCTGTTTGTGAATTTGGGGCTTTGAAGTCCAAGGCTTCCAAACAGCACCAGGAATTTACTGGTGATTTATTACTATTTGGACAAGTGGCGAACAGAGCATTACTCTACGGAAAGTCCACATTCCCTACCTGTCAAGGGAGCCTTCCTGAAATGGGGACACCAGCTCCCCTTGCTGCAACTCCTCTTAGGGCTGTGCCTCAGGTGGGGTCCACATAGTCTGGTGTGGTCATCTCTCCTGGGCCAGCGCCCTCCCCCTCTCTCTGCTCTAGCCCCTGCCCTATCCTGTGTCGCTCATCTCCCAGTTGCTCTTCCCACTCACCCCAGGTTCCAACAAAGCTCACTTTCTCTGCCCTGATCCTTTCTTTGTGACACTTGGGTTATACCATGAACTGATTCCAGGGACAGTTTTGCCTGCATTACTGCTCCATAATAACTGAATGTGGAGAGACGTTTTCAGACCCTTCTCAGTTTCTCCCAGGTGGCCAATTCCACACATACAAATAGTGGCCACTCTCCCTCCCCATGCCTAGATGCCCACAGTGTGCATCCTGGGAAAGGACCATGCCCTAGAACTGGCTAGACTGAAAGGACCTCTGGGAGACAGGGGCTTCCCTGACATGGGTGGGTTCTGAAATAAGAGCATCTGTGTGCTCAGGTGTTGGGGCACTCACAGTCATTGCTGGATGGGACCCAAGGCAGCGACTCAGGGTGGGGGTGAGTATGTGTTTTGACACCACTCACATGAGAGTGACTGGACAACCCCCCCCATAACTTACTACAGTATGGTCTTACATAAAACTGATCATAACACATTCACAAAGCTTAGGGGTATTACTGGATTATTTTCTTATTGTGTTATTTGCTTGGAAACAACATGATTATAATGACCATTAATATAAACTACCACCAATAAGCCATAGAATGATTACCTTATCTAAATGTTCAGTTTGCTATTTTTTGAGTCTCTGGTTTTACATATCCTCACATGATCCATCTCAATCAGTGCACGTATGATAGACTCCTGCAGGTATTCTTTTGTGAAGTGGCTATCCAGATGTAAAAAAAAGTACAAGACAAAAGCTGTCATCAAGGGATTCATGGTTTAGTTGAAGATAAAAGAATAGGCCTTAAAGGAATCCACGAGTGAGGTTACCGCGGAGAACAGAGAACTGCAGGGAGTTTCCGCGTGGAGCCCCCCGAAGCTGGACAGTGAGGCTGCAGACCCTGGCTGTTCACTAACTGATGTGTATGACCTTGACACATAGACTGGTGACAGGACCTCTGAGCTTCAGCTTTCACATCCAAAAAGTGAAGACGATGTGGCACCCACCTCACAGGTTCCAAGGAGCATGAAATGCCATCACTGTGCTGTACTTGGAGCTCTAAAATGTGTGGGGAAGGGTATCCACAACAATGGCTGATAGAACGTCCTGGAGTCACAAAGAACAAGCACTCTTAGGAAAGGTGCCATTTTAGTTAGATATGACACAATGAATCGGGTTTGGATCAGGAGGGAAGGACTGTCTATTTCAGGAAGTGGAAAAAAGAAGAATGAGCAATAAGTCTTCATCTGCCTTTGTGTCCCCACATTATGTCTTGTCTTCCAGGTCTTATGGAAACACTTCCCTCATGTAAAAGAGAAAAAAATAAACATAGTCGTATTACATTTTGGGTGAAACATTTAAAATCAGAGACATCACGCACAGCTTTGCTGCATACTAAAAGCCTAAAGGAGAAAGAGGAACAGAAAAATGTTGTTTAATTTGAATGGATGTTGGAGGAAAGAATGATCTTCAAATAGTTCAGAGTCCTGTCTTTTGGCTGAAATCCATTTCTAAGTAAAACTCTCCATAGTGCCCTCCCTGCCCTTCTTCCCCACCCTTCCTGTCCTAACCAGCTCTTCCCCAGAACAGCTCTCACCTTCCCAAAGCAGAATAAAGCCCAGGACAATGTTGAAGGAAAACTGCACTTTTACATTTCTAGATGATTTCCTAACAGAAAATATATGAACTCTCGGAACTAAAACTTAGCTGAGGATTCCAAGCTCCAACCTAGGACCTGAAGAAACCAAGTTCATTGGGTGACTTACAAATGTGTTGATTATAACTCTCTTCATAGAATGACATCAGGACATTTGAATATGAAATTAAAGAATTTACTCACCCGCCTTTATACTTCCATCAGGCCAAGCAGCTGGAAAGACAGTTTTTGCTTTTTTCAGAACATTGGGATATTCACTTTCATTAACATTAAACAAGCTGAAAAGTTGTTGAAGTTTCCTTGAGATGTTTGTAAAGAATAGTGGAGCAAACATTTGGAAATTTGGGCGAGGCAGGATGCATCTCCAACACTGTACTAGACTCTTGCTTTTTAGTAAATGTTATGTCTGGCTTCACTTTGAGTGTGAAGGATGAATGTTTTTCAAAACTCTCATTGCTGTACAAATATGATGTGTTAATGCCTCAAAATCACTGTTTACCCAGCTGCTTCCATGTAAGGTACCTGGAACTCTCGCCAGAACTTTTTCTCTTTATGCATCTACTCTCATTTTCATTGCCATTTCTGTAGATTATTTTAAGAGGCAAAAGAAGCATCATGATTTTGAGGAGGTGGCTCCAGATACTCTTAATATTTCCACAGGCACCAAATCCCAGCTTGATGGCAGGATGGAAGTTAACTTGGGTAACATACACATGATTAGAGAATCCATCATCGGGGCATTCCCACCCACAATTTTCCTCCCAAGATTCTGTTATTCTTTTTTAGGACAAAGACTACCCAGGGGACGTCATTGGAAAGTCTCATGTAGCTATGAACCAAAACTTTCCTGCAGAAAACCCTACAGCTATCCTTCTAATGAGATATGTTCAATCTCAGAAGCCTGAAAAAGTGGAAATACTAGGTTGGCACAGTTAGAATAAAATTCAGGAAAGATTCACATAGTTGGTAATTGAAGCTATAACCATGCAAGAGGTCACAAAGCAAGAGAATAGAAAGAGAGAAGGCCCAGAGCCGAGCTGCAGGGTTCTCCAACATTTAAAGATCAAGAGGGTGGTTTATTCAGGTATGTTATACAACAATTCAAAATCTTTAAAATGTAAGGTATTATGTCTGAAGTGGATCAGTGAAATGAGAGATTCAGAAAGACTCCAGTGAGTCTGGCATCAGAATCAGTTACTGCGGCGGTGTGGCATGGGGTGGGGACAGAGTGGAGAGGAAAATGGGAACTAGGAACCCCCAGCACCCCTCCACAGGTGCTGAGGTTGGTAAGGTTCTGCAGCCCAAGGTAATCTCTATGCAGTGCATACCTAGTCACCTCCAAAAGGCAAATGGAGAGTTTCAAGTGATGCTTCACTTCCAGGATCAGCAGACATTTCTAATCATCTTTACAACCTCCCTAGTAAAGATGTTCAGAGGCTTTCCATGTCAACAGCAGGCGGCTTATATTCCAGAAAGTTAAGTCTGTGCCATTCTCTGCCTGAGCCAGTATGTTACGAAGAGCATTACCATGGCGATTTCACATTCTGAAACTGTGCTTGTCTCTTAAATGCCACGTGCCAATGAGTCATAGAGGTGTTTTGTTCTAGAGCCATGTACCCCCCAAAAAGGGAGTTTGTACATATTTACCAAGAAACTATTATTATTGTCTACAGTTCATGCAGTTACAAAACTATCTTTGCCTCCTTTTACTCACAATTTGAACCCAATCTTTTCTAAGGTGCTGGCCTCCCAATATTGCTGTAGATAATTCAGCCTTGGTTTCTTATGATTAAAGATTATGACTCACACCAGCCTACAAGCCTGGAGAATTATACTGAAGTTGATGCCTCACGATGATCCGATCTGGAGATTCCATACATAGCATATTCTGCTACTACCATGAGAGACTTTTATATTGACGCAAATCATGTATTTACCTCTTTATGACAATTAAATTACAAAATAGTCCATGCAGTGATCCATAGTATCATCTCATCTTGATAAGGAAGGGTTAGGTAGAGGAAGAATTGCTGGATGCTTTTAAGTCATCCTCCAACATGAACCAGCTTCTTATAAAAGATGAGACAGTTGCATTTATATATCCAAAGCTAGCTGCTATATTTTCTAAGTCATGTCTCAAGTAGAGCATCTAGAAAAAACCTGTATCAGTAGTGCTTAAGTCTGGCACTGCAGGGAAGCTGGTTTAAAATTACAGAGCCTCTGTAATTTTCAAATGTTCAAAACATCCAACCTAGAGCCTGGGAATCTGTATTTTTAATGAGCATCGCTCATGCATTGCTATGGAACACACATTGCATATATAGCATTTTCTAACATATAGGATCAGGCCAGAGGAAGAATGTCTGTGTATGAGAACTCCCTAAATGATGCACAGTTCCACTGTCTGGTTACAGTTGAAACCGTTTTTGTACTTACTACCATCCCATGCAATGTCACTGGTTACATACGGTTTACCAGATGTGATTATTACTGCACTCATCTTGGTTGATATATGGATAATAAAAGGGCCTTATTAGAGGTTTTTATTATGCCCCACAATCTTCAAATACCTGCTGATTAGAAAAGTTAGAGCAGTTATCTAAGAGACCCTGAAGGATGTCTTCAGTGTATGTCATCAACAAACCCCATGATTACTCCTCTCTTGGCTTGGCACTTTGGTGGGTTAACAATGGAGAGGTGTTGCCGGGCTTGCTCCCACCACCTCCACATACTAGCCCGAGGCTTGGAAGGATGTGTTCCAGGCATTGGCCCGGACTGCATCTATGTATTCCTTTCTTACACAGGATCTCGTTGTCTGTGGGATCTTTGTCTGTCATGGGTGATCCAGGAGAGACCAGCTGATGGCTGATGGGGTCACCTCAGCAGCCCAGGAGATATGTGTCCTTCAGGTTGTTTTTGACAACAGCAAAACCATCAGGAGCATCCCCTCCATGATGGGACTTCTCAGAGTGTGGTCCCTGGATTCCTGCATCAGCTTCCCCTGGGTGGTTGCTAAAAAACACTCAAAGGCCAAGCATGGTGGCTCATGACTGCAATCCCAGCAGTTTGGGAGGACAAAGCAGGAGGATCACTTGAGGCCAGGAGTTCCAGACCAGCCTGGACAATATAGTGAGACCTTGTCTCTAAGAAACTTAAAAAAGAAAATTAGCCAGGCATGGTGGCTCATGCCTGTAGCTACTCGGGAGATTGAGACAAGAGGAAAGGTTGAGCCTGGGAGTTCAATGCTGCATTGAGCTATAATTGTGTCACTGCACTTCAGCCTGGGCAACAGACCAACACCCTGTTTTATATCATAATAATAATATAATAAAAAAAATAAAAAGCACTCAACTTCTGAATACCTCCCCAGGCCTACTGAATGGGAATTTCTGCTGGCCTCTGGAATCTGTTTTTAACAATTTATCCTGGTAAGTCAAATATACAGTAATGTTTTGGAATGAAGGTGCTAATTACAGAGGCTGAAGGGGAAGGAAGCAGTAACTTGCCGCCTTTCACCATGCCCAGCTCTGGAATAACACAAGGAAGCCTTGGAAGGGTGAGCTCCACTCTAGTACCTGGCTGTTAGCATAGGAGTATTATTGCCAGATCCTAAACCCACCACACCTTCGGGATTACTCATCTCAATAAATGACATTTCCACTTTATTTATGTATTTATTTATTTTGAGACAGAGTCTGGCTCTGTTGCTCAGGCTGAAGTGCAGTGGCGCGATCTCTCCCGGGTTTAAGCGATTCTCCTGCCTCCGCCTCCCAAGTAGCTGGGATTACAGGCACCTGCCACCACACCCAGATAACTTTTGTATTTTTAGTAGAGACTGGGTTTTGCAGTGTTGGCCAGGATGGTCTCAAACTCCTGACCTCAGGTGATCCGCCCACTTCAGCCTTCCAAAGTGCTGGGATTACAGGCGTAAGCCACCGTGCCCAGCATTTTCCACTTCTGAGGGTCTCTTTAACTCTTTTCCTCACCCTCCTCATCCAAAATACAGCAGGAAATTCTGCCTGCTTTCACCAAGTGCCATCACTTTTACCACCTTTGCCTGGACCATGGCAGGTGGCTCTGCTTCTCCCTCCAGGCCCCTCACCCACCACTGTTGATGTCCATGCAGCAGCCAAACTGCTCCTCTGAAAACAGGGGTCAGGATATGTGATATCCCAGCCCAAACTTCTCAATGACTTCCAGCTTCACTATAGAATAAAACTGAATGTCCTTACAGTGGCCACCAGGTCCCTAAATATCACATCAACCTCTGAGAAGCCACACTGACTTCTCAGACCTTCCTTGTCTCCCTCCACTTCCCCAGGACCTGCCCCGCTGCCGCTCCTAAAGGACATCAGACTTGCCTCCCCCAGGACTTTGCAGGGCTGCTCCCTCTGCCTGGAATCCTCCACCCACAGAAGCCCCTCCATTCATGCTGGTCTCTGCACAAATGGCATTGCCCTGTGGCATCTCAGGACCTGTCCTGTAGAGCTTCCCACCACTTCTTCTCACTTGCCTTACTTCACTTTCATTCATAGCACATTTTATTTCCTGACATGTATGTTTTATTTGGTCCAGTTCTGTTGAGGGCCCTCTCCCAAGAAACAAACTGCCAGTTTCTCACTGTATCTTCCACGGCACAAAAGGAGTTGGCTAGCTAGCTCTCTGGCCACTGCTGCTGCTGCTTCTTCTAAATAAATTTTATCATGCATATTTGGGGCTTACAACATGATGTTATGGGATAGGCGCAGTAAAATGGTTACAACAGTGAAGCAGTTTAACCTGTCATCTCACTTAGTTACTTTTTTTGTGGCAAGAGCAGCAAAAATCTACTTACTTAACAAAAATCTCTAATGCAATGCAGTGTTATTAACTTTAGTCCCCAGGATGTGCATTGGGTCCCTAGACATGCCATACTACATATCTGCTATTTTATATCCTTTCATTTATATCTTCCCATTTCTTCTACCCCCACCCCGCCCCTACCACCACCTGTGGTAACTACTGTTTCATTCTTTGCGTATTTGAGCTTTTAAAAAACGTTCCATCTATAAGTGAGATCATGCCATATTTTTCTTTCTGTGTCTGGCTTATTTTACTTGGCACAATGTCCTCCGGGTCCATCTATGTTGTGGCAAATGGCAGAATCTCCTTTTTAAAGGCTGAATTATATCCCTGTGTATGTGTATATACCACATTTTCCTCATCCATTCCTCTATTGATGGGCATTGAGGTAGTGCACCTAATGCTGCAATAAACATGGGAATGTTGATACCTTTAGAAGATGGTGATGTCATCAGATATATAGCCAGAAGTGGGCTTGCTGGGTATTACGGCAGCTCTATTTTTAATTTCTTTAGGAACCTCTATGCTGTTTTCCATAATGGCTGTACCAATCTACACTTCCACCAGCCATGTACTAGGGCTTTATCCATACCCTGGCCAACATTTATTATCTCTTGCCTTTCTGATAATAGCCATCCTTACAGCTTGGCTATTTCAGAGAGTCAGAGATATTACATAATATCTCATAGTGATTTTAATTTGCATTTCCCTTATGATTAGTAATCTTGGACACCTTTTCCTATACTTATCGGCTGTTTTTATATCTTTTTTGGAGAAATGTCTGTTCGGGTCCTTGGTCCTTTTTTTTTTTTTTTGAAACGGAGTCTCACTCTGTTGACCAGGCTGGAGTGCAGTGGTGCAATCTCAGCTCACTGCAAGCTCTGCCTCCTGGGTTCACGCCATTCTCCTCTCTCAGCCTCCTGAGTAGCTGGGACTATAGGCGCCCACCACCACGCCTGGCTAATTTTTTTGTATTTTTAGTAGAGACGGGGTTTCACTACTAAAACCAGGATGGTCTCGACCTTGCTCCATTTTTAATCAGGCCATTTTATTTTCTGCAGTTGAGTTATAAGAGTTTCTTACAAATTTTGGGTATTAACCCTTTATCACATACTTGGATAAGATAAGGATCCAATTTCATTCCGGTCTCATAAAGGCATTAATCCCACTCATGGGGGCTCTATTCTCATGACCCGTATTAGTCAGGGTTCTTCAGAGGGACAGAACTAATAGGATATATGTATATATGAAGGGGAGTTTATTAGGGAGAATTGACTCACATGATCACAAGGTGGAGTCTCATGATAGACCGTCTGCAAAGCTGAGGAGTGAGGAAGCCAGTAGTGGCTCAGTCAAGCCCCAAAGCCTCAAAAGTAGGGAAGCCAACAGTGCAAAGCCATCTGTGGCTGAAGCCATCTGTGGCCAAAGCCCCAAGAGCCCCCAGCAAACCACTGGTATAAGTCCAAGAGTCCAAAGGCCAAAGAACCTGGGGTCCGATGTTCAAGGGCATGAAGCATCCAACATGGGAGAAAGACCACAACCACAAGACTCAGCAAGCCAGCGTATTCCACCTTCTTCCACCTGCTTTTTTCTAGCTGTGCTGCCAGTTGATTGGACGGCGCCCACCCAGATTGAGGGTAGGTGTGTGTCTCCCAGTCTGCTGACTCAAATGTTAATCTCCTCTAGCAACACCTTTACAGACACACCCAGAAACAATATTTGCATCCTTCAATCCAATCAAATTGACACTTTGTATTAACCATCACATGACATAATCACCTCCCAAAGGCCTCACCTTTGAATACTAGCACATTGAGAGTTAGGATTTCAACATATGAAATTTGGAAGGACACAAACATTCAGTCCAATACACTGCCCTGCTAATTCAAATGGTGCCTGGCACACAATGGGCCATGAGTAACTGTTTGTTGAGTGAATAAATGAATGAGTGCTCGGACACTGACACTGTGCTTGGAAATTGCTGGAGGAGCTTGTGAGTTAGGTATTGACTTTTGTGTTTTGCTTGGATCATCTTGGTGAATTCTCACCCAGTCCTGTGTTGTGGTTGTTCTTGTCTCAATAGAGACAAGTAATCGTGGCCAATCGTGGCACATGGTGCCTTTCCCTCTTCTTTCACTTCACTGGGGCCACTGTAGTAATGTGGACCTATGATTGACAGCTGGTAGCCCAGGATACATTTCAGCTGGAAGCTCTGCTGCTCCTAGGGCCCACATTTCACCAACACCACAGCTGACATTTTTCAGAAGCCTACTCCACTTCTAGCCTCATTTCCACATCTCCCTTTCCCACGTGATTCACATCTTCTGATTCCTTCTCTGCTTCTTACATTCTCAACATGCTTTGTGAGCTCCAAGGTCAAGGGCACCTCATATTCCCTCTTCCCATTTGCTGGTGTCCTCTGTTACTGCTGCTGCTTCCCCTCCCTTAGAGCCATCCATGGAAGTGGTGCCCAGAAACTTTCAGAACATGTTATTTGCCAGATGGAAGATGGCCAGTGTCAGAGCTGTGTATAGGAGACCTGTTTGCAGAGCATGGATTTTTCCAAAGGTTTGCTTCTGGGAATGCATTTGAAATCCACTCATCTAAAGTAGACTTAGAGTGGAGGCTTAGGACACAATTTCCCATTTCTAACTCAACTCAAGGCCCTTTCCTGCACAAATTTCCCTTTTTCAACCTGCTTTGGAAGCTTTAAATGGAATGAATTTAAAGAGATTTAAAATAAATTTGATTAAGTAATTTGAAAAACAAAGAAAAGGTAGCAGCTGCCTAGATCCCCATCTGCTCTGATTTGTCTGCAAGAAGATAGGATGTTTCTTTCTCTCCTCTGTTCCTAGTATTCATCTCATATCTGACATCCCCAACAGAAAATGCACTCCATTCTGCCTGCAGTAGTCCAGAACCATGCCAAATGAGAAACACAAACACAGGCGTGATTTATGAGGTCCTCTTCTCTTCCCTGTGATCTTCTCTGTAGTGCCATTCTCTCCAAGGTCCTGAGGTAACAGATGTCCCCATTAACTCAGCCAGGAGGGGCTGAAAGGCACATCAGACTAAAGAGAGAGAGAGAGGTAAAAGGTCCTAGCTCCTCAAACTGAGTGCCAGTGGATAGTGTTGCACAGAGTGGGAAGAGGGCTCATGGCAGGAGCCAAACCCAAGTGTCCCACGGGATGTGTGTCTTGAGACAACATGGCCAGCCCCACCCCTCCCCTCATCCCTCAGTGAAAATGACATCCAAGTGGGACAGCCCAGTGCCATGGCAGCAAGACAGCTGGAGCTGGAAGCACAGAGGGGTGGAGAGATCTCTGTGGGCTGGTGGTGGGGCCAGGGCTGGTGGTGGGGCTGCTGGTCTATGTGGTCACCCCCAGGCACCTGTTGTGCCATGGGATGCATGGATGGATCTACAGTAGCGTGACCGTGAATGTGACTGTGATGGTTAGTGGTGGTGGGGATGGAAATGCTTCCATGGTAATTCAGTCTTAATCTTGACTCAGACTAGCAGTGCAACATTAAACTTCTGTTTGAGGCGGTACTGTAAAGGCGCCCAACATCAAGACTCTGCCCTTTGCGGGTGAGGACTGTGCGGTTCTCCTTCTGTCTTCCTTTTTTTTTTCAGAAGAGGAATTTTACTTTTACCCACTTATGGTAATATTTGCAATATCAGAATATAATTAGGTTAAATAAATCAAATAAGGAGTCCAGAAGAAACTGTTCTTGAGTTAAGCCAAGGACACACTGGCAATTTCGAGAACAGAGAATTCTACACATTAACAAAAAGAACACACAAGCTCAAATGCAAGTTTATATGGTGAGTGTTTTCAAAGGATTTAAAAAGCATGCTCCATCAGCATAATAGCTTTTTCTCATTTATGTAACAGATGCATTTCTGTCTGCTTGTGTACAGCAAAGGGTTAGAACCTGAATAAACTTATTTACAATTTCAGAAAGGTGCTATTTTAGAAATGTACTCCATAGAATTTACTTCGCTGCTCCTACCACTGATTCTTCAAATAAACAAAGTACGGAAGGTCTTATCCCTTGAAAATGTTTTTAAACACTAGCACTTTAAATTGAAACATTGGTAGAAATGTAGCAATGTCAGTTACAATGCCTATACTTAGTCTTATTTAAAATAAGAATTGAATGCACAACAGAAAATTTATCATTTTCTTTATCATTGGAGGGGAGGGAGAGAAAGCAAGCAGAGGTGGGGGTATGGTTACACTATTTAAGGAAGAGCTGAATACAAAGATAATGAGTCTTTCATAGTCTCAACAATTCCACAATGAATAACTGTGGATTATCTCATTTATGATTCACATTGGATAAAAAATAACTGGTTCCGCTCTGTGTATATCAATTTAATTCAAACCTTATTATCTTCAGAATACAAAGATGAATACTAGAAGATAAACTAACTGCAATAAGTATTTTCTAAGTAGAAGACCAAACACCAAGGGGAATCCCTCTTTCCAATGTCTTCTGATATGGCAAGATTTTGCCAGAATGGAAGTCTAACACTTAAATAAGCTTTCTCTTGGCCAAGTAAGAAACTACAGTTGTTGTGGGTATTACCCTACAATTACCATATGTATTACATATTAAATTAAACTCAGCATTAAATATGCTTGTATAATTACGCTGTTAATGATGATAGCAGTGATGATGCTGGTGGAAAAAGCCTGTCTTTAGCAAAAGAAAAGTAAGGGAGAAAAATGTAACAAGCAGAAAGCAAACACAGAGTTGGGCAATTTTTGACTAGGAAAGAGAATTTTAAACACTTTTTAAATCTTCAAAATATTTAAAACAAATTTAAAGGGTCTGTTAATTCATATATTTTTCTTTACTAATCATTTTGGATTTTTTTTCTCTGAATTATTGGGCAGGGAAGATACTTAGGTATGGAAGATTATTGCTCTAATTTGAGTGAAATAAAAGATATTAGTGCGAGGCAAACATAACTCATTTGAGGATAAAGTTTCTGTTGGATATGTGGCTCCTGATGCATTTTGACTTGTCTTTTAAAATGCTTTATCTTTTTCTTTAAAGATTTATTTCAATAAAACTAATTGGGACCACCTATATTTCAGTAGGACCTGAGTATGGATTGGAAGTACTTGGCAGGGCAGCAGCAATCTTGCTGTTTTATTTAACATGCATCCTTGGGCAGGTCGCCATTAAATCTTACACTGTGGTGAAGGGATGATTTTTTTTGTAATGCACAGTAGAGTTAGAGTACTTAGTTCTCTTGTTGTCCAGTATATCTAATAAGTGTTTCATATTATTTCCACATAAGGGAAATAAGGGAGTACTTTTCTTTTTCCTTCTGTCTTTCTATCTAGACATCACCATTCATCCATCACTTAGGCAGCCATTGATTCAGCATGTGTACTTGCATGTGCAAGTGTGTATGTGTGTACATGTGTGTGTGCCTGTGTGTGTGTGTACATTATCTACTGTGTACCAGGCCATATTTCCGGTATCAATCTCAGCTCCTCTTCTCCAGTACAAAGATTCCTCTTGTCTATAAATTTCTGTAATAGAGATTACTTTCTGTCACCAGATAGAAATTCTGTCTGGTGCTCAAATTGTTGTTGCTGTTTAATTTATAGTACATTTTTAGCTCTTTATTTCTAATTTTTAAATGTACACCGTGTGTCCCTGCAGGCACAGCTCCAGGAGCTCTGCATTCCCATGCAGGCTCAGCCACCACACACTGGAGCAAGTGTCATGTGGCCTCCTCTGTGATCATGACCACTCATGGCCTGAGCTGGCCACAGGGAAGAGCAGCTGGCCACACTTCAGGTTTATAAGCGGCTTTGAAAGCACCAAACATGATGTCTGACTCTCCCTGTCCTGTGATTCCCAGGGCCCAGACTGGGATCTACAGAGAGGAAGAAGGGACACAGGCTTCCTTATTACTCTCCTTCATTAATTCATTCACTAAACAAGTACTTACTGAGTGCCTACCAGTTGTCAAGTATGATGTTAGTGTTGCGAATCCAGAAGGGAGCAAAGCAGGAAAGTTCTGCTCTCAAGGAGCCACGTGTTCCTGTTCCCAGGAGCGTCAAGGAAGCCCCTGCAAGGTTGCGTCATCACTGCCAGCAACAGTTGAACAAATGGGAAAAGCAATCAGGGAATACTGTTTCACAGTACCAACTATTTACATATTTGGTAACAATTTAGTTGTTTTTTAGTCTTACTTTGATGATTTTTCTTTTCATTTCTTATCCAGTATTTTATTCAACAATTTTCTGCTGATTTAAATAATAAAATTGCTTATTTAAAATCAACAAATTATTACACTAGTGATTAAAAATAAATCAAAGTAAAGGTACATTCTAATGCACATTCTCCTTCTCTGCTGATGAGAATGTAAATTGATACAATCTTTCTATCCTTAAAACTTTAGTGCTCATTAATGAAATAAGTCACCCTTAAGCAATGTATTCTAAAGAAACAATCAGAGATTGTCAAGGATTTATATAAAGGATGTTCATGAATGTGATTTTAAAACCAAGGGAAATTTAAAGCAACCTCAATGCTCAACAATAGGCATTAAATTAGTGATGGCATATTTTTTTCATTATACTTTACGTTCAAGGAATACATGCGCAGAATGTGCAGGTTTGTTACATAGGTATACACGTGCCATGGTGGTTTGCTGCACCCGTGATGGTGTATTTTTGTGAGATAATATTATGCAGTTATTTAAAAGGATGCCTTTATAGTGTGATTTTTTTAAAAAAATAGTGTATCGGTAAAGAAAGTACTTTTGTATAAGACTCAATATGTGTTCATTAACAGCAAGTCTTGCCAAGCTAATTTCTTTTTTGAAGCAGTAACTAGACTAATGTATATGTGGAATTCAACACATCTAAAAGGGCATATAGAGCTTTTCATATACATGAATAGAGCTCCTGGAGCACCTGGTGGGTTGTGGTTGCCAAGTGCTGGAAATATACAGGTAAATAAAATATAGCCCCCATATTCAAGAAGCTCATAATGCAAAGATGGGGAAACAAACAAATGGAAAATTACAAGAATACAACGTTATTCAACAAATGTTGACCACACATTTACTGTACGCTGACTCTACAGCAGTGAACAAGCCATACATATGCCCTCCCTTTTGGAGCTGTTCAAACTCATTTTTAAAAGTTGATATAACAGAAAAGCTAAATTCAAGGAAGCACAAAAGCAAAGTTGCCTATCGAATATCTTCAGTCTAAATTTGGTGACCTGAGCGGGGATGGGAAAGTGGAGGATCATGAGTGAGTGAGACGTAGCACCAGCCCTCGGGAAGGGTGACAGCAAAATGTGTAGGGACAGAAAGACTAGAGAGGGGAAAACAGGGGAAGGAAGTCACAGGGTAGAAGGAATCCTGCTTTATAACAGGAGCCATCATCTTTTGAGGGTCGAGGAGAAGGATCCAAAAGAAAAATGAAGATTGAAGAATGAACACTAATACAAATAGATCATGGTCCTAAAAAGGAAAGACAGCTGAGTTCAAGGGCAAAGAGTTCACTTTGACAAGGAAAGAGGAAGTTAATCCTCAAATATGGCAGGCAAAGAAGGGGTCAGTAATAATAGAATCTGAACTGGAAATAAAGGAAGTTGATAAAGTTCATAATAAAAAATGGTAAATTTCAATCTTCCCAGAAATAATGAGCTCATCCCCTGTGAGAAAGGGCTTAGAAATGATAACTTAAGGGAACAAAAAGATCTATGGCAAACTTGCTAATTGACTGATCTCTTGCAAAACATTGAGCATTTACCATATTCTAAGTTCAAATACCCATGACTCTGGGAGGACATGGAGCTGGCCTTGGAACCAGTTCACATGATCAGGGGACCTGCAAACACACCTGGAACATCTACAGGAGCAATACGCATCACAGAAACATGCATGTCATGGCCAACACCCACACATGGCCTCAGAAAAGATAGGTAAGCTTGGCTGTCCCCTTACTTGCCAAGAATTGTCAGAAACTCAGTGTTGTAGAATAGAAAGACCGTGGGCTTAGGGTCGCATGGACCAGGTTGTAATCCAGCTCAGTGGTTCACCAACTGGATGGCCTTGCAGAGAGCTCAGTACCTGCCCAGCTCCTCCGTGGGCACCGAGGTGCTTGCCAGCCATGCGAAGCTGTGGAGCAGACCGATGAGGAGGTGGAGGTGAAGCATTGAACACACAACAAGAACTCACTACACAACTTATTTGTCTGGTTATGCTTTTTCAGATTTTGCTATAGGACAAAGATTGACTAACAGGAAGTGGCTTTAGGTTCAGATTTTCCATCGTTCCAGGTAGACTTATGAAGATGATACCTCTATTAATATTTAATGCTGTCATATTTTAGGTACAGCCACTGCAAACCACCCTGCCTAGAACCCATATTTATTTAGTAGGATCTATCTATCATCTATCAGTAAATCAAAAATGGCCTTACTGCCCAAGGTAATTTATAGATTCAATGCCATCCCCATCAGGCTACCAATGACTTTCTTCACAGAATTGGAAAAAACTACTTTAAAGTTCATATGGAACCAAAAAAGGGCCCACATTGCCAAGACAATCCTAAGCCAAAAGAACAAAGCTGGAGGCATCATGCTACCTGACTTCAAACTATACTAAAAGGCTATAGTAACCAAAACAGCATGGTACTTGTACCAAAACAGAGATATAGACCAATGGATAAGAACAGAGCCCTCAGAAATAATACCACACATCTACAACCATCTGATCTTTGACAAGTCTGACAAAAACAAGAAATGGGGAAAGGAGTCCCTATTTAATAAATGGTGCTGGGAAAACTGGCTAGCCATATGTAGAAAGCTGAAACTAGATCCCTTCCTTATACCTTATACAAAAATTAATTCACGATGGATTAAAGACTTAAATGTTAGACCTAAAACCATAAAAACCCTAGAAGAAAACCTAGGCAATACCATTCAGGATATAAGCATGGGCAAGGACTTCATGACTAAAACACCAAAGCAATGGCAACAAAAGCCAAAATTGACAAATGGGATCTAATTAAACTAAAGAGTTTCTGCACAGCAAAAAAACTACCATCAGAGTGAATAGGCAACCTACAGAATGGGAGAAAATTTTTGCAAAGGGCTAATATCCAGAATCTACAAAGAACTCAAACAAATTTACAAGAAAAAATAAAACAACCACATCAAAAAATGGGCAAAGGATATGAACAGATGCTTCTCAAAAGAAGACGTTTATGCAGCCAACAGACACATGAAAGAATGCTCATCATCACTGGCCATCAGAGAAATGCAAATCAAAACCACAATGAGATACCATCTCGCTCCAGTTAGAATGGCAATCATTATAAAATCAGGAAACAACAGGTGCTGGAGAGGCTGTGGAGAAATAGAAACACTTTTACACTGTTGGTGGGACTGTAAACTAGTTCAACCATTGTGGTAGATAGTGTGGCGATTCCTCAAGGATCTAGAACTAGAAATACCATTTGACCCAGCCATCCCATTACTGGGTATATACCCAAAGGATTATAAATCATGCTGCTATAAAGACACATGCACACATATGTTTCTTGCAGCACTATTCACAATAGTAAAAACTTAGAACCAACCCAAATGTCTATCAATGATAGACTGGATTAAGAAAATGTGGCACATACACACCATGGAATATTATGCAGCCATAAAAAAGGATGAGTTCATGTCCTTTGTAGGGACATGGATGAAGCTGGAAACCATCATTCTTAGCAAACTATCACAAGGACAAAAAGACAAACACCGCATGTTCTCACTCATAGGTGGGAATTGAACAATGAGAACACTTGGGCACGGGAAGGGGAACATCACACACCGGGGCCTGTCATGGGGTTGGGGGACGGGGGAGGGATAGCATTAGGAGATACACCTAATGTAAATGACCAGTTAATGGGTGCACCACACCAACATGGAGCATGTATACATATGTAACAAACCTGCACATTGTGCACATGTACCCTAGAACTTAAAGTATAATAAAAAAAAAAAGTAAATCAATCTATCTACCAATCTATCTATCTATCTCTGTGTGAAGGGTTTCTTAATGGTTATTTCCTTTCGTTTGGTTACTACTATGCCCTATCTTCTCACTTTCACTTAAAACAATACAGTTTTCCCCAAATTATCAGTACTTGCATAAATAAGTAACTAAAACATAAATAGTAATCCATAATAGTAATTAATACTAATTTTATTATTAATAAGTAATAGCAAGTAATAATAGTGCTTCCTTGACTATTTTATCACTTGCAATTTACTTTAAATACTGCAGCACAGACACTGTGGGATTACATGCCTGTTACTTGGGTTGAGCTAAAACTCAGGCCCTCACAGAATTCAACCAGGCAGGCACACTTGCCTCAGGTGAGAGAGGAAACCCCTCTGCTGGAACAAGTATTGCAGAGCTTCTGTTATCTGTATCTTACTTTGGCTTGTCTGATTAGCATGCAGATTTGGGTTAAACTTGTGGCTTGTTAATAAGCTGATGCATGCTTAAAAGTGTCCTCTTTTGGTGAAATTGAAGGTAATCAAAGTATGTGGATTGGCTAAAATATTATGGAAATACTCCCCTGTATTATAACAGGGTGTAAACAACCAAAGGATCAATGATATTTGGTGATTTTGCCTGAATCTTGATCTTTTTATGGTTCTGTGTCCAGCTAGGAATCCCCAGGGCTCTGCCTGCCTGAAGCTGTCCACACGGTTAGCAGAAGCCCCTCTGTGGAATTGCGGGTGTCTATCTCAAGTGACCTTCCAAGCAAGGTCTGAACACCTAACAGGACAGAAGCCTGAGACTTCAGTGAGCTCACAGAACAAGTTGTATGAGCTGCTTCTGTGCTTGCTTGATAATAACTCCTCAACCGAAAAGAGCTGGATGTGTCAGAATTTTCTTTGAAATTAGCTTTCCTTAGAGTCTACTAGCCAGATTGTAGGGGGAGAAGTGAATGCTCAGCCACCTCTAACCTCTTTAAAAGCTGCCATTTTCTACCAAAACAAAAACAAAAACAAAACAAAACAAAAAAGAGTTTTGCATGACCAAATTGCCTGAGGTCAGCTGGTATGCTAATACATTAAGCAATAATCATAAAAGTATTTCTACTAATATTTAAGTAAAAGTTCTCCTTGAATTCCAGATAGAAGGAGTTTCTACAGTAGAATTAACAATTTATTTAGTATGCTCAAATCCTCACATTTTGGTGTTCATGTCCATTAGATGGCTTTGAATTGTTACATTTGTGGCTTATGTATATGCTAGCTGAATTGTGCTTTGGCCTTTCTTTTCTGATCAGCCATTAATCTGGGTAAAAACTGCTGACTAAATGAGCCCCCTGGCATGTTTTCATATTTGACACTCTCTATCCAAATCCCTAGAGCAGAGATACTGGTGTAAGTCCTATAAGGGAAAGACAACGACTGTCTTGTTCGCTTCATATCCTCAATGCCCAACATGGTCTGGACCATAGTAAGTGCTCAGTAAATATTGGTGAAATGAATAAAAGAAACAAGGAATGAACGAGCATTTCTCCCTTTCTATTCATATTTGTGAGTGGCTTGCTGTCTTCCTATCTGTCTGCCCCATAGGCATCTGTATGGGAAGGACTGGCAGTTGGTGCTACTAAATAAACCCCATCTTGGGTAAATCACTGTCAATGTGTCTTCTCATCCCAGTTTGGTCTCCACTGGTTCTTGGGCAGAATTTCCCTGAGATGTATCCAAGTCACAGATTTAAAAACTGAAAAGAAAGTTTGAATTCTCTGGAAATTATAATGTACTCTTCTCAATGGGGCAAAAGGAAATTATACATATGAAGAGCTGCTTAAAATAAAAACAAATAAAAGCAAATGTCTCATTTCACCCAGTTTTGGAGGTCAAAGCTCTTGTCCATGTAAAGCAAAGAACTGAGGGTATAACTTATCTTGTGGAATCCTTGAAGAAGCCATTTCCTTGAGCACAAGACCCAAAATGTTCCTCAGAATGGCTTGTAAAATCCCTCGGAGGGTCCTATGTCCTAATTCAGAGGTGGTAAATCCGGGCTCTTGGTCAAACTCAGCCTGATGCTTGGTTTTGTAAATAAAGCTATATTAGTAAACAGCCACACCCATTCATTTACATATTATCTATGGCCACTTTCCCACAACAACAGCAGCATCAAGTTGCGCAGAGACCTTCCTGCTGGTAAAGCCTAAAATATTTACCATGTTTAGATAAAAGATTTGCTGACTGTATCCTAAGTGTCTGGAAAGATTTATCCATTAGCCAGGAGGGACAATGATCCTTTCTACATCATTAAAACAACAAAAATGATGGTAGAAGTTATATAACACACTTCAAAAGCACTAGGATTAATGTCAGACTTGTTTCAATTATGCCGATATAAAAAGAGTTGGATGTCTTGTTTGTTCATTTATATTGTGCCTCATTCTACAAAGGATGTGAGCTGGTATATAAAAACACATACAATATAATAAAAGGTTAAAAAATTAATAAAATTCTAGCCAGAGAAGATACAAATTAAAATAGGAGGTGGAAACAAAATGAAAGTGTTTTTCCATTTAGGATTTAACCTTTTAATTCTATATTATTTTATATTAATATTGCAACCACTGCCTTTTTCTATTTACTGTTCTATCAAATCTGTTTAGTTCTTTTACAGTTTTTTTACAATTATCAAATATTTCAAAAATTTTAAATAGTTTTTTGATTAATATTACAAACACTCATAACAACACTTAGATTTTTCAAACTAATATTCAAAATAAAGGTGCCATATTTGTTTGAACATTAAAAAAAGTACAATATTAGCTGGCACAGTAACTTTCCCTCATCCCACTGGCTTCTCTCACCCAAAAAGACCTCTGACCTCTGTCTTGAAGGTGGTTCGCATCTTTTCAAATCATATTTTAAAATTTATAACATGTGTAAGTAACTATTGTATATGGTGTTGCTTTCTGTTTTTTAAAGTTTACATGAATAAGGAATTATTTTATGCATAATATTTTCAACTTGCTTTTATTTCCCAACACTAGATGTTAGAAATTCATCTATGCTAAAATAAGTAGATTTAGTGTATTTATTTTAACAACTGTGTAGTAGTTAAAACATATCCCCAATTTGTTTATCCATTACCAATGAATAAACATTTGGATTGTATTTTAAAGTATTTTTTAAAAGCTTCAGTGGTCATTCTCATACCTTCCTCCTTGTGCAAGGCAGAGGTTTCTCTACGGCTTATTTTTGGAAGAGAGATGGGTAGGTCTCAGAGTATCTCATGAAGATGAACTTTACTAGATGATAGCCAAATTGCCCTCTGAAGTGCTTATACTACTTCCTATTTCCACCATTAGCAGAGAATTTTCCTATTTTGCTGTATTCTAAAGAGTAAACCCTCAAAAGGAGGTAGGGGCAGAACAGGAAACAGATAAAATTTAACAAGATACAGCTGGGGATTCTAAGAAGCAGTACCATGAAAGGCCTCTCAGGTCCTCCTGAAATGTCCTGACTTTACTCTGTAAACAGTGGAAAGCCTTCAAAATCTTTAATATGAATTTTCATTAATAGGGAAATATTCACTTTGCTTCTTTCTTGAACTTTAAACAAGTTGCTTAAGCAAAAGTTCTAAAAAACGGCCATAACCTCAAATATTTATTGATTCAGATCTCAGGAATCTAGGAGATTAAGGGCTAAGAATCAGGTGTGGGTGGCTCACTTCTGTCCTTAGTTTCTTGGCTATAATTTGCTGAATGTTCTCTTCCCCTCCATATCTGCCAGTTGGAAATCTTATGAGAAATGTTCCCTGTTCAAGGACATGAATGACAAGATCCGCATCCAGCACCCTCTGGGCCTATGGGGAAGCCACCAAAGTAGACTCACATTTTGTTTAAAATGATGGGTGATTGTTCCATCAAGCTCTGACGTTAATGGTTTCGGTTAATCTGATACAATTGAGACAATATTTTCTCTTGTCATTATTTCTTCATTTTTATCAAACGTCACTCACTGTTCTGGGTAAAGGCAGATCTAGCCTTCTTCTGAAGCTGCACCTCCAACTTTATGTGCTGACTTGGAAGGATGGCTGTTTACAGGACTCCTGGGCTGGTTCACCTTCCTTGGATACTCGAGTACTGGAGTGCTCAAATGCATACGTTCTAGAGACGGTTTGTTTCATTATAAGATGTGACTAAATATGAACCTGAAAGAGCCAATTCATAAAGATGGATCCCAAATGTAAATAGAGTTATATTAGTAAACTGGGCCCAAATTTAAAATAAAGCCAAGTAGCTATTTGCTGACTAGATGTCTCACACACACACTTTGAGTTCCCTGAAAACCGACACTTGTGTTCAGCTTTGGGACTCGGTTGAAGCTGAGCCCTTTCTCAACCAATCATTGTTCAGCTGCCTCAACCAATCAGGACTCAGCTGCCTTGACCAATCAGGGTTTATTTGCATAGGTGAACCTGATTGGGAACTTGGGCAGGAACTTTCAGTAGAAAACCAGAGCTCTCCCTTCGCTTTCTGGTACACAACTTAGTTTTTACACTGAAGGCTGCATGTCCCCAGTTTGCAGACTGTACACCAGAATAAAATCTCTTTTCTCCAAACTCCTTTTCAAAAAAATTTTCATTCACAGAAACATGTTCAACATTCTTTTTTCCCTGAGCAAACCCACTTAACTTTTCTCCTCCAGCCTTCCTAGGTCAGAGTCACAAGTTGTGCCAGAGGCAGAACAAACTAGACACTTAGGAACACAATAAATAGCAAGCATCTGCTCCAGCACCTCTGAGGAAGGTGTGTACATACATACAGAGTAGGACTTCTTTCATTTATGAATACTCTACATGTGATCTGGAGCCTTTTTCATTTGCAATTAAAAGAAAAAGACTTTAAAAATAGGAGAGATGAAAACAGAAGCCAAAACCCTAAGCAGTGTGGGTGGGGACGTGGAGCTGGGTGGGGACGTGGAGCCAGCCCTAAGGATGGCTGGGGACCGGTCCTCTGCTTCCTGCATCCGCTTCTCTCTGGTGCTTGCCTCGTTTTCCCTGGCCGACTGTCAGAGTGAAGCCGGGGTAATGGCTCCTTCTGGAACCGTGGGGCTTGCCTCTTCACATTACAGGGACCAGTGAGGAAACAGGACCCTCCACATTGATTCCAGCTACAGTCCTCATAGAGAACTCTGACTGGGTCAGCCTGGGTCAGGTGCCCACCAGGGTCCAGGGTATCAGAGAATGATGATTGATAGTTCCAACCTCAACAAACAAGTAAACAGGAGGAGTAAACATTTTACCTGAAAAACAAGAAGGGCTGTTCTGGACAGACAAAACCATAGATGTGATATACTCTGATTTTGCCACAAGGGCTTTATGCCACAACATACCAGAATTTTCCAGCCTCAGATAGCTTTGCCTTGACAAATGTTGCACGGTAAAGAATTTTCTTCGGTTACAGAATCCTTTTTTGGTTTTCCAATTCTAATGATTATTTTACTTGTTATTTCAAATACCTGAGCATCCTCTGAACTTTCCTCTGGCCTATGTATCTCTTGAAGGCAAATACTTGCTCCAAACATTACCCAAAACATGAAGGTTCAGGGGCTTTGTTGAGATCATAGTGCCATGTCCTCTCCTGTGGTCAGTGATGCCAGTTTTCAAGTGGATCCTTGCCTTGTAGTAATTTTGGCTGGATGGGGATCATGCTGAATGACTCACATCCAAATAAAATGAGGACAGCACAGAAGGAGCACTCTTAGGCCGACTGCAAAAGTGGGAGAGCTGCTCACGGCCAGTCCAACTGTGCTCCCTCCCAGTCTGCCTTCAATGGTGGCTGCCTTCACAGGACAGATTTGGATTTAATGTGTGTTTCATAGAGAGTAAAGGGAAGACTTCATCTCTGGAAAGTCATTTTACAGCTGAGAAAACCGAGCCCCAGAGATGTCACATGACATGAACAGAGCCATGCAGCCCATGAGATCCCCTAAGGAACTTCACAACAGAAAACATCAATTAGGTGCCTGCTGTGTGCATCCATCGCTGGGCCCTTTGAGTAGGATAGAGAGTAGAGGAGGCTTAAAGCATGGTTCCTGCCCCCTGTGAGCCTCCAGTCCCAGCTCTGCAGCCACACACGTCAAACTCTAAAAACACAGGGGCACATTTGACATTTTTCCAAATAGAAGACCTTACAAAATAGTCAAATGAATTTCAAAATTCAGGTTGTCACCAACCATCTATCCCGTATGTAGGGCTTACTTCACCAAGTGAACAAATTTATTACAGCACGGAGATACTTCATGCTAATTCTAACACGTTGCCTGTTGTACCCTGGCCATAGCTCTGCAGGTAGCAACACTGAATAAATACTATGACCACCAGCGCCTCTTGACTAAGGATGATCTCAGGATTGGCCCCTGTGGTCTTCTAAGGGTTAACTGGGGAAAAGAGTGTGGGATTCCAGGGTCTGCAGTTGATTTCCAAGAGTCACTCCTTGAGGGGCCACTGCCAGCACAACATCTGGCATGCACCTGAATAAATCCCAGAAGTTTCCTTTTCAATATTGTATAAATTCTGCACCTTGGCTCATGGCTATTAAACCCACCGTGGCAAGATCTCCGCAAGCATGGCAGTATTTCCTTCATGAGGGAGGACCACTCCAAGGACAGCAGTATGAAGCCATCTTTGCCCACCGCATACCCCAGAGCCTCCAGATACAGCTGTCGTCTATGCTCCTGCTAATAATTCCATTTAACTCACTCATTTTTTGGAAACAAGCTTTTCATTTGGAAATGGGCATTCTCATACACTTTCCTACCACCAGATTCCTTCTCCTCCTCTTCCAGACTCAATTTCATCCTGGAAAGCATAGCCATGGGTACCCTGCCAACCCCTCCCTGTGCATTCTGGTCAGCCAAGCCCTGTCACTCAATGTGGCTTCAATTAAAAGCAGACCCCTTGGAGAGGGCCGCCACCTGCCTGCCCTCCTTCTTTCTCCTTTGCTCCAAGCTCATGTTGCTGAACAGAATTCTTTAAGGGACTCTTGGCAAGGTTGATCATCCTCAGTCCTGGCCTCCAGTTGCTTCCCCTGAATGAGAGTTAGAACTGGAATTACAGTGTATTGGAGACAAACAGGTTCTATAAGGTTATTTGGCCCCATAGCCCCATTGTGCAGATGAAAGAAATGGTCTCCAAAAGGATCCTGCTGCTGTCAGGCCAAGCAAGGGTCCTTAGGCCTCATAGCCTCATGTGTGCTCTGCCCTCTGCTTTGTGTATGCTTCTCATCACTGCACCCTTCTGGCCAACTCCAGCTCACCATTCTTTGCTGAGCAATACGGGCACTTCTGGGAAATTATCTTTGCTCCCTCCCCCCATCTCTTGCCCCTCCCATGGAATTTGTTATTTTCTCTTTGGACTTCTAGTTTTTCACAGCACTTCTGTTACAGCTTCTCACAGTGTATCAGACAGACAGATTCTGTCCTAGTTTGCCCCCCTTCCCAAAAGCAAATCCTAAGACAAGGATTCCTAATGACAGCAGTGGATGTGGGAGTCAACCCTGGGAACCACGAGTGGGATATGTGGAGGGATGAAAATCTATAAAGGATGAGGTATTGAGCAGGTTCTGCCTATGCACAATGGAGGCTCAATCCCACTGGGACCCCATGCATAGCCTGAGAAAGACACGCCTCAGGGCAGTAAAGAGCAGGAAAGCTGGTGCATTTATTTACCAACTGTGGGGCCTCATTTTGGGGGGCCTGCTCCTGGAACATAAACTGTCTGGCACTTCCAGCCCCTTCAAACTCTGAGCAAAGCACTGTCCTCAGCCAGAGGATGCTTCCAGGCAGAGATATCCTGAAACAGTCTGCAGGGACCCCCAGTGTTGTCCAAGGACTGACAGTGGCTTCTACAGAGGCTAACTTGCCTGTGTCCCCCAGAGAAGCACAGCCTGGATTGTATTCATCTCAGCAGACCCAAGATGTGGTGTCTAACGGGCACATTCATTATTTTCATTTAACTTAAAAAGGAATTAAGCCAATTAATAACCTCACATAACTAAGGGACAGGCACAGAACTTGTAGCATCCAACTTCTGATTGGATGTTTCTCCAAGGTATTGCATTTCTCAGAATTTTCAACCAGATCATCCCTCTTCTAATATCAGAAGTACATTCCCTCAAGTCCTGGGGACCTAGTCCAAAGTAGCCTTCCAGTAGCAAGATTTTAAAGTGTATTTCTGAAATCTTTATGAATTACATACTTTTCTACAATTCATGCACATTTCATTTAGTATTTTTAAACATTAAAATTACCAGTTAAAATTATCAACAATTTTTTGTACATATTTTGTGAGAAATTGATGTTCCAGCATAAATTTTCTGTGGCTATCTCCGGGCTTCATGTGTCTCCTAGCTCAGGCTATTCCCCAGGTTGAGAGTCACAATCCTCCTTTCCATGTGGAAACTACATGTGATAGAGATTTAGTTCTGGGAACTCTGCCATCCAGCATGTTAGGGGTCTCCTGCTTTAGCCTTGGGATCCATGTCGATAAGGGGAGTTGCTGAACCATTGGGCTAGGGCCCCATGAATACAGAATTGCTGCTGAAGCAAGTGAGAATCCAGGAAGCAGCATAGTGGGAAGAGGGAGGAACAGGCGCATGAAGAGTTAGACTTGAAATGTGTCTTCTGAAGGGGCTGGTTCATGCTTGGTGTTTTTCCCATGCCTCCTTCGTATGTGTGGATTGTTCCTGACTATCTGCCCTGCCCCACCTCACCATATATGCTTCCAAGAAGAATGCTCTTACACCACAACTGTGGCCAGTGATAGAGAGTCTCCTGAAGATTTTGTTAGGGGTGAAGGCACTATAGTTAGTGGAGGTCTCCATAAAGCAACTTTTCCTAGGTCTTCCTTCTTGGCCATGCAGAAGATAAATCACTTTTTAAATCTTTCTCTTTCCTTAATGCATTGCCAAGCCTTTCGGCTTTTGGCTTCTCTGCTCCTGGACTCCCCTCTGACCCTTCTCCTGGCTTTATAGGGGTGGTTTTCCCCACAGCCTTGGCCACATATCAGTACTCACTGCCATGCATACCCCATCCCTTCTCACCATTAAACCATAAAGGACCCTCCAATTACAAGTATTCTACATCTTTAGCAAGAATCTCCAGAATTATAAATATATATGATTCTTTTTCCTCTTGTATTCCTTATAACCATGAGCAGAAATAGAAGTAAACTCCAAATCCATTTCACTTGGATGAAATAGATCAAACATCCAGTATTTCATCTTTACTTTGAATGTTTAATAGAAGACATTAATAGATGGAGTTAGTTTGAATATCATCAGATACACACAGATACACACAAATTTATATGTATGTGTATGTATACAGAAAAAATAATATTTGAAAAGAGGAAGCTCGTGGATATTGCCTCTCTGCTTCACGTTCCTGCCTTTCTCACCTCCACAGTTCCCCAGTAAACATTCTTCCCTCAGCTCTGATGCCCCCATGGCTGGGAAGTTTACCTTGGAATCCCAACTAGAGACAGGATTGATTGTCACCTGTTTGTTCTTTCAGGCTTTGCTTGTGCTTGCATTATGGTGAATTAGAGAGAGGGGCTGTCTCAGATTGTGCACCCTCAAGACAGATCATGAGATGAGGATTCTATTGAGAGCTGATCTCAGGCAAGTTTACTCAACATTTTATAAATGTTACCCCATCGTAAGCATAACCCCTTCATCTCAGTCCCTCTGAGAAGCGGAGCCTAGCACAGAAGTTCTACCCTTCAGTGATTCACTGCCCACGGTCCCCTTGGCCCAGTCCCACTGCCTCTGACCTTGTTGTTACCCTGGGGTGCTCCAGGGAAACACTTTGTTTGGAAGTACACTGTGTTCCTTGGGCGGGGCTTCAGGTCCCTTGGTTCTGAAGCATTTTTCTCAATGCATTCCCATCTACTCATCATCTTTCAGAACTTTCCCCCATGTCTGGCCTGCCTGAAGCCCCACTCCCTGCTTTCCAGAACAACGATGGGTTTTGCTGACTGGCACTTACTAATGGGCCAGGTGGGGAATCCATTGCATTGTGGGGGAAAGGTGTCAAGGTTCGCTGGCAGAAAAAAATGTGGTAAGTTAGTTATTGAGGGAAGAGTGTTCAGGTCAAGCAGACAGTGGGAGTGGCCTCCAGTACTAGGGGAGAAGCCAGTGGACTCATGGGCTGTTTTGTCTTCCTGCAATGGTTAGCATCAAGAGAGCTGAGAACCAAGTATTTTACTGAGTATAATCAAGGCCTTGTCAAAGATAAAACCTGACTGGCTACACCCCTGGTTACTGGGATATGCTGTACCTCCATTATAATTAGAAAAAACACACCTGCGTGGAGTGAAGGCTCAATGTAGGGATATGCTGTTCCTACATTACAATTAGAAAAAACACATGTGGATGGAGTGAAGGATAAATGGGGGCAGATCAAACTTTCTTCCTGCCTTGGAGGGAAGTGTAGAGGTCTGCTCAGGAAAGAGCATCAGAAGGAAGATGAGATAATGAAGCACCACCATTTGGATTTTGTATAGAAGGAATGTGGCTTGCAGGCTGCTGAGCTTCAGGGTAGTTTTCATCTCTGATTTCTCCCCATGGGAGGTGGCTGCCAAAAGCAATGAATCAGGCAGTAGAATGTCCACACCCTCTCATCTGTTCTAATCCATCTTTACCCAGAACTGCCTAAGGATAAATCAGCATGAAGCTGCGCGATGGAGGGGCGTGTTGTGATCTGCTGCTGCCCGGTCATGATCAGCTATTTCCACACGTCAGCACGTTTATCTCTTTGCTTAAAGCTATTTGGGTTGGGATTCCTATACAGTGCTGTTGAAAGTCCGTATCTAATATATTCTCAATTTGGATGAAAGTTTTCGAGGGAGAATGATGGTTCTCAGCAAGTCAAGAGATTTCAGAAGAATGGTGTGAGAAAAGTATGGAATTTGAAGAAAAGTGCACAGCTGTTTAATATCATGAAGTCCTGGTTTTTTGCAAAGTGAAAAGTTTAGATCATAGGGTTAGCTGAAAATTAAATAAGATGATACGCATACATATATATTTGTATATGTATACACATATGTATCCCGTATATGTGTGCATGTGTACATGTATGTATATGTGTGTACCTAAATCCACATGGCAATAATCCACGTTCCACGTGATCCACTCTCCACATGAAGTGAACACAAAGACCCTCAGGCCAGTCACTGCAGAATAACTAAAAAGGCATTCCATTTGTAGTTTCTGTCTACCGTTTTACTATTTAAGGAACTAAATTTATTACCCACATCCACACTTGTAAAATCTTTTGAAATTTCCTTAAAGCACCCTGGAGCCTCTCCTGCCACACTTCAGCCCCAACCTTTGCCTGTGCTTCCCCCTTCCTTCCCCTTCTAGCCTTTCTGCTTTTTCGTCCAGAGATACACTGAAGACATAGTTCATGTGTATTTGTTAAGTGAATGGAGCCTCAAAAGATCAGCCTTCCTGGGCCATCTTAACAAGAACAGAAACTCACGATGCCCTCTTTCTACACAGATGTCAGAGCTTATCATTATTACGCCAATACAGTAAGAGGCAAACTGCATAATTAGTAAGAATTTCATCAAGAACAGCATTTTCCCAGGGGGAAACAGAGACTGCAATCAGAAGGCAATGTGTTTGGTGGGGCAGGGGATGCTGAAAGCCCCCTGAAGGAGTGGGGAAGAAATCAGCTATGACACTCAGTGCTATGACTGCAAGACAGCTGCAGACACCCTGCTAATTTCAAACCTAGCTGTTATTCAATATGGATCTGGGCTTTATCGTCTCTAGATAATTAGTAATATTTGTCCTTAGGAGGTGTGCTTTCTTTAATGGGGGTCAAAGACATTTGAAGTTCTCTTTAGTGGTAATAGGGCGCTGAACAGTGCTGAAGTTCTCTTCAGTGGTAATAGAGAGAGAGAAAAAAAACTCAAATGGAGCAAGTGTGTCCAATGTCACCCATGTGAATAAAACTCCTCATCCACAATGATGTAAGGGTGTAGGACAATGGCCAGGTTGCTCACACTGGGCTGGGCCACCCTTCAAGACTCAGACTTTGGGGAGATTGAAGGAGGTCACTTTCTGGGAAAGAGCTCATGTTTCCTTGGGCAGAGAGCAGACTTTCATAGAGAGATTTCAATGCAACCTCCCACTCCTGCCCCCATCTGCATGCTGAAGGACCAGAGAGAGATAGGGAAGTGTGCACAGAGCACCCTGGAGCAGATGCTGTGGGAGGCTGGACCAGACCTCCAGGTGCCTTTTTCTGGGTGCTCTGGGGGCTGCTATGAAGACTCTCAGTGGTGACTTCTCCAGAGGACTTCTGAGCTACACCTCTCCACCCTGGAGCACCTGGAGACCCTGATGGACTGAGGCAGTGTATGAAAGCCCAGCTCCCTTGCCTTAAACAACTTAGACTCTCTCCTGCAGCTGTGCTCCAGAACAGCTCCCCTTGGAATTTGATTCAGTCCCATTTCACCAGAAGCCACACCTTTGCTCTGTTTCCCTTTTTCCATCCTCTCCCCTCTCCCTTCCAGGTGTCTCCTGTGGAAATCTCTCAATCAATCACCTACACCAGAATCTCTACCTCAAATTTTCCTTTCAGGGACCTCAACTTAAGACAGCTCCCAGCTTCATCCATGTCACTGCAAAGGACATGAACTCATTCTCTTTTATGGCTGCATAGTATTCCATGGTGTATATGTGCCACATTTTCTTTATCCAGTCTATCATTGATGGGCATTTGGGTTGGTTCCAAGTCTTTGCAACTGTAAATAGTGCTGCAATAAACATACGTGTGCATGTGTCCTCAGCAAACTAACACAGGAACAGAAAGCCAAATACTGCATGTTCTCATTCATAAGTGGGAGTTGAACAATGAGAACACATGGACACAAGGAGGGGAACATCACACACTGGGGTCTGTCAGGGACTGGGGGGAAAGAGGAGGGAGAGCATTAGGACAAGTACCTAATACATGTGAAGCTTAAAACCTAGATGATGGGTTGATAGGTGCAGCAAACCACCATGGCACATGTATACCTATGTAACAAACCTGCACGTTCAGCACATGTAGCCCAGAACTTAAAGTAAAATAAAATAAAAAAAAGACAGTTCCCTTGTGACAAAGGGCTGGCTTTCTTTTGGGGTTGCAAAGATGGGCCATGCCATCTCTCTGTCATAATAATTGCATTCTGAATTATTCTAAATCTGTTGAAGATCCTCGGATCTAGATGTGCTAATTTTAATGACTCTGAAGAGAAGAGTAAGCATACTCTTCTGGCTACAGGCTAAAGTAGTTCTGCTGGCTAAAATGAGATGCGCATCTCTCAGACAGCCAATGGGGCTGCAAAGTTAAGAAAATAGTCTTTTATTCTTGGTGACAGCACCATTCCAGTAATGTTAGTGGTGCTACCTGCTTTCGCAGGCATCTGATATCAGAACACATGCTCTGTTGGCGCTAGCCACAGAACACTTGCTGATGTGATCCTTTCTTCCACTCCCAATGGAGGTGATGGTTTTGCTTCCACTCCAATGTTTTCAAGATGAGGAGATGACCCCAACTGGCTTTGTTTTCTTTACATGATTCTAAAAATAACAACTATCTTCTTTTATGTGTTATTCAAAACTGGTCCATGAATTCCCCAAGATGCATCTCCTTTTAATGTGTGTTAATTTAGGAACCCCAAAAGCAACAGCAGAGAAGATAAAGTATCTCAACATATGTTATTTTTAAATTCTTAACATCTGAGAAGCAAAAAGCAAAATATGCTAAAAAAAAAAAAAAAAAAAGGAAAACATGTGAAGCCAAAATGTGCCTTCTGGCCTCTGATTTTCTGTGTAGGTAAATCCTGCTTCTTTGAAGCCTGTCTACCCGCTCACCAAAGCATTCCCCAGGCTAGGACTCCCAAGAAACACCATCTGGTCATTCCAACCCTGAACATTCCCTCCTTGTCTGATCACCTATTAATTATATGGCATATTTCTATTTAATAATATCACATAGCCATTGGGGCTGAGATCACTGGGATGGTTTCATAGAATTTGATTCAAACCCTGGCCCCAGGACATACTGTGATCCTGAAGGACTTACCTGAATTACTTGAGCCACAGTTTCTTCTTCAGGTGCATGAGCCTGATATTTTGACAAGGCTGTGTATAAAGATTAACTGAAGTATTGGATCTCAGAAGCCCAACTGAACAGACTCTCAATACATATTCCCCTGTTCCTTGCTTTCCTCATGTTATTCATTATTTTTTATATGGGGAATCTGTGTGTCATGTTGTTTGACTACACTGCAAGCTACTTATGAGGAGAGAATCAAAGTGCAAGTCATTTATTTGAGAGGTGCTCCCCGGGAGTCCCAGGAGGAGAATGTGGAAATGAGACTGAGAAGGTGATATGATTTGGATGTATCCCCACCCAAATCTCATCTTGAATTGTAACTCCCAAAATTCACAGGTGTTATAGGAGGAACCTGGTGGGAGGTAATTGAATCATGGGAGCAGGTCTTTCCCATGCTGTTCTTGTGATAGTGAATAGGTCTCACAAGATCTGATGGTTTTAAAAACGGGAGTTTCCCTTCACAAGCTATCTTCTCTTCCCTGCCGTCTTCCATGTAAGATGTGACTTGCTCCTCCTTGTCTTTCACCATGATTGTGAGGCCTCCCCAGCCATGTGGAAGGAACTGTTACTTCTCATTTAACCTCTTTCTTTTGTAAATTGCACAGTCTTGGGTATGTCTTTATCAGCAGCGTGAAAATGGAATAATACAGAAGGGAAGGAGCTACCAGAGTTAGCAAGCAAGTCCTTACCATGGGTAATCAGAGCTTAATGTTGTGAAGAAAGTCAGAAAATGGCAGAAAGCATGTGCTCCGAAGTTATCCAGCCTGAGGGCCTGGGACCACCAACCCCCATCAGTCATGGGCTAAGAGCTGTCCCAGGGCACTTCCAGTCTGCTCTGTTCTCAGACAGAGTCATCTTTCAAGGCTCCAGAGAAAGACCCAAGTAAAAAGATGCAGCCATTGGATGCTTGAAATTCTGCCCTAAAGTAGGCATAATCAGGCCAAAGGAAATAAAAAGGATAGACACTGAGAGCGCTTGCTACAGGAGCCTTTAGCTGAGAAAAAATTCTATGATGATGACTGGGTTGAAAACAAAGTTTGAGTATAAATACTAACCTTTACGCAATGCATGGAGTTAGTTGTAGACTCTTTTGCTGGCAAGAAGCAGAAAAATGTCAGTCCTGCATCAAGGATCTTATTTACATCTAGCTGGAACACTTCTTTAAAAGCCCAGGCAGCTTGACTACATAAAGTATGGAAGGATGAAAGGGCATACGTATATGTGTTTATATGTGTACATATGTATTCACATAAAAAACTGATCACAAAAACTCCCTCCCATAGGTTAGCCAAAAAACCATTTGGATTGCTCAGAGTTAACACAAGGCAAAGGAGGAGTACATACTGGGAAGATCACAAAGGGTGAGATAGTGTCCAGACTCTGGTCAGGGGGCATGGTCCAAGAAAGTGGCACTGGCCTGAGAGCTGACAGATGTGTAGCAGTTAACCAAGTGAAGGGTCGAGAGTGGGGCCGGGGAGGGCCAGGAAAGGACGTGGTGCTAGAGGCCCTGTGGCAGGATAAAGTGTGGAATGAAGCCAGCAGAGAACTCCTAACTCCAGGGGTTTTGCAAAGTGACCTTAGTTGAGTCGTTTAGCTTCTCTGCCTCTCACCTTTTGCATCTGAAGAGTGAAAACAATAAACCCTACTTTACAGCAGCCTGTCCAATAGAAGTTCCTGGGATGATGATGGAAATAGCATATCTGGGCTGCCCAGTACAGTAGTTTCTGTCCACCTCTGACTGTTGAGCACATGGAATGTGTCTACTGAGGCTGAGAAACTAAGGTGCGTCTTCTGAGGTGATATGGTTTGGCTGTGTCCCCCCACAAATCTCATCTTGAATTGTAACTCCCATGATTCCCAGGTATCATGGGAGGAACCTGGTGGGAGGTAATTGAATAATGAGAGTGGGTCTTTCCCATGCTGTTCTTGCAATAGTAAATAAGTCTCATCAGATCTGATGGTTTTAAAAAACGGGAGTTACCCTGCACAAGCTCTCTTCTCTTGCCTGCCATCATCTATGTAAGATGTGACTCCTCCTTGCCTTCTGCCATGATTGTGAGGCCTCCCCATCCATGTGGAATGGTTAGGTCTCATTAAACCTCTTTCTTTTGTAAATTGCCAAGTCTTGGATATGTCCTTATCAGTAGCATGAAAATGGACTAATACAGAAGGGAAGGAGCTACCAGAGCTCCTTCAATGAAAGGAAAGCTTTCATTGAAAGATTTTCGTTGAAACCTCCTTCAACGAAAGCTCCTTCATTCACTAAAAATGAATTTCAATTAACCTAAATTTAAATGGCCACAGGTGACTAGTGGCTATCCTATTGGAGAATGCTTCTTGAAAGTATGATTTTAGGGATTAAAGGGAATTCATCTTTGTATCTAAAGTGTCCGGCACAGAACAGTCCTCCATCCATCTTGGTTCCCCAGCCCTGAAGTGAGATCCTGGTGACATAAGCCAGGTCTCTATATCCAATGCTCATTTAAGATTGCCTCTTCAACAGGAGCGTGTTTGGCTCTAGTGTAGCTTGCCACCAGCAGTCCCCATTGGTAGTGATGGCATTCTTGGCATCCTTCCAGTGCCATGATTGACTTAGCCAGTAAAAGACAAAATTCAGATGGTAGCCACTAAACAGTATGAAATATCTCAGTTTTAACCTAAAGTGGAAGCAATAACAGTCTCCAAGGCTGCAGAAGCAGGGCTTAGCAGACGAACCAAAAGACAAGAAGAAAAGTCCTGTTAAAAGAATAACAATCAATAGCTGAAAGCTATTAAGTTCACTCTTCTAGTTCAAAGGGATTTGAAATGGCAATTTGTCAGGCAACTGTTGTCACTTTAGATGCCCCCATTGCTTTCTTTGAAGCCCTTGATTGACTACAGGAGGTTACACCAGATTGTTCTAAGGACAGGATTTCCACAGTTGAGCATACTTATATCCAAGTAATTATGACTCTTCTGAATTTAATCAACACAAGGCAAAAGAGAGCTAGTTTGAGAAAATATGCATGTGCTCTGCAAAGTCCAGGCGATGGCTTCGGTGGCTATGCCCAAAGCCAGACAACCAGCTGGATGGTTTCAGTCACTTAATTGTGCCGATCAGATTCTCCAGCAAGTTTCCCTGCTGGCCAGGGAAAGAGGGAGAATCATAGAGTGAGGACTTTCTCCATTCTGCTTGTTCTGTTCAACAATGAAACAGACTTCCGCTTGAGATGGGTTGTTTCTAGGAAAGAACAGCCAATGAGAAATAAGCAACCTAACACATTCACACAGTGTTGCCTCTTCAGCTAGCAGAGGTGGAGCTGGGAGGACATTTTCGCCAATTGTTTTGGAAAACAGATGCAGAGGCAAGTGTACCCCTGTGAAGCAATGGCTGAATGTCTTTAGGGGAGATGGGTGCAAAGGGGAATTAGCAAGTGAGAAAGAGGACTGAGAACTGTGGCAGCTACTGGGCCTTAAGTCAGACTTTCTTCTAGAAATGTGCAGAATGGACACAGAATGTGAGAAGCCCTCTGAAGCATGTTTGCCTTAGGAACAACTAATTGCAAGTTAATTTGCTACTTTTTTGTGGAGTTTTCAGGAACCTGTTCAGCAAGAATGGGAAGTGTGTTCCTGGGTGTTTGCAGAGTGGGGCATGCATGGTGACATCAGCCAGAGCTGTGGCCCCGTCCTAGGCATCCAAGAGGAAGGTCAAAACAGAAGGTGTAAAGGGATAGAAGCTGTTGTCAGAGTCCAACCTCTTCCTAAACTTCTAAGCCCTCTATGACTCAGGAAAGAATGTGTCCTAGAGAGAAGGGGGCAGAGTGACACAGATGGTAAAGATGGGAGCTAACGGGCTCTCAGGAGAGAAAAAGCAAGGTGGACTCCTGCCCAGCAGATATGTGCCAGATGTCCCTGCTATGCAGCCTTGGGGACACATCCATGCCAAATAACTAAAGAGAAGCTATGACAGGAAAAACAAAAACACACAACATGCTATCTACATACAACATGTGGGGCTGGGGCCAGGAGTGAGGTCAGGAAGAGCACCCCACCAAGGCAGGATGAACAGATGGAAGGAAGGTCAAGCCAGGAGAGATCTGAAAAGAAAGGATGGGAGGAATCCACTTCTATTTTTTTTTTCTTTTGAGACAGAGTATCGCTCTGTCGCTCAGGCTCGAGTGCAGTGGAGTGATCTCTGCTCACTGCAAGCTCTACCTCCCGGGTTCATGCCATTCTCGTGCTTCAGCCTCCCGAGTAGCTGGGACTACAGGGGCCCGCCACCACGCTTGGCTAATTTTTTTTTTTTTTTTTGTATTTTTAGTAGAGACGGGGTTTCACCGTGTTAGCCAGGATGGTCTGGATCTCCTGACCTTGTGATCCGCCCGCCTCGGCCTCCTAAAGTGCTGGGATTACAGACGTGAGCCGCCCCGCCCGGCGGAATCCACTTCTAGCTGTTTGGCAGGGACTGTCCCGGGCACAGGACGCCAGGAGACAACGTGTGTGGGCAAAAGTACATACACTCACAGTAGGGGTCCAAGGCCAAAACCCACCAGGGCATTTGCTGTTCAGTCTGTGATGTGTGATTGTTGACCACACAGCAGGGAGCATGTTCTGACAGCGCCACCCCACCCAGGCCATGTGAGCAATGTTAGCCCTGCATTTATGCTGATGGATCTTTCTTATGGGACTCAAACGGCATTCATTCTCTCTGAACAAATTAAGAAGAAACTAATCCCAACCTAAGATTCTTTATAAATTACTCAGACAAAAGAAAATGAATCACTATATGCATAAGCAGCAGATGTTATGTGACCTCAAAATTAATGCCTATTAGCAGGCCAAAAAGGTATGCAGAAGAAGAGAGGTAAGATTTCCATGCTGACAGGTTTGTTGGTCTAAATTCATTCTGGAAAAATTGTGTCTTTCAAGTAAGAAAGCACGGTAGGCAACATCTTTCCTAGAGTCTTCATCATCACTCTTGTGGCAAGAAAGTTGCCAAGGAAAGAAAGTTGCCAAGAACTTGAGTTGGTAAGGCCATGACCAAAGTTCTGCAGAATTTTGAAGGAGGCAAATGTTAGATACTGATTGCATAACAGATGGGTCTGTCTCACAAGACATTTACTCATGATGCTCCGTCAAAGGAAAAAGTGGTGATTTCAACCAAATTAAAAATATAAAGCTTTCACTGGCTCATGAGGAAGATATCCTTTTAAGTAATTACAGGTTGAATATCCCTTATTTGAAGTGCTAGGGACCTGCAGTATTTTAGATTTCAATTTTTTTGGATTTTGGAATATTTGCATTAATACCTATCTACGGAGCATCCCAAATCTAAAAATCTGAAACTTGAAATGCTCCGGTGAACATTTCCTTTGAGAGTCACGTAAGTGCTCAAAAAGTTTTGGATTGTGGGCCAGTTTGGATTTCAGATTTGGGATGTTCAATTTGTATTACTAGTTTTTTTTTTTGTTTTTTTTTTTTTTTGTGTGTGTTTATTTATTTTATTTTTTATTATTATTATACCTTAAGTTTTAGGGTACATGTGCACAATGTGCAGGTTGGTTACATATGTATACATGTGCCATGCTGGTGTGTTGCACCCATCAACTCGTCATTTAGCATTAGGTATATCTCCTAAAGCTATCCCTCCCCACAACAGTCCCGAGTGTGATGTTCCCCTTCCTGCGTCCATGTGTTCTCATTGTTCAATTCCCACCTATGAGTGAGAACATGCAGTGTTTGGTTTTTTGTTCTTGCGATAGTTTACTGAGAATGATGATTCCCAATTTCATCCATGTCCCTACAAAGGACGTGAACTCATCATTTTTTATGGCTGCATAGTATTCCATGGTGTATATGTGCCACATTTTCTTAATCCAGTCTATTATTGTTGGACATTTGGGTTGGTTCCAAGTCTTTGCTATTGTGAATAGAGCCGCAATAAACATACATGTGCATGTGTCTTTATAGCAGCATGAGTTATAGTCCTTTGGGTATATACCCAGTAATGGGATGGCCGGGTCAAATGGTATTTCTAGTTCTAGATCCCTGAGGAATCGCCACACTGACTTCCACAGTGGTTGAACTAGTTTACAGTCCCCCCAACAGTGTAAAAGTGTTCCTATTTCTCCACATCCTCTCCAGCACTTGTTGTTTCCTGACTTTTGAATGATTGCCATTCTAACTGGTGTGAGATGGTATCTCATTGTGGTTTTGATTTGCATTTCTCTGATGGCCAGTGATGATGAGCATTTTTTCATGTGTTTTTTGGCTGCATAAATGTCTTCTTTTGAGAAGTGTCTGTTCATGTCCTTCGCCCACTTTTTGATGGGGTTGTTTGTTTTTTTCTTGTAAATTAAGGCTACAGTAACCAAAACAGCATGGTACTGGTACCAAAAGAGAGATATAGATCAATGGAACAGAACAGAGTCCTCAGAAATAACGCCGCATATCTACAACTATCTGATCTTTGACAAATCTGACAAAAACAAGCAATGGGGAAAGGATTCCCTATTTAATAAATGGTGCTGGGAAAACTGGCCAGCCATATGTAGAAAGCTGAAACTGGATCCCTTCCTTACACCTTATACAAAAATTAATTCAAGATGGATTAAAGACTTAAACGTTAGACCTAAAACCATAAAAACCCTAGAAGAAAACCTAGGCATTACCATTCAGGACATAGGCATGGGCAAGGACTTCATGTCTAAAACACCAAAAGCAATGGCAACAAAAGCCAAAACTGACAAATGGGATCTAATTAAACTAAAGAGCTTCTGCACAGCAAAAGAAACTATCATCAGAGTGAACAGGCAACCTACAAAGTGGGAGAAAATTTTCGCAACTTACTCATCTGACAAAGGGCTAATATCCAGTATTATTAGATTTTAATTGTGGTAAAATATACATTATTTTAAGGTGGCAAAACTTGACACCTTAACCATTTTTAGGTTTACTGTTCAGTGACATTAAGTAAATTCACATTCATGTGCAAACATCACCACTATTCATCTCCAGAACTCTTTATCCTGCAAAACTGAAAGTTTGTACCCATTAAACAACTCCCCATTCTTCCCTTCCCTCAGGCCTTGGAACCCACCATTCTACTTTCTGTCTCAATGAATTTGACTACTTTAAGTACCTTATAGGAGTGTAATCATACGGTATTTGTCCTTTTGTGTCTAACTTATTTAGCTTAACATAAAGTGTGCAAGATTCATCCATATTGTTACATGTGTCAGAATTTCTTTCCTTTTCAAGGCTAAAAATATTCCACTGTATGTACATACCACATATTGTGTATTCGCTCTTCTGTCCATGGACACTTGGGTTGCTTCCACTCCTTGGCTATTATGATTATGCTACTTTAAACACAGTGTACAAATATCTCAAGAGTCACTGCTTTCAATTCTTTTGTGTATAAGCCCAGAAGTTGGATTGCTGAATTATATAGTAATTCTGTTTATAAAATTTTGAGGAACCATCGTACTGCTTTCCATTATAACTGCACCTACATTCTTACCAACAGCACACAGGAGTTCTAGTTTCTCCACATCCTTGCCAACACTTGTTATTTTCTCTTTTCTTTCTACTCTTTTTTTGACAGTAGTGAAGGAGATATTTTTAATTATATGGAACTTTCAGAGCTCACTGATTCGTTGACTCATTGATTTATTCATATACTCAACTAAATATTTAACCGATGTTTACATAAACATCGGTTAAATATGTAGTAAGTGGTTGAAAGAAGGTAACCAAAGGGTACTGAGTAACTGTAGTCACATCTGATAATCAGTACCCTTTGGTTACAGTCTTTCAATCAGTTACTAATTGAAATAATGTCTAGATTTCATACATTCAGATGTAGTCTAAATAGAGAGGTAGAAAATAAAAAGTAAATAAATAAGATGAAACAAGATGATGATAAGAAGCATTAAATAATAGATCAGGATAACATCACTGAGGAACGAATGGTCAGGAAAGGCCTCCCTAGTGAGGAGCCTGTCTCCAGAGGAGCACAAGGAAAAGTGCTCCAGGAGGGGGAAAAGCAAAAGCAAAACCCTTAAGAAGACAAAAGTAGCAGGTGCCTGCCCTCTGTTTAGCATGCATTTCCAGACTAAATAATGACTTATACCAAGACTTTCTTGTTTAGGGCAAGGATTGTGCATCACACTTAAGGAAGGGTCTCATGCTTACAAATACGTATATGTTTATATATCTGTATATGTATAGCACATATCTTACCCATGATGGGATTTGACCTGTTTGACCTTTGTACATTTGAGGACCAGCCAGAGCTCATCCCTGTGATGAAGAGCAGGGTGGCATGGTGTGGTCTCAGGGCCAAATTGCCTGGGTTGAATTCCAGCTCAACCATGTGCTAGCTGTATAATGTTGGGCAAGTTATTCACACTCTTTGTGCTTTGCTTTCCTCATCTGTAGAGACAATAATAGTACATCCCTCATAGGATCATCGTGATAATTAGTGAGTGATTATATAAAGTGCCTAGAACAGTGCCTGGCACAGTAAGCGCTGGGCAAGGTTTAGATATTTTTCTGATGTCCTCTCCATCGTGCTAGCAGGACACTTGTTGATATGTAGACATTCATGGGGGATTAAATAGACGTTAAGTATAGCTTATTTTTACCCTGCTTGAATCCCCACAATCTCATCCCCCAAACGCTCTTCCAAATTTTCAACACTTGAACAACAGAGTTTCCTACAACCTGAGGAAACCTTTATGTTTCTAGGAAAAATCTTGTATATGTTGAATGGAAGCCTATGTCTTCACAGTTTTCCTTGTTCAGGTTCTACCTGTGGTGGCTGCACCAAACAAATCTGGTCCTACAGTAGTGTGTTTCAAGAACTTCAAGATGATTAGCAAGGTCCGCTGAATCTTCTCTTCTCCAGGCCACCCACCTCCTAAGACATGGCTTTGAGCATCTTCCATTCCTTGGCCTGGTGCCTCTGAATGAGATCTCATTGATTTCTATATCACTTAAAATACAGTGCCCAGCACTGAGTGTAATTCTTCAAGTGTGATGTGTCAGGACAGAGTGGAGCAGACCAACAACTTTCTTCATTCAAGATCCAATTGTTCTCTTATGGCAACCAAATATTGAAGTCAAAATTGTGGTTGCCACGTATTATGATTCCTCCTAAAGATCTTATGTAAATAAGCACCACCACAAGTTCTGTAGAAATTTAGCTTCTGGGACACTTCTTGCTTTACCACTTTTATGCAGTGTTATTGGTGTTTGAGTCCCAAATGTTAAAATATATATATATATATATATATCATTTATTCCTGCCAATTGTTTGAAGCAATTTATCACTATTTGACCCCTAAATTTGTTAGACAATGTCATCAATAACCTATTGCCTCAGTAGATAATCTGAGAGATGCACCATTGGAATTTTTATTTAAGTAACTACTAACACATGTAAATCAAAAGGAGAGAGTTCAGAACCATGAGCCACTGTTGGAGTCCTTTTTTAGATTGACACTGCTCCATCAATAGAATATTAGAGGTTCCATCTTTCAACTAGTTACTGACCCAAAAAATTGTGATTGAATTCTTTCCTAATTTCCCTTCATTTTGTAAAAGACATTGCGACACACCCTGTCAAATAACTAACACTAGTCTAGCAAGCCACTGCTGTCCAGAGCCTCCTGGCCATTAGGTAGGGGAAATGCCTTCTTCACCAGTGGATGAAGGAGAATTATTGAACTATTGCCCAAGAGCAGAGTATGGCAGTACCGGGCATGCCACTGCCCAGGGTAAGTTACACAGGCATCACACAGTGTCCCTGGAAATTTACTAATAGAGTTCTCTAGCTGGACGAGCTGAACTCAGAATCCCTGGGAAAGCTTATGAGCACACAGCCTTTGGGGCTCCATTTCCAGAGTTTCAGATTCAGGATGTCTGGGTGGTGCCTGAGAATTTGCATTTTTAACAAACTCCAAAGTGAGGCTGCTGCTCTTCATCTGGGGGCCACAATTTGAGAACCACTCTTTTACACAAACTTTTTTCATGTACCACTACTAATATAGAAGGAGGTAACAATAGAGGGTGAGGTTGATCTCTAGTTCTGCTTACACCTTTGAGACTATTGAAACAGAAAATCTCTCTACCAGAGGGCTGAGTAATTCTTAATGCTGTCTTTAGGTTTTATTAAAAAGGTCTTTGTCATCTTTTCTTATTAGAATTGTGATTTTTTTTCACTCACTACCTTATAAATAAGCCTATTGATTTATTTATGTCAAGAAGAGCAAGGTCTTCTCTGATCTTTGGCCAAAAATTTCCCTATAACATAATACCTACTACATGGTTTAATCCAGCATTTCTTGAGAAAAAGAAATAGGGTTTAGTGTGAAATTGCTATTTCTCAGTGAATTCATGCTAGCTTCTTGTGATCACAGATTCCTTTTAAAAGTGAAGCAGAATGAGTAATGTATTCCAGAGTCTTGCCTGTAACAGGCATTTGAGGTGTCTGCTCCCCTCGTCAATGTTTGCTCGGAAGCAAATGGAATTTGAGGGATTCCCTTTTCTGCAAGTTGTTCATCAGCTTTCCACTGTGGTTTCCCAGCAGTGAGCTGCTCCCTGTGGCCATCCTCTGCCTTCCTTATGTGATCAAGGACCCCTGTTTGTCTAACATGCATCGCAGTCCCCTGCCCACTCAGAACTTGCAGGCCACCTCACCTCCACAAGAACCTTCTCTTCCTAGTCCGTGTCCCTAGGCAGGAAGCATCCCACTGTCAAATGAATCTTGTGGGCTCGGTTCCTTTCTCCACATCCTCAGGAACTGCACACTTTTGAGAGTGAGCAGCTACAAAGGCGTCAGTGACCTCCAACTGATGTCCATGGCCACTTGTGTCCTGGGTTTGTGTTGGGAGAAGGTGAAAAAAGAGGCCAATGAACACAGACCCAAAGAAGGGTTGGTGTTGCCAGACACTCTCCTGATTCCAGTCCTTCTGGAAAGGGCAATCAAGAGTGGAGTACCCAATTTGTGCCATTGGACAAGATCTCACCATAAAAAAAAAAAGCTCTATGAGACTGGACGCTGCTTCCCTGCAAGTCCTTCACCTCCTCTAGGTGGCTCTCTCTCTTCTCGGAACACATGGTCCTTTTCCCTCTTCCTGGGATGTTCTTACTCCTGAAAACTGCGTCATTTGGGCCTTTACCAAGACCCCTTCCCAGTGAGATTTTTCCTGAATGTTTTATCTAAATTTGTAACTGCTCCCACCTCCACTCTTCCAATCCCTTTTTCTTATGTTTCTCATTAGCATGTGCTGATACTGAAAATCCAATTGATTTCATTGTTTATTGTCTGTCCGCTCATGTACACAGAAATTTTTATCTACTCATTCCACTATTGTATCCTGAGCGTTGGGAATGGTGTTTGGTGCATAGATGATGCTCCTCAATAAATACCGAATGAGTGAATGAATGAAGTGGAAGAGGGAAACCGCAAAAGGGAAGGTAGGCATGGAAACCCAGCATGCTATCTTGCCAGCAGACATGGTCTCAATTGCATCAACTTTTTGCTAGGAGGTCACGTGCAAGTCAGGTATTTGGCTATCTTAAAGCTCTCCAGGCCCATGTACACCGTCAAAAAACAGGGCTCCCCATGGCAGTGACTACTACTCCAGTTTAAGGTATCTAGTCTAGGTAGTTCACAAGGCCTCCCCACTACTACATTTTGTGACTCTATGAGCCCTTGGATAGGGGCACTATAAAAAGAGCCTGTCTTCAGACAGGCAGGAGTCATTATTTTCCCCCTCCGTTACCAAATCGTGTAAGGTAGAATCAGACCTTTTCAACGTCATGCAAAGAGATGCCCTCAAATTCTGGATGAGGTTGGAAAACCTCCACACTGAACACTTGGTCAGTTTCTACAATGTCAGACTGTCATTCAGTAAGAACGTAATCTACTAGCACTCCTTTTTGTCAGATAATTACTAATTATGATGTGATAGGCTCTTGCTAAGTGTTTGCAGATATCATCTCATTTAATTATCACATTCAATCATTCAATTGGTTGGCTGGGGTAACACTCATTTCAAAGATTCAGAAACTGAAGTTCAGAGATGTTACACAGCTTTCCCAAGGATGTGCTGTTAGACTGGGTAGCAGGATGGAAGCCAGGTAAGTCTAATCTCAAAGTCCATGCTGTCTGCAACTTCTGGGTCTAAATTTCAGCTCATCAGTCCTAGCAGGCAAGTAACTTTAAAAAGAGGACACTATGCAAATTGTGTGCTATAGTTCTGCTGTAATTCTGAGCCTTTCCATGGGGGCTAGTTTCAGAAAGATCACTCAGGTCCACGTGATCAAGGCCTAGGCATCTGGACCTCTCAGGAGCTCATCAATGGCCTGTGGCTACAACCCACTGGGATCCCAAGAGAGAGCCTTCCTCTTTCTTCTTTTCCATCCAGATTTGGGGCCTACATTTTTCACAGTAAGCATGGCCAATGAGCCCAAAGGCACATCTGTGTTTCTATAGAGCCCCTCTTCATGTGCATAAATAAAATAAGAAATAGCCAAGTAGACACCTGTGTATACAGTCACCTGCTTTTGCCAGACAGATATTTATTCATTGTTGTATAAATGAGGAAAATTTGCACTCAGCCCTGAAAATTTGGCCACACTGGATCATCCTTCCTCCTCCCCAGCGATTTCTTCACTGAGAATGGCCACAGTTGGTTGACACTTCATTGTACTCTGTTTAAAGATCAGCGCACAGGCCTGGGAAGATCTGTTTTGCACCTGTATGTGGGTCTCATAAGGTGCTCAAGCTGTCAGGACAATCCTGTGCACCAGTGCTAAATCATGTCGTACATGACAGGGAGGAAGTGCTTTTAAAGGCAGGTGTCTAATCCTGTCACACATTATTTTATGAGATGGCCCTTTAAAATAGATTGTGTGTAATGGGGCTTGCTTTAAGGAGGTCGGCCTGTCTCACTGGACTGAGAGCAGAAAAGATATAAAAACAAGGCAAGAACATAAACAAGGAATGTCAAGTTCTACCCACATCTTTACCCCACACACAGAAAGAAACACCCACAGAGGAATGTTAAGATCCTGCCTCAGCAAACTGCAAATGTTTGATTTGTGGGCTACCATTAAGCTGATGGAAGAATATCTTATTCAGGGCATTCTTGTAACAGGTGGATGACGGCAAACAGCATTTCAGAATGGCTAGGGAATTAATTATATTTCTTAGCTAGTTATCCTTTTAAATTAATTGAAATAGTTTAGTCAATTCTCATTTAATTGCAGAATTTCTAGAACTCGTAAAAGCAATGGCATTTTAAAATGCCTTTTGAAAAATCTTTCTGTGTTTGGAACCAGCATTCAAATGCCATGTCACTTCTTAGGGAATGGCTGAGGGGCTGGAGCGGGAAAGGCTGCACTGCAGGTGAGCTCTTGAATACTTGAAGCAAAATAAGAGAAAACAGTAAAGCGAACACATGGCATCAGAACTGGGCCTAAGTCCTATCCCCTCTGGGGACGTCGTCCAGCACTGGCTGCCTGCTCACACAGAGGCCCTCATGGCATTAGTAAGTGGCCTGACTTCTGGGGATGCCTCATGCCATTTCCAGAGCTCTGCTAGGGAATTAAATTCTGATTTCTTGGGCTTATCTGTGTTGCATTCTATGCGCTTAAAAGACTATTTGCTGCTTCTTAGCACAAGAATCCCTATTTGGGAAACACAGCACATGAACCCCTTCTTAGCTTTCCAACCTCCTTCTTGCAAATCTGTCCCCCTTGTCTCCAACTTGGGTTCTAGCCCCTGTGCTCCTGTCCCCTCACTAACTTGCTTCGTCCACTATAGGCTCACACATGCTCAAGGTATTTCTACCAACATCCTCTTCATTACCCTCCAAGCTGTGCCTCGCCCGTTCAGTGCTGGATTTTTTTTGTGCCTTAAGGAGTCTGCCAGTGCTTGCCAATGGAAGTGCCCTCCAGCAAAGCTGGTATTGAGGGGAGATAGGTAAACAATGCATGCCTCAGCAGGAATGGAATGCCCTGTGCCTCACTCAGGACCCGCATCTTCAAAGGTGCATTTGTACCCTGAGCTGGAACAGAGGGGAGCAGAGACCACATAGTGGGAGAAATGGGAGCAGAGGTCCTTATCATTGGACAGCCACTGTAGATTCTAAAGTAAGAACACCGGTGTTTGAAGTCAATATTGGACTGATGTGGATAATGCACTAGGACGGGCAGAGACTAGCATCAAAGAAGTCACTGGGGGACTGCATTCCAGGGCACTTGTCTATGGGGATGGGAACAAACCTTGGGTGGTGGACACAGAAAGGCAGAGTAAGTTATAAGTTGAAAAGGCATTTAAAAATATTTTAAATTTCTGTTTTATTCATACCCTGTTTTTATTAAGTAAATGTAAAAGAAGTTTATAAAATACGTGTAAGAAAAATAAGTAAAATAGATAAAAGGCATAATGGCAATAATACAGCAAGCACTCCCGACCCATCAACCAGATGAAGAAAAGGAACAGCAGCAGCAGCTTGGAGGGATCCTGTGGACACCTCAGGCATCTCATTTCATTCTTCACATTCCAAAGTTTTCTCAATAGTTTTACTGCATATGAAAGTGTTTCTAAAATATAGCATCTAGTTTTTGTATATTACTGAGTTTACATCATCTTTGCAGTCACTTGCTTTTCTCACAATATTATGTTCCTGAAATCTGTTCACAATTTCCATGAAGCTGTCATTTATCCAATGACACAAATGAAAAATTTTGCTTTTTCCAGATATGCCGCAGTTTACTTTGCCATTTTCTTTTTGTAGGCATTTTGGTCCTTCTGGTTTGGGTGTGTGTGCACATGTGTGCACACTCAGCATCAAAATCAAAGCTGCTATGAGTGCTTTTGCACAAGTATAAAAGCTTGCATTTCTCTATGGAATCTATGCAGAGAGTAGAAATCCTGGGCCCTGAGTTATTGGTCTTGTTTGCATTGCCAACATTCCTGGATAAAATCCAATTGTCTGCATGGAAGCTGTAGTAGTTGACAGGTTCCCAGCACTATATAATTGCTCCCATTTATTCACACTCTTGCTAACCGTCTATACTAACCAAAGTTTTTAACCTGTTTTAGCTGCATGAATGTGAAATAGTATTTCATTTGGTTTTATGATTTGCAGTTCCCCTTTTCCTAATCAGGTTGAACTTCTTTCATATGCTTATTAGCCATCCAAATTTTCTCTTCTATAAAGTTCCTCTTCAAATGTTCTTTTTATTCATCTGTTGGGTTGTTTTCTTTTTTTTTATTTTTGTGGACATTCTTGGCATAATTTAAATATCCAATATACTAACCCTTTGTCAGTTACATGCACTACAAGGATCTCTTCCTAGTCTGTCTAGTCTGTCTTTTTATTTTGATTTTTTTCACATTAGTTATTAATTAAAATCTAATTAAATTAATTTATCTCTTTTCTTACAGTTTGTGTTTCTTATGAATTGTTTAAAAACTCCTTCCTATTGCAACGTTATAATGATCTCATATTATCTGCTGAAAGTATTCATTTTACATTTTCATATATAAGTGTGCATCACCATTTGTTGTTGTTATGGTGTGAAGTACAGTGTTAACCTCATGCTCTTTCTACATAGATGATGCTATGGTCTGAATGTGTCTCCCCAAATTTATATATTGACACTTAATTACCAATGCACTAGTAATAAGAGGTGGGGCCTTTGGGAAATGATTGAGTGATGGGGAGAGCCCTCTAATGGGACTAGTGATGTGATAAGATGGCTGGAGAGAAATAACTTGGCCCCTGTCCCTTCCCCCTCATGCCATTTAAGGATATGCAGCAAAAAGATGCCATCTGTTATGCAGAGAGCAGCCCTTACCAGACACTGAATCTGCTCACACCTTGACTTTAGACTTCCCAGCCTCCAGAACCATGAGAAATACATTTCTTTTGTTTATAAATTACCCAGCCTAAAGCATTTCATTATAGCAGCAGGAATAGACTATGATGGATGCCCAATCACCTTTACATCATTGGTTGAAGTGCTTTCTCTCCACTAATCTGCAGTACAAGCTCTGCCTCAAGTCAGGGTTGCTTATATAATCATAGATATGTTTCTAGAACCGCTATTCAGTTCTGGGATTTTTTAGGGGGAGTCTATCCCTACATTAATACAACATTATCTTAGTTACTTTAGCTTTAGACAATTTGTCTTATTTTCTGATTTGGTCATTTTTCCTACAAGTGTGTGTATAGATATTTTTTAAGTAAATCTTCATGCTTTTTAAGTTCTGTGATAATTTTGAATGGAACTGCATTGACTGTAGTTTCCTAGATAGCATCAGCATTTCTTCCCAATCTGTAAAATGAAGATTCTAGTGGAGGTATTTTTTTTTTTTTCCCAGGCATTGAAGAAAAAGGGAACAGTGGGCCAAATACCTATGGGTGATTGGCCAGCAAGCTTAAGCCTTGCTTGTATAAACCTGGAGCCTCCATAGTGTCAGTGTGACCTTTGGGCAGAAATGGAGAAATATATTAAGACAAAGCCAGCATTCAAAAGGGAGCCAATGTCAAGGAATGTGAGATAACAGTACATTCTAGCAATAATGTTCACTTGTTAAGTAGACGCTATTTGTTTAATAAACCATTAATATACAATAATATTACATTAAATCAAACTCAATTCAACATTTATTATGTATTTTGTTGAAAATATTTTCACAAGATACATCATATAAAAAATATTTTTTCAATAAATTATATAATACCGTAAAGTTTTTAATGTTTGAATGATATTGTGTCTGTGGTGGAGAGAATGTTGGATTTTTATTTTCTGGCAGTAGAATTTATTTAATCTTTATAAAATGTAGTGTCTTCATTTGGAACATTGGGTTAATAATACTCAATTTTTGAAAGTTTGATAAAAATTAAATTATATAATATATGTCGGTGTCTTCAAATGTGAGCTTCAGTTTAAGTTATTGAGGCTTTTGTCCAAAGGCCCCCTCTGTGGAAGCTCAGTGTGTACATTTGTGAATGGTGGGTTCCTCTACGGTTACTCATGCCTCCATCCCCTCCCTCATCTGCTATGGAGTCTGTATCCTCCCAGTGTCTCTTGGAATTTGTTGTGTAAAAGAATCAAGGTAATGAATAAGTTAAGAGTACAATAGAGGAGAGGAAATTGCAGAAGTCTATGGGACTAAATTTTCTTTTGTTTTGTTTGTTTGTTTTTTGAGACAGGGTCTTGCTCTGTCACCCAGACTGGAGTGCAGTGGCATGATCACAGCTCACTGCAGCCTTGACCTCCAGGGCTCAAGTGATCCTCTTTCCTAAGCCTTCCAAGTACCTGGGACTACAGGTGCATGCCACCATATCCAGCTAATTTTTGTGTTGTTTGTAGAGACGGGATTTTGCTATGTTGTCCAGGCTGGTCTCTAACTTCTGGGTGGTCTCTAACTCAAGTGGTCCTTCCGCCTTGGCCTCCCAAAGTGCTGGGATTACAGGTGTGAGCCACCACAGCTGACCAATGGAACTAAGTATTTTAATAGGAAAAGTAAAATTGCTAGTTAAAAATGAAAGGATATATCAAGAAAGTAAATGAAGCAGAGAAAAACAGATAAGAATCTACTCTGTATTCAAGAGAGAAACTTTTTTATTATTCAGACAAGAAAACGGGCTCTGGTGCAACTGCTGCCAATTGTGAGCAGAATTAAAAATAGGTTTTAAATAATCTATATATTTATATATAAAACACCCTTAGGGCATTGTTTGAGAAAATGAAGTAAAGATTTAAAATGTCTTCTCTTTGGATTGTGTTTCTTTGGTTGCTATTCTTTGCCAGAACTGGACCTCAGGGTGGCTGACTGTTGCTATTTTTCAGGTTATACAAGGGTCTTTTGGTATCCATCATAGGCGGCTGGTTCCAGGACCCCCATGGATACTAAAGTCTGAGGATGCTCAAGTCCTACAGTCTACCCTGCGGAGCCAGTGGATACAGAAGGTGAATTCCATGTGAGACTCACGAAGGCAGTTGCTCTTATTCAATAGTGCTTGAGGATTTGAGGGCAGGTCTTCTCAGGAGTTGCTGGAAACATTAAGGCACAAAGCAGGCACAGTTAAAACCTGCGGTCTACTTGAAAACACCGTAAACTTGAAAGTGACATGCACATGAAGTATGATCAATCATGAAAATTGGCTGTTGCATGCAAAGCGCTCTTATTAAAGCGTGCTCTACATCTCTTCGAATGCTTGTTAAAATGCAGTTTCCTGGACCTGAATCAACTCTACCAGGCTTGCTTTTTCAGCAGGTTCCTTGGATCATTCTTATGTGTCCCCAGATTTTAGAACCACAGTGTCAGTGGAACAGGGAATTTGGAAGCCGACAGAAAGGCTTGCGCAGGTCTATACCCCATCACAAACAGTAAGTTTTGTGGCTTGCATATCTTGAAATAATACATGTGAACTTCACTTAGCTCAAGTGAAAACCATTTTTCCCCTGTCCTCAATATTCCTGAAAAAGCAAAGAGTTATTGCCGGGATCTGCAAGTCCATTTGTGCCTGGAGTTTGAATCAATACTTTGGTTTGCACATATGCGTACTATAATTTGTCAAATGTAAGAGGATTTTGTTGCTATTTGTAAAATTAAAAAATTAAAATTATTGTATTTAAAGAAGTAGAACCACAAATTATAATTATGTGAGGATTGACAAAAAATTTTAAAAGGATTTCTGAGGTCTTTTTTTTCCTCCTAATTAGGGAGCCACCCAGTGTCCCTGGTAAGTGTAAGCTATCAGCCAGGGCAGAATTCCAAAAGAGACACAGCCCCAGATATTGCCCTTTAATGACTGAACAGGCAAATTAAGTGGAGCTGACTGATCCATGGATCTGTGTGGAACTGCCTGGCCACGTGTTCTTGGCAGAGGGGTTACTCGGTGGCTACTTCATTGCTTCCAGTCTCTTCCCTATGCCATTCCAGAGGTGCAGTGACACACACACTGCAGAAATTTTTGTGACCCATTTATTCATTTAGGAGACTCGAATGACACCATTAACAAAAATTAGGGGTACAAGCAACATGCAGCAACCATTCAGTTTGGTCTATTCCTTGATTTGGAGAAATCTGGAGATGAACTTTTGGAATTTTCTAGTACTTTAAAACTTTGGCCAAGCATTAAATGGAGTTTAAAAGTCAATCTCTTCAGTAGTAGAGTGAAATCACATGAATAGATTTATACTTGATTTTTAAAATGTCAGTCTACAAAAAGCCAAAAAACAGAGGGAAAAAAACAAGGTTGCAGCAGGTGAAAGAGTTTCCTGCAGTCCATATCAGATGTGAGAAAGAAGCTGTCTGCCTCTTCAATGTGTTAAAATTTGGTTAGAGATCCTCCCACGCTGTATTAGCCTGTTCTCATGCTGCTAATAAAGACATACCCAAGACTGGGTAATTTATAAAGGAATGAGATTTCATTGACTCACAGTTCCACATGGCTGGGGAGGCCTCACAATCATAGTGGAAGGTGAATGAGGAGCAAAGTCACGCCTTACATAGTGCAGGAGAACTCCCTTTTATAAAACTGTCGGATCTCGTGAGACGTATTCATTACCATGAGAACAGTATGGGGGAAACCGCCCCTATGACTCAATTATTTCCACCTGGCCCCATCCTTGAAACATGGGGATTATTACAATTCAAGGTGAGCTTTGGGTGGGGACACAGCCAAATCATGTCACATACCTACAACTGAAACTATTAGAGGTTAAAAGTTTTAAAATTACATAAAACTTCAGTGAGAATGGGAAGGGATTTTATAAAACTGTTTGTTGTTCTTCCCTTCCTCCCCATATATTCTCTAGCGCACACACTCATATCCCCCCCCCCCCACATACACACACACACACACACACACACACCACAGACACATGTTGCCACCCATGAAGTAAGAGTCAGGATTTTTTTTTCTTTGAATATTTCTTTTCCTCCAGGAAATGGTAGAGGCAAAACATCTCTAAAAGAGTTAAGGATTTTTAAGACTTAAAGGTGTAAAGGATAGTAGTTAGTTCTGATTTTCTTTTTCCTCTTTTTTTACTCATGCGCCTAAATGTTTTCCTAAACTTGGAGCCAGAAAATGAGGAAAAGGGAAACATTCTCATGAAAACAAATCCAACCTCCGCTCAAAATATATGTATGAAAGTTTTCCTCAAACCGATTTTTCTTTTTAGATTCCAAAAAGCTCATTGAGTTGGCTTTTTGAGCAATCAGCGTTTTCCAGTAGCAAGCAAATTTCCTTCCCAGTGGGAAATTTGCTGATAAAACGACTGGAACCAGTGCGCCACCTGATGGTCTTTCCACACATTTCAGTTTACTAGAAAAAGGCAAAAAAAAAAACAACCATGGAAATTCCCTTTAGCAAATGTACTGTATTCTAACTTGAGTCAGGGCAGAGTCTCATAGATTAACAGTTGCTGCTTAAACTAAATATTCACTCACTTTATATAAAACAAAAACTATTTTATCCATGACCTTCAATCTGAATCCTTTATTAGACTAATTTGTTAGGAAATACTAAGTTGATCTAGTTTGCTGATAATTTTCATTTTCATTTTTCAGTTACAGGCAAATATTTTAAAAGTACATATTAGAGGCCAAAGGACGTTATCCAACATCATTCCCAACCCCCAAAGTAAAATAAGCCCTCAGGTAATCTAGAATCAGCCTTCCAAATGTGGGAGTTGCCCAAGGTCATTTCATTCAATGTGAATCAAAAATTAATTGAGCTCAAAGTTAACACCATCAACAGACATCATGAGGATCCTAGAAAGATGCACTGAGAAGGGCCCAACATCACTTCTGTGGGTTTCGTGCCAAAAATGAAAGACACTGGAGAAATCCAGGGAGTAACAACCTAGAAAATAACTGGCCTCTGCTCTTCAAAGACATCAAGGTGAAGAAACACAAAGAGATCCTGAGGAAATGTTCCAAAACAAAAAAGCCTAAAGAGACATTAACCCAAGTATGATTGGATCCTGGACTGGGGTAAATAGGAAAAAGGACATTGTTTGGACAAGTGATGATATTTGAAAATGGACTTGGGACTAAACAATAGCATTCTATCCATGCTAAATTTTCTTATTTTCATAATAATATGATGGCATGTAAGAAAATGTCTTTGGTCATTGGAAATATATGCCTTAAGAAAATCTGCAAGAGTTGAATCAACATATGGATACAGAGCATTGAGGTCACTTTGCTTGTAGGTGGCACAAAAAGAAAATAGGTACAGGTGGGAAGTCCCAAGTATCATGTTTTCTGCTCCCTGTCCTTGTCTAGGGCTGTCTGGCTAGGGGCTGGGATTCTTGGTAAGATCTGTCTTAGAGTTAGATCTTGGTAGATGAGATCTATCTTATAGATATGGAAGATCAGCTTCTATATCTCCCGTATCTATAAGAGGAAATGGATATTCTCCCACCTGCTGTCTTTAGCCTCCCTTCCTAGGATGCTCTGAGGATCAAAGTAGACAATAGTCTAAAGGTTAAGAATGTGTTAAACCCCTGTATGGTAGAAAGCAGGGAAAGAGGGAGACAGGGTACCCTCTACTGATGAAGGTTCCAGTAGCTGGGAGAGAGAAACTATCTGTATGTTTCAGGAAGTAAAGTCAGATATAAAAATGCAACCAGTAATTAGGGATTTGTATCATGTATGCCAACTATAATTCTCAGTTTCACCATATTTCTCTCAACATTATCTCATCAGATTTGTACAATGACTTTGCATATGATGTGGAGGAAGTACTATAAGCTACATTTTATTGATGATGACAATAGAGCTCACATATAAATAACAGCACCTCTATTTTGTTTTGTAGATATTAGTCCTGGACAGAGCTGGTGTAAGTTAATAGGCCAACTGTCTCATGGACATTCACAGCTCCTTGGTTTGATCCAAGATGATCCCTTAGTAGAGGCATCATAGTTTTGCAGAAAGAGCTGTATCTTTGAAATATTCCAGGCCTGGATTGGCATGTCATGTGTACCACTTCCTGAGCATACAGACTTCAGCTGGGGTTGCTCTACCTCTCTGAATCTCAGTTTCCCCAAGATCTTGTGCTTTTAACTACACTGCATGTCCATAAATGTTACAAGCATTGTTTTGCATGTGTATTCATTATAATTTGTTGTAACTTTATTGAAGTATAATACAAATATGGAAAAGGGCCATGTCCACAGTGTACAGCTCTGTGCACTTCCACAAAGAACAAACTTGCGACACCATCACCCAAATCATGGAAGCAAATGCCACCCAGAAGCCCTTTCTCTGGTAGTATTGTCTGGTAGTATTGACACCATAAGTGGGATGTTACTGTACACATCATTTTGCAATTTGCTGTTTTCAATCAAAGTCATGTTTTTGAGCTCTAAACTGCTGTATTGAATGTAGTTCAAATTGAGAAAAATCATTTATCTGGAGCATTTTCAACAGCTTATCACTTAATAAAATAAGATAATGCATAGAGCGGAGAAGGCAGGAGAGAGAAAAAAAGGAGGGGGAGGCAGAGAGGGAGAGAGACAGGGAGTGAGAGAATGAATATGCTGAGCCATTTCCCCCACTGCCAAGCACAGTAAGTCCTTCTGACCAAACTAGGGGCAGCCTTGTCTGTGGCTGCCTGCATCTGCATCTTCACACATTATGCATGTGAAGGATAATGTTCTGGAATGTCCACTCACATGGGTGTTCTCTGGCAGGTCATTTTTAATCCCTGTGACCTCCTAGGGGAAACATCCTTCCCCCGTTTCTTCATTGTAACTCATTTTCAGATCCCAGTGGATCTTTGCCAAGCATTTTATTATATTTATTTTTCTTCCTTGATAACCTTGGCCTTTGCTGATTTCATAGCCAAAGTGGTAGAGATGAAAATCCTGTCGGTGGTCCTGGCTGAGGACACTGGAGGGCAGTGGGGATCACTCGATTGTACCTGTGGTGGAGAGGTGATCCCCAGTCTACTTTACAGAAGATCTAAGGAGCCTCCTTAGGAAATGCCATCTAAAGCCCCATCTCACCAAGCAGCTCTTGACCACAACTTGAAGTTACAGTCATTGAAAGCTCAGCCAAGATGGCTCCCAGCTCCATTCATGCTTCCTTCTGTAGCTGGAGGTCCTGGGTGGAGTGGGGGCCACAGTTAGAACCCACAGGAAGTGTTTGAGCTGGTGGTCACCATGACAGGTGCAGACATCTGCCTGCCTGTTCCCAGGGCTCATCCTCCTCCCTGCAAGGCATGGCACGAACAGCAGGGAGACTGAGGGGCCTCTGGGGCCGGAACACCTGAGTTCCAAATCCTGCAGCCACCTGAGAGCTGTGTGACCACAGAAATGGTGCTGAGCCATCCAAGAAGCAACTTGTTCCCATTTTGCATGAGAATTCAATGAAATCGAGAGTATAAACCACGGATCACAAAGCCCAGCCATGGTAGACAGAGATGTCATTTCCTTTTCTTTGTTCCTTCCTTTCCGTTTTTAACTCTTCTACCTGCTCTTTCCTCTTTCTCTTTTCCTCCCTCCCTCTCTTCCTTACTTTTTTTCTTCTTTCTTCCCTTGTTCCCTTTCCTAAAACAAAGTACCACATTGCTAAATCTAGGTGCTAGATTCATGGATATGTGCTACATGTATTATCTGTGTATTTCTAAGTGTTTAGAATATTTCATAATTTAAAAGTAAAACATTTAAACAATACCCCTCCAAAAAAAGTCTAAAGGCCCACAGTAGACAATTTGAAGTAGAATTTGAAGGTAGAGCTATCTGCAATATTTCCAAGCTCTCAGATGATTGCATTATGCAGCACAAGTTGAGAATCACTGGGCAGTCCCTCTATTCCAATTGCTAACTTTTGGGGAGAGTGATTCTGTTTTCTCCAAATGGGATGAGTGACCCCTGCCTGGCTCAGCTTGTCCCCGTCAACATGGGCATGCCCTGGAGGCATTGCTGGGGCAGACATTTGAAGACTTTGGAAATAGCAGAGGGAAAAGGTGTCCACCAGGCCTGACCATTTGTTAGGGTCAGAGAAAAGTGGTTAATTCACCCTGCAGAACACTAACCAAATACGAGCGCGATTTATGCCCCCACCTAAAGCCCATATGGAAGCATGGGAACCCCAGGCCTGGGAGAGACCTCTGCAAAGCTCCATCCTGAGTTTCCCTCAAGAGAATCAACCTTAAGAGATCAGAGTTTCAGAGATGAAGTCTCCTTCATTCTGTGCCAGAGTTAACCTAAATTCCTTCCACTCCCCAGACCCCATCATGGGCCTTGACCATGTACCAGAGGCCTGTGCTGAAGATAAAACCTGATTGCATTTCTGCCTCCTAGAGTCTGAAGAAACGGGAGGCATGGGGAAGTGACTCAGATGAAAGAGGCTGCATATTATTTTCTGTACAGTGGATTCCAAAGAAAAACAAATAACAGAATCCTATGTAATCAAGAAAAATATTACAGCTAAATGTTAGACTCAACTTTAGCTAATCTGTCAATGAGAGAAAAAAGCAAAATCACATAGGAGTGTTCTATTGTGTGCAGCCCCAATACCATCACAAAATGGGTTTTATAAAAATGTGTTGATGGCCAGGCGTGGTGGCTCATGCCTGTCATCCCAGCACTTTGGGAGGACGAGGCGGGTGGATCACCTGAGGTCAGGATTTCGAGACCAGCCTGGTCAACATGGTGAAACCTTGTCTCTACTAAAAATTGAAAAAGATTAGCCGAGTGTGGTGGCCTGGGCCTGTAATCCTACAATCCCAGCTACTAGGAAGCCTGAGGCAGGAGAATTGCTTGAACCTGGGAGGTGAAGTTTGCAGTGAGCCAAAATCAAGCCATTGCACTCCAGCCTGGGCGACAGGAGCGACACTCCATCTCAAAAACAAACAAAAAACAAAACAAACAACAACAACAAAAAAGTGTTGATGTAAAGTGTTGATGTAAACTTGGACTATGTTCAGGAATTAGAGGTGTGCAAATGACATGGGATTGGGAGTTATAAAGCACAATCTAAGTCGGGGGCGGGGAGTAATGACTGGAATGTACTAGTTGTCTTGATTTAAGCTAGCAAATGGTTTTAGAACATTGTTAACAAAAGAAAGGATCTTTTTTCATTTTTGTTTTTGTTTTTGAGACAGAGTCTTGCTCTGTTGCCCAGGCTGGAGTGCAGGGGCATGACCAGGGCTCCCTGCAGCCTCCACCTCCCAGGCTCAAGTGATCTTCCCATCTCAGCCCCCCAGTAGCTGGGATTGCAGGCACGCACCACCACATCCAGCCAATTTTGTATTTTTTGTAGAGATGAGTTGTCACCATGTTTCCCAGGCTGGTCTCGAACTCCTGGGCTCAGGCTATCCTCCTGCCTCCCAAAGTGCTGGGATTACAGGCATGAGCTGCTGCTCCCAGCCATCACAAGTATCAGTTAAATAGAGGAAATATTCATAATGGTTTCTTGTTTTTAGTCAAGATTTTCTTTGATTCAGATATTATAGAATCAATTTTTGTGCTTTTGCACGATATTGGTGAGAGCAGTGACCACGTTCAAGTGTTGTAAAAAGAAAAGATGTGTGTGTGCCTGTGTGTGCTTTTGTAAAAATGGCTTTGAGGAGAGGGGCACATTCTGCCAAATATCCTTCCTTTCTTTTTAACAAAAGAGGATAAGTCATAATCTTTTGCTTCCAAGGTTATCAATTTCCAGGTAATGTTCCCAGTATTGGTCATGTTACTCTCGGCTGGAAGGCACTGGGGGACATCAGGTGTGTTCCAACTGAAGATGGGTGACTCCAGTAGCTCCTGGGTGGTCTTCTCTGTAGGTTAAAGCTCTTCCTCCAGATGGAGCTGAACACTGCCAGTCATCGCTCTCTAAGTCAAGTCCTCCAGTGCGGAGAGCTGGAGCATTTGAGCATTCCTTTTCTTCTCCATGCCAAGATCTGAGTTTCCTGTGTTCCTGTTCTCACACCATTCTTCTCTGTTTTTCCACCTATTTCAACAAAACTTAAATCTGTCAACACTTGGCCATGCCCTCTGCCAGTGTGCGGTATTTGGGTTTTAAATGTAGAGGGGATGTTCAACTAAAAAATCAATAAATAAATTCCCTACTGCCTCTCCAACTGGATTTGTGTAATTGTGTCAGACAAAATCAAGTGTGTAGATGAGTGCACATTGTTTGTGTTGAAAGACGGTTTCCACACACACTGAAAATAAAGTTTGAACTCTTTATGGTCTGAAAAATGAGAAATTAGAGGAGACCACTGTTTGAGGAATTAGCACCTCATACTTTACTGCAAGAAGCTAAAATCAGGAGGATTTTGGTGTGTGAAGAGGTCTTCCTTTGAAAGTGGTGGAGCTTTGTCCCAGCTCTGTCCACTTAGACGGGCTTGAGGAAAGGAATCCCAAATAATAATAACTACACTAGCTTATAGATCTCAGTTACTAAATTCCATTCTCCTTTAAAAGGAATCAGAGATCTTTAGAGAAGTGGTTGGGGAAGGAGAGATCAAAATGAGCCTGGAACTTCACTTTGAGCCATAAAGTAAAGAAGTAAGGAAAGATTGATGGGGCAGGCAGTATGAGTCTACTCAGGCTGCCATAACAAAATAACACGGGCTTGGTGGCTTAAACAACAGACATTTATTTCTCACAGTTCTGATGGTTGGAAGTCTCGATGTGCAGGCAGCATTGGTTTCTGGTGAGGGCTCTCTCACTGGATTTGCACAATTTTATTAGGCCCAGAATTGGGATGGGCCTAAACAAGTAAATGTGTTCTCGGGGTGTACAGTAGACCACTCATGAAGTGGTCTACTGAGGATGTGTGCTTTTTACTCTTCATGAATTTTACCTCAAAGAAGAAAAAGAAGAATGAAGAGAAAGAGGAAAAGGAGGAGGGAGAGCAGGAGGAGAACAAAAGAGGAGGAGAGAAAGGAAAAGTGTAAACAAATGAGCTCTGGTTAATGATATGATTGCTGAAGTGTTTAGGAGTGAAGGGCATTAACATCTACAACTTAACTTTAAGTGCATCCAAAAAATAAGATGGACTGATGGATAAACAGAGGGATGGATGTGTGCTAAAGCAAGTAAGTATATTCAAATGTTAATATGGCATAGGTGGTGGGTAGACCTGTGCTCACTGCAATATTTTTTAAATGTTTTAAATTTCCATCTTGAGAAAATAGAGGTGTTCTACTAAGATAAAATACCAAAAGTTCATAAATCTGGGCTGTTACAGCATCAAGCAACATATGGCATTTGTCCAAAAGCAATCTCAGTCCATAGAGTTCTTCTTCTCCTTCCCTAACATAAAATCTTTCTTGCTCTGTTTAGTTGCATAATCAAATTCTAAAGTCAAACCCAGATATTTTATGGTATTTTGACCTCCAGTTAGAATCACACAAAGCCTTGTATCTTTCTCCAATAAACTTTATTTTTAATGATGTTATACTATTAATAACACTCCATTAAAATATACTTAACACTGGGCAGGGCAGTGTCTGCTTTCTTCCCTGCTCTTGCCCTGATGCCAGAACAGAGCCTGGAGCCCAGTCGGTGGTAAGAATTCTTTGGAACTAAAAAATTAAATGAAAGCATGAAAAATGGGATTTCTGACAAGACCTGGATGGCATCTGCTAACAAGCGTACAGCAACAATCACAATTTCTGTCTAGTTGAGTGTCAAGACTAATGAGGATTAGAACTAAGAGTGGAGTCTCCAAAAATTTATTATTAAATCATTCAAAAATATGTATCAGCTTACATCCTACTTTGCACAAGACATGCCATCAGGCATGTCTGGATTTGAGCTCACAGCCGCTCACTGTGTCATCTGGAATAAGTTGACTAACCTCTCTATGCAGCAGTTTCCTCATCTGCATAAAGGAAACAGCAAGAATTGTCCCAAGGTGTTGTTCTGAAGATCCATTAATTATTTCTGTGAATAACTTGGCAGAACCAGGCACAGAGTAAGAGTTCAAAAACTGGAAGATCTTTTAAGGTAACAATTCTATAATAATATTAGAGTTCAGATGTGGAGGTGATCACAAAGCCCCAAAGATGAGAAAAGGTGAGTCATTCAATTGACATTTATAATCAGAATGCTTTGGGAAAGGCCCTTGGCTATGTGTTTAGCCAGCCCTGGTAGCAGAATTGCAAGATGTGACCAGATCTGCAGATAGTGGCCATATGTCAAGGACAACTCACCTGCCATCGAGCATCCTTGTCCTGAGCCTTCATAATGCAGTGTGTGTGCCAGGGGGTGTGGAGCTGCTGGTTATCATTGTGCATTTGCATAGCTCAACGGTATTTGTAGAAATGACTGTTTCAAATGTCAGATTCACAAATGAGCAAGCATAGGTACGGCAGTCAAAATTTGTCTTTGGCCTTTCCCATCTTAGCTTTTGCTCCTCTCTTTTCTCTCTTTCTATATTCCTTGTCCTGAGTCCCCAGTATAGAAATAAGAGACACTGCTTTTTTTGAAGCACAAACCATGGAAAAATGAGGCCATGTATTCTAGATCAGTGATTTTCAAACTGGGGTACTCAGGCCCCTAGATGAATGTAAACATTTTCCCACAGATTCTCCTTCAAGGGAAGTATAAGAAAATCAACTTCCATACCTGTACTCCCATTACAAAGTTTCCTAATATCAACCATAATGCTCATTGCAATTGCCCAGATCCCACTCCATTCTGAATCAGACTATGCTGCCCTACTCCTGAGTAGAAAGCCCTCCAGGGCATCAAGCAGAGGGAACTTCCATTAGGGCATATCAGCCATTGTAAAACTCATGTGGGATTACTATCTTTCCCTGGCTTCTCTTAGGAATGAAGATTGCATTTTACAAATATTGCACGTTGCTAAAAGCACATATCTGGAGACTTCCTGGGATATTCTGAATTACATGTGATGGATGAACAGGGTATGCTGAGGGAGGATACCTGATGGTGCAGATATTCAAGGTCAGATGGGCTGTATCATTTGTATTGCTGATCTTGAAAATTAAAAATGAAAAAACTTTTCCCACAGAGATCGGTTGTAACATTTGCTTAATTTCTTTCAATTAGAGTATCAAACAATTGCTCACAAAGACTGACACCCCAAGGAAGGCCTCCTTCCCCTGCTTTTTACCACCGATGTTAGTAAGCATGCTGCACAGTCATCATCACATACTGATTTGTCACTTGAACTTGATTGACAAGAGACATAGACCAGTTGTGTGTGCACGCCTAATTTTATGGGTGAGTTGCATGGCTTGTGATGATTAGACATTAAACAAAATAAACTCTAAGTCCCTTGAGAGGAAGATCTAGTTTTATTTCACTTGGTTTCTTGCAGTTATTCATTCTCAATAAACAGTTTTTAAGTAAACAAATTAATGAATAAATATATTACCAATATAGGAATGTGCCTGAGTCTCCATCATACAACCTAACTCTGCAGAGAATAACTGAAAAACAAAAAGTTTTCTATTCTTCTAGTTCAGTTTCATTTGTCTTAAAACAAGATCCCCCGCTTTTAGCTAGTTGTGTAGTGCTCCCTGCTCATTTTCATTGCAGCTAAGATATTCTATTTCTGCCAAAAGGCATTATTGACCTATTTTTTCATTCTCAATGACCAGAAAGTTGCTAAGTACAAGCTCTTCATTTCTTGATGACACTCTTCATCTCTTAGTTGAAACTTCTTAGAGGTCAGCTGGGATTCATTGCTAGTAGAGACCACTGCCAACTTAGGCACAAACCACAATTTAAACAAAAACTAAGAGATATGAGGGTAAAGGATGGAAGTGATGCTGGGTGGGGGAGTAAGATATTAATTTCCCAAGATATGCTTGGCCATAGCACTGAGCAGAATTGACCTTGTTTTTTTTTTTTTGTTTTTGTTTTTGTTTTTTAATAATCAGGAGTGTTTTTTTGGTTTTGTAATTTCCTAAATAAGACACCACAGACTAGTTGAAAGAAATGGATTTTGCAACCCAAAGAATTTTGGTTTGAAGATCACTACCAACCTCACGGTGAACTGCTGGAATAGTGAGAAGTTGGTGAGACACCTGGGTTTAGAATTCTGACTCAGCTAAATTATTTTGGGAAATTGGGTATGTTTTAAACCTTTCCAACCCTGTGTTTCCTTATCTGTAAAGTGAGAATACGTGGTATAACTTCTCAGAAGGTTTGGTAGCTCAGTATCTGACACATAGCATGTACTCATAAAGGCTGAGTGTCCATTTTAACCATGCAAAGGGTTATTTAGCTTCTCTGACCTTCACTTACCTTCTCAACTCCTCCTTCTACTTGCCTGTACAATACTGTGGGGGCAATCAAAATGCATTCAAAGGTGTATGGCACATGGCGACTCTAACAGAAAGTAATTAGTAATTATTAGTAATCTTAGTAACATTAATAATACTAGTACTTTTAAATTTAATGCTAATTAATACAAGTGTTAGTGCTGGAAGTTCTAATAATCATGACAGTTTGTAGGTAAGAGAAAAGATGCAGCCAAGACCCACATCTGGTCCTGAAAAATGAATATCAGAAGTTTGTTTTATTATTTTGCATTTTTCAAATCAAATGAAAATTTCCTTTGACTCTCACCGCTTCTATTTTCCTTCCTGCCCTTTGGAAGCCATTAATCTCCTATTTTCAGATTGATTTTAAAAAGCCAGCCACAATGCCAGTGCCTGCCCTCATTCCTCTGCTGAAGTGATTTCAGTTTCCTCTAAAATATTAGATTTTTCCCTTGCTCTTATTTACTATGCACAGATGCAGAAGGAGAATTACTCAAGTTTTGCAATAAAAATAAGCTTGGCTTTGTGAGCACCTGCTTTCCGCTGTTTAATAATGCCGAGCTCCCTTTTTCTCTGTGGTTCTGTTTACTCTTCTACAAATTATTTTTGTTCTCAGTTGACAAAGATAAATGATGGGATTAATATATATTGAAGAAGTCTCTGTGAGCAGTATGCCAGCCCAGAGGAAGGGTGGGTATTATTTCCCTCAGGTAAGGAAACACAGCAAACTGGATTAAGAGTAATTTGCTGTGGGGCTTATAGATGATCATGATCCATTAGTGGTACACCATTTATGAAAATTGCTTTTTCTTAAATAAAAATTAGAATGACTTTCACTATCTTGTCAGAACTGAGCCAATCCAACTGCATTTTCCCCCAAGGGAAAACAAAATATCAATGGCAAAGCTTAGATTCTTTTTATTTAAACTCAAAGCAATTTTCAAACTCTTCAAAGTAACAGTGAAAATAAACTGTATGGCAAAGAACTCTATTCTCTAACGTCCAGGAATACTGCTATACAGTTAAGAGTTGAAAACTCTAAAAAAAGATGAAAAGAAAAGAAACTATACAAAAATACTTGAAAGAAAAATGAGTAAAGTGAATCCAGTGTTGTACTTTTTGATCATCGTTATTAAAATTTTGCAAATGTATGTAATTTAGGTAGCGATTTTGCAAAATGTGGTGTGAGTGAAGACATTCAATATAATGGTATTTTTGTTTTCATCTTACGGAATTTCTTTGAGTAATATTTTCAAACAACAAATTCAAAATGTACCTAAGCATCTCCTCTATCTTGGCATCCCATTTACCAAGCGCAGTGACTCCCACAGCTGAGATGAAGCACAATCAACACAATCTTACATTACCAGGCTGCCCTAGGACAGAACATTTTCATCTTGTTAGGAATGTATTCGTTTATTGTTGTGCCTATAATAATTGTTAAAACTTTTTAACATTTGATTAGTTTTTTAAAAAATGCATTAAAGATGAGTCTAAAAAGTGTCAAAATGCTCATTATTTAGAACAATGAAAAAAAGTTTTGCCTTTCCTGTTTTAATTTGAAATTTCTTTTGCCTTCTTTGTTTTGGTGTGTGGATGAAGTAGCCTTATTTCTTATATTTCCAATTTGCATCTTGGGGTGGGAGTTGCTATCAGGCCAACATCTTCAAAGTGAAACAAAAAGAACGCAGGGAGCAGTTATGTCTTACATCGTACTCAAACAGGCCTTAGTTTTGCCAAGAACAAAAGCAGCTGTGGATTTGGAACAAGATTATGTTATGGGTGGCTGCACAGTCATGGATCTCTCATATGAGAATTGAGGGTGTGGAGCACATTTATGATTCAGAAAGGAGAAAGAAGGACTTGTGTGTTCAGGACCTTGGGGTAAGGTTAGAATAACACACTTTTCTATCTCAAGTTAACCAACTGGAAATTGGACTTCTCTTGAAGCTAGAGAATCCATCAGTCACCTGAATTAAAAAGAGGTGATTCTAAAGCTTTCATCAAGACCTGAAACCTTGATGCCCCAGAAATTGGTGCATTGGTCGGGTATGGCCTTAGTGGTGCTGTGGAGTGGATGGTGTTCGTTTGTGAGAGCACCCACTCCTAAGTAATAGTGATGGGGGCCCCTGTGTTCAACACCTTGCTCCTGCCTTTTCCCACATTTATTCAGCTCACAGACACATAAATCTCAAAGTCACCCACATCCACACTGGCACTTGTGCCCAGGCGAACATTGATAAAGTAGACTCTGCTTCATGGACTCTACCCACAGGGGGGAACTGGATGGAAGCATTAGGCAGATTATAATAAGCCTCACAAAATTTGGATTCATTGATTTTGTAACTTTGATGGCACCCAAATTTACCAAGTCTTGTCTGGATCCTTAGGATATCACACCAAGAAAGATTATTCCAAATAGGTCTACAGGTAATCAGTTATTCTCAAAGCCAGTTGTCTACAACTGAATTTCCCAAATCTGTCCTAGGAGGTTTGGTCAATGCCCAAGTTAATCAGATACCTTCATGTTCATCGGAGGCTAAGAGTTGCCTGTTAATATAATGCCTGAGTAAACAGGTGGTGTTAACTATCATAGTGATACTTTCCCCCTCCTTCATAAAACTTTAAAAGTCAGGCCATTTAGTATTACATTTATACAACATGTAAGGACAGACTGGAACAAATGGAATCTTGTCTAGTTGAGAAATATTAAGTTGTTCTCTATACCACCTTTCCACAAGCAAGTAAATCAATTCAAAGCATTCCATCCAAGAAACTGGAAGTCTCTTGATGTGCGTAGCTGTGATAGCAAGATTATAAATGGGAAAAATGAGGTATATATTTGAGAACAGTTCCCTTCTAACCCCTAGAATTCCTAAGATTATCACTCAGTGGTCAAGATGGTCATAGAAATATGGTTCTCATGGGGAAACCAGATGGCGGGAGCAGGGTTCCTGAAGAGACCATCATCACCGTTCCTAAGGAGTGCTCTTACAAACCAACAGCACCCACTCTACTCTCCACCCAGTTAATTCTGTCCATCTTTCAGTTTATTGCAAATCCCTCACCTCCATGCAGTTTCCCCTGATCCCTGCAGTGGGCCAGGCCTCCTGGTTACCTGCTCCCATGGCACCCTGCACTGCTCCTGGTAATACTTAGCAGAGGTGTGGTAAATCATTACTAGTGTAAGTTTATAAGCAAGGTGGGGATGGGGGTCTTGCCTGTATTATTTTCACACAATGTTTCTACATCATAGATTCTCAAAAAAAAATTGTTTAATAAAACTAATGGTGGATAAGTGAGTGAATGTGTGTGTGAACAAAAGTCACTTATATGTAAATGTCTGACAAGGAAGAGCTGAGTAAATGTATATTTTCATCTTTCCTCATATATCACAGTGTGGGGGACAACTAACCCCTCTACATGGATATTAGAAGCCAGGCTTGGTTGGCTGCTATGGAACATGCAAAGCCATGTGGCCCAGTGGAGTCTACAGAGAGGTTCATGCAACAACTTGCCCTTCAGTCAATTAACTTTTCTTTCAGAAAAAGTCCCAAATAAATTGGAAACACTTTGGAAATTTGCACTTGCTTCATATGAATAAAACAGAATGTGCAGTATTTTTCTATAAGAAACCCTTACCTGAGGTCAAAGGAATCTTAAATTATTTTTAAAAAATGAATTCTTTCTTGCAACAGGACTACATTTAAATCATGATAAATAAACTGAAAACATAAATAACTCCATTTCAAGGGAAGCCCTGTTCTACCCATTCTACCACCAGGCTGATTCTACTTATGCATGGACCAGATCCTTTCTTCTGCACATAATTACATCTCCACCCTGGCTTATCAAAGATGGAGACTGGCTGGTTGATGATTATGCCTACCTTGAAGATGTTCCTGGGCTTTATCTTTTTTTGTGGTTGTTCCATTCTGTTCTTAGAATTCTTTGATCTTATTGTATATTATATTATCTCCAGTATTAGGTCATATTGGGCCATAACATTGTCATTATTATTTTGAATTCTACTGAGATCTTGCAAAATTCATGAGTGCCTTAAATGTTCTATGCCTCTGTAAGCTTTTGATATAGTTCTATTGGTATTGTGATGGCAGTAACTGACTTGGCATTGATATTGGTATGTCAGGCGAGGTAGAAAGGGCACTAAATTGTGGACTAGGCTCCTGCTCTCAATTCCTACCTCCACCGTTATTGCCATGGAACCCTCAGCTCTCTGAGCTTCTATCTCTTCATACCTAAAATGAGGACACGGACTAGTCCTGAGGTTTCTAACCCTGGCAGCTCATTGAAATCACCTGTGTATGAATTACCCTGCAGGCTCCAGAGCCTACCCCGGGAGACTGGGTTCAGTTGGTCTGGGTGGGAACCAGATGGACTGGATGTGATTTGAGGGTACCTGCAGCTAAGAGCTCAAGAAATTTAGAAAGATGAGGATCTGGGTCAACTTTGTGGGTGAAGTTCACTTAAACTGGACTTTAAAATGCAGACAAGATTTCAATAAGTAGAAATGGGTGATGGTCTTTGGGAGAAATTAAAAAAATAGAACATGTAGAACATGTGCATGGATGTGAAAGAGTGAAGTTTTGTCAATGAAGGCTGGGTGTGGTGGCTCATGCCTGTAATCCCAGCACTTTGGGAGGCCGAGACGGGTGGACCACCTGAGGGCAGGAGTTCGAGGAGCCCGGCCAACACAGGAAAACCGTGTCTCTACTAAAAATACAAAAATTAGCCAGGCTTCGTGGTGGGTGTCCGTAGTCCCAGCTACTTGGGAGCCTGAGGCAGGTGAATCGCTTGAACCTGGGAGGCAGAGGTTGCAGTGAGTCGAGATTCATGCCACTGCACTCCAGCCTGGGAGACAGACCAAGACTCAAAAAAAAAAAATATATATATATATATACACATATATATATATATATATACATATATATATATATATATATATATATATATACATATATATATATATATATATATATATATATATATATATATATGAAGTTTGAGGTGGATTGACCAACAGGTTCCTTGCTTTTCTGGACAGAGTGTTTCTTGGGAGTAAGGGACACACTAGAAAGGCTACATTGATCCAGCAACTCATCTTAGTGGATTTAATAATTCGGGAGCATGAGGTGTCTCACCTCACATGGTTCCACCTTGGACTGACCTCCCCAGTCTCTTTCCATCTTTCTTTCTTTGCCCAGGTTTCTTCCTCTTTATTTTTACCTTATTATAGTGGGACTGTTTTATAAGCCACCTCAAATAAACTTTATTTTTGGCAGAGGATCACGAGGGTAAACTAATCATTTTTTTAAATCTGTAGGCTACAAAGAATTTGGGTTTATGAGGTCTGCCTGGGATCCAACTGTACTGCATGTGATTGCAGGGCACATTCAGCTGAGAGCTCAAGAAATTTACAAAGAGGATGAGGAATCAGAGTCAACTTTGTGGGTGAAGCTGACTTAAACTGAGCCTTGAAAAGTCAGCAAAATTGAATAGGTGGATTAATTTTAATTCGCTTGCATGACCATTGCGCTGACCGTGAGCCCCCAGAAGGCAAAGCGAACTGAATTTGCCTGAGTCTCCACAATCAGAATAGTGCTGGGCACCTGACCAAACCCCACAAATGATGGAAGTATAAATCTGAGAGCAGGAAATGGACACGGGTGGAGCATTGTCATCATGCAATTCCCCCTCCAGATGAACTATATCTCTCATCTCCTTAAACCTTGCCATAGCCCTTCATACAGTTTGGCTGTGTCCCCACCCAAATCTCACCTTGAATTGTAACAATCCCCATGTGTCAAAGGCGGGGCCAGGTCAAGATAATTGAATCACAGGGGAGGTTTCCCCACACTATTCTCATGGTAGTGAATAAGTCTCACAAGATCTGATGGTTTTTTAAGTGGGAGTTCCCCTGCACAAACTCTCTTGTCTCTCACCATGTAAGACATCCCTTTGCTCTTCCTTTGTCTATTCACCATGATTATGAAGCCTCTCCAGCCATGTGAAACTGTGAGTCCATTAAACCTCTTTCCTTTGTAAATTACCCAGTCTCGGGTATGTCTTTATTAGCAGTATGAGAACAGATGAATACAGCCCTGCAGCAATTGGTCTGATTAACCTGAATCTCACCATTTACTCTCAGACCTCTTCTCTTCTCACTTTACTGTGGTTTGACTCTAGGTGACAAAAACCAATCTGTGGTATTTGTCTCTGTGCCTGGCTTATTTCACTTAGTGTAATGTTCCCTAGGTTTATGCATGTTGTCACAAATGACAGAATTTCTGCTTTTTTTTTAGGCTGAATAGTATTCCATTGTGTATAGACGCCCTTTTGTTAAGTTTATTCCTCACTGATGTGCGAACTTCGGCTGTTTCCGTATCTTGCTATTGTGAATAGTGGTGCAATGAACATGGGAATGCAGACATCTCTTGGAGAAACTGATTTCATTTCCTTTGGATAGAACCCAGAAGTGGGATTGCTGGGTCTTATGGTAATTCCGTTTTCAGCTTTTTGAGGGACTTCCATACTGGTGTCTGTAGTGGCTGTACTAATTTACAATCCCACCAGCAACATGCAAGAATTCCACTTTCTCCATATCCTCACCAATATGTGTTATCGTTCCCCCTTTTTTTTTTTTTTTTTTTTTTTTTTTTGCGATGGAGTCTTGCTCTGTCATTCAGGCTGGAGTGCAGTGGCATGATCTTATCTCACTGCAACCTCTGCCTCCTGGGATCAAGTGATTCTCCTGCCTCAGCCTTTCGAGTAGCTGGGACTACAGGTGTGCACCACCATGCCCAGCTATTTTTTAAAAATTATTTTTAGTAGATACAGGGTTTCGCCATGTTGGTCAGTCTGGTCTCAAATTCCTGACCTTAAGTGATCCACCTGCCTCGGCCTCCCAAAGTGCTGGGATTACAGGCGTGAGTGACCACGCCTGGCCTCTTTCTTCTTTTTGATAATAGCCAACCTTACAGTTGTGAGGGGGCATCTCACTGTGGTTTTAATTTGCATTTCTCTGATGATTAGAGGTATTGAGCATTTTTCACATATGTGTTGGCTATTTGCAAGTCTTCTTTTGAGAACTGTGTCTATTCAGGCTCTTTGCCTACTTTTAAATAAGTTTATTTGTTTTCTTGTTATTGAGTAGAATGAGTTCCTTGTATATTTGGGGCATTAGCCTCTTACCTCATGTATGATTTGCAAATATTTTCTTCCAATCTGTGGGTTTTGTCTTCAGTCTCCTGATTGTTTCCTTTGTTGTATAGAAGCTTCTTGGTTTGATGCAATCCCATTTGTCCATTTTTGCTTTTGTTGCTTTTGCTTTTGGGGTTATATACAAGAAATATCATATAATTTCAGGTATATATGGAATCTTAAAAAGTCAAACTCAAAATAGAGAGTAGACTGGTGCTTACTAGGGGCTGGGGAAGAGGGTAGACAGGAGAAGGGGAGATGTTGGTCAAAGAGTACAAATCTCAGTTAGACAGGAGTACAATCCCATCTTCCAGGATTTTAAATGTTCTCACCACAAAGAAAGGATAAAATATTTGGGATGATAGATATGTTAATTAGCCTGATTTCATCATCCCCAAATGTATACACATATTAAAACATTATATTGTACCCCATAAATATATGCAGTTATTATTTATCAACCCAAAATATAAAAGAACAAAACCAAAAAAGCTCATCCGGATTATCTACTAGTTCTAGCATGTAACAGCCTCCTATGTGCCAGCCTAAAGGAACAGCTGTTGACATTCTGGAAGCTGAGATGGGGTCTCCTGTTCTGCTCGGGTCCTGCGTTGTGCGCAGCCTCTCTGGGCTTGGTGTGGTTGTCCTCTGCTTGCTTGTGCAGTCTGGCTGGATACTACCACCAGCCCCAGGCTGCTTTGACTTGCCCCCATCCCTGAAGCCATTCCCCTTGCCTGCAGTAATTCTGCTTCCCTGCTAATTCCTATTTGCACTGAGTGTTTCAGAAGGCAACCCAGAAGGAAAAAAATCACCCCAGCTAAGGTTGAACTGGTTAGGGATGGAACTCAAATCAAATAAGATGTCACATGTCATGAAACAAAGATGAATAGGTAGGGATCTTCTACTGTCCTGTGTGGCCTCAGGCCCGGCCAGCACTCTCTCTTCAGTGGAGCTAAAGTGGTTTTTCTTGAGCCTCCTCCTTTTGGTCCTTCCTTGGTGGTAAACCAGGCTCCTAAACTCACGTAAGAGGAGAAGTGAGACACAGAGAACCAGCAAAGCACAGGCAGTCAGGAATGAGAGCAAGGCACGGAGGGAAGTGACGGCATTGCTGGAGCAGGAAGAAACTGTTCCCACTTGCCCCTCAAAATGCCCGAATCTCCCACCTTCCGTGAACTCTGGAGAACCTTCCCACTGTGACCTTCCTCCTTGAGCAGATTTGCAGATTTGCAGAATTTTCTAAGACCGTAACTACAACCCTATAAAGGGTTTTTCTCAGATGCAGAGACAACACATTAAAGTTAACCTTTATCCCAGTTAGACCTGACCCTCTGGGCACCAGATGAGCCCCTGATGCCAGGTCTGAGGACCTATCCTCCGTGCAGAGCCAGGTGTGGCTGGACAGTCTCACCCGCTCCCCTTTCTAAGACTCCAGGGCATGAGCTGCAGGAAACAGTGGGGTTAGGCAAAGAAATGATACACTTTAGAGCCTTCAGGCTCTCTGTTTAATATCATATAATGTACAAATAAATAAACCCATTTACATTTTAATGACAAAAATCATAATGAAATGAATTTACAGCACTACCAGTCCCACCTCACGAGGTCTCCTTTGCAGCCATCAGAGGGAGCGGAGATGAGCGCTGTGTATTCTCCAACTTGGTCTAGACATTGATGCTCCCTTGGGAACACAGAATGCTGGTTACCCCCTGGCACCTTTGCCTCATGGCCCTCAACCCTGCCTGTGAATTAGCATCATCAGCTTTACAGTGGAAAATGGAGGGCCCCTCCCCCAGAGGCTTTGGTTCAGCTCTTCTAGGGTGAGGCCAGGAACTGGTATTTTTTTAAAGCTCCCAAGTAATTTCAGTGGATACACATCAACACCAATCCTTGCTCTATATTCTAGGAATCAGGGTTGGAAGAGCCTAGGCAGAGAGGGAACCAAGGCCCAGAGGGGTTAAGTCACTTACTCAGAGGTTCCACAGCATAGCAAGTCCTAAAGCCAAGGCTGGAGCCTAAGATGTTGGGTCCTGACCCAGTGGCCCCACGTGGGCAGCTCCCTCAGTCCTTCTTTTTTTTCTCTTTTCCTTCTACCAGATCTGGAAATACCTATGGATATAATGTGGACCCTTTGTCCTTGGAGCTTTCTGAGCCACATGTTGGAGTTTCATCTCCAGAGAATCAAAACCAAGCTTCTGGGCCCAGGGTGGCAGAGTCAGTCACAGGAGTCGTCTTCCCCAGTGCAGAGCAGTTGGGGGTCCATCCATGCCAAGGCGCCCAAAATGCCTCAGGGAATTGTTGGTGCTTTGCCTTCCCAGACCCAGAGCTTTGATTAAATTTAGAGATCACAAAATCGTTTAAAAAAAAAACTTCCATTTTCCTTCCATTTCAACCCATCCTGAACAGTGAATCTGCCAGAACTCACTGCTGGACAGCCTCCTGGCTGGTTTTCTATCACCTCCAGGACAGGGTCTGAGCTCTCGGCTGTGGCCCACCGCTTTCCTCTGTGCCAGCCCTCCATTTTTGCTTGTTACCATACACTCCTACATTTCCAAACACTGGTGCCCGCCAGCCTGATCTATTGATTGTTTCCCACATTACTATTGCTCCAGAATCCAGTGCCTTTGCTCACACCACTTCCCGGGATTTAGAAGACTTCACTCTCCAGGCAGCATTTCTCAGTCCCTTCTCATCCCATGCCTCCAGCTCCACCACACATCCTGCTCTGGAGAAGGCTTCCTGATGCAAATCCCCCTAACTCACCTCAGGGCCTTTGCAGTAGCTCTGCTGTTCAGTATTCCTGCTCTTTCTCATAACCTGCTTCTTTTAAAGTTCCAGCCTCAACCCCCCGTTCCAGTGACACTGTCACATCACCCCATTTTACTTTCTTCCAGTGCACATCACGATTTGAAATCATCTTGAAGTTGTGTCCACTTGTGTGTTGTTGGTTTTGCCCTACATAAATGTAGACTATGTGGTATCCAGTGCTTTCTCTGCCTTGCTCACCTCTCTATCCCGGCACCTGGCACAGTGCGAGCACAAAGTAGATTCTCCGTTAGTATTAACGCATGAATACATGAGTGCAAGTATTTGTGGCCAAAGTCAGCCAAATATAATTCCTGTCCTCCGTGTCGTGGCATCCTGGGTGGATAGACCAGCCCACTACAAGCCTCTGCTCAGTCTGGACTAACATCTGCTTGTTCATCATCTCCTCAGGTGAGTCCTCTCGCTTTACCAATTGGAGGGTCGTATCTTTCAGAGATAGGACGTAGACATCTGGCTTCACTAGGGCATAGCAGGTGCTCAGGAAATAGGCAAGGCTAATACAAGAACCCTTCCCGTGGCCCAAGAGGCCAAACTCTGGTTTGTGAGGTAAAGGACAACCACTGTCTTTGCCCACTGTGAGGATGGACTGTTTTGAAAACAAAAGAGCTGCCATATTTGCAAAAACATTTAGTTACAACACTTTTACACTAACCTGCATAAGAAATCATATTCTAGGTCACAAATCAGAAAACTAGGACACACAGGCCAGATCAAGCCAGCCACCTCTTTCCTGATGGCCTGGAAACTCAAATGGTGCTTTTGAATGGTTACATTTGAAATGGTTATATAAGTACCTAGATAATATTCTGGAATTTTCCCTCTTGACCTACCAGCCGAAAATATTTACTCTCTGTATTTTGCCAACACCTGATTGATTTAGAGTATTGAATTATCTTCCAAAAATCTTACAAAACAGCAAAAGCTGTTTAATGCTGTTGTTCAGAAGATCAAATGTGCACTGGATGAAGTGAGCATGTGCAGAACTTATTTTCAACTCTAGAGAGATTGCTACGTTCTAGGAAAAGGTCTGCTCAAGGAACAGATCATCTACTCCACGATGCAAACAGGTTGGTCACGGTGAGAACGCAGGTGCGCCAGTCAGAACGCGGCCAGTGGGGAATGTCGGACTGTGCGAGGAATCGGCTGCAGAAGAGCATATTCAATCCTACACGAATGTGTGGCTGAAAATGCCAATTTCACCTAGGTTCAGCCCATTTTTTTTCACCCGTCAGTGTTAACTCTGATTCCGTGAGGTCTGGCTTTTAAGAATGGCAATCCTTTCCATCACAGCACAGTGCATGTTTCTCCTGATGGCTCAGGAGACACCCTCAGACACAGACGGGACCTTTTTCCTTAAGATGAGGGTGCGCTGCAGAGCGGTTATACCTATGCGTGTCCACGTGGGGGCTCCATAGAACAACATCTGTGTTAGAGCCCACTTCAAAACCAACCCACAGCCTCTCAATTGCCAGCTTACACCAAATATAATAAATGTCTGCCCAAATCTGTAATTTCTGTAAATACAATAATAAACGTGATCTGATATTTTGTTATTGAGATAAAAGAGATTTTCAGGTGAGATTCTTCTAGCCAGAAAAGCCAGTCTAGGAGTTAGATTTAAATGTTATTTCCATTCAGGTTGGGGAATTCAGAGGACCGGCTTGAAGTCAGTCCCCTGCCTGCCCTGGAGAATCAGCTGGGGGCCAGGGGACCACCACCTTGCTTCCTCTGGAAGAAGCACACTGTTAGAGTGCATCGGTCACCAGGCATTTCATGCCACACTAGGGCTGTCAGGAGTCCAATATCTAAACCAAGTGATGCCTGATCTGAAATAAGAGAACACTCTGAGTGGTCCTAATTTCACCAGAAGTACCATGTCAATGGTTATAAGTAAACTATTCATGTCGTCGGTGGCCTGGAAAACATTTAGAAACCTTCATGACCTTAATTCTTCTTAGCTCTTTACCATTTTTATAGACTTTCACTTGCAAATCTCATCTTATCTCATAAAATATACATGCGATGATATTTAAATTAAAGGAATTTATCACAATTAAATGACTAATTTCATATCTGGCCCAATACTTACTGTTCCTTTGCTATCTTTCAGAGGCTTGAGTTAGTTTACTTTAAAAGACTGTGTGGGGCCAGGCGCAGTGGCTCACACATGTAATCCCAGTACTTTGGGAGGCCAAGGCAGGCGAATTACTTGAGGTTGGGAGTTCGAGACCAGCCTGGCCAACATAGTGAAACCCTGTCTCTACTAAAAATACAAAAATTAGCTGGGCGTGGTGGTGGGCACCTGTAATCCCAGGTACTCTGGAGGCTGAGGCAGGAGAATCCCTTGAACCCGGGAGATGGAGGTTGCAGTGAGCCCAACCTGGGCAATACAGCGAGACTCAGTCTCAAAAAAAAAAAAAAAAAAAAAAAGACCACGTGCTCTCCTTCCAACAGCACAGTCTTTTTGAAATATCTGAAGCATGACCATGTGATGTAAGCAGACATCACTGAGCTGTTTCCAGACATCAATTTTTTGGTATTGAGCCTCAACAAACCTTTCTCTCATCCACCTGGTGCTGAGAAGTTATCCAAGAGCTAAGACAGAGCTCTCATTGGGGTCCTTGTGCACTTTTCAGAAATGAAAACAGATCTCAGAAAAGTCCATTCCAACCATATTCTGCTATCAATGGTATGTCTGTCCTGTCATGGTCTTATATTTCTCCCTCCAGTCTGAACAAATGTTACCAGTTTCAGAGTTTTTAGAATTCTTACCAGATAATAATTTCTCCAGCCCTCTGGGTTTAGAAAACAATACTTGAGGTAAGCTGTTTCTGATCTCCTGCTAATCTCAGATAATTGCTTTTGGGTTTCATGGGGAATCTGAAATTCTCTATGCCAGATTCACTGAATGGGTCTATGGGAAAGGGGCTTTTGGGAGACTTTTCACCTCTACTAACAAATCTGTCTTTAGCAGAGGTTCTATTGCAAAAGTGTCCTTTCTACCAACTGCCAGCTTGTTGTAAGAATCAAATACTACTAATAGGAACTCTAGATATTCTTAATCAAGTCCCCAGCTTCCTCCCTCCCTCCCTGCCTCTCTCTGTCCCTCCCTTCCTCCCTCCTTTCATTTTTTCTTTCCTTCCTTCTTTTTTTCTGTTTCCCTGACTTTGCTTCCTCTTTCTCTCTCTTTCTCCTTTGTCCTTCCTCCCTGTATTTTTTTCTTCCTTTATTTATTTATTTCTTAATTTTTACTTCTTAAATTGTTTAATAACCTTCTGGGAAACCCCCAGAACCTGGCTGTCAAGTACAGCTCTCTTGTTGGGTGGGTTTGAGTGGGAAAAGATATTTCTGAGCTTGACCTTGCAGTTCCTAGGAGAGAATATCAGGATTATGTTGGTCCCGCTGAGACTGCGGAACCTCAGGTAAAGTCTCCAGATGCTCTGCCAGTTTCCATTGAATTCTCTGACTTTCAACTTGGTAGTTAGTTCTTAGAGCTTACATTAAACTTAGACGTCACAACCTCAAGCCAAGAGTTCTGGGGGCCAGGCCTTTCTGACAAGTTGTGAATAAGCTGTACTTTCTGGAATAAGGACAGAGGCACCAGAACTCTAATGCACAAAGCTCATTGTAGAAAAGGCTACACATCCTAGGCCCACACGACCTTGTTTGGAAGTGCAAACCCAGCTACTCCACAGGCTGTAGCATTCTCTTGGACATGGATGGGTACACATTCTGGAATGGTTCCTCAAACCTCCATTTTACAAAACTAAAGCTACCATCAAGGGTTCTATTGGCCAAGTCGTGTAAATTGTTCCTGGAGGCTTTGCTTTCTGGGGAAATTCAGATCCATCACTGCCCCTATCTTTGGGCTTCAGAATGTTTCCACCTATTTGAATCTATTCCCATCTGTGTGCTCACTGCCTGGACAGTGTGGAGGTTTGGGGGACTGTGTGTCTCCAGGTTGGCTATAAGTTAACCTAGAATTTAATTTGGGTCTTTGGATGTCTCTTTAGAGTAAAACTTCGTGGATAATTATGAAAGTCAAAGATCCTTGAAATGCCTGCTCTTCCTTTGCAGCCTGGTTGGTTAGATAGACTCCAAAGGAGAAAATTAATTTTGAGGAATAACAACCAAAACTTAGAATGTGACTTTGCTCTTCTAATCCTTATAGAAAATATGTAAGATGTGGACTATTACTGATCCCCACTTGACAGAGAAGAAACTAAACCTTGGAGAGGTTTGGCAAATTTCCCAAGGTCATGAACCTGGTAAGTCACAGCAACAGGATCCACCATGAGGGTCATCTCGTGGCCTGTCCTATAAAGGCCATTCATTTGCAGGAAAGGTCTAGGAAGGCAAGGAAACCAATGTTTGCCAGGGCTTACTGTGAGTTAGATATGTCTACTCTTGAACATGCAGAAACACCAGAAAAGACTATTGATCCAGCAAAGCGAAATTTGTTTCACCTGCTGCATTTGCGGAGGGCAGTTGGGGGAGCCTCTGAGCATAGGGTCTCAGAACGGGGAAGTCAGGAAAGGATGTTTACTGGGTTTTAGTGAGAAGGCGGTAGTAATTTTTAAGGTCGATTTTGGAAGGTGGGAAGCCACTGGGTTTGGGCAGAGTTTCTGACCAACTATAGATTGGTAGCACAGCAAGATGAAGGAAGTGAAATGAACTAGTGTTAGTCTTGATAAGGAAACAATGTAATTGGTGCAGAGTCTTAATTTCAGGAGAAATTCCTGGATGTGATTTTTGCTTGTTCTCAGCATTGCAGGTAAGTCATTTTTGCTTGTTCTCCATATTGTTTACCAAGGCCATCTGCTTTCAGTTCTCAGGCACTAGGGGCAGACCAGTAGCTAGAAACAGACAAGATTCCTGCTCTCAAGGAGCCATGTCCCTGTTAGGTAGCCACTGTTCTTATTAGACAGTGTAGAAAAGAACGGGAGATGAATAATGATATTCCAATTTCCACACATAAGTGAAAGCTGGGTCTGGGATTTGAAGTTGAGACTTAAATTTTGGTTCTTTGAACTCCTAGCCTCTGCAATGGTAACACTCAGTCAAGAACATTCTCCACTCCATTCTTCTCTGCTCTCCCAGTAAAATACCCAGAGCAGGGTCATCACAGAGGGAAGACCAGGACTCTTGGGATCTCACAGAGATACTTGACCCCATGCTCATAGCAGCATTATTCACAATAGCCAAGGTATAGTAGAAAGAGCCTAAATCCCATCTGTGATGCATGGATAAAAAGAATGTGGTATACACTTACAGTGGAGTATTATTCAACCTCCAAAAAGGAAGATAATTCTGTAATCTGTGACAACATGGATGGAGCTGGAGGACATTATGTTAAGTGAAATCAGCCAGGCACAGAAAGACAAATATCACGTGATCTCACTTATACATGGAATCCAAAATAGTGAAACTGTAAAAGTCAAGGGTGTAATGGTGGTTTCCAGGGGCTGCGGGGGGAAGCAGAGGTGTTGATCAAAGGTGGAAAGTTTCAGCCAGGCGAGAGGAGTAGGTTCTGGAGACTGTGGTGCAGGATAGTGCCAACAGCTAATGATGCAGTATTGCATTCCTAAGATTCTCTAAGAGGGTAGAGCTTATATGACGCGTTCTTATAATAATAATAATAGGGGTGAGAAGAAACTTCGAGAGGTCTAGACATTTAATTATGTATAGCTTTATACATATTAATTTTACCTCAATAAAGTGATTTTTGAAAAAGAAAAGAAAATCCTCCTTGTGGAAATTTACAGAGGATGATTCCAGAAAGATACTATATCATAGACTATCAATCATTTGGCTTATCTCTCAAGCTCTTATAAACAGTAGGAATATTAATGGACTTTATTAACCTATAGGTCAATGAATTTTAATTTATTTAATTATCTTTAAATTTTCCTTGACAGGAGGAGAAAATAAGTAGGGCTTATTGAACAATAAAGAACATTTATTTTATATCAAAGTATAGGTCCCTATGCAGCCTTTATTTTATCTTTAATATTCAGAAGTGAATCCACAATGGCTTTCCTTCTTACTTATATGGCAACCAAAACTGTATGACATGGCAAAATATCACAAAACAGAAGCTAGAAGTTGAAGCTGTAATAAAAACTACCAGAATATGTGAATAATCTGATTTTTTAAATGGAATGACAGCACCTATGGTGTGGCTTTTCTTGCTAAACAGAGACACATTTTTATCCCTACAAATGGTGTCATGTATTTTTTTTCAGTCAGTTGTGTCATATTCTGGCTTCATACTTTTTTCCATGCTCATTTAAGGCCATGGAGTTGTCTAATACCTGTTAAGATCTTGGATAGTTTTGACCACCAGGAGGCGTGTTAGACCAGCAAATTGACACTTCGTCACTAGCGTCCATCCTTGAACACTTCGGAAGATTAAAGGTTAAAGATGAACGTGAGCCTCACTGAAAGTGATTGTAGAGAGATAAAGAGAAGGATTATAATTTTCAAAAGAAACTCTGAGGGTTTTTTTGTTTTGTTTTGCTTTTCAATTCAGCTCAAACCAAATGGTTGCTTTTTTTCCGTTTTTGTAAACTTGCGTCATGTACCTGTGAATTTCGGGCAGGGGCTGAGGTGTGGGGAGCTCTGCTGAAACTTTAAAGCAGAGTCGTGATTCTCTGCCCCCCTCCATTACAAAAGGCAGGCAATAATGTAAATAGAACGTTAGACAGGCTGTGGTTTGTGCTCAGCTGCTCAGGGTTTGCAGGACTGCTGCTTCCAGGAATCTAGCTTTCTCCAGGCTCAGCCTCAATTCAAGTAAGGCTGGACTGGCAGGACTAAATAGAAACTTACCCACTTTTGTTACCTCTTTTCTGAGTCCAGCAGGGAGGCAATCTTAGATCGTAGAAATTACTGCCCTACAGAAATGCCGATGTCCAGAGAGAAAGTGGCATGTCTAGTGCTGTTAATTTCACTACTGCTTTGTGTTATCGCTTTAATAAGATAGGGACTTATCCCAGCGGGGGCTGGGAGTAATGCCATTATTAAATGATTTTCTCTTGGCTCCAAACCCACCTTTCTATATCCTGCCTTGTGATGCCAGCACTGGGACTCTGCAAACTGCAGTTGGGCTTGGCCAGATGCTCCTGGCAAGGGGACGCTAGAGTGAGGCCGCAAATCTGGAGGGAGAGGGGCCCGACCGTTCCTCCTGAGGACTTCCTCCTCCTCCCAGCATCTCTCCAGCAAGGCCGCTTCCACCCAGCAGTGGCAGTTCCTTCCCACTGTTGCAGCTGAATCATGTTTGTAGTTTTCCAAAACTCACAAAACCAGCCCTATCATGCCCTCTTAGAGACTTCAGCTTACCCTTGCATAACTCCAAGTCCAAAGCCTGTGCAAAACAGTTCAGCTGACTTGGAAGGGAGATTGGCAGTTTCTTACAAAAGTAATCATATTGTTACCCTGTGAAGCAGCAGGCAGGCTCTTTGATATTTGCCCAGATAAGTTGAAAACTTGTGTCTCTACAAAAAAACTACATGAGAATGTTTATGCCAACTTTATTCATAATTGCCAAAATTTGGATACAACCAAGATGTCCTTCAACAGCGAGTGGATAAACAGACTGTAGTACATCCAGACGATGGAATATTATTCAGTAATAAAAAGAAAAAGCTAACCAGCCACAGAAAAAGACATAGAGGAACCTTAAACGCATATTGATAAAGAAAGAAGTCAATCTGAAAAGGCTGCATACTGTATGATTTCAACGATATGACATTCTGGAAAAGCCAAATCTATGGAGAAGTAAAAAGAGTAGTGTTTGTCAGAGGTTCAGCTGGGGTGGGGTTGTTGGGGATGAGTAGAGGGAGGGATGAATAGGTACAGGAGAGACAATTTTTTAATTTTTATTTTTTTAAGACGGGGTCTTATTCTGTCACCCAAGCTGAAGCATGATCATAGCTCACTGCAGCCTTGAACTATGGGACTCAAGGGATCTCCCATTGCAGCCTCCAGAATAGCTGAGACCACAGGCACACACCACCACACAAGCTTAGCACAGGAGATTTTTAGGGCAGTTAAAAGTATTCTGTATGGTACCCTATGGTGGATGCATGTCATTATGCATTTGTCAAAACCCATAGGATGTACCCAAGAGTGAACCCTAATGTGAACTCTGGACTTAACTATGGACTTTAATGAATAATAACATAACAATATTGGCTCATCAATTATAACAAATGTACCACATCATTGCAAGATGGTAATAATAAGGGGAGTGGGGGGGTGCAGGAGCATATGGGAACTTGATACCATCTACTCAATTTTCCAAAAACCTAAAACTGCTCTAAAAATAGTCTATTAATTAATTATTTAAGAACTCAAAGAAACAAAAGCCTTGGCAGTGTTTTTTACATTGATCAGTTATGTGCCCCACCATGGCTGGTCCAGGCCTGAGTCTCTCTTGCTCCACTCTTAGCATCTCCTGTGTGTATTTCGTCAAACCCATGTCAACTGTGTGGGCCACTCTCTGAACTCCTCCCTCTCCATGAGCTCCCAGGATTTTCTAGTTCCCTGGAGTCCCTTTTTAGGTCTTCTGGCAACAAAGCTGGAATTTTAGTTACTTGGTTCTGTGTGTACTTCAGCAACTGCATCTGCATCGAGTGCCGAGGGATAAAAGTAACAGACAAAAAAAAAAAATCACCAGCAGTTTCAGCACTTTAAGTTCCAGTCCTCTTCTATGAGTCACTTTTCAGAGTCCTCACAGCTGCCCTGTGCCTTATGTTCAGGTTTTATAGCGACATCCGCTGAGCAAGATGAGTGGCATGTGCTTATCCCATTATACGTGGGACCAGGACTTCTTATTATTTAGATATTCACATGACCAGTGCCAAATGGATATATCGGCTATAACATAAAGTGACCTGCACCTCTCAAAAATGCCAAGGTCAAATCAGACAAAAACTACTGAGGAGTTGTCCAAAATTAAAGCAGACCGAAGAGACGGAGCATAGCTCTAAAGTATATCACTGGAGAAACTGGCAACATTTAAATACAGTCTGTGGATTGAAAGTATTGTATCCAAGTTAAATGTGCCGATTTGGGTAACTGTTATGGTTATGGAAAGGGATATCCTGTTCTTTGGAAATAGACACCAAAATATATATTAGGCAGAGGGGATGCTATCTTTAGCTCACTTTCAAATGGTTCAAAATGCACATACACATACACTCTCTCTCACATACATATGCATGCACACGCGCACACACACACACACCTGCACATGCATGCAAGCTGAGGGGTGTAGAAGAAGGAACAATCCTAAAGGGACTGCTATTCCTAACCTGACCCTGTCCTAGGCCACCAGCACACAGCACCCAACCAGCATTCAACCTTCCGACTGGACATGGACACCCTCTAGTTGCCTCAATGGCTCAGGGCACATGCGGAGGGCTGGCTGGGCCCAGCTGACAAGAATTCATATATTTGGTGAACTTCCTTAGAGTGAAATAGACAGGCTCACAAGCTTGTTCCGTGAGATACACACACACACACACACACACACACACACACTCCCCACTCAATGAGTCGTTAGAATGGAGAAGCACATGTTTAAAATCCATAAAACAAGACATAGAACAACAGAGTAGCTTGATGGTGAACTCGGCATCTTTGTGGCTGTGTTCATGTGGCATTCATTCATTCATTCATTCATTCGATAAATGTTTACTGAGCTACCACTTGCAAGGAAGTGCTGACAATAGTCCTGTAAAAAAGACACTTTCTCTGCACTCCTTAAAATGACAATCTTTTGGTGGAGAATTATTAGCAGGGTTTATTGGGCCCCACCTGGGGAACTCAGGTAGAAATAAGAGGACAGTTTTGCAGAGGGCTGCAAGTCTCCCAGTGCTGCACAGAGGAAAAAGCTTGAGAACTTCAGTTGAATATTGTCAGGCTAACACCACGCTTGTCCCTGGAGACCTGGGACCACAAGACAGAAAGAAGGCTATTAGGTCTTAGGGACTCTACCCTGCTAAGGAGTTTGGACGTTTTGTTTTTGGTGTTTTGTTTTGTTTTGTTTTGTTTTGTTTTGTTTTGTTTTGACAGAGTCTTTCTCTGTTGCCCAGGCTAGAGTGCAGTGGCACGATCTCGGCTCACTGCAAAGTCTGCCTCCCAGGTTCAAGCAATTCTCCTGCCTCAGCCTCCTGAGCGGCTGGGATTACAGGCGTCCGCCACCGTGCCCGACTAATTTTTGTATTTTTTAGTAGAGACGGAGTTTCACCATCTTGGCCAGGCTGGTCTCGAATTCCTGACCTCCTGATCCACCCACCTCGGCTTCTCAAAGTGCTAGAATTACAGGCGTGAGCCACCGCTCTCGGCCGGAGTTTGGACTTTTGATAGGACACCCGATGCAATTGATTGATGTGTGTGTGTGTGTGTGTGTGTGTGTGTGTGTGTGTGTGTGTGAGATCCATTGAATGTGGACGCTCAAGGCCTGGACAGAGTAGGAAGTGCACAGAAGGCTGAGCAGGCAGGCACGTGGGTGGGACTCAGGCCCACCTCTGGCCCCAGAAGGGGATGCCAGGCGGTGGGGACCAGCTTAGACAGGCAAAGGGGACTGTGGGAAGGTGTGGGAAGCTGTCCCAGGCTGCAGACCCACCAGGGTACCCTGAAGGCTGGCCCTGGAGAAGGTATTTAAGCCAAGAGGTGAGTGCCCAAGCCGGAGCCTGGCCCAGGGGACACGGTTGGGCCTGTTTCGGGGCACCCGGAACCTAGGGACTGGCATGGCCGGGACCTCCCGGAGCTGCTGCTGGAACTCAAGGCGCCTCTTCCGGTTGGACTTCAGCGGCTACTGGAGGCAGGCGTGGAGGGGGTCGTTCTCCTGCCGGTGGTCCAGACAGAAGTTGACCTGGTCCAGGATGTGATGGCAGCATATTCTGCTTCCCGGAAGCCGTCGCCCTTGCCTTGGTCTCCCGCTGTCCCCGCACGCCCACGTTCCGCATGGGACCTGACTCAGGCACCAGGAGGGCCCCGCGACGAAGGAGCGCGGCGACCTTCGCTCTGAAAGCGGGAGCCGGGTGGGGGCATTGGGGGTGGTCAGGGAGGATCGCAGATGCGTTTTAGACAATAAGACAACAGACAGTGGCGATTCCCAACCCTGGCTGCACAATAGAATGAGGGCCTTTTGGGGTCTCAAACTGATCTAAGAGTAAAGTCTAATAATTTTTAAAAATCACCCTAGGCCAGTGGTTCTGAAAATATGGTCCAGAGACCCTCGAGGCCCTAAGGATCCTTTTCAGAGGTCCATAAATTCAAAACTATTTTCCTAATACTGTGCTCCTGAGAAATGACTTGCTTTATTCACTAGTGTACTCGGGATTTCCAGAGGCGAGGGCACATGGGATGTTCCAGCAGATCAAAAGCAGAGGCAGACACGAAATTCCAGGTGTCTTGTTAAGCCAGTCTTTAAATAGAAGGCAAGCAGGTGAAATTCTTTCCGCCCAGCTTCTGTTTTGGAAAAGTATAGTATGTTTCATAAAACTGTTCATTTATGTTACATAAGTATTATTTTATTTATTTATTTATTTATTTATTTATTTGAGATGGAGTCTCTCTCTGTCGCCCAGGCTGGAGTGCAGTGGTGCGATCTTGGCTCACTGCAACCTCTGCCTGGGTTCAAGTGATTCTCTTGTGTCAGCCTTCCGAGTAACTGGGATTACAGGCAAGCCCCACCACGCTCCGCTAATTTTTGTATTTTTGGTAGACACGGGGTTTCACCATGTTGGCCAGGCTGGTCTCGAACTCTTGACCTCAAGTAATCCGCTGGCCTCTGACTCCCAATGTGCTGGGATTACAGGCTTAAGTCAAGGCACTGGGCCGATTAATGCATAAGCATTTTTAAATCTCAGTTATATTTTCTAATACATTAACTATCAGTAGATAAGCCCACACAAACCAAATCTCTTTACATTGTCAATAATTTTAAAAGTATAAGGGGATCCTGAGACCCCAAAGTTTGAGAACCTCTGTCTAGACATTAATACTAAAAGATAAAGAGTAGCCTTAAGAGTTACCTAACAAGGGATTCAAGGAGGGTTTTTTAAATTATTCATTTACAGAAGCTGGGGCCAGGATGGACCCTGAATGTACAAGTAGGTCAGATCCACAAAGGCCACATTTGCAGCTGCCTGGTCTCCCCTTCGTCCTTCCTCATCAATTCCCATCCACCAGAAGCTTGGATTTGGCATAAAATATTGATCCCCTAATTCTGAATCTCATCCTACAGACCTTGTTTCTTGCACAAGCTGAGTTCACCATAAATACAGAGCAGGGGAGTTCCTTTGAAAGTGGCAGATTGTTAAGAACTGCTTTGGAAAGCTGATCATAACTCTTGCCTCTTGTTACCTAGATTAACTTTCCTGCATGGTTTGCGGGTTCTCTATGGCTATTTCTCTCTTTCTTACAGTTTAATAAAGGATTGGGTTGAGCCATATAAAATGATCATTTTTGCAGGAAAAAAATAACTGGATATCGGCAATTTTATATGATGTAACCTAATACATTGCATGGCATTGTCACATTGTATTTTATTTAACCCAGGCAAGAAATGTGCTTTGCACCCTTGAGTATATGCAAGAACAGCTACCAAAAACAGTTATTCTGAAAATGGCAAGATGTCTTAAAAAGGATAGAAGCCCTTGCTTCTTGGCCTTATTCAGGGACCTTGCTGCTGGTGTGTAGTTGAACATGAGAGCAAAGCAGGGTCTACTGATTCCAAAGTCTGTGCTGTCAGACCATGGTGGCTAGACATTGAAGTAACCAGCAATTTATTAACTAGCACATCTCTGTACTCCATTGTGATGCTAACCTCCATTTCTCATGTGAATCATTGCAGGATTCTTAGAGTATATTCTCAGGTCTAGGAAAACTTAGATTACACCCTTTATGACTCCTGTAAACAATGTATTATATTGCGAGTTGGTAATATGTACTATTTAACTCAAAGTTTTTGTCATCTGAAAAATGCAGGTAATAATAATATCTACCTAAATGTGTGCAATAATTTAAAGGAAGTTCTTGGTTTATACTAGGCGTGGCCTTGGGGCTCAGTAAATACTATTTTCTCCCTTTCACCACCAAAAATGCATATACACTCATGTGTATGTACAAATTCACGCAACACACACTCTCATGCAAGAACACCCTTGCACATACAAGGATACTCGCTCATACATACATGCTCACACAGTGCTAGTATGCATGAACACTAGTATATGCTGGGGGCAAACACGAATGATAGTGGTAACCTCTTATCCCACTGTGTCTCCATGAAAGCTTTAAAGGGACCACTGTGGAACAGAAGGAGCATAAATCCAGAACTCGGAAGCATCTTCTTATTCTTCTCCTTTGTTCTTTGGTGCATTATGTTTGTTGTAAAATCCCTAGGCCTCTCAACCAGGTTTTCTCATCTGCAAGATGAAGGCATGGAAGATGATAGCAGCTTCCTGCAATTTGAAAGTCATTTTTTGACAAATGTGATCAACATCTTTTGTGTCTGGAGGCACAAGTTCAGACCCCAACTACATCCCATGGGAGTTCACTGATTTGAAGCACTGCTTCCTCCTCTCTTACAGTAAGTATGGGCAGCCCGATAGGTCTTTGTGATAATTAAATGAAATATAAGAACACCCCTACCCACTCTGTGAGGATCTGTGATCTCAGCTATGTCCAGCAGGACAGATGACACCCGGTCCTTCATGTGACAAGATCCTATTTCTCCCACACTTCTCTCTCCCAGAGTCCCAGGCAGAGCCCCACTCCCATGCCTTGACAGTGAAGCAGAAAATTTTCCTGCCTCCTTTGAATGAACTTAACACTATGTTCACACATCATATAAGGAAAAAAAAAGGAAAGAAACCCCTCACACCCACTCTGGTACACCTTGGTGTTTGCCATTATTAGAACAGCAAACGAAATACTATTGATTCAGAGGGTTTGTGGTTTACCGACCTAGTGCAGTTAAGTTCCTCTTCCTACCCCCATGACTCATGAATACACATCAAATCCTAAATAGTTTATTTACCGTTTGAACAGTTTTTTGCTTCTTGTCCTATTTCCCTCTGGACAGACAACCCAAAACGCTTTCTTTACCCACAGAAACAAATTTAAAAACAAGAAATACAGTTCTAGGAATAAAGAAAGATGTAAGAACGTTAATTTTATGACAAAAGAAACCTCATTAGAGAGTCTTATAGGAAAAAATATCTGAGTTCCAATTTATATCCCGCCATAATAAAACCTGTTTTACTCCAAAATTGTCCTGGATTGGATGAGAAACAATAGAGTAACCTCACTGAGAAGCAGAGCACTCAGCTTGGGTGAGTGGGGGCCAAGGCAGGAGCGAGCAGGAGCTAGTGCAGACGTCTGCTTTCTGGATGCGGGAACCAAGGGGCTTGCCCGTTAACCCTTCCTAATTCACATACCCTTTAAAACCTTACTGCTTGAGGCATGGTCCTGGACCGAGGGTCACCTGGAAGCTTATTGGAAAAGCAAACTCACAGACCCCAGACCTGGTAAACCAGCAATCTGCATTTTAACAGAGGCCCAAGTGATCTGAATAGACACTCACGTCTGAGAGCAGTGCCTTGAAAAGCTTTGCCAGAATGCTGTGAAGCATAAGCCGTATGACTTGATCTGTGGTCCGTTAGAATTCACAGGATAACTTTTCCAAAGTCTTAAATTAGAGGATTTCAGAATTAAAAGGACCTTCCCTCAACCTCTTTAATGCATGAGTTCCCTGAGAGTGGCCCCACTGGAAGACTCTGGTGTCACATCAGAGGAGTTTGTCCTCTGGGAAGAGTTTTTCAACAGTGCTTCCGTGGGGCGAGAAGGAACATGCTTCCTCTTAATTTCCACTCGCCTGTACATTATACACATTACAGAGCCACTCAGAGAAAAGATTAAGCTTCTTTCTCTGCAAAGGATTTTTGGAACACTGAAACGACCTGCATGCCTGATCCTATATCCAATTTCTTCCCAAAGAGCTCTAGTAGGTTCAGAATCACACCCTTAAGGAAGAGTATCCACAGAGTGGCCCTGGACCTACCTCTCTGCTGGAGAGGCCACATGAAACTGTATCAATATGCAAAGATGCTGGTCCTTTCACACTTTTCTGATGAACTCGGGTGTTATTAAAATTATGGGTATTTGCTTATTTCCCAGGCAGTCCCATGGAGAGCTGAGGCTGGCTAGACACTGGGACTGACTGTTGTTATCTATGCCTGTTGTCCACGTGACAGCCAGGGCTAAAGACAAGACTTTCTGTCTCTATCAACAGCCAGAGTAAATCCTCATGAAACAATATTCGGTACTAGAGATACCAGCTGCAGCAGAAAATATACAGATCATAGGCACTGAACTCCAACAAGACACAATCTAGTCCAGAGATAGGCCGCAGGAGTGCAAATATCAGTTTATCACTTAAACTTGTTTGATGTTCTTGGCAGTAGTTCTAAGCACTGAGGAAGTAAGTCTAAATGGTCTTCAGGCAGCCAAGTTAAAGAGTATCCTCAATAATCCAATAATCTAATAATAATAACCACCTAGTGCATCCTTCCTCTGTGCCTGATTCATTCATGGCATTTTATGTTATCTTTTGTGAGTATATGACTAACTTCACTGTGCAGATGAGGCAGCTGAACCTCAGAGAGGCTGTTAGTTGCCTAAGTTTATGCAGCCAGTAAGTCACTTTGTAGATTCAAATGCTTCTATACCACTATAACATTTATAATAGCTATGATATTAACTAGTCCTGAAGAGGTTAACTTATGTTCAATATGATCTAATTGAAATGGCAGAGAAGTATGTAGAATATTTTAGAAGTATTTCCACTAGAATAGTAAAAATAATTTACTCTTTAGTGTTTTCTGGCAATGCAATGTAATGAAGATTTTTTGTAGGCAACTGGGAGCAAGAGTGACTTTAAATTCTGGCTCCACCAATTACTAGCTTTGTAAACTTGAGCAAATTACCTAACCCCCTGCACCTCAGTCTGGCATCTACAGAGTGGACTTAATAATCCAACTTTGGAGTGCCATGGAGGCACTGATGATAAACTGTGTTTGGAGCATAAAACACCTAGAAATGCATCTAGCACAGGGCAAGATGGAAAATTAAATTCGTGAGATAGTGATTAAAGAATGTGTTAATCTGGAAAGATTCTAAGGCATAGATATGCTAAAAATATATTCATATTCTGGGCAAGAAAATACAGCCAGTGTGGAGCACGGGGTTGGGGACTGTAGGTTTCTCATACTACTTCCATCACTGCAGAGTCATCAATAAGTTGAATTTGAAGGCTGGGGTAGAATCAGTAATCATTTTGGGAAAGGCAGGAGGCTCCGTGTTTAGAATATCATGAACCAAAGCTCCAGGATGAATAAGAAAAAAGAGCTGAAAAGAACAGTAAATGAATGTGGAAAACTTAGTGTGAGAATGAGAACATGGTATACGCAGGGAATGGGAGGTTGGCTTTTCGGCTACACAACATGGGTCGGCAGATGTTTTCTGTAAAGGGCCAAAGAGGAAATTGTTAGGTTCTGTGGGTCATACTGTCTGTGTCCCAACCGCTCAACTCTGCTGTTGTAGCAGAAAGGTAGCAATAGACAATCTATAACTGAATACATGGATGTGTTCCAGTGAAACTTTAGTTACACCAGGGGCCACAATTTTTCCACCTCTGCTATAGCTGATAGATTTAAAAACTAACTTGGAATGTCACCATGAAGAAATTCTCTAAATACAAAGGATCCCAAGAAAGCTATTAAGACCCTGAAATCCAGTCCCAAAAAATTTATAGGAAGAGATAATTATTTTTGGCATAAAAAATACATCTGTCTTACTATCTTCGAAATGACTCTGAGAAAAATATATTGAGCAGGGAAGTGTTTTTTTTTTTTATTCCATGTCTGAAAATATACCTCAAACAGAAAATTCAGATGTGTTAAAATGCTATTTCATCCAAACAGAGGCAGCAGTTTGGAGAAATAAAAAGACTCTGGAGCCAGAAGCTGCTGCTGAACAGAGAGGTTTATGTTTCAAGGGAGTGGAAATCAGGCTGTACCCTGAGTGTTGGCTTGGGCTGGCAACGGATTGCCCACTCACTAGGAGCTGGGCTTCCCAAGGAAGGGACAAGCACAAGGAAACCTTCTTTTCCTCTGCAGAGAAGGAAGCTGGGCACCTAAGCGGTTTCATGATTCCATGACTGGCTCATTGAGAATTTATTGGATGGATTTCACTCATAAAGTTTCTTTTATGGAATTCTAAGGGATTTGCTGGAAGAGATTTCTATGTGAAGGTCAAAAGGAGTAAATTATTTAGCTTCCAGAAGAGGCAGTGGTTACTATTCACAGACTGAACAGCGACAGGGAGAACTTTTTTCTGTAAACTCCATGAGGGGAGGGATAAAGACTCCGTTGCTCACCCTTGCCTCTCCATCCTATGGTTCAGAGCCATGAAGAGCAGACACTGCTGAATATGGGGGAGCTGTTTTTCACCATTCAGCGATATTTCTGCCTCTTTGCATAGCCAGTGAAATGGCTGGGCTGTTGACTGAAAGGATGGATGAACATTGCAAATCTTATCATTTCTATTCCTTGTATCCTCAGAAAAGAAGTGTTGTCCAATGACGAATGCTTGGTCTTAGAGTCTGGCCAGAACACAGAGGAAGAGGCCGCTCGGAGGACAGAGTGAGCTGCCCAGGTGGCCCACTGGCATCAGGGGCTGTTCTGTATGAAGCTGTTTGAAAACTTTTCACAAGGTCCTGCTCCTTCAGAAGAGGGTGCATATGATCTTATCTGCCCATAAATCTCAGAAGTTTTACAGGCAAAATCTATAGTAGGTGGTTAACTCTACACATTGCCCTGCCCACTCACAGGGATAAATAGAAAGTCCTGTATCCAAGTCGGGGAAAATACTAAGCTTCAATCCGGAAGTTTAGGGCTAGTTCTTTTAACTAAGTTGTTCTTTGTTCTTCAAAATCTACAATCTATTTTTAACTGAAGTTAAAATATATTTTAGGTATTCAAGATTAGAAGGTATCTAAACTTTGAGCTTTTGATTTCCATTTAACTGTTTGCTTTCCACAAACATGTGATGACATGATTATGCTGTAGAATCCAGCTATTTCTTAGTTCTTCTCTAAAATGCTATAAATTTGTGTTTCTTCACTGAATTGTCCCCATTTTGTATTAGACGTGTATTCTATGAGAGAAAAATTCATAAAGGCAAATATTTGCCATTTTCTTTTTTATAATACTTTTTCTATATCATTTATTTTTTTATTCTTTTAGCTAAAGGAAGTAAACACCGTTTCATTTTATATCTACAATTATCTTATTTTTCAAATAGAATATAAGGATTTTTAAAAATACTACTGAATCTGATTAGTAACTGTATAACGTATTTTCTGTATATTTTGACTGTGAGTCAATTTGAAAGCAGCAATTTAAAACCCACTTGAATGCTTAGTTTAGCCTAAACAACGACTACAACATAAGAACAATTCTACAATCAAATTAGTAGTCAAATAACCAACGGCAAGTGGAAAATTGGTCATCGTGTTATTCTTCTATAACCTAATTCAAAATGCAACATTTAAAAATGTAAATCTCTCTTTTCAATGTTAAAGAAGCATCGATGAATATTTCTATGAGTAGGAAAATATTTATTAAAATAGTGGCCACATATTGGGACTGATCTTAGTCTTTTAACCGTCAACTCTTGGAAGAGACATCTGGGCCGGTTGGAGCCCAGGGGCAATGGAAAATAGAATGCGAAATACCAGCCATCTGTGATTGGCCCTTACAAAGAGGAGGAAACATAGTCCCAATGCCATCCACTTACAGACCTAGAGAAGAAAGTCATTGATCAAGTATTTCATTGGAGAAAAGTTGTCACAAATATGTTGATTAATGGAGACTAATTTATTTGATATGGAAGTTTGTTTTTCCCCCCTTTTTTGATGATGTTCGTCTTGATGAAGTTCTAGCTGTTCATTTTTAATGAGAAATGGTTAAAAGTTAAACTAACTTGTCTTACGTCTCCTCACATTTTTTTTCTGTCTACCTTCACTTCTTCAATTCTATGCAGTCTTAACTGAGCCAATTTGTACATATTTTCCATGGTGATATCAAATCCACAGAAGAATTAATAACTATGGAATTTTAGAAGCCTTGCAAAATAGAGCAAGTGAGCTGAGGGTGACCTCTGGAACTTCCATGTAAGGCTTAACTTGGGCTCATGGCCTGGAATGAACCAGCTCATAATGTGACACTTTTATAACCTAATAAACATGACTCCTAGGAACAAGTTCCAATCACATCAAACAAAAAGCTGTATATGGGGTTTCGGAAGTCCTACTTTCTGATCCCACAACTATCATATCTAAATTTTTAAACTGGACGAGTCACTCGATCTCCATGAGGCAAATCTCCCTTCCCTGTTACATGAGAGTTTAACTCACAGCACCTAGGTCACCTCTAGCACAAAAATATTATGATCCTAAACCTTATTCCTAATTGAGATCTGGATGGAGGGTGTTCCAAATCCACCAAATTCAGGAAATTATGTGAATTTCTTTGTAAAACAGTGAAGTCTGCCTGATTAACTATGATTCTCATTCATTTCCACCATTACCTACTTTGATAGCTAAATTTGTTTGTACCTTGAGAAGTCTTTTTCCACCTAAAGTTCTTTCTCTTGGAGGGCTAGAGAGAAAGTGAGGTCCAGTTCTCTGGGAGTTAAATTCCGTTTACGAAACAGCAATCTCTCTAGGAGTCATACTTCTCAGGACTATTCCATTTTCTCAAAGCACGTATGCACAATTTGAAAATGTCTGAAGTCACAGTTTCGATGGTTGTTTCCACAAGGAGAGCTATGGCCTATGAAATAAATGTCTGAGTCAGATTGGAAGAGAAAATGGAGAATGATGATTGACAAATATACTGATTTTGGAATAACACTTATTCTCTGCCTTCATGTCCAGGTCAATATTAGAATAATAATAATACTTTTCTTCATAATTTTGGAGGTATTAAATGTGCAATGTACGTGAAGACTTAAAAAAGTAAGGTGACAAGAATTCCTAGTTGTTATAATGTAGTCATCCCTCAGCTCAGGTCCTGGGCTACAGTTTTTGCTTAGACACTTTTGGTGACTATAGGAAGCTGCAAGTTCTTTGTGGTATATTTGCAGAATATATTTACAACTTTTGAAACTGGAATTACTTCATGATATCCATCAGTAGACAACCTTGTGAAGTAGATAAGACAGCTATTATAATTTCTGTTTAACAAGTCAAATTTCTATTTAACCAGTTAAATTTCCATTTCACAATGGAGATTCAAAGGGGTTAAGTGACTTGCCTAAAGTCACAGATCTGGTGGCAGTAGGACCAGAGGTAGATTCTAGAATTATGCTTCTCATTAAACCTCTTCTCTCTCATTTTTTGTATTTCTTCGCAAGGGCTTCAAACATCATTTCGTGAGTGTTTGAAGATTGACCTAGGGTCTTCATGATTACTCATCAGAGGCCCCTGCTGATCTTTTTACTGAAGTTTATATAAGAGAGAAATTTTAAAATCATTTCTTATTTACTTTTAAATATATTAGCAGTGACCCTGTGCTATCCAGATGAGTATAGGTGGTTTTCATCTTCATCTTGGGTTGGTTGCTGAACATGCACGTGCCCAGATCTGGAGGCACACTGCAGCATGGCTGGTTAGCTTTCACAAGGCTTCAGCTCAAAGTTCATGCTCCAGCTAAGGGAGCCTTGGTTCTCTCAGTTGGCGCTAAAATTTTGCTTCCCAAATTTGAATGTGCAGATGAATCATCTGGAGATCTTGTAAATTATGACTCAGCATGTCTGGGATGAGGTCTGCAATTCTGTATTTCTAACAAGTCCCAGGTGACATGGATGTCATAGGTCTGAAGACCAAATTTTGAGTTTCATGTTAGATATGTCATTAATCATAGGGATATCACAATTAGTGTTTCTCTGATAAAATAAATGGTGTTCAATAAACATCTAGCATTGCTTGACTGGGGTACAAGAATCTGGCAGGGCTTAGAGCTGAATTCTCTTCCCAATAGACATGAGACCTCATATTCTAGGGAGCTCTGTGTTCAGCTACATAGTATAGAATTCCAGCACCACACAGAATATGTGGAAGGAAGCAGAGGTCTCCTTAGTGAGATATACATATTATTATTGATAATATAATAATAATAATAGCTTCATTTTCTTGAGAACTTGCCAAGTGCTAAGAACATATTAACTCACTTCATTCAGCAGCTGAGACACAGAAAGTCTCAGTACCATGTTATGTGTGACAACCAGCATGAAAGAATAACAAATATATATATATATTGGTCTCTTTCCCCAGTTCCTGACACAAGGCTCCAAAACCCTTATAATTTCCCAGGCAACAGGAGTGCTAGAAGCATCTTTTGTATTAGTATTTGGTCTTTAGCCTGATTCCTGACACAGAGCTCCTAAATCCCTTAGAACTTCCTGCATGCATGATAGGAGCATCTTTTTTTCTAATGAGTTGACTCTTGGTGGACTTCCAGATGGGGGCTGGTCACCAGACAGACTACACCATGCTTAGAAGCTTTGAAGTTTCAGCTTCATTTCCCATTCTCCATGAAGGGGAGAGGAGTTAAAGATTGAGTTAATAATCATACTTATGTGATGAAGCCTCCATAAAAATCCCTGTAAGACTGGATCCATGTACCAGTAGGGTGGCATACCCCAACTCCACAGTGACAGAAACTCTTGTACTTGAGACCCTTTGGACCTTGCCTTATGTACCTTTTTATCTGGTTATTCATCTGTATCCTTTATCAGATCCTTTACTTTATTACGTAATAAACCAGTAAGGGTAAGTGTTTCCCTGAGTTCTGTGAGCCATTCTAGCAAATGATTGAACATGAGAATTGGGTTGTGGAAGCCTCTGATTTGTAGCTCAGTCAGACAGAAGTTGTGAGTAACCTGAAAACCCACCACTTGTGATTGGCAGGCAGTCTTGTGGGCCTGAGCCCTTAAACTGTGGAGTCTGTGCTAACTCCAGGTAGTTAATGTCAGAAGTTATAGTGCTGAAAGATAAAAGTGTCAACCAAGAATTCTATACCTGGAAAAACTGTCCTCCAAAAATGAGAGGGGGATTAAGATAGCCCAAATTAACAAAAGCTGAGGGAGTTTGCTACGACTAGACCCATTGCACAACAAATGCTAAAGAGAGTCTTTCAGGTTGAAATGAAAAAACAGTAGGTAGTAACAGAAAAGCATATGAAAATATAAATATCTCCACTAAAGTAAATACATGGACAAATATAATAACCAGTATTATCGTAATGTTGTTTATAACCCCATGCTTTATTTCCTGCAAGATTTAAAAGACAAATGAACCAGAATAATTATAAATGTATGTTAATGGGCAGCCAATATATAAAGATGTAATTTATGACATTCATAACATAAATTAATGTTGTTAATTGATCTGTGAATGGGTACAGTTTTTTTTAATTCAATTGAAATTAAGTAGGCATAAATTTAACACAGATTATTATAACTTTAAGATGTTAAGTGTAATCCATATTATGACTACAAGGAAAATATCTATAAAATATAGACAAAAAGAAATGAAGAGAAAATCAAAACATGCCACCACAGAAAAATAACAAAGAAACTGGATTTAAACTTGACATTTGAACAACTGGACATAATAGACACCTACAAAACACCCGACAATCACAGAATATACATTTTTCTCATCTATACATGGAACATATTTGAAAACCAACTACATGTTTTGTCAAAAAACAAGTCTCAGTAAATTTTAAAAAATGAAATAATACCAAACATGCTCTTGGATGACATTGAAATAAAAACAGAAATCAATATAAGATCTGTCAAAACTACATAATACCTGGAAATTAAACAACTTGAGGATCTTTTGTATTTCTGTATATTGCTCCTGAGTAACTCCTGGGTGAACATTAAATTAAGGCAGAAATCAAAATTAATGTTGAAATTAACAAAAATAGAAACACAACTTACCAAAATCTCTGGGTAGCAGCTTACACAGTATTAAAGGTAAGTTTATAGTCCTAAAGACCTTCATCAAGAAGTTAGAAAAATCTTAAATTAATATCTGACTTTGCACCTAAAGGAACTAGAAAAAAAAATCCAACTCCCAAGCTGGCAAAAGAAAAGACATAACTAAAATTAGAGAAGAACTGAACAAATTGAGATGCAAAAATTAATATAATACAAAAGATTACTGAAACCAAGAGTTGGTTTTTCAAAAAAATAAACAAGATTGATAGACCACTAGTAAGAATAACAAAGAAAAAAAGAGAGAAGACCTAAGTAGTACATTCAGAAATGACGAAAATGACTTTACAATTGATCCCACAGAAATACAAAAGATCCTCGGATAATGCTATGAATAACTCTATGCACACAAATTAGAACATCTAGAAGAAATAGATAAATTCCTGGAAACAGAAAATCTCCCAAGATTGAATCAGGAAGAGATAGAAACCCCAAATAGACCAATATCAAACTATGAAATTAAACCAATAATAAAAACCTACCAACCAAAATAGAAGGACCAGATGTATTCACAGCCAAATTCTACCAGACATATAAAGGAGAACTAGTACCAATGCTACTGAAACTATTCCCAAAAATTAACGAGGAGAGACTCCTCCCTAACTCATTCTATGAAGCCAGAATCAGCCTGATACCAAAATCTGGCAGAGACACACAAAAAAAGGAAACTTCAGGCTAATATCCCTGATGAACAGAGACACAAAAATCCTTAACAAAATACTAACACATTGAATCCAGCAATGTGCAAATAGCCAAATAGTCTTAGGTTGAAGCAAAAGTAATTGCAGTTTTTGCCACAAAACCGCAAATACTTTTGCATCAACCTAATAAATACACCATAATTAAGTAGGCTTTATTCCTTAGATTCAAGGCTGATTCAATCTATGCAAATCAATAAGTGTGATTCGCCATATAAACCATACAAACAGAATTTAAAACAAAATTCATATGATCACCTTAATAGACACAGAAAAAGGTTTTGATAAAATCCAACATCACTTCATGATAAAAACCCTCAGCAGACTAGGCATTGAACACACGTACCTCAAAATAATGAGAGCCATCTATGACAGACCCATAGCCAACATCACACTGAATGGACAAAAGCTGGAAGCATCCCCCTTGAGAACTGCAACAAGGCAAGACGCCCAGTCTCACCGCTTCTATTCAACATATTACTGGAAGTCCTAGCCAGAACGATCAGACAAAATAAAAATATAAAAGGCATCCAAATAGGAAAAGAGGAAATCAAATTATCTCTCTTTGCCAATAATATAATTCTATACTTAGAAAACCCTAAACTTTCCACCAAAAGGCTACCAGAACTAATCAATGATTTTAGCAAGGTTTCAGGATACAAACTCAGTATACAAAAATCGGTAACATTTCTATACACCAATAATGTGCAGGCTGAAAGTGAAATCAAAAACACAAACCCATGTATAATAGCCAGAAAGAAAATAAAATACATAGGCATACAGCTAACCAAAGAGGTGAAAGACCTCTACAAAGAGAACTACAAAACATCGCTGAGAGAAATCAGAGACAACACAAATAAATGAAAAAAAATCCATGCTCATGGATTGGAAGAATCAATATCATTAAAATTACCATGCTGCCCAAAGCGATTTATATATTCAATGCTGTTGCTATCAAACAACCAACATCATTTTTCAAAGAAAACTATTCTAAAATTCATATGGAGATGAAAAAGAGCCCAAACAGCCAAAGCAATCCTAAACAAAAGGAACAAAGCTAGGGTCATCATACTACCCAACTTCAAACTACACTATAAGGCTACAGTGACTAAAACAGCATGATACTGGTCCAAAAATTAAAAAAAAAAAAAAAAACAGACACATAGACCAATGGAATAGAATAGAAAACTCTCAGGAAAAAAAGTTGCACATCTGTAAGCATCTGATCTTCAACAGAGCCAACAAAAACAAGCAATGGGGAAAGGACATCCTAATTAATAAATGGTGCTGGGATGGCTGGCTAGCCACATGCAGAAGAGTGAAATTGGACCCTTACCTTTTGCCATATACAATAATCAACCTGAGTTGAATTAAATATTTAAATATAAGAATTCAAGCTATAAAAATTCTATAAGAAAACCTAGGAAATACCTTTGTCAACACTGGCCTTGGCAAAGAATTCTTGACTATGTCACCAAAAGCAGTTGCAACAAAAACAAAAATTGACAAGTGAGACCTAATTAAACTAGAGAGCTTCTGCACAGCAAAAGAAACTATCAATAGACTAAACAGATAACCTACAGAATGGGAGAAGTATTTACAAACTAATATCTGTCAAAGGTCTAATATCCAGTATCTATAAGAAACTTAAATCAACAAGCAAAACACAAACAACCCCGCTCAAATATGAGCAAAGATATCTGGGCATGGTGGCTCGCGCCTGTAATCCCAGCACTTTGGGAGGCCGATTTGGGCAGATCACAAGGTCTGGAGTTGGAGACCAGCCTGGCCAACATGGTGAAACTTCGTCTCTACTAAAAATAAAAAATTAGCTGAGTGTGGTGGCAGGCACCTGTAATCCTGGCTACTCAGGAGGCTGAGAGAGGAGAATCACTTGAACCCGGGAGGTGGAGGTTGCAGTGAGCCAAGATCGTGCCATTGCACTCCAGCCTAAGCGACAAGAGCAAGATTCCGTCAAAAAAAAAAAAAAAAAAAGCAAAGACTATGAACAGACACTTCTCAAAAGAAGACATACAAGCAGCTAACAAACATGTGAAAATATGCTCATTATCACTAATCATTAGAGAAATTGAAGTCAAAACCACAATAAGATACCATCTCACACTAGTCAGAATGGCTATTATTAAAATGTCCAAAAACAACAGATGCTGATGAGGCTATGGAGAAAAGGGATCAGTTACCTAATGTTGGTGTAAATATAAATTAGTTCTGCCACTGCAGAAAACAGTTTGGAGATTTCTCAAATAACTTAAATAGCTTCCATACGACCCAGCAATTCCATTCTATAAATGTTCCCATTTCTAGAACAATTCTATAAATTGTTCTATCATAAAGACACATGCACACATATGTCCATCACAGCACTATTCACAGAAGTGAAGACATGGAATCAATATGCATGCCTGTTGACAATAGACTGGATAAGGAAAAGATGGTACATATATATCACTGAACACTACACAGTCACAAAAAAAAGAATGAAATCGTGCCCTTTGCTGCAACATGGATGCTGCTGGAGATCATAATTCTAAGTGAATTAATGCAGGAAAAGAAAAACAAATACTACATATTATCACTTATAAATGGCAGCTAAATATTGAGCACACATGGACATAAACACGGGAACAATAGGCATTGCAGACTACTAGATGGGAGAGGGAGGAAGAGAGGTATAGGTTGAAAAAATACCTATTGGGTACTATGTTCACTATCTGGGTGCATTATACTCATGTAAACACCCTGTACATGTACCCCTTGTATCTAGAATAAAAGTTTAAATTTAAAGGAAACAACATGCCACCATACATGCACACACACACACAAAAAACTAAACACAAAAGAAGGCAGTAATAAAGGAAATGAGAGAGAAGGCATATAGAAAAAATAATAAAATTACAAAAAAAGTACATGTAGGCATATAAAGTAATTATTAATAGGTATGTACTTATTTTTTGTAATTTGGCATATATATTATATTTGTAGGCATATAAAGTAATTATTAATAGGCAGAATGGATGTTTTAAAATGGGATTCAATTATATGATGCTTACAAGAAACTCACCTTTAGATAGAACACACTGGTTGAAAATGAAAAGATGAAATAAGATATTTCATGCATATAATAATCAAAATCTAACAAGATTGACTTATACTAATATTAGACAAAATAAACTTCATGTCAAAAACTGTAATGAGGCAAATAAAGAGGTCATATAGTAATAAAAGGGCCAATTCTTCAAAAAGTTATAACCATTGTAAACATATATATACCAAACACCAGTGCTCTAACATATCTAAAGCAAACACAATTCGAAGTATAAGTGGAAACCTCTACAATAACAGTAGGAAACTTTAATACCCTATTATAAGTAATTGAGAGAAAAAACAAATAGAAGATTAATAAAGAAACAGAGGACATAAACAACACAATAGATTAATTGGATCTAACAGATACGTATAAAGCAGTCCACCCAACAACAGCAGTATACAATTTTTTTCTCCAATGCACATCAAATATTCACATGATAGGCTATTTGTTAGGTCACAAAACAAGTCTTAACAAATTTTAAAAGATTAAAATTATACAAAGTATCTTAACAAATTTTAAAAGACTAAAATTATACAAAGTATCTTTTCCGATCCCAGTGGTATAAAATTAGAAATCAATAACAGGAGGAAAACTCACAAATATATGGAAATTAAACAATACACTCTTAAATAACCAATGGTTCAAAGAAGACGTCACAAGGGAAATTAGGAACTATCTTTTCTAATAAAAATTAAATTGGAAACACAACAGCAAATTTGTAGCTGTAAATACTTATGTTAAAAAAGAAAAAGATCTCCAATCAACAACCTAACTTTACACCCTACCTAATTATAACAAAAGAATGAATTAAGCCTAGCTATAAGAGGGAAGAAAATAATAAAGAGTATAACAGAGATAAAATATAGAAGAGAAAAATGATAGAAAAAATAATAAAACAAAGATATTAAAAATATCGACCAAATTGACAAACCTTTAGCTAAATTGTGTAAGAAAAAAGGAGAAAAGATTCAAATAACTAAAATCAGAAATGAAAATGGGCACATTACTAATTATTTTAGAGAAATAAAAAGAATTTCAAGAAAGTAGTAAGAAAAATTGTATACTAACAAATTTAATAACCATCTCATAATAAACAAATTTCTAGAAACAACAACCTATTAAGACTGTATCATGAAGAAATAGAAAACCTACATAAACCTTTAACTAGTAAGAGGATTGGATCAGTAATCAAAAACTTCCCGCAAAAGAAAAGTCCTGGACAAGATTACTTCTATCTGGTAAATGTTATCAAACATTTAAAGATTTAACACCAATCCTCAGAGAACACTCTCTATCCCATTCTATGAGACTGGTATTACCTGGCACCAAATCTAGACAAGGACACTAAAGAAAAGAAAACCACAAGCCAATATCCCTTATAAACACTGGTGCAAGGCTGGGCGCAGTGCTCCTGCCTGTAATCCAAGCACTTTGGGAGGCCGAGGTGGGCAGATCCTGAGGTCAGGAATTCGAGACCAGCCTGGCCAATATGGTGAAAACCCTGTCTCTACTAAAAATACAAAAATTAGCCTGGCGTGGTGGCAGGCGCCTGTAATCCCAGCTACTCAGGAGGCTGAGGCAGGAGAATCACTTGAACCTGGGGGGTGGAGGTTGCAGTGAGCCAAGATCATGCCATTGCACTCCAGCCTGGGCAATAGAGTGAGACTCCATCTCAAAAAACAAACAAACAAACAAAAAACTGATGCAAAATTTCTCCATAAAATATTACCAAACTAAATTCAACAGCTTATCAAGAAGATAATACACCATGACCAAGTGGGATTTATTCCTGGAATGCAACAGTTTTACAACACATGGAAATCAGTCAAGTAATACACCACTTTGATGGAATGGAAGAAAAAAACACATGATCATCTCAATGCAGAAAAATTATTTGATAAAATTCAACACCCATTCATGATAAAAAGCACTTAACAAACTAGGGATGAAATGAAAGTACCTTAACGTAATAAAGTTCCTGTATGTAAAACCCACAATTGACATCATACTCAATGGTGAAACGCTGGAAGTTGTTCAAGATCAAGAACAGGACAAAGATATCCATTTTTGCTGCTTCTATTCTACATATATATTGAAAATTATAGCCAGAGCAATTAGGATAGAAAAAGAAATTAAAGTCATCCAAAACAGAGAGGAACAAATAAAATTATCTCTGTTCACGGATGACTTGATATTATATGTAGAAAACCCTAATGATTCCATAAATAAATAAATAAATACCTGGTAGAACTAATAACCAAACTTAGCAAATTAGGAGTGCACAAAATCAACATACAAAAATAAATTATGTTTCTATATACTAACAGTGAATAATATGAACACAAAATTAAGAAAACAATTCCATCTACAATAACATCAAAATGGATAAAATACTTAGAAATAAACAAAACTAAGAAGACGAAAGACTTGTACACTGAAAAATACAAAATGTTCCTGGAAATTAAGAAATTAAGGAAGACACAAATAAATGGAAGACATCCCATGTTCATGGATTAGAAGATGTAATATTGTTAAAATGTCAATATTATTTAAAGTAATTTAAATAATGTCATGTCTTTCAAATTTCCAACACTGCTTTTTGCACAGGTTAAAAAAAATTCACCCTAAAACCCATATGAAATCTCAAGGACTCCCAAGTAGCCACAACAATTTTGAAAAAGCAGAAGAGGGCTCACACTTCCTGATTAATACAAAGCTAAGGTAATTAAAATAGGCTGTGTTGACAAAAAGACAAGACATATAGACTAATAGAATAGAATAAAGATCTCAAAAATAAATCTTTGCATATATGGTCTTTAAATAAGGGTGTCAAGGCTATGTAATAGAAAAAAAATAGGCTTTTCAAAAGGTGGTATTGAAAAAACTGGATATCTATGTGCAAAAAAATTAACTGGGACCCTTACCATATACAAAAATTCACTTAAGATGGGTGAAAAACCTAAATGGTTTTTGGTAAGTAAGACCAAAACTTTTAACAAAAAATGTAGGAGAAATTTTTCATGACATGGGATTTGGCAGTGGTTATTTAGATACAACACCAAAAGCATCAGTAACAAAATTAAAAATAGATAAATTGGATTGACTTAAAATTAGAAACTTTTGTGCATGAAAAGACGCCATCAACAGAGTGAAAAGGCAATTATAAAATAATGCAAAATGCTTGCAAGTTGTATACCTGATAAAAAATTAATATCCAGAATATATAAAGAATTCCTACAACTCAACAATATCAACAAAACAAACAAATTAAAAAATTGGCAAAGAACTTGAGTAGATATTTCCAAAGAAGATATACAGATGGCCAACAAGCAGTTGAAAAGATGTTCAACATTGCTTATCATTAGGAAAATGCAAATCAAAATTATGAGATTTCATTTCCTGATTTCAAGCTTAGTACAAAACTACAGTAAAAGAAAACAGTGCTACATTGACATAAAGACAGACATGTAGACTAATGAAATAGAGTACAGACTTTAGAAATAAATCCTTGTATATATGGTCTTTCAATATGGTATCAAGACTATTCAATAGGAAAAAATAGTCTTTTCAAAAGGTGGTATTGGGAAAACTGGATATCTTTGTGCAAAAGAATAAAATTGGACCCTTATCATATACAAAACTTCACTTAAAATGGATTGAAAACCATATATAAGACTCAAAGCTACCAAACTTTTAGAAGAAAGTGTAAGGAAAATTTTTCATGACATTGGACTTCACATTCATTAGCATGGCCAGCATAAAACACACACATGCACACACACATGCACACCCACCCCCACACACACACACAGAGAAAGAGAAAGGGAGAAAATAACAAGTGTCAGGAAAACCGTGAATAAATTAGAACCCTTGAACACTGCTAGTGGAAATGTAAAATGGTGCCACCACTGTGGAAAACAGTATAATAGTTCCTGAAAAAGTTAAACATAGAAGTACTATGCAATTCAGAAATTCCACTTCTGGGTACACACTCAAATGAATTGAAAGCAGGTACTTGAACAGATATTTGTACACCAATGTTAATAGCAGAATTATTAACAATAAACAAAAGATGGAAGCAACCCAAATGTTTATTGACAGATGAATTTATAAAGAAAATATGGTATACACATACAATGGAATATTATTCAGCCTTAAAAAGGAAGAAAATTCTGGCACATACCACAACATGGATGAACCTTGAAAACATTACACTATGTGAAATAAACCAGACACGACAGGACAAATATTGTATGGTGCTACTCATACAAAGTACCTAAGGTAGTCAAATATGGAGATGGACAATAGAATGGTGGTTGCCAGGGGCTGTGAATAGAGGAAACAGGGAGTGAGTTTAATGGGTGCGGAATTTTAGCTTGAGAAGATAAAAAAATTCTGGTGATGGATAATGTTGATGGTTGTACAACAATGTGAATGTGCTTAATGCCACAGAGCTGTACACTTAAAAATAGTTAAAATGTTAAGTTTTAGTTCTGTACCTTTTACAACAATTTTAAAAAGAGAAAAAACTTACTGTGAGTGAAATGCCTAGTATTCACAAATTCAACCTCCCTTCCCAAGGACAAGGTAATTAAAGAAAAATTAAACCAGTACATCTTACGTGTGACTCACAAGTGAAACAGAATTCTCTCTCCTTGTACACTCCTCTTTTCACTTTATTTAATTCAGCTTCTGATCGTGTCCAGTGCATTGTGAACTCTTTGAGCCCAGTGTGGTAAGGTGAGCATGCTGCGGGCCAAGAGTTGCCACCCCATCCTCCCACTGCATTGAATCCCCCAAGCTCTGAGGATTTTGTTTTCTCATGTAGGGTGGGTTTCATGAGAGCATGTAGCCCAGTAGATATTCTGCCGTATGTCTGCAGAATTAATACCTGTGGAGGCAGACTATAAACCAGGGCTTGCAAACTCAAGAGACTTTAGGTGAGTGGAGATGATGGGTGGAGACCTGTAATGTAGGCACCTGATGTGAAGGGGGAAGCCTTGAAGAGGTGAGATTCAATCCCTGCTCATTTTTCAACTAAATGTATATAATTCACTATATAATTATGTGAAATAGTCTTATTTTAAAATGCAGGAATTTAATTTAATTTAATTTACAAATACTGAGCAAACTAAACGACACCTATCTGTGGATTGGATATGGCCCTTACGCCCCAGTTTGCAATCTCTGACCTATATGAATGTAATTTATAATATGCAGCACTACCATTTTCTGGAGTCCTAGATATGTGGTGAGTAATTAACTAATTCCTTCGTGCAAACAAACAGTAGGAAATGGATTTCTGCATATTTAGTATCTTCCAAATATCACCCTGACCCGAGGCTATCAAACTAAATGGTATTTTGGGAAGGGCCATGTTTCCTTCTAAGAAAAAGATCTTAGAAAAGAGCCACATGGATTCCTCCTCTTCCAAGTCTTCTTTTCATTCTCTTCTTGTCATTCATGAGCTTGGTGGTCTACTACTTTCTTTACATGATGATGGAACACTGGTGACTTACGAGTCTTCCTGGAGCAACAGTTTCCGCCTCCTGCCCTTCCTCATCCTTTGACCAATCTCATTCTCTTGCCCACCATGGGCTATTGCACTGGCGTCTTTTGGGTTAAGAGCCAAGGAGGTTTGTCATTATCCTTTCCTTATTAAAAAAACGGGTCTTTCCAAAATTACATTTTGTTTAATATTCTCAAGTCAGGAGTGTGATGTTAAAACAATCAGGATGAGGGTTGAAAAATTACCTATTGGGTACAATGTCCAATATTTGAGTGATGTGTACACTAGAAACCCAGCCCACACCATCACATATGAAATGCCCATGTGACAAACAAGCACAGGTACCCCCTGAATCTAAAGTTTTTAAAATTTTTTTTAAAGACTCAGATACTCTGTCACGGCCAACTAATTTTTATACCTTTGCAAATTTTAAGTAAGTTTCCAGGCTCCTATAAATTTTGTCTTTTAGAGAATAATTTTGAGGTGAAAAAATTAGGCTAATCACACTTAGCTAGAAGATGTGGAAATTCTAGAGAGTTTTGAATGTACCACCTTCCTGTTATTTTTTCTATACAACAAACATATTACAGATGTAAATTGAAGATGCATATGGAAATGGAGGTTTAAATTAATATATATTATTTACTTTTACCAACTTGCTCTTCTTTTTCCCTTTGCCTCCTGCCTCCCCTCGGTGCCCCTATTGGGGGTCTCCTTCTGTACCTATCCCTTGGGCTTGTGATTAGAATGTCATTCTAATCACAAGTGATCTCATGTGTGTAAACTCCAGTGATACAAAAATACACAATGTATTAGATGTATACTTGTATTACTGTGAAATAAACTAGTCCCTCAAGCAATTCATAAAATCGATGTAATGACCTCATACTATACAGCATGCCCATGTTTCCTTGTGACCACATTTCCATACCCATCCTTGCACATGTTATTTGTGTGATCTTCAGAGAGTGAAGGAGGTTATATTTCCTTGGAGATAGCTATATGCAAAACACGCTAGTACACACTTTTCTGAGTTGACTTGTTGTATCTTGTTTAATGGGATCTTTATTTTCATCCTCAGTTTGCAAATGAAGCAATGGTCACAGCTCTTTGTTCCGTTGGACATGATCTTGGCCCCTTGATGTTGCCATTACAATGGAGCTAGTTCTAACACACACAGGTGTGCATGCGTGCACACACACACACACACAACACACACAAATCTAATTTGAAGAACATGGAATTCCATGCTGGTTTTAGTTTTCTGGGTTTTGCTTGTTTTTTCAGGATGTGCTAATGGGGTTGCTCAGACTCCCTGCATGGGGAGGCAAACAATCTAGGACTCCTATCTCCATTCAACATTTTGTTGCAAATAAAATGCTCTCTAGGGTTTAGGCTCCCTGGAAATGTGTTTTCTGGGAACTTTACCAAAAACAATTCATGTTTTGGAACCAAACCTATGAAGAATAACCCTTCTTTGGTATGAATTCAACAAAAAGTCTGCCCTTGGCTTCATTTTACAGCAGGAAACAGCCTGCTTGATATTGGTTTTTCCAAAGGCCTCTTGCCCCTTCCTTTGTATACAGAGGGTCATACAGGCAGGTGCAAGCAGGGGCCCAGAAGAGCAGACAAAACTGACCTTTCACGTTTTGTTTTAGGCCAGTGCGTATGGCTCCCAAAAGCATGGTGACCAAGGCAAACAACTTTCGACCTCTGCCCTCCTCACTTGTGCCTTCCCATTGTGGGTGAGGCATTCGTCTCACCCCATGACATGTCTTTTTAAGACAGAGAGACTGTGTATTGAGTTATGATGATTATTGTGACCTTCTGTTGTGATCTGTTATTTTATTCTACACAATATATATATTGAGTAGATGTCACTTTAAAACAATATGCTATTTGTTTTCATATAGTCGTTAATGTTACCTTCTCATCTTAGTTTCTGTGTCTTTACCAAGTTGTGTTTTACCTTTATATTTTGTTTTGTTTCTTAGAACTTAGACATGGGGGTGGAGGTGGGATGAGGGAGATATTTAGTTCCTGGGACAGCCAGCATTGATTAATACAAACTGCATGCTCAGCAGTGTCATAGGCACTAGGAGAAGGGGGAGAGAAGGGTGTGGCTGTCACCTGTCCTTAAGGATTTTGCTTCTATGGGAGAAAAGCCTTTCTCAAGTCCAGATGCTTGCATTGTGCACTGTATTAACTGATTTTGCTGCAGTAACAGAAACTCTAATTTCAGTGACTTCCAGAAACAAACATGCATTTCTTGCTAATGTGCTGTGCCTCTGCTCCATGTGCCCTCTGTTTCCAGACTCAGGCTGAAGGAACCCCTCCCACGGAGGGAACATCATTCTCTTGACAAGGGGCAGATGCAAGAGAACTGGTGGCATCTCAGGATTCTTTCTGAAACTTCTGCCTGAACACAGCATACATCAGGTCTTTTCTCCCCATCCCATTGGGCAGGTATGTGACAAGACCATGCCCAAAGGCCAAGGGGCAGCGATGTGTATGCCACATCCGAGGAAGCCCTGCTCATCTCGTGGAATGGGGCTGGGGCATATAACCCTCTTGTAGGGAAGGGGACAGTAAAAAAGTGAATGAATACAATCAACTGCATCCACAGAATTCTCCTAAGTGATGTAATCTGCAGGGAATGGTGTGGACAAGAGTGTCTACAGATGGAGGCTTCTGAGGGCAGGTGAAGGCAAGGAGTCAGGATGGCAGGCAAAGCTGCAAGACAGAGAAAGTGTGCAATTTTCACAGGGTTATGAGATTTGGATTTTCTTAAGCCAAGCACAGAATCATGGATTGAGAGAGAAGGAAGTCCATGTGGACATCTGTCATTTTTGGGCTACCAGAGTTTCCCCCTTCTGAATGACATCTTCTAAATGGCACCCACTTCTGAATGGCACCTCAAATTGCTCTGGCAAAATATTTCCTCTCCATTTCTGAAAAAGAAACAACTTCCCCAAGAGAAGTGCACAACAGTGGTCTCCAGAATTTTCTTAATCGCCCACTTCCTCTTACCACCACAATGCAGCTGGCCACCAACTTTTGACGAATCCGACTCCTTTCTAGTATTTTACACATTGAGTGTGTTGCTTCCCAGATGCTGGTAGGAGTGATGGCTACAGCTCACACCCCACATGTGGCAGCACTGTCGCACAAAAGGTCCTCCTTCCCTCTAGGTCTCATGGAGTTTCCCTTCCTGGCCCCCACCCTTCCTCTTTGACTCTGAAGTTGACCAGTGATTTCTACAGCAAGGGACTAAAGTGGGCTGCCTGGTACAGGGCCATAGAGATTAGAAGAAAGTTTTGATTCCTCAGTATTCATTTATGCAGGAGTGATGCTTGGCATTGAGAATCAGAAAACTTTTGCTTTTGTAGCAAAACAATGAATGACTGAAGTGTTGAGTAGCTTGTCATAGGTTAATTGGTGCAGAACTGCACCTGGAATACAAGTGCCCCCCACTCTACTGCATGGGTGGGCCTGAGCCGGCTCCAAGAATAAAGGAAGTGGTGCAGAAGGCTAGGGCATTCCAGAATAATGTGGATGGTTCTAGACAGAGTAGAGATCATGCTAACCAGAATAAGAAAATTGTATTAGTGGAGCATAAGAAATGACATCAGATAGAGACATTCAGGCAAAATTTTGAGTGATGTTTACAAAATAATTGTAATAGCATAGACAATAATTATGCTAAAATGTTAAATGAAAAAAGACACACATTTGCTCTGATATATTTTACTCGAATAGAATGAAAAAATTATGTACACAAGAGCTTGGAGTGACTTCAGATAAAAGTATGAGTGACTATCTTTTTCATTGTTCTACCTTTATGTGGTATCCTATTCTTCTGCAAGGAGCATGAATCACTCTTATAAAGGAGGATAAAATCTTTGAAAATTAAAGTTGTTCAAGAGTAAACAACAGAAAGCCAGAGAAGGAATGACTTTATAAACAAAATGCTTTGTGCAGTCAACCTTCAGATGATTTTTCAGGTCTGTCGTTTCTCTCAAAGAGATGAATACTCCGGGCCTGCCTAAGACAGGGTGGAAGCTCTGCAGCTTCAGCCAATCTTTGCTACAGTTAGGATGAGTGAGGATGTTCACCTGGATAGAATAACACCTGGATTTCTTCCGCTTTCTGTGTACAGTGCTTTGTCTTTTCCTTTGTCCCTCAGTAGTAGTTTGTAGCATCTGTACAATAGCTGGCAAGGGATGCAACTGTTCCTAAATGTAAAAACAGGAAGACACAAAGGTTTCTGAATGATGTGCTGTGGTCTCTTTTTGACAAGGAAGAATGTAAAGGGAACAAAACTGGTGCTGGTGGAAAGAGGCACTACACAGCAGCTGCTGGAAAACTGAGTGGAGGCCATCTTCCTTGCTCCTTGTCACTTGTGGGAAAATCTCCAAAAGCTGCCATAGAACGAGAGGTGGAACCATTTAGGATGGCAGCCAAACACCTGCAGATCCTCGTGATTATACTGCATTCTGTGGCTGTGGATGAAAGTTTGGCCACTTTGTTTCCTTTTTATTGTAAGTAATGAATGATGTTTTTAGAGAGTGCTTTGAATTTCTACTGACTTGCAAATGAGTATCTTACCTGAGATGGACATTGCATATTTCTGAGAGCTATTCTTTAAGACTCTATTCTTTAAGGACTTTTGTGTTCTTTGGAAATTGATACCAAGGAAACAAACATAAAGACACCAAAGTGAGGTACATTAATATATAGAAAGTGACCACATTTATTGCATTCCCTGTGAAAGCAAGATGCTCAAATACACATCTTTAACCCCTACACAGGGAGCATCTAATACATACAGTGGCTGTCACTCCTCTCCAATCCCAGGCTGAAGGCCGGCACTGCTACCCATTACAACTCTCTTTGTTACTAAGCCAGGACTGACCTCATAATGAAATGGCCCTGGGTGGTGAATGCCAATAAATCAGAGTTACCCAAGAGGTGATGCCTCTTTGACATGCCCTCCCACCCTGAGTTTGCTAAAACTACCAGCAAAAGGAAAGACTTCAAACAGCAGGAGTTGCTAGTTGTTTGTCAAAATACATTTGCTCCTTCTTTAGTCGAAGGTGCAGATACAGCTCCAGGATCCCTTTCAGTTCTTGTGGGCATAGAACTAAATTCTGCCCACTGTGATGTGAGCAGAAAGGATGTGAACAGTCCTCTGGGTTCAAAAGGAGAGGAGCCCTCTTCTTCCTTCTCACTGGCTGAGGGATAAAGAAGCTAAAGCAGCCACTTTGCACCGAAAGACAGAAGCCAGGCTTTGAGAATGGAAAATTATCTACCTGAGGGAGAAGTGAACTTCTGTCTTGTGCCAGCCGCTGGATATGGGGTCTCCTGTTACAGTGGCACAGCCTGTACCTCTTCCAATACATGTGACCAGCAGGAGAATCCCCTTTCTTTGCTTTTCTCTGGGGCTCCTTGCTCTGTTCCAACTCTCTCGACAGCCCTCCATGATCTCAAGGCTTGAGAAAATAGAGTAGCTTTCTTATAAAAATATCAAGGATTGCTGCTTTGGAACGAAAAGCTGAAAAGAAGTGAATATATGCAAGTCATAAATCAGGAAAAGGGGAAAATACTGACTCCATTCCTGCCTTTGGCCCTGTGTGTGGTCCAGGAGGTTGAAGAAAGTTACAGTCCTCAATGGACAGAGGAGTGAGGAACCCAGATTCACCGGGTACTGGCAAATTTATACTTTGCACAAGGTTTTCTCGTTAATTTTTTTTCTGATTAAATGAGATCTAATCTGAAGTTGCTTTTTAATGCACACTTTTGTTATGTGACTGTGTTTTCATTCCTGCCCCAGTAATTTTCTTTACTTGTGGCAACTTTCTTTGATATTGGAGAACATCAATGTCTCCAAATCTCCATTCTAATCAACAAGAAAAAAAAAATAGAGACAGGGCTGAATTGTTCATTGCTGATTTAAAAATAAACATTTTTTAAAAATCCACATTTGTATTCCACTCTAGTTTGCCTAACATTCTTTTTCTAATGGGAAGAAAGCAGCATATGCAGAGACTGGGTGCAGACACTCCACCCTCACCGGGAGGAGGGAAACTGGCCTTTTTCAAAATAGGAAAAATCTTCCTTTGTTATGAGCAATTTCCTAGTGACAGAGGCAACCATCTATAGACATTTGTCATGTTTTCTAGAACCTACTCTTTGGACAACAAGCAATTGCCCAGGTGGGAGAGAAACATGGGGTGTGAACAGGAGACAATCACATTGCCTCTCATTATGGCATCTGCATCCCTCCCCAGCTGGGCAACTCCGTATGGCCAGAAGCTCCTGTTGTTTTCTGCCTCAGATGACCCAGTGGTGATGCACTGAGAAAACACCGCTGTCCATTGGGTCCAACACAATTCCTGTTGAATGAGGAAAGGAGAAACAGTTGGTTTGGACCCTCTGACTCCCAAATGCCATTTTTGCTAAGTATGTAAGAAGCTAGAAAGTCTTACCCAGGATTTGACATCTGAGTCAAGAGCTCAAAAGTCAATAATGTGACCTGAACCTGAACCTTCGCGAACAGCTTCCAACGCCTGGCTGAGAAGAAAGGGCTCGTGGGGTATTTGGTTGCATTTCTCTTGGCCACAAAGGATCCTGGTTGTTTCAAGTTCCTCTATTTGAAGTGCACATTTCCTGTTGTTTTAATTTGCTTGTGAGTGCACCTCCTGAGAACCTGGTCTCTGTTTCATTCACTTTCCGTGCATTCCTCTTTCTATGCTTGATGCTGCAGCTTGTATTGTTTTCCTCCCCTTCTCTCTCTTTCCTACTCCCCTCCTGGTGTTCTGAGATCATCTCCCAGGTGAATTACCTGCACTCACATCTTTGTCACAGGCCTGCTTTCGGGGCAATCCAAGCTAAGAACACACACAGACACACACACACACGTACACACACACACACACTCGCACACACGTTTTGAACAAGCTCAGGGAACAAGAGCAGATATGCAAAAAATACAATTTTCTTTATTTTTAGAGACAATTTATTACTTTCAGCCCTGATTCTCACTGGTGTCTAAAGGAAATTAAGATTAACTCAACCTTCTTACCCATGATCCTCCCAGGAGTGTGTGTTACTCTAGGAACCTTCAGCACTGTGTTTAACAACTGGTCTCTAAAGGCTCATTCTTGGGTGTCCTCGCCTTGTCCTGGAGTCCATCAGCTCAGCACACCATGTCTGGGCACATCCTACTGTTCCCATGGCATGTTGGGTGGAAGTTTACAGAAATAAGGCATATATATACTTACCTTATATATATTTACATTTATATATATAAAGTATATGTACATTTACATTTAAAATTTACACAGTTTTATCCCAACAAGCAGCAGTTCAAATATCATTCTAGATGTCATGATTTTTTTTCCCTAATTGTGTGTCTTGTTTTTTTGAGACAGGGTCTTTCCATGTTGCCTAGGCTGGTCTTGAACTGGGCTCAAGTGATTCTCCTGCCTCAGCCTCCCAAGTAACTGGGATTACAGGTGTGCACCATCATGCTTGGCTATTCCCCTAATTCTTAAATGTTGGTGGCCAGAAAAAGCACTTGGCATTTCTAAACTCCATTGTCTGAGGTCTGAAATGGGGCCCAGGAATCTGTATGTTTCAAGGGCCCAGGAATCTGTATGTTTAACAGTGCCCAGGTTAGGAAGCTCATGGGAAGAACATAATGAAGTCTAATAAAATAAATTTCTGATCAGACATGTCTTACATCCCAGCTCTCATCTTTTTTGGCGGAATGATCTTGGGGGAGGAACTTAATCACCCTACCTCTCAATTTCTTCAACACCAAAGTGGAGATCAGAGTGCCTACTTCTCAAGTTTATTCTGAGGATGTAATGAGGTTGTAACAGTGAAACACAGAATTCACATATTTGTTCAGCACAAATATGTGCTGGACACACGTCATCCAGGAGCTCTGGGACAGGCTCTGAGCAGTGCTGTGCCTTCAAGAAATAAACAAGGGAAGTGAAGTCCCTGAAGGTGTGTGCTTGACATAAAGAAAGTGCTCATGGCTTTTGGAAGAGAACTAAAACAGGCTGTTCCTGGGGACCCTGGCCTTTCAGCTCAATCCCACTTCCCAGGAAAGGCACCTGGGATTTGGATTTATTGATGCACGACCAAGCGACATGAATTAATTTGAGATCTTTTATGTAAATGGCATCATCCAGGTGCAGTTTTAGTTTAGGCTCTCTCAGCAGCACACCCTGTCCTGCCCAAGGTTCAACTGGGAGGAGGCACTCCCAGGAGAAACTGGCAAGGGATCTGGGAGCAGGACAGGGAAAGGAAGGAAGTGAAATGAGGGTATGATTTCAGGTGAAGTCTCAGCCTCTGCGTGATTCCCTAGGGAGCTCTTAACAGTAAGTTATAAGGCAGAGTTTTTGGTCAAGGGGGTGAAGGGTCTCTGTCTGTGTTTTCAAGGATGTTCCAGTGCCCATGGGCAATCTCTGAAGATTGTAAATGAACCCTCATCAGCAGAGCTTGCAGCTGCTGGGAAACAGGGGCACAGAGCTGGTTTAAAAAGGGCTCCAAAGGCCTCTGGCCAGGCACCACAACCAACTGCCCACTACAGATGTGGGCCCAGGTGTTCCGGCTCCACTCCCAGGGCTTCTGCTCCAACTCTTGCTTTGGATTCTAAGTGGATGACCCACCTTAAAGCCTTGGAGCTTTAGTGTCCCCATGATTAAAATGGGGGCTATGATGGAAACCCATACCTTGTAGTCTCATGCAAACAATAAAAAGTCTTGCAGTTTAAAAATCATGATGAATCATTGTACTACCATCCTCATTTTCCACCTATGTAAACAGATGCAGCAAGTATCACCTGCCCAAGATTGCACAGCTGTTAAATCACAGTAGCAGTCGCCTTCATCCAAGGTTTGCCGTGTGCCGGGCAGTCTTCCAAGGGCTTTACATCAGTTATCACACTTAATCCTCAAACAACATATGAATTAACATTATGGTTAGCCCTGCTGAAGGGATATTAAAAATAATAATAATAATAATAAATAACTTGCCTAAGATCCAAAACTAGTGGACACAGAGCTGGATTTTGAACCCAAGTCTGTTTCACTAAATTGGTCAGCTCCACCACATTCTCTCTAGTATTTGATTATTTAGGTGACTCTGGGATCCTTTCCTATCTACCCTGGTATCTCCAGTATCTGGCAGACTAATTAGACATTTGTACACATTTGCAAGAAGTAAATAATTTTGAAACCACCTTGAAACACTTTGGCCTATAATTGTAACTTGGACTAGAATGAGCCCAACAACAACAAATTTGTGAAAATCAGCCTTATTAACTCATTCAAGAAAAATATATTGGGCGCCCAGTACAGGCTTGGCATTGTGTTGAGTATTGCAGGAACAAGGGTGGAATCAGATCTATTTTCCCAGCCCACATGAGGCCCAAGGAGTTGAGCAGGGCTGTTCATTTAGAAGGTTCCCATGCTCCCACCATGGTGTCTGACAATGGGCCTCTGGCACGGGCCTGGCCAGTGTGTGCTGTACAGTCCTGACACTGCGCCAGAGGAGACTCGGGTCCATCTTTCCACTTTTGGCATATTGGCAATTGAACTATATTCCTTTTCTCTTCTCCTTTCCCTCTCCCCTTCTTTCCCTATGATTATCAGAGGCAAATATCTCAGAGAGTTATAATTAGAAGAAATTGAGCAGAGGGTGGGGGAAGGGGATATTGTTTCAGAAATAATTCTGAGTCACTGGATCAGGTTTCTCAATGTGGAACATGCCATGAAAATATTCTCTTACATCAAGAATTAGAATCACTTCCTGCAACTCCTATGTGTCTTTATAATTAGTAACTGTTAAGTATTTCTAGAAGAGAGGGTTTTCTTTGAATTGTTTACCTTTTTCTGCATCTGTGTTTTCTATCTGATGGGCAAAAACACGTGTTGCTTTTTAATGAAAGAAAAAGTAACGTAAACATGTTTTCTTTTGTCCTCCTCTCAGGTTTGGTGAGTAATTGTGGTGATGAATTGTTTTTCATTCTATGGCGAGGATGAAAAGGACACTTTCTTTGCTTCTTCACCTCTGCCCCACAATGGAGAGCGGCAGCGCCTCTGAAGGCAAGGGGAGTGGGGTTTCCGAATCCCCAGGAGAAAACACAGGTCTCTGCTGCGGCGGTCTGGTCCAGAGAACCTACATCCGGAGGCTTTCATTTCCTCATCTGTACCATCTCCCAAACAGACATTTCTGAGAGTGAAAAGAGGCACCATTAGAATTAGCCTGGGTTAGCCAGAAAGGAGGTGGTCTTGGGCAAAACTAGATGTGATGCGATCCCAGGGGACTCTAGGGTCTCTCCCAGCTGAGACATCCTAAATTATGAAAATGCAAGGCCCATTCTGTATCCCACAAGGGCCTGAGTAAGCTCCGTGAGCCATCATAAGCTGCCAACCTTTAGCTGCACAAGAGAAATGAACTCTGTAGGGGACATATCCAATTCCGATTTAAATTTAATCTGTGTGGTCAATTATTTGTGTAATAATGGAGGAAAATAAAGTCTATTTCACAAAAGTCAACTCTGTAATTTTAGAGCCTTTAAGACATTTGAAAATGCCTTGTGCAATTATGTGGCGCTTAATACTCAGATAATGGAACAATGAAAGATGTATGTTTGCATTTTGTAAAATTAAACTGTATGCAGTTATTTATCTTTTACCTTAATTGTTTGAGCTTGTTTCTAATGTAAACTGTTGTAATTTTAAATAAATATAATAGAAAAAACTTTCATAGGTATCAAGAATCCAGAGTAAATTTACTTTGCAAATAGGCTTTGTAGGTATGTTTTATGCTGAGGATCTTAAACTGACACTTTCATTCAAAAATATTTTGAATTACTCACTGTTTGCCTCTCTGAGGTCAGACAGATTGCAAGGAGACTAGATTTCACAATGGAGTTTGGGTGACTTCATCTTATTCCAAAGCCTGAAATATGATAAATGTATGAAATAAATATGTGAGAAGATTGAAAGTGCATTATTGATTGACTTTTTAAGTACATTGATCTTTATGCTTTTATTTTTCTGTTTTTATTCTTGGTTCCATTTTACATGCTCAATTTGTTCTCCCCTCTAGTCATATTTTTCATCTACTTAACTTTGTTAGCTTGATATATTATGGAGGTTTCAGATTTGGGGATAGATAAGGCAAATTATGGTATATGAATACCTTTGATAATATATAAAATCGTCAGTATAAGACAAATATACTATTGTTTAAATTCCAATGCTGTGAGTCGTCCTGCTGTGATATTCACAGCATGACTATAAATGTGTGTATGATAAATAAAAGAAAGAGGGAGGCCAGGCGCGGTGGCTCATGCCTGTAATCCTAACACTTTGGGAGCTAAGGCAGGCGGATCACTTGAAATCAGGAGTTCAAGACAAGCCTGGCCAACATGGTGAAACCCCGTCTCTACTAAAAATACAAAAATTAGACAGGCATGGTGGTGGCGGGCACCTGTAATCCCAGCTGCTTGGAAGGCTGAGGCATGAGAATAATTTGAACCTGGGGGGCAGAGGTTGTAGCGAGCCAAGATCACACCACTGCACTCCAGCCTGGGTAACAGAGCAAGACCCCATCTCAAAAAAAAAAAAAAATGACAGAGGATAAAACAAAAATGATTCCCCATGAATTTCAGGGCCCTGCGGGATCATGCTCAACCACATTCACCCAGTCCCCTGGGTCAGTTGGTTTGATATCACTTCAGGGTCACTGAGAGTAGGGCAGAGTCCTTAGGAGCGTGAACCTGGAATCCAGATTCAAGTCCAGCTCTGCCTTTTACTGGCTGTGGGACCTCACCCATGTCATCTGAATTCTCCATGCCTCAGTTTCCTTATCTGTAAAACAGGTCATGAAGAAGAAGGGTCATTTGTTTTTTAATGAAAATTTATGTATTAATATATTTAAAAATACTTTAACCATCATCTGGCATATATTAAGCCATATATATATATATATATATATATATATATAACACCTTAGATAACATTTTATTGTTAAATCATTTCAGATTTACAGAAAATTTGCAAAAATGTACAAAGAACTGCTCTAAGTTGCTCACCAAGATTCACTAGTTGTTTATATTTTGACATATTTGCTTTAGACATCATAGTTTTATTTTGCTATGTAACAAATTATCACAAATTTAGTATCTTAAAACAATACACTTTTATTACCTTGCAATTTCTATGGGTCAAGAGTACAGGTACAGGTTAGCAGAGATCTCTATTCAGGGTCTCACCAGGCTGACTTTAAGGTGTTAGCTGGAGCTATTCTCTCACCTGAGGCTAAGGGCCCTCTTCCAAGCTCACTTTTTACTGGTCAAATTTAGTTCCTTGTGGTTGTAGGACTCATGAGGTTCCCCATTTTCTCACCAGATATCAGCCAGGGATCAGGCTTAACTCCTAGAGGCTTCCTGGCATTTCCTGCTGAGTGGCTCTTCCCATACTCCCACAACATGTTGGCTTGCTCTCCAGCAGCATGGAGTCTTTCTGATGCTTCACCTTCATCTAATGGGCTCACCTGCTTAGGCAAGGTGCACCCAGGATCACTTCCCTTTGGATTAACTCAAAGTCAACTGATGAGTAATCAAATCATGGGAGTGGTCTCCCATCATATGCATACATTCTGCTCAAACCCATGGAGAAGCAATTAATTTCTACACCCTGTGTACCAGGGTGTAGAAAGCTTGGGAACTATCTTAGAATTCTACTATATTCATATTTTTTCCCGAGCTGTTTGAGAGTAAGATACAAACATAATGCCTCATCATCCCCAAATAATTTAGTATGTATTTTCTGTGATCTAGGACATTCTTTTACAGAACTATAGCATAATTAAAATCAGAATTTAACATTAGTATATTACTACTTAGAGACCTTACTCATGTGTTGTAAATTATCCCGAAATTATCCTTTATATTAAATATATATATGTATATATATGTGTGTGTATATATATATATGTATATATATGTATATATGTATATATATGTGTATATATGTATATATGTATATATATGTGTATATATGTATATATATGTGTATATATATGTGTATATATATATGTGTGTGTATATATATATATGTGTGTGTGTGTGTGTATATATATATATATATATATATATATATATGTGTGTGTGTGTATATATATATATATATTCCAGGAAACAATTCAATCACATATGTTGTATTTGATTATCATCATTCTTCAGTCTCTTTTAAATCTGGAATAGTTCCTTAATCTGTTTTGCTTTTTATGACCTTGACACTTTTGAAGAAGATAGGCCACTTGTTTTATAGAATAGCCCTCATTTGGATTTTGTCTGGTATTTCCTCATAATGAGAGGTAATTGATGCGTTTTCACCAGGAAAATTGTGGAAGTGAGGTTTTATCCTCCTCAGTGTATCATATCAAGAGACACATAATGTGAGTTTGTCCAGTTACTTATGATCATATGGTTAAGATGGTGTCTGCCAGATTCGTTGCCATAAAGTTAGTTTCCATATAGTTACTTCTACTAATTATTATCAAAAATAAGCATTGTCCAGGGAAAAAGAGTTGATAAAAAAAGCAAAAATAATGAATGATTGTTGCGCATTTCTCTACAGGCCACAAAGCACTTGGCACGTAAACCTTAGACAGTTAGAGAACTCATCTGAGTTTGGGCATCTGTCTACCAGGCTCCCAAACCCTTGTCTTTCAAGTGTCCTGTCCCTTGATTATGGAGTTCTCCCTCTTATCAAGATTCTCTCTCTCTCTGCTGAATGATTCTTAATACCACATCATTACACCTTAGTTTGTTTCATCAAAAAGTGTATCAACAACGTCTTCAAAAGAGTTGCTTACACTCACAGTCTTAATCTACTTGGCATAGCTCTGAGCAGGCTCCTGTCCTCAGCATACCAACAAGAACAAAACAGATCTTATTAAGGTCACCAAGACTCCCCATGACATTAAATCCAAAGGACATTTTTTTCTATCTTCATCATTTTTGATTATCAACGGAATCCAACACAGCCAGCCACAATCTCCTTGAAACATCCCCAATCTTGCCTTCTCTAGCAGCACATTTTGTGGGTTTCCTCCTGTCTCACTGGCTATTCCTTTGGAGTCTTAAACATTACCTGGGAGGGCCACTGGATTGACTCATCTCTGCTCCCCAGGGCCTCTCATCCTCCAGCAGGCTAGCCCAGGCAACTGCCCATGGCCCTGGCTGGGTTCCAAATGAGTAACAGCATGCAATGCCTCTTAAGCCTAAGCTTGTTTTGCCCCCCAAACCCCAACATTTCTGCAGCATTCTATAGGGCATAGTGAGTCACAGGGGAAGCCCTTATTCATAGGGAAGGAAATAGATTTGGGAAGACTTGCAAAGTCACATTTCAGAAGATGTAAATACAGGGAGCTGTGGAGAATTGGCACCATTCTTGAAATTAATCTATCTACTCTTAATCCACCAAAAATAATTCCAGGATAAGAATCATGAACTGTTCCTTCTGCTTTGTATCTGGGGTCAGGTACAGTTCCATGGTTCTCACAGCTCCTGACACATACTCAGATTTTCTCAAGTTTTTCTGTAAAAGACATCAGCTTCTCCCACACCTCTGCAATTTCCTCGTGATGTTGAACTTCATTGATTTCTCTTTTTGCCAGCCTTTGCATCACACCAAGTTCCAAGGCTGGTGAACAATGTGAGGAGGAAGTGGAGGTAAAGGGGGCACCTTGTAGGCACTCAGTCAAGCAATATGATCATGAGTTCAACTTCATTCAAATTTGAATCTTCTTTCTAACTTCACCCAGCTCAGATGAATTACTTTTTTTCTGCCATATTCACTTGTTCTTGTTGAAAAACTGAGATTATTTTTTCCTTTGGTTGAAGAATCCTCTGTCCCTCTATTATTTTGATTTATTTCTTTTCCTTCCTGAGTGATTTCTTTCTGAAGATAAGTCCAAATTTACAAGCCAAGTAGAATTAGAAATGAAGATTGTTTTTCTTCTTTTACTAAAAGAGAATATAACCAAACTGTACATGAATTGGAGAAGGGCTGCCCATCACATCCTTCCTGCAGATTACAGTATCCATGAAGGCCATGAGACCCACCTAAGCATCTTCTTTCTTGGAGTATCATTGGAATCTCCCAGGTTATTTAGAAATACACACGTCCAGTGACCCCTACCTATGGTAACCTTCTACCCTGGAGACATTGGATATTAAGAGGTGAGCTCTTCTGTAGGTTCTGGGATTCGAGATAGTAAGATATCCTATTCTACAGGAGACAGCCTCTCCTTGAAGACAGATGGGTGTAACAGTCACAAAGCAATGATAAAAGTTCAGTCCCACATGTCACCAGAAGTGTTCTAAGGGCATCCATGAAGGTGGGGAGGAAAAGTGAGGTATGGGACATAAGACCAACCGCTCTATGAGTGGTTCAAGGTTCAGGTAGCTTTTGACAGTGTTTATGAGCTGTGTGAGGGTGAAGAAGTCCCTTTCAATAGAGAGGAGATACAGTAGTGCAGTCATATTTGACCTTTCAAAAAATGTGGGATAGCATATAAAATATGCTACCTATTTTGTAAGAAAGGGGAAAGTAAAAATCTATGTTTGAATGCGCTTGTGTGTGCTAAAAATCTTGGATGATTACATGAGAAACTAAGAACAAGGATTATCCAATCAGAGTCTTGGTATATGGGACCAGAAGGGAGATAATTTTACAGATATAAATAATGGATAATTTTATTCTATATCTTTTGACATTTTCTATTTTTTGAACCATGTCTAAACTGCTCATTTAAAAATTTTAAGTTTGAGGATCTACACATAATATTAGCTCTACTCTTATCCATCTATAGAGAAAATATTTAAAGACAGACTGTTACTGTGAACTCAGCAAGATTTTTACATTAATTGTATTTTATCAATCACAGTAGCGTTTATCTGTTTGATATAGAATGGTGCAAATCACTTTAAGACAGACCATGTATGCGGGCCATGGATGATGCTTAGAGCATGTATGATTTGTGGACCCTGTAGTGACTCCTTCTCATGCCACTTCCCAGGGACATCATGGCCTTCTGCAAAGAGGTCTCTCTCTCTCTCTTTCTCTCTCTCTCTCTCTCTCTGGGTACCTGTGCATGTGTTGCAGGTGACCTGACATTCTTGGATCACTCTCCCAGAAAGCCATGTGTTGGACCCCTCCCTTTCTATCTTAAAATGCCCGATGTTAGAAGCTCATAGTAGTTGTAAAGGAGCTAATGTGATGCTTAAAAAGGGCTCAAAACATTGGTTCCCCCGCCCCCACCCCTCAGGGCCTGGGAAGTTTCCCTTTCTCTTTGGGAGAAAAGTTGCTTTTCATTTTTCACTTGTGCCTGTGTGTTCTCTGTTACGTTATTACTATTTCCATCAAAAAGCATTTTATAGTTCAATGTTTGGGGGAAATACAGTCCCATAAGCAGGCCCCTATTCAGGCCCCTATCCAGCCTCCTCGTCCTTTTGCCTCCTCACCCCTTCCTAGGGCCCATACCTTGCAGTGCCTTGTGTGAAATTTTCGAAGGCAGTCCTCACTCACAGCCCCACTTGGAATGTCACAAGCATTTAGCAGATTAAAGGCTCTGAAAAGCCCTGCAGTAAAGTAATGTTTAACTTCAATTAAACCACCCTCTCTCAAATTCACTTGACTGCTAAACTCTTTTTCAAAGAACACCTGTATGTATTCCAAAAAGTTCTGGATTAAATATTGTTAACCTCTCAAAGAACACAGGGTGGGGCCTATTTATCCTCTGTGTGCCTTCAAATCCCAGGAGGCTCAGGCCTTTTCTGCAATAAAAAATGTATTCATAACTCTTTAATTGCTCTCTTCCCTTCTTCCTCTCTGACTTATTTGTATAATATAAAGTTAGTGCGCTATATTTGAATAACATGGATAGAAATAAACTTTTAATGCCAGAACCTCCTCTCAAAAAAAAGTGGTAAAGCTAGAACTCTCACTGTAGTTGCCTGTAATTTAAAGTGAAAGGCTCCAAACAGGTGTTTCCCCTGGAAGAAATGTTCAAGCCTTGTTAAGAGTCTATAATATGTCAATATACACTGTTAAAAGAGATGACAGGTCATGTGCCACATGACAACAGTTTAGTCAAGATAGACTGCATATCAAATAGTGGTCCCATAAGATTATAATATTGTATTTTTAGGGTAGCTTTCCTATATTAGCTATGTTTAGATACACAAATACTTACCGTTGTGTTACAACTGCCTACAGTATTTGGTACAGCAACGTGCTGCCCCAGTGTGTAGTCCAGGAGCAATAGGCTAATGCCACATAGCCTGGGGGTGTAGCAGGTTCTACCATCTAGATTTGTGCAAGTACACTCCATGATGTTCACACAACAGCAAAATAGCCTAACAATGCATTTCTCAGAATATACTCACTCGGTTAAGCAACGTGTTTGTACTTTTCTTGTGACTTGAATCACTTCCGTTTTAAATCTGTAAGAAGCTGAAATACTATATCCTCTTTCTTTCTTTTAATAAACGAGTAGGAGACAGTGCACCTGGGCTCACTCGTCAGAGAGGCTGACCCATGTGAAAGGCAAGGAGTCCTGCCCCAGTCACTCATGCCTGTCGCCCATTATTTTAGTGAATTGTGGTGAAAACCCCAGCTCCATATAGGCTGGCTGTGTCTAGATGGTACAACTGAGTCAGCTGGGGAACACACAAGGCAGCATTGCAGACCATCATTGCAAAATAGCTGTGCATTCCTTCACCTGAGCTTTTGTGACGGGTGCATTGGGTTGGTAAAATGACTAAAATTATTCAGTTGCCCCTGTTCCGGTTGTAGAAAAATGCTCTTCACACAAGGAATGTTTTTGTGGTTTGCCACATTTGGAAATGTCAGCTACTTTGGAAATGCTGTATTTAGCCTCAAATCCCACACCCATTCAATGCTGTTAACCAGATCTCCAGGGTGTAGCGACAGTGCAAGTCCATGTATTTTGAGATCTATTAATACCTTTTGGTTACCAAGTGGCATTTGCTTCCCGTATATTGCCATGAAACAGAACAGCAAGGTCCAAGTTTGCCCTGGTTTATGAAAAGGACCTCATCGTACTGAGATAGTTTGTCAAAGTTAAAGTTAAAATCCCAGAGGGGCTTTCTTATTCTCCTGTCCTCCCATGAATTTTTGATGCATCAGAAAATCACATTTTAAAGGCATGAAAGTGGGGTGAAGCAACAATTTTCACCAGAACTGTGAGTGTGAAGGAGTGTGTGTGTGTGTGTGTATGTGTGTGTTTTGTTTCTCCAAGTCTGTTTAATGGGAATACTCAATGTTAAGTCTCCCAGTGGTGCCTGAACTTATATATGGTAATATTCACATAAATGCAATATGTGCTTCCCTTTTTTGACATATATATAACTTGTCATTTCATTTCTTGGGACTAATAGGCAAAACTAATATTTCTAGAGAAATCTGAGAAAGCATGTGTGTGCTGTATACACGTGTATGTCCCCAGAGTGTTTTATTGCTTAGAAACCAAAAGGGATCACAAGATTAGAATCTGTGCAGGGCAGCCTAACCTGACCCTGTTCATTGATTCATTCATTCATTCAGTGGGATTTGAGTGCCAACTGCATACCAGGACTATCTGGATGCTTCACTGAATAGAAACCACCCACTGGACTTATTTTGGGGGAGTTGGTAGGGAAAGGGGAGGATGACAGACCATGAAGACAATACTTGAGTAAATTGCTCTCGGCCCTCCTCTCACCCCAAGGGCCCTCTTGGGTAGGGAGGGGTTGGGAGGTCCTCTCCTTAAGGGAGGGGTCTCTCTCAAGCACCTTCCCCCTGTAGCTAAGCAACCCCCAACTAGACCATGTTACTTAAGGGCCTGGCTCAGGTCACCTGCCCCCTTCCCACAACCCCACTCTCCCCGAAATGCCAACCTCATCACTGTGCTGATTCATTCCAAGCCATCCCCTGAAACCTAAAATCCTTTAAAATGCCTCTACCTCTTTCTTTATTAATCCACCCATTTTTCAGATCACCGAGGTACTTTCTGGATGCAGAAGCAATCGGAGTGTCTGCTGTCTGGCAGCAGCTGGTCTCTAAAATTGTTCAGGTCATCATGTCAGATCTTGAGATCGGGCTGAGAATGCGCTTCCTGGCTGGATGACTTGGGTCTCATTTGACTCTGTCCAGCGAGAGACACAGCTCTACTCTTTCTCCCCACCCCAACCCACCCCTCAGGTGCTCTCTTTCCCATTTCCACTTTCTGGATGTGAGGTCTACCCAGACCCTCCTTTCCCAGGTAGGCGGTGTCCTTGGTTTCGGGGGTATGTGGCCCAAATCCCCTCCCTTGTCCTGCCCCAGTGGGTTACAGGAACTTTCTTGCCCACCCCCCACCCAGATACGAGGGGCGAATGAGTGAGTGTCCAAGTCTAACTCCCATGTGAAACACTTTCTATGGAAAAACTAAACTCCAGTTGGTAATGAGAGGGAGACACCACATTCATTCATTCATTCATTCCAAAAGCATTCACCAAGAACTTTCTGGGTACCAGGTCCAGGCAGCCAGGGATCCTCCTGGCACTGAGAGGCACCAACAGACAGCACAGGACTGGCCCATGGGGTCACCAAGGGAGTGCAGGCTTAGTGGAGGGAGTTCCGTCTTTGCCTGGGGAAAGGAGGCAGTTTACTTAAGGATTAGCTGCCCCCACCTGCATGGAAGGTACCTTCTACTCTTCCACAATGCAGGCTATTCAGGTCTGAAAATAACACCGTGTTTCCGGGCCTGGGCCTTGAGCCCCAGGCTGACCAGAAGCTAACCAGCTTGATCTCACATTAGCAGCTTCAGCTTGTTGGCTCACTGGGCAGTGATAACCATGCCAGGGTCTCTTCCAGCCTAGACAGGCTGATTCTATGAAATAAACAAAAGACATCTGAGATGTTTTTCTCATCTGAGACACGGGCCCCTGGGCAAACTCCCCACTCCTGCCCAGAAACTGAGGCCTTCCAACCCTTTCTCCTGTACTCCAGAGCCCCTGGAGGGAGCCTGGCTGTGCCCTTCAGGGGCATTCTCCACTCCCTGTCCTGGTGAAACCTCAAGAATGAAGCGCTTCCTTTTCTGAGAATAGCCACCACATTATTCCATTCATGACCCCATGCTTGCAGAAACGCCATGGTCCTGGAAGCAGCTAGAATAGCATTGTGGCTTGCCAACAGTCCCATCTGAGGGTCATTTATTGCACTTCTCTGTTTCACTTTCCTTGAATATATGGACAAATGCAATAGTTTGTGAAAACTAAAGGTGAAATTTCATATTGCTTGTATGAAAGCAAAATATCCTGCACGAAATAAACTTTCCAACCCTCTTTTCTCCCTCCCTTTTTCCTCTCTGTGCCCCCAACCCCTCCCGCCTTTTTCTCTGCCCTGTTCTTTCTCCTCGTCTCCCTCTCATCTGGCATGCCTAATCAATGGTACCTAATCACTCCTCTACAGGCTGACAGATGAGAAGTTCACTGTATAGAGATGGGTTTCAGAAAAACTGGCAACATCTGTCCCATTCCTAACTCCACCTGATAACCAGTTGTGTTAGTAACATGGTAGAATTCAATTTTGTGTTTTCTGTTAAAAATTCAAGTGCAGAAATCTGGCTGTCCAGGGACTAGAAGAGCGTACCTATCCTGTCTCCTTTGCGAGTACCACTTGGGTGGTTTTTCTCTCCTCTCCTTTAGATGGCACCAGTTTATTGCAGTGTGGCCACCCAGACACTCCCTTCTGCTACCTCAATTAGTATTCATTGTGCAAAAATAAGAAAATTCCTTCATTACGCTGGTGCCTGGTGGCAATCTGATAACTAAGGCGGTGCATCTGCATTTCCATTATAAACCACATTTCTCACTTAGGGTTGTCGCTCAGCAATAAAAACTTGCTAGCAAGGTCTTAACCCTCGGACATTTAAAAATAAACATTGCATTTAGCTTTTAAAGGGTCTGTCTTTTCCTAATTATATATGTCAAGTCTGAGAATTTTTTTTTCTCCATGTGACCAAAAAAGAATTAGGACTTTATCTAGGTTTTTGGAAATTTCAACAAGGTATCAGTTTGTATTAAAATAAAATGCAAAAAGTGAAAGGTATTTCAATAGAAACCAAAGAGGAATATAATCCTTTTAATTTTGAAATTTATCTTCCCAGAGATGTGAATGATGGATGGTCTATTCTATCACCTTCTACTTTTTGTGTCTCTGGTCAAACCTGCTACAATAAGGCAAAGCTAACATCTGCAACAATTAACCAGAACTTCGTCCACAGTGCATTCCTTTAGGAATCACCTAGATCCTCACTGCATTTGCTTCTCCACTGTTTCAGGAGAAACTCAGTCATAAAGCGAATGCAGAGGTGAGGGCTCCTTGTCGAAGGCCTCAGCCACCCACATTCACAGTAAATGGAATTACCTTCTTCATGGGCCCACTTCAAGACTCCTGTGTTTTTCACAATAGTTCGTATTTCAAGTATTCTGTCCTGTTATCAGGCATTGTATCAAATCATGCATCCTGTTTTTTGATCATAAAAATATCTGGCCTGGAAAATATCTGGTCAGATTGGGTTTCCCAGTCTGGAACTTTTTCACACACGGCTTCTACATGAACCAACCAAAATAAAATCTCAAATCAATGTTGGCTTTCTTTCATCTGTACAGATACTCCTTCTTTTAAAAATAATTTGAGATTGGTAGTTACTTAAATGTTTTCTGTTTAACTCTCTGAATGTCATTAAAATTGGAATTTGTGAATTAACATAAAATAGCAAAGTCGTAGATTTTCATCAATTATAATGCTTCCCTGGTCTATATTCACTTTGTGTGATCAAGCTAAAATGTCTCAGGTACACATTTGAACTGATCCACATAGAAGAGTGACATTTGAATGTTTGTTACTGATCTCTCTCCATCTGCTATTAGCTGCTATTGATGTTAAGTGATACCAGTTTGCTCAACTGAAAGGCAGATTTGGGATTAAAGCATAAACAGGTCACAGTTATAAGAGAAAAGAAATGTTGCGCACCAGAGTTAATTGATTGTTTCTCCCTCTTGGGCAGCTTCTGAAATGTATGCAAATGACTAGAGCCACAGATGAAAGAAAGAAGTGAAAGAGAGAAAGAAAGAGTCACACACACAGGTTTTATGGGTCTGTGCTACTCCCTGAAAGTATATGTGATGCCTTTGAAAGGGTATTCAGAGATGAATCATGAGAATGGGAGTAGAATTACTTGTGTGTGTAACTGACACAAATGTGGAAAACAATTCCTTTCTCTTCCTTGTGTTGGCTTCAGACTGCAATCCCCATTTCCCAACATAAAAAAATAGCTAGATCTTGAAATGCCAATTTAATTGTAAGTCAAGATGGATCACCAGGAAGCCTCAGCTAGGCAGGACTTGCCCAAAGTGAGGTGGGGATAGCGTTGGAGCAGAGTAGCAGAAAGAAATTGTGCAGAGAAAGCAGGGTTGGTAAGGTGTATCACAAAGGAGAGTTGACTCTAGGTTGCAGCACTGCAGTAAATTATGAGGAAGAGGATGGGTGCTGTCACTCACAGCTAAGTCAGTTAGGAAAGTCATGAAAGAGAAAAAATGCACCACTATGGTGGTGCTTGGGGTAACTCCCATTATTCAGTGAAGCGAGTTGGAGCAGAAACTTAGGAGGCCACTGAGGTTTCAGAGTGTAAGTGACTGCAGAAGGATAATTTTCACCCAAAACATCAGCATGGAAAAGTGTAACCACTATTGAAGAGGTTGAGAAACTTATTTTATAACAAAACCATGTCTATAACTAAATGTGTCTGTGCCCTTTTAAGTTGCTTGGGGATGGAACCTGCTGACTAGGAATTATACCCCAATTCACTGTGGAGCAGGGGTCCCAAAGAGTAGCAACAAAAGATCAGGTGAGGCTGGGTGCGGTGGCTCACGCCTGTAATCCCAGCACTTTGGGAGGCTAAGGCGGGAGGATTGCTTGAGCCCAGGAGTTTGAAAACAGCCTGAGCAACATGGCAAGACCTTGTCTCTACAAAATTTATTTTAATTAGCCAGGAGTGGTGACATGCACCTGTAGTCCCAGCTACTTGGGAGGCTGAGGTGGGAGGATGGCTTGAGCCCAGAAAGTTGAGACTGCAGCGAGCCGTGTTTGTGCCACTGCATTCCAGCCTAGGTGACAGAGGGAGATCCTGTCTCAAAAAATTTAAAAAAAGGTCATGTGGGTCTCTAAGCCAGAGATGCACCTGACCTCCTCCTCTGCCAGACACACTCCTATTCACCTTTCAAGATCCAAGTCCAATATCACCTTACACCTGTTTGGATGGCTATTATCAAACAATGAAAGAGATATTAAATGTTGGCAACAGTGTGGGGAAAGGGAACCCTTGTACACTGTTGGTCAGACTGTAAATTGGTGCAGCCATTCTTAAAAACAGTATGGAGTTCCCTAAAGACATTAAAAATAGATCTACCCTATGGCCTAAATATCTATCTTCTGGGTACATGCCCGAAGGAAATGAAATCATCACCTTTAAAGATATATGCACTTCTCTGTTTACTGCAGCACTATTCACAATAATCAAGATATGGAAACAACCTAAGTGTCCCTTGACAGACAAATGAATGAGGAAACTGTGGTGTGGCCAGGATGGTCTTGATCTCTGGATCTCATGATCCACCCGCCTTGGCCTCCCAAATTGCTGGGTTTACAGGCGTGAGCCACTGTGCCTGGCCAGGAATATTATTTAATCTTTAAAAAGAAAGAGATCCTGCCATTTGCCACAACGTGGATGAAACCGGAGGACATTATTCTAAGTGAAATAAGTCAGACACAGAAAAAAAAATTTGCATTATCTCAGTTACATATGGAAGCTAAAAAAAAGTCAAATATACAGAGATAGAAAATAAAACAGTGGTTATCTGGACCAGGGGTGGGGTGGGAATAAAGAGATGTAGGTCCAAGGAACAAAGCAGCAGCTATACAGAATGAACAAGTCTAGAGCTAAGGCACAATAAGGGGACTACACTGATGATATTGTACTGTCCTCAGGATTTTTCCCAAATTGGTAGATTTTAGCTGCTCTTGCCACACACAAAAAGAGGGTAACTACCTAAGATGATGGATATGTTCATTTGTTTCACTACAGTAACTATTTTACTACCTCTATATATCCCATAACATCATGTTGTGTACCTTAAATACACATAATCAAAATTATTTTTAAAAACGAGACAGAGAAAGAAACACTCAACTCCACATGCCCCACCCCCTGTGAAAGTTTATTTCTTTCCTCACACCCAATTCTTCCTCTATAGCATTTTGTTCATACTTCCTCTGTATGATATTTACTGCTATAGGACACTTAATAGATTAAAAAGCTGATCATCCCATATGACTGAGTTCTTGATGAGTTCTTGAGTGCTTCAGGATTTGATCTTAGCCATATTTGTATCCTCAGCATTTGGTACAAGGTTTTCAGGTAAAACTAGATAACGTAACTGGTTATTGGCTAATGGACAGGTGGATACATGCATGGATGTTGGGAGGGTCTTGCTCTCGAATTAGTCCTTTATGCTGGAGTGGTTATGAAGAAATAACCAGGGGCAGAAAGCCAGACATTTTTCATTATGGCAATGGCGCACACTTTTGTCCTGTAATTTAGTTTGAAGACAATGTCCATACACCAACCTGTGTTCCCGAATAAATGCCTAAGACTTCTTGGGGTGGGTAGGGGACCAATCTAATTGAGGATGTCATTCCATTATTGGCCCTGGGACACATGTCCACCCTGCTACTCTTGGAGAAAGTTAGTTTGTAGGAGGCATTTGCTGGCTGGAGCTGCGGTCAGTCAGCAGTGAATCATTCAGGTGCCCTGCAGCCGTTTCCTAAGAGACCACACGCTGAGTACCTGCTGAATCATGAGCTTCCGTTGAGTAACAATAGCCACTCTGACAAGCTGGAGGGAGGGTTTTGCTGGAGCAGATACTTGGCACACACCTGAGCTGCCCAATCTGAAATTAAGGGAAGAAAAAGGGAAATGTGCAGCTTGACTCACCGATAATCTATCGTGATGGGAGTTGCTCCCAAGGCAATGGTGTGTTTTCAGGTCAGAAGAAGCCAGGCAAACTTTTTACTTCATTCATTTTTAATAGGTATTTTCCTACCCTCCTTTATGTTGCTATGCCATCATATGAAACTAACTCCCTTTTAGTTCTCACTACATAGGCACTAACGGCCTACTTAGTCATGGAAAGAAAATGCAGCCCCACATCTTCTAAAGGAGGGGATACTTTATAACTTTCTACCTTAAAGTGGATGCTAAAGGCCAATGTGTGACCAAGAACAAATCATGAGGTGGTTCCAATGAGACTCAAGGAAAACGTTCAGAATGCAGACGAAATAAACTTGGAGTTTGGAATGGATAAAACTTCTTGACTGAAGTTTAAATATAAACCCAGATTTCTAATCACCCTTTATTCTCCACCTAAATACCCATAATAATCTTCTATGATGCTTGATATCATTAAAGCTCCAAGACCCTGCACAGTATTAGAGTAAGAAACAGCAAAGATTCTCTGGGCCTTTTATTATAGTTCTACCAATTAAATGATGCTTAAGCCCTCATATGAAACTCCACATTTCTGTATCATAATATATACAAGAGATCATTTTGGTAAGAGGTATTTAAAAGGCTGGAGTGACCCGTTGGCCAACCAAAGGGATAAGAAATGTGGAAGAGTGGAATACAACTTTGATTGTTAGTAGCAATGCACTGGGTCAGAGTGACTAGGCTGGGACTAACTTCAGTTAGGAAAATATGACTAGTTAAAAACTATAAAAAACACTAGCTTTTAAAAATATATACCTTTTTCCACCTGTCCCTGATGAGCTCTTTGCTTTTCATGTTGGGTCTTCCTTCTTCTCATTGAGTGAAATTGAATACCCTGCATGAAGCTCATGAGAAATCCAGTTATCAGAAAACCCAGATATTAGGAGCTCATGAGAAACCCAGTTACCAGTGTTATCCAAAGCATAACCCTCTTGTTCTTCATCTCACTCTGTCCATACCCCATTCTCTGCCTCTCTGCATGTGAATTCTGTTTAAAATGAAATGTAGTAGTGAATTGACTCCTAGAAGAGACAGGACCCTGATGGCCACCAGATCTGCCGCAACAATCTATTACAACCACAGCTGAAAGGCCAAACTGTTGATCAAATTGTGTAGTTGTTAATTCAATACCATACTAAATATATGTTATTCTTTCTACTAAATTGACTGATTTCATGGAATTTACCTTTTTTCCAATAAATTAAATAGACAGTGTTGTATATCATAAAACATATTAAGATATCACATATGTGGTACCCTAAACTATTTATAGTCATAAAGTATTAAAGAACATGTTTTCCAAGAATATTTAATGCCATGGGGAAATGCTCACAATATAGTATGAGGGAACAAAGGAGAAAACAAAAACAAAATCTGCATACAACATGAACTTAAAATCTGTAAAAATATATGTGAGTATATTTATATATCAAAATGCTAACTGAGCTGTATTCTCAGTACTTGTATAAAGAGAAGAGAATAGAAAATAATGTTCTCTAATTTTAAAGAGACATAAAGAGAATTATAATAATCAATTTTCTGAAGTTCTGCTCATAAAGAGCCTACTAGTTCACTGCACGACAGTATCTAGTTATGAACATTTGACTTACTAAACTATAGAGAAATTCTGCCTATACTTTACATAAAAACTCATTCATTTCAAACATCCAGGTGTAAGATGAGATCACCTGCACAAAAATACAAAAGTAAAATGAAAAGAATATTACTCACTTCAGAAAATTTAAAAATATGGTTTTTCCCTTAGTTTCATTTAGAGTGTGAAATTTCAGAAAGGATTTGTGAATAAGAAAGTGCTTGACTTATCAAGGAAGAAAAACACCAACATGAAACATTAAACCTGTTAGACTGTTAGATATAAACCTGTTAGATGCATTTGGCATGTCAATTCTATAAAATCACACATACAGTCTATCTATAAAATAAATTATATCATTATATTTTATAGTTAACATTTTTTTCTTGAGAATGCTCCAGTTTTTCAATGAATGAGAAGTAGGAATTATTTCCTTTTTAATAAATGCTCCAGGAGACTTAACCTACATGACCCCATTTTTATGGAAGATGGTTTTATCTTCTCCTGCCACTGAGTCCTCGCATGACAATGCAGCCTTCCGCTTGGTGAATAAAATCTCATTCGAATGGCTGCACACTCTTGCTTACATTTTGAAACATGTTTGCATTAAAATGTATTTATGGCTGAAAACGTTCATGAGAAGTCCCCCTGACTTTTTACTCTCCCAGGGATTATTGATAGGGTTTCTGCATTGATTCTATCAAACTCATTACCTGAGCTTCCTGTGCCTTTACTTCCCCAAAAGCAAAGTGCTCATCCTAATCTTCCTACCTCCCCAAGAGAACTGGGGGTAACATGGCAAGCAGCCTGCAATTTATGGAAACATCCTATACGGTGGCCCTGGTATTTTCAGATTTAACATTTACAAGTGGCCATGCATTAATTGTTCATTTTGCAGAGGGACAAATTTGAATAGAACAAAGTAAGAGGCTGGTGTACAGAAGCAAACACCCAAACTACTGAATCAAGCCAGCCACGCACCAAGTGTCCTCACCTGCCTGGCTCATTTACAAACTCCCCAGAAGTGGAGTGCCGACCTCACGAGGCTAGACAAAGGAAACAGTGGTCTCTTAAAGAAGTGATCATTGAAAATGTTTTATTTTCATTGACTTCCACCTCCCTATCACAGAATTATTAAAGAAGTGATGGGAATCACCTTACACTTTGAGTTATATGGTACTCAATTATAACCAATATTGGGGAACATTATTTGCTAGGGTGGTATTTTCAAATTTAGTGATGTTTGACCACCTTGGGACACATTTCTATCAGATGTGAAGAGACTATGATAAATAACTTCATTATTGGGATAGAAAATAAATGCACCTTTTCTCCCTGAAAACTGCAATTCATGCAGAGTTCTAGCTTGAAGTAAATAACTTCATTTTACAATTACCTCTTTTGTGTTGGCTTCCAAGACTTCTGCCATTTTAGGCTGCTAATGTTTGCAAAATTCATGCAGTGGGATGCAATGGTGAGTCTGACCGCTGCTTGTCTTACCTGGATGTTGTGAATACCTGGATGCCCAACCCTTAAGGACAAGGCTTAAAGGACAAACCTGTAGCACAGCACCCACGAGGCAGTCAGGACAGGTGACTGGTTGTATTGCTAGAAGCTGGCACAGTCATTTTCCCATGTTTCTTACCAGTGAACTTCCCTGGCTCCAGGGCTCCCAGGTTCACCTCTGGAGGTCTGGGCTGGTCTTGGGAATGTTTGGTCAGTGCACCTGTCCCTAATTTCTCTTCCATTTCTTGGCGAATGAAGGCAGAATAATACCATCCCGTCAAAAGGTAACTCTAGCGAATGGTCTTGTCTCCTGCTCTGCCCCACCCCTTTGACACCCCACCCCCATTTCTGGCCAAAGCCCAGCTGCAAGGAGGATGGAGCTCATAGCAAAAGAAGAAGAAAACTTCTGCCAGTTGGTAGAAAGCTCAGTCTAAACGGAACATTTTGCACCAAGCTGAGGTGGAGGACAATGCCTCCAGCTCTCACAGTAGGAACTCCATCCTGGTACTGGCAAAATAGCTCCTTGGTGTTGTGGGTGGGAACAGGCTGCACATCAATGCTGGGACACTGCCCCTGGAGAGGAGGTACTGGCCTTGAAGTGTTGCCTCTCAGGCTCATACCCTGCTGGAAGAACAAACAAGGAGGGATGGTTGTTTGTGTGGACAAATATGGCCAAGTTGGAGGTCTGCCTGTGGGAGGAGCCCTGTCTCTTTTCATCCCTGGGTGAAGGTTGTGGGGGAAGGGGTGGGGATGGAAGACATGAAACTGAGGCTGAGAATGGGAGAGCAAGGAACAAGATTCTGATACTTATCAGAAAGGGTAAACATCTTTTTCAGGTTCCTATCCTGATTGCGGGCCACCTGTGTTGTTTTCCCATAGATTCAATTCCATCTCTTCATTCTTTCAACCAACATTCACTGGGTGCACCCAGGACGGTGCTAGGTACTGGGAGGAAAAATAACACAGCATGGTCTCTGCCTTCAGAGAGCTCACACTCTGCTTCCAGAGCTTAATAAACATCATCCACTCCACCTGCTTTTCTTTTCATGTGATGTAATTCTCAAACCTTGGGTGAGCAGGTGCCAGTGGGCATTGCTCCCATGTGACACCAGTGAATCATATGCTGATGGTTTCTAAATCATAGGAAGCTTGGATTGGAAGAGAATGTAGAATTCAACCAGCACTCTTGCTTTCAAACATGAACACTGAAGCCTAGATGTAGCCAAAGCACACAGAAAGTTAAAGGGGTGGTAAAATCACATCTCCCAGCTCCTGAGTCCCAATCCAGCTCTCCTGGTCCTGCACCTGGTGCATCCTGCCCTTGGGAGACTTTTTCCTTCCTGCCCAACTTGCTATTCTGTGGTTGAGGGATTTTATCCAAATGTGAACACAGAGGAAGTATTCATTTAGATTTAAAAAATTTTTTTTTATTATACTCTAAGTTCTATGGTACATGTGTTGCGACTACTACCCATAAAATATTTTTGGAACACAGCCTTTTCCCCTTAAATAGCTCACTAGGTAGTGAATCACCTACACCAGTAGTAGCAGAATCTCCTTTAGGATGATGCCAAATGCAAAGTATGCCTTCAAGAGGAAGGTTTGTCTTGAAGCAGGCTTTTCTTCCTGAGACCAGAAAATCCCAAAATATGCTTCAAATTGCTTTCTGAATCATCTCTTTCTTTAAGCAGGTCCTATGGTTACATGGCAAGTTCTAATGGTGACTCTTCTAAATTATGAATTAGGGTCAAAAATGAAACCTGTAACTCTTCCTCTTTCTATTGCAATCCAGGGCTACTCATTTTTAAAAGAAACATTACAAAATCTGAGATTTCATTTAATCCGCCACACAAAGAAAAAAGATTTCATAAGCGACAAAATTAGAGTTGAAATTTTAAGTGATTTGATATAATTTCACTCATTTGATTCTGCAACAGTGGAATGACATTGGCCACAGAAGTGTTACAACCCCAATTTTAGGCATGCAGAATCTAAATTTTAAAATAAAGGAATATATTTAAAATCTTAGGTGACTCAGTCAACTCAGTCAATATCACCCTGCAAGCTGGTGAAAATGCCTAAATTAAAACTTGATGCTCACTTCTCAGACCTTGCTGATAAGTTACGTTAAATTTACTACTATTGTCTTGTCATTCTTCTTTAAAGATTACTGCTGGACAAAGCTGATATATCATTAAAACAGTATGATATCAATATAAAAATATGTTAATGGGACAGAATAGAAATCCAGAAAGCTCAATATGTATAAAAGTTTGGTACTTGATAAAGGTAGCTTTCAAGACAACAGGAAAAGGAAAAAATAAATACTAATGAGCCAATTCTTTAAATCTTTAAGGAAAAATCAAAATTACAGCCTCATATAATATCATACATGCACTCACATACTTTCAGATGAATTTTGATTTTTTAAAAGTTAAAAGATAAAGATTTTCACGTGGTAGAATTAGAACAAAATCAGAGAAATAGAGGAATAATTTTATTGTAGAAGAGTCTTATGTAAGCATAAGAGCAAAGAAAGATCTCACCAAATAAATAAGCACTATATATGATTACATAAAATATAACATTTCAAAATACATGCACACACACACATCACAATATACATGACAGAGAAAAGACTAATATCTTTACTATATAAGGATATTTTATAAATAATAAAAAAGGTAAATACATCAATAGATCAATAGAAAACCTGGCAAAAGATATAAACAGGCAACTCACTGAAGAAGAGCTAGAAATAATAGATGGTAAAATGGATGGCAAATATATGAAATAATTTTAAAACCTTGTGATCAAATGAAAATTTCAATAATTCCAACACATTTATCATATGATATATATACACACAATATTCCACATTTATCTTATAAAACTGGCCAACATTTTTATTTTTAATGAATATGCCCAGCACTTAATAAAAATGTAGGAAAATGAACATTCATGCCAGCTTATGGAAATATAAATTGGACTAACCATTCTAATCCACAATTTGACAATAAATATAAAAGCCTTAAAATTTATTCTGTATGAAGTAGGATATATGTTAGGATATCAGATTCTCCTAGGGATAATACCAAGGGTTTGAGGAGACGATATTCACTACAGCATCATATGTAACTGAAAAAAAAGGATAGGGCAATCTAAGTATCCAGCAGCCAAAATGTCCAAACCAATCATGAAATATGTGTACAGGATTGGAATAATATGAAGATGACACAAATCAAGCAGTAGACAAACACACTGAACTATGGAAACAACTGACAGTGTATTTCTAAGAGAAAAATTATCAAAAAGTACATGCTGTCGTTCATTTAGCCAACACATTGAGTGCTGAACTTAATTATACAAATAATAATAGCTTATGTGTATATGTAAAGAAAACACAGAACAGACATAAGGATAAAAACAAATATTACCTTTAAGTGTTGAATATTATAATGAAGATGATGGAAATCATCCATCATCTCACTATTGTTTACTTTAATAAACAGTAAGACTTTGGAAATCAGAAAGTAATAAGGAAGTTAGAAGGTGTCATGCTTTACCACATCATACGTTTTAAAACATGCCATGCTCTTTCAACATGTCATGCTATATTGTCATGCTTTTCCCCATAAGTTATAATATGTCATGCTTTTTATTTTGCAAAATCCTTTCTCCTAAGAGTTTAATAATAATGATACAATGGGATGGCAAAATGGTTCCAGCTGCTTTTTTTTTTTCCTTTTCTTTTTTTAACCAATTGCCCCAGGCCAGTTTAAGAGCTTTGATACATGATCAGAGTTTCAGCCACAGCTTCCCGGCTGGTTCAGAAACAGCAGAAGGAAGAATTTAAAGTGCAAGTAGTGGCTTCAGAGTTTCTTGGCCTCTGAGTCTCCCAGTCACTCTGCACCCTCCAAATCAAGACTCTCCCAAGTTTCTCTGTCACATGGTGCATTTGAGAGAAATGTAGAAGTGGGACTCACTGAAACTGAGGCTGGATCCTGGAATCATGCCTTATGAGTTGCTTACAAGCTTTGTTCCCTCCTTTTTAGTGTTCTCACACCTTGTTAAAACATCAAGTGCAGGTTCTCAATACTGCAAGAGAAGAGCCATCTTCCCAAGCGATTCAACAGCAAAACATTTAGATTTCCTCCCACAAATAAATGTCTTGTTCTATTATGTGCCAGTATAGGAATTATGGGACATGATCATTCAGCACCAAATTTACCTTAGATATTACAGTGATGTGTAAGATATGGCTTTTGTTGACAAAGGATTTATTATTTATTGTGTCAACAGGTCTTCCCAATGCTCCCATGAAAAAAACTTCCCGTGACTTCCTTTCACCTCAAATTACAGCTCCCTGGGTTTCTCCTCCAACACCACCCTTCTGCACTCACTATTTCTACTTTCTGAGCAGCTATTGTTCCACAATTTGTCAGTTGGACTTCTGTACCATTCTCCATCAACAATCTACTGAAAGTGGTCTGGTAAAGGTTGACAGCAATCCAAGTTGTGAGGTCCATCAACTTCTCCATCATCCCACTGTCTGAAACACTCTCTCTGTCAATCACCTTCTACCTGCAGAAAACGTTCTGTTTCCTGACCAGTGACTTAGATTTGCACAGTGATCAAGCTTTCAATGCTTGTCTTTTCTTGTTCCTTGGTCTTTCTCATGTAGACTTACCAGTTCCCTTAACCTTCAACTATCTTCTCATATTCACGACTCCTAAATTTGTGTTTCCAGCTCATCTCTCTCCTGGACTAATACAAATATGAAATAGCTTCCTGATCCTCATCAATTCTCTATTCTTATCCACACCCTCATTCCTTACCTATTGCTGAAGTCATCACCATTACCCTCTAACTCATATTCCTATCTCTGGCCTTATGCCTATCCATCCCTTTCCTTTAAAATTATATTTCTATGTCAGATATGGTTAGCGCCTTTAAGGGTCCAAATGGAAACTTGGAGCATATAAGAAATAGAGTGCAGCTCTCCCTTCGCACTCTTGACTAAAATCTTCAGGAAAACTGTCATGATCTATATGAAAATCCACAATGCCTCTGAATATGAAGCATCCCTCCCCTGGAGTCATGCAATATCCAACCTTCATGGCCATATGCGGGGGTTCTGGTTCTGTTAGTAGGATCCCACATCAGAATAACCAGGTTGACAGAACACATATATGCCATTTAATTATAATACTTTAGATCATCCACATTTCCGACAAATGGTCTTTTGGCTCCTGCACCAACATCTTCAACAACTGGGAACTCTTTCTGAAAGTGTATCTCTTCTTTACAGAGTTCAGAAACTGAACTTGCTGCCTTCTTGAAGCTTTTCTTTATTGACAAGTTTTTAAATATTTTAAGAATATTCGGAACAAGAAAGCAGAATAACACAGTGATTAAAGGTACAACCTTTGATGATCAACAGATCTGTGTTGGAATACTTTCACTATTTACTAAATGATCTTAGACGAATTCCTCAATTGCTCTATTGCTTTGTTTTTTAATCTGCAAAATGGGGATAATATCATTACCCATCTTCTCCCTTTTAGGGTTCTGAGGATTAAATGAAGTAATGCTGGTAGTGATACACAGCACCCAGTCCATAGCAGGGGCTTGGTAAGGCTGGATACCTGCCCTGGCTAAGTGGGTTTTTCATATTTTCTTCCACCTTTCTCTATATTCTGTAATTATTGGCTCTTCCCAAGTCCTGCCCATATTCCTCTATATGTGGTCCTTGGAAATGAGGTATCTAGGCTTGAATGAGGCCTTCAGATGTGATCTTCAGGTCTCAGAATGGTAAACTTACTCCAACTTGCATCTGAGGCTTAATAGTATTCATGCAATCCAGAATCTTGCTAGGTGTTTGGAGAACCACACAATCCCTTCAACCTACAACAATGCTGCAAAGGGAGAAGCTTCCAGGTGCTTTCCCTGGACCTGAAGGTTTGCTGAATCATGGATCCTCAAGCTTGCGTTCGTGCGTTTGTGCTGGGATCCAGCACAGAACCTAACATTGGGTTCTGTTAAATATCTTATCACTTTTCTTCTAAAGAAACTTTGGAGACTCTTCATGACCTACAGAATAAAATCTAAACTTAGAAAACTTGTTGTCTGATTTCCCTGCTCTGCAGCAGGGATTCCCAGAGGTAAGTGGATGCCCCTTGCACTTCCAAGCCCACTGTTAATGACATGCATGGTTGTGCCACTTGTGGTCTGGCTAATTGCATATATTCGCCTCTCTCCTAGACTGTGAGCTCCACAAGAAATTTTGTTCTCCCTTGTGGGCCACGATGCCTAGTACAGCATAGATAACCAACAAATATTTACCAATTTTAAGTCAGGATTTGATCCTGACACCTGCTCCCTTCACCTGGGTGGAATCGGTTGGAGATGGCCCATGGCCTGCTTGGAGTTCACGTTCATGTTGCTTTCCATGGTTCCTCAGGGGCCTATGCAATTCTTTTTGAAAGCTCATTTTGGCTCCATAACACTCTAGATGTCAGGTTTTGCTTCCTTTTGTTTTTTTTCTCTAACAGCTTCATTGAGATTTGATTCATATACCATAACATTTACCTGTTTAAAGTGTACCACTCAGTGGTTTTAGTGTATTCACAGACTCATGCAACCATCACCATACCAATTTTAGAACATTTTAATCACCCCACAAAGAAACCCCATGGAGGGGGCAGGCATTCCCCATTCCTGCCCTCCACCCCCACCCCAAGCCCCTGGCAACCACTAGGTGCCTCCTCCAAGCAGTTCATATAAATAGACATACAGTACATGTGCTTTTGTGACTGGTTTCTTTCACTGAACATACTGTTGAGAATCAGCCATGGTGTGGTATACATCAGTTCTTTGCTCCTTTTGACTGCTGGGTAATATCCCCTTGTATGGATGGACACGCCACATGTTTTGATCCATTCGTCAGTGGATGAACACATGGGTTGTTTCTACTTTTTCTGGCTATCACTTTCAGTGCTGTCTGGATATAGTCCAATGAGGGTCACAGGAGAACAAGTAGAGGGTGATTTTTAAACGTGAGTAAATGATGCACACAGAGGTGCGTTTTAGGCCAGTGATGGTGCATAGTTTGCAGCATGCACACTGCCAGGCCCATACCCTCTTCTGGGTTCTCAAATCCCTTTTCTATGAAGATTATTTCTTCCCTTCTTAGTTAATTTCCTTAGATTCGATAGGCATCAATAGTGTGCTGTGGACGAATTCCGCCTTCTGAAAGCTCTGTAACTGGGACTCTATGAACAACTCGGGTGCAGAGAAGGATGAGCCTGTTGAGTGTGCAGGATCCTTTACTCAGCCTTGAGCCTCTCTATTCACTGGCATTTTACAGTCACTTCAGGCTGGAAGCCATGCTGTGTGCGGTACTCCCAGTTCACCTGTATGTGAACACAGGACACTGAGGAAAAGCATTTCAACAGCCTGACTTCCTCAGATACATACAACCTCTCCTCCCACCCCACACAAACTTGATTTTACTCTCCTTCCAGTGAGGGCAACATGTCAATCTCTTTTCAAACCCCACGTGGAAAGCCTGGCTACAGTTTTGGTAACAATGAGGTACTTTCTTCTCATTTATGTTAGCACTCTTACCTGCTTAGCCTCAAAAACCCCCAGTATAACCTTGCCTGAAGAAGTCGCTAAGGATGCTGGCATTATTTGTAAATCGATTGCAAATGGTACTCAGATATGAAGTTCTTCTGCGGTCTTCGTTAAAGCTTTGTATTATTCTATGTGAATATAAATAGATAATTATTTACTTAAAAAATATTTTGTGGGCTATAAAGGTAAATGCATAAACAGGTCCTACAAGAATATTCTTTATTTTTGTAATTAAAACTATTCATTTCTGCCAAATTTTCTTCACCTTTTATTTCATTCAGAATATTATTATTATTATTATTTGCTCTACTGTGGGCAAAGTTTCTAGAATAGCTCAAATTAAAAATATGTATATACTCCCTCACCCCCTTACTCTATTTATGCCATCAACTTTTCTCCATAAAAGAATCTCATTTTATGCTTTCATTTTCCACATTGAACTTTTGGGTACAAGAAAGTGGGGGTGAAATATGAGTTCAGATGCCTGCAATTGTCTTGGAATATTTTTCTGCACACTCAAAAGCCTCCATTATGAACAAAGTCTGATGTTCGTTCACCCAGTGATGAATGCTGACTTAGCCTGAGAAAAAACTAATTAAAAATGTTGTGGAAAATGCAAACGTGGTTGATTTAAACAGCCAAAAGGAATTATCCTCTTGCAGTGTAAACTACCTATGGAGTGTTAAAGTTCTTGGAATCAATTAGTTTCTAGAAACCAAACAAATGATGATCTTACTCTTGTCCCCAAATGATAAAACAAAGGTTTGGTAAAAGAATACTATACATTACAGTTTTAACATTGGCGTTTAAAATTTTCTGTTTGTTTTTATTTTCTAATTTTTAGATAACTAAAGCCTAAAACTACAGCTAAATAGGATGTTTTAATTCACGCTAATTACCATAAAATTCATGAGGTAGGATTTTTTTTCTTAACCTTTCTTATTCACCTACTCCTTGCTCCAGAATTTCATTTTGGAGTTTATCAGAACAAAATTCTTTCGCTGCGCTCTCCAGTCCTGTTTGCTGAGTTCCGCAGGGTTTGCTGACAAGTTCTACTTGAGTAAATTGTATTTAGACAACCGTATATTTCATTTAGGCCTTTTGCAATGACTGGGCCAAGGTCAGTTTTATATTCTCCTGAAATCATAAAGTGACACTTGAGATAAACAGAATGTTTACTCTCTCCATGTGAGCTGAGGCTGATATGTAAATTTATCCTTATTCTTTCATCAAATTTGCATTTGCCCTCTTAGCCAAACACTACAGACTTCCAAATCAAACAGTTTTGATGATGGTCAACTCTTTATGACCGATGGCCATATCAGAGAAAAAGAAACAGCCATTTAGATTAAAATGAAAAGCACAGTGCAACATAACTCTCCTCTCTAGGTTAGTGGTAATTGGATGAACTTTCATACAAGAGGTGTTTTGATGCTTCGCTGCTTACCAGTAATTACCACGGGCTTCCGGCTTTGTGTGTGCCTGTGATGTACCCTTTATCTGTGACGAACACACCATACTCACCTATCATCATTTTTTTTCCGGTCAAATAAACCAAGTACCTCTAAATAGATTCTTTATATTAAAGAAGGAGAAAAGAAAGGAAGGCGTAACAGAAAGACTTGATCCTCTCCTCAAATGAATACATTTGCTAACTCTAGCAAGAATAAGACACAATAAATAATGACAATACACAAGGTAGAAGATGAAAATCAGAACTCTAGATTTTGTAGACTGTTGTCTTCCTATGAGGTTATTCTGTTTTCCAGTGTGTGCGCTCTACAGAGGTGACTTGTCGCCCAGGGCAAGGAGGTGTGTCACTCGCTTACTCCAAGGTGAGCTGGAATCTGTTAGGTAAAAAGCTCCCAGTGCCCAAACAGCCTCGGGCCCGGTGAAAAAAGCCACTCCCAGCAGCTTAAATCTCTCTGATGCAGTTAAACAAGAGGCAGCCTCTGAGAACGTGAGGGATAAAATTAGTACCTGTGTTTGCTTTCCATTCTTTTTGAACAAAAGGAGCTATTTCTGTGTTCTGAGTTTGCAGAACACAGAGGGGATTAAGCAATGGGACCACACAACTCATTCCTTTCAGGTTGGGGGCTGGGTTAAACACTCAGCATAGCTCCCCGGGAGCGGTAGCGCCCACTAGGTTTTATTCCCTCCTGAAAGTTGTGCTATCGGGGTCTTGCTCAGGGGAAATAGAGCTCCACAGCCCTGCTTGTGTTTTGTTTCGGCACCAAATGCAATGCTAGCAAGTTCAAAGCAAACGGTCTGCGAGACAGGCTGCACAAAGAAGAAAAAAGTGGCATTCTTTCAGGAGCTCCTGGATTCTGCTTCCTGTAAGGAATAAAAAATGAAGACTGTTGGCGCTGAGCCTTGCTAGGTTACTGAAGATCTCCCACTTGGAATGTCAGACACATCAGTAAACGACTTGATCCAGAAACAGAACTAACGTAATTCACGCCATTGATACAACAGGACGAGTGTCTCTACCCAACTTCAGTGCTTGTCTTATGAAGAAGAAGACCAAGAAAAAGAAAGAAAGGAAAAGAGAAAGCAAAGAGGCAAGGGAGTGTGGGGGAAGGCAGAGAACACAGTTTCCTTTTCAGTGTGGCTGTCAAATGGCGATCTAATTGTGGCCGGGCTGCAGGAGAGCAGATAGCTTTTCTGAAGCCCGCAAGTATTTCTGCCATTCACCAGGCCGAAGGATGCCACACACAGTCTGTTTGTTCAACATAAGCAAACAGATTGTAAACTGGCTGATAATTTTTGTACTGACAATGTCATTTACAGCTGTCAGCCTTTCGTCTGCCTTGTTTGCTTTATTCAAATATGAACCAAGTGGACCTCCCTTCCAGCGCTTTCTTCTGCATTAAAATCACATCCATTCCCTTCCAAGCTGTCTTATCTAAAATTCATTGGAGGCCAATCAGTTGGCTGAATGCTTTGTTGTTTCCATGGAGGCAAGAAGTCTAGTGTGGACTTTCGGGGATTAGGAAGTTTCAGATTTACAGCCTTGAAGTGCGTGTTTCTTTCAGTTAGCTTCTTTTGATTGCAAAGAGGCAGGACATTTAAATATAATTTTATGTCTGAACCAGGAAGCAGTGCTTTAAAAACGTAATCATTCTGGTTTGTGGCTCCCTCTTGCCAGCACTTGGCCTTACTTCTTCTGGTTTAGTCCTTGGAATGTGCCACCCTCGCAGCATGGATTGGCATTCTTCCTCTGCCCCTAGGTCATGACGGCTCCTTGGCCAGCGGGCACTGCTCAACTGCACCTCTTCTCTAAAATCCTGGCTTTGATCCTGCAGCCTGTCAGGGTGTCACCCACAAATCTTGAAGCCTCCTCTGTTGTGAGTGGAGGTTGCAATACCTTCTGTTAAATAATTCACATCGGACTGGCTGTCTGGTGGCAGGCAGGCAGCTGCAGATATTGCCACTTTGCTCAGAGAGTACAGGCACAGTCTCCTTAAAAAAATAAGCCAGTGGCAAAGTTGCCTACTTCCCTGCACCTGGTGCTGGTGAGAGTTCCTAATTCCAGGATGTGCTTAACTCTGAACTTCAGCCTCATATTTTAAGGGCAACATCAAGAAAAAAGTGATGTTTGTTCCTGGGGATGGGGAGCCTTGCTGCATTCTTGGGAAAAGAGTGTTCTTTTGGCAAACGTGATTTCTGGTCTCTTACTCAAACAAGGAATATCTTAAAATCATCCATGATGTATTGGGCAATTCATTACTTACACTGAAGGCTTTAAAACATAACATCACTGGTACTCTGATTTGACTTTTGACTGTGGCAATTTGTTTAAGTTTGTTTCCCAATGCTTAAAACGGCATAAAGTTAATCAACCTCAGTAAGTGAATATTGAGAATATATTATATGTAACAATAAATTCATCACAAAAACTTTTATATATTTGGGATAATTTCAAGTTGCATCCCAACTGAAATTTGCTGTTTTTTTCTTTAGATTTATTGCAACCAATCTCAAATATTTGTTTAGTATCAACTCTTAGCTTAGAATACATAAATCCTACTACAGGTACCAAATGAATATTACTCATGAAGTCATTTGAGAAAAGTTTGAGGTAGTGTCCAATCTCATGCTAGGTGGAATTTGGTAGAAAGTATGTATTTTTTAAAAGTTTCAGAGAAAAGAAGACTCAATAGAGGTTGCCACATGGGGGAATATTCATTCTATCTATTTAGTCAACATAAGAAGCATACAATACTATGAGGAAGCTGGTAATTTTATGTGATAACAAGCTGTGCTATTATAGAATAGAATGTATTAGTTGCACTTATGTGAACTAATGTGTTGTATGGACTGTGATCTGGTACATAGGCCTGCCTATTCTTTGTTTCGTTTTGTTTTGTTTTGTTTTGTTTGAGACAGTCTCCCTCTGTTACCCAGGCTGGAGGGCAGTAACACGATCTTGGCTCACTGCAAACTCTGCCTCCTGGGTTCAAGCGATTCTCCTGCCTCAGCCTCCTGAGTACCTGGGATTACAGGTGCCCATCACCACACCTGGCTAATTTTTGTATTTTAGTAGAGACAGGGTTTCATCATGTTGGCCAGGCTGGTCTCGAACTCCTGAGCTCAGGTGATCTGCCAGCCTTGGCCTTCCAAAGTGCTGGGACTACAGACTATCTGTTCTTTAATATAGAATGTTATTAACGGTCTGGAGTCCCCATGGTTACAATGTGTCCTGCTCTCTTGGAAGGCCACGCAATTTGCTACAGCTGAGACCTTGTTTCCCTATGACTTCAAAGAAGACCTTCTTGTTGTAAAACAAAGCATTAGTCTTTGCTTTTTATCTTTAAGACTTTAATCCTACTCTGGTGTATGTAGGGATATTTAGCTGTCAATATCCTGTTTTTTATGTTCTATTGAAATTATAATCATTTTAATATGTCAATTAAAATAAAATTGATCTACTTACTAAATTTTTATGCAATTTAGATGCTATATAGTTGATCAGTCACTAAAGTATTTATCTGAACCTATCCCCTACCATATAAAAAATTACAGCACCCTTTGTGTGCAATTCCAAAAAGCAAGAAGCTCTGAATACTGAAATTTTAACATGACATGAACTGTACTGAGAATATGTAAAATCTTTTATTCTGCATGCATTTGCTGCAGAAATATTTGTGTTTAATTATGAGATTGCTCCCCTAGACCCCACTGGGTATTTTATTAAACACATGGAATATTGTTCATCTTATCTTTAAAAATCTTTAAGTTGCTGGATTCTGAACACTTTCAGACCCAAGGGTTTTGGACAGCATAGCACATACCTGTCTAAGGTGTGTTTCATGGTGACTCTATGAGAAGCAGATTAACACTCACACAAACTATTAAGACTTGTGGCTGAAAGGACTCTGCTGTGAACAGACAGGAAGAAAATTGTAATTAGAAAAGGAAACTAAAACTTTGATCATATATGAGAATATAGAGGAGAGGAATTGGAGAAACAAGTTGTTGGTACAGCAGTCTGTAAAGCCAGGACAGCTGACAGCATCAATTTGATGTTTGGCGAACAATAGGTGGAGAGAAGACAAAGAGTTCTAAAGAAAGATAAAGCACATGAGAGAAAATGGAAATAAATGTGTCATCTGAATGAGGTATATTTTCTCCTTCTTTGCACAGATATTGCAACTCTTCTACAAGTTTGAAGTTACATCAAAACAATTTTTTAAAAAGTCAATAAAACCCCAAAGGAAGCATCAAAGAAAGTGAAGCACTCACAGAAAAACAAAGAACCTTCTTTGACGTTTTCTCCCTTTTCCTTTCAAGTGGCTAAAGTGGAAATGAGCAATCAGAAATGCAGTGGAATAAGAGAGAATGTAAGAATAAAGAAAAATGGGTGGAGAAAAAGAAAGAGAAGAGAGAAGGGGAGTATATCTGAAAACCATGTTTTGATGTTGTCTAACTCTTCAATAGTAGCTTACCGAACATCCCCTATTGTGGGGCTCTGGACACATATCTTAATTTTTGTGTGCCTCAGTTTCTTCATCTGTAAAATGGGAGTGACATGGAATCCATCTCACTGGATTGCCATGAAAAGTAAATAAATAGAGATTCCAAAGGAAGTCTCACAAGCACTCAGCAGATATTTGCCACATTTGCTATTGTGATGTTTATTGGCATTATTCCTACTGTGTGCCAGGGCGGTGGGCCACGATTTTCTCATTCATTACCCTCTTTTTACTTACAACAATGCTCTGAGGTAGATACTAATATTGTTCCCACTTTACAGATGGAGAAACTAAGGCTTAGAGAGCTTAACCAACGCAGGACAAATATGTGAGGACTTGCTTGGAATGAAAACACATCTAGGATTACAGGGATGGAGGAACAAGGTCTGAGGGAAGGCTCAGCCACAATAACCACAGGAGGAGACTGCAGCAGGGAGGAGCTGCTGGGGCATCACATGTACATGGTAGTGCAGGGGGCCTCCAAGGAGCCACATGAGGGGCAGGTGAGCAGGTAAGCTGGGCAGTCCTCCCTCTTCCTCCTGTGCTAAGCAATCCCAGAGGATACTTGCCTCAGCCTGATAGTGGTACGGTAGTGCCCTCTTATGCTTGAGGAATACATTCCAAGACCCCACTGGTTGCCTGCTACTGTAGATAGTACCACACCCTATGTACACTAAATAACTAAGCCGACTAGTAAGTGACTGATGGATGGTGGTGTCTACAGTGTGGAGATGCTGGACAAAGGGATGATTTATGTCCTGTGCAAGACAAAGTGGGGCAGTGAGGAATTTCATCATGCTACTCAGAATGGCGCACAAGTTAGCATTTATGAAGTGTTTATTTCTAGAATTTTCCATTTAATATTTTCAGACTGTGGTTGACCACAGGTAATGGAAATGGCAGAAAGTAAAATCATGAATAAGGAGGGACTACTATATTCTGGTAAATGTCTAACAAATGGCTCTCTGGCAAAAAGTGTGTGTGTGCGTGTTTGTTACAGATATCTAGAAGAAAATATGGGAGAAAAGTTCCTTGACATTGGTCTTAGCAATGTTTTTTTTTTTTAATATGACACCAAAAGCACAAGCTACAAAAGCAAAAATAAGCGAGCAGGACGACATCAAACTAAAAAGCTTCTACACAGCAAAAGAAACAATCAACAAAACAAAAGGCAGCCTATGAAATGGGAGGAAATATTTGCAAACCATAAATCTGATAAGGTATTAATATCCAAAATATATAAGGAACTTACACAACTCAATAGCAAAATAACCAAATAACTCAATTAAAAATGAGTAGGTATTTTTCCAAAGAAGACATATAAATGGCCAAGTGCATGAAAAGGTGAGCAACATCATTAATCATCAGGGAAGTGACAATCAAAACCATAATGAGTTATCACTTCACACCTCAGGATGGCTATTATCAAAAAGACAAGAAATAACAAGTGTTGGCGAGAGTGTGAAGAAAAGAGAGCCTTTGTGGTTGGTTGGAATGCAGACTGGTGCTGCAGTATGAAAAACTGTATGGAGATTCCTCAAAAATTTAAAACTAGAATTATCATATGATCCAGCAATTCCTTTTTGGGTAATATATCCAAGGGAAACAAAATCAGAATCTTGAAGAATTATCTGCACCCTCATGTTTATTCCAGCATCATTCACAATAAGCAAGACATGGAAACAATCTAAGTGTCCACTGACAAGAGATCAATGAATAAAGAAAATGTAGAATACAATGGAATACTATTTAGCCCTTAAAAAGACAGAATTCTTGCCATTTGTGACAAAATGGATGAACCTGGAGGACATTATGCCTAGTGAAATAAGCCAGACACAGAAAGGCAAATACAGCATAATCTCACTAATACATGGCATCTAAAAAAGTCTGACTCATAGAAACAGAGTAGTGGTGATTAAAGGCTGGGAAGTGAGAGACATAGGGAGACTTTGGTCAAAGGGCACAAGGTTTCAGTCATAAGATGAAGAAGTTCTATAGATCTAATGCATAATTGGAGAATGTATTGATAACTTGGAATTTTACGAGAGCAGATTTTAAGGATTAACACACATACACACACACACACACAAATAGTAACGAGTAGTAGTGGACGTGCTAGTTAATTTGACTGTGGTAATCATTATGCAATGTATATGTATATCACGTCATCTCATAGTATACTTTGAATATACATTTTTGTCAATTAAATATTTTTTTAAAATATTATTAATTATAAATTCCATATAGCTAATTGATTTTAACAGAATTCTTTTGTTGATTTTGCTGAACTTTTGCCCTCATAGCCAACTACAAATCAATTCTTTTTTTTTTTTTTTTTTTTTTGAGATGGAGTCTCGCTCTGTTGCCCAGGCTGGATTGCAGTGGTGCAATCTCAGCTCACTGCAACCTCCGCCTCCACCTCACTGCAACCTCAAGTGATCCTCTCACCTCAGCCTCCCCAGTAGCTGAGACTACGGGTGGGCACCACCACACCCGGCTGATTTTTGTATTTTTAGTAGAGACGGGGTTTTACTATGTTGGCCAGGCTGGTCTCGAATTCCTGACCTCAAGTGATGCGCCTGCCTTGGCCTCCCAAAGTGCCGGGATTACAGGTGTGACCCATCATGCTCAGCCTACAAATCAATTCTTGATCACTCTCAGATTCTGCAAAGAAGCCCCTCACCTCAATGATGAGCAAATGCAACTCCAACATGAATGTTAGTTGATGTTTTTGTTGATGTTAAGTAGTAAAATGAAAGTGAAACAATGAGGACATATATTGGGACTTTAGTTGTTCATCAGTGGAATGAATGGCTTCTTTGTTGAATTGGAGAACAGTTTTCAAATACTCAAAAAATATTTCCTGAAGTATGCTTTATGTGTTTTCATAATATAATGGCTATAAACGCAGCACATTTTTAAGTTTAACCTGCTATATTAACATTTTCTCCACCACTTTCTTAAGTCTAGACAAACAACGAAACAATAAATCAAGCTCTGATTTTCAGCATTTGCCAGTTTTCACGGCTTGGATACTCTCATCACAGATGAATTCAAACTATCAACATGAACATGGATTTGGCAAGAGGTACCAACAGGATACCAGTATCTACAGGTCTCATGAAGGAGGAAGCATTTGAATTTGGCTTGTAAAACATGGGGAACTTTGTATAGACAGAAATGGAGGGAGAGGACATTCCTGGCAAAAGACACACTTAAATAAAGGCAAAATAGGGAAACCGTTTTGACATAGAGAGGCATCAAAGGGCCTACAGAAGACACCAAGAAAGACATGCAGGACCTTGGGAAAAAGATCTGGAATGTGATTTCAAAGGACTCTGAATTCCTTTCTTATCCTATGAACTTTCCTTTTATCCCATTAAAGGTTTCGTTTCCTTTTGCTTTTGTTTGGTGGGGAATAATTTGCATGTTTGTATTGTTTTGTTATATGGAATGGAAGACAGAAAGGAAGCAAGAAGGATGGTGTGAAATGGTCAGATTTGATCTTTAAGGATAGTACTCTAATAACCAGAGTTGTGGAAGGGATGGAAGCTGACAGACTAGAGGTGGGGAAAGTTGGGAGGAATTTACAAAAGTCAGCACCAGAGGGAATGAGACTGCACCAGGCCACAGCAACAAGAATGTCAGGTCCAGTGGGCTTGGATGAGGCCTAACTTACTGCCCTCTATGTCCCCAATAATCTAAACAGGGCCTGGCACACAGAAGGTGCTCAGCGACATTTGCTGAAGGAATGAACGACGGAAATGTAAAGTAGGGAGGAAGGGGGAGAGATCTCAAGTTTGTTCATATCAGGAAAATAGCTCTGAATAATACTGAATTCTATATAAAAAATGTAATGCATTCTGTATCAGAGTTTCCAAAAAATATTTTTAAAAACTATGTTGCTGCTTAAACCAGCTCTGACGGGAAGTTGAAAGTATTGCTTATAAGCCACAATTTTATAGGAATCTTATATGTACTATTGAAGTAATGTGGATAATGTAAGGAGATTTTTCTGAATGTAGATCACATTATTTTTCTGGGTACTTGCCTTATTCTAACACTACCTTCATTCTTTGTTCCTTCTTCCTTTTCAAGGGGTTAATAGTCTGCAAAGAATCTATTAAATGCATTTATGGAAACTTCTCATTATGAAATGCTTCTTAGGAATCCACCCAGGGAATAATTTGGGACTTTTTTTTTAATTCAATTACTTCTTTTTCCTCTAGGTAGGAAGCAGTTGGGAAGGGTTATACTGAACTACAGGAATTAACTCTGAATCCAAATTTTGAAGTGTGTTAGTGGCGGCAAACTTCCTTCTCCGAACATTGGTATGACTCAGTATTAAAGTGCTGGGCTCCTGGATGATAAGAAGTCTGTGTGTGGGGGTGACCATTGTATGTACATGTTCGGTTAATCATTACAGGCTTCTCTGCTTATCACCACAGTGGTGCTCACCACAGGCCAGCAAGAGGAATGATGGATTTCTCCCGAGTTCTTGGCAGGAACTGAGCTCCACTGGTTTTATTCTGAAGCTGCTAACAGAGAGCCTCCCACCCTTGCCCTTATCACTTTTTATTCTTCTACATCCTTGAAATTAATGAGACAATGAGTTGGTTGTGGTGACCGTTTCCAGGCCTGTGGCTGCTAAGCTAGCGTCCAAGTCTGGCTGAGAGGTGGGAGGACTACGGCCAGGAGATGTTGGGTTTCACTACATGATGCAATGCTCTAATTTGCTGAATCATAGTTCCTAATTTCCTGGAATCCAAGAAACATGGCCTTGTTTACCCCCGTTTGTACTTAGATTCAAGGGCTGGACATTTAAAGATCACCTGTCAGTCAATCCGCCTCCTTAAACTAAGATCTCCAAAGCAAGATGTGCCATTTTGTAAAAACTTCTATCCAAGTTTAACAGGCAGAAAGAAAAGTGAACATATCATAAATGTACCACCCAGTGATTTTTCACAAGCCAAGCACATCCTGTAACCAGCACCCAAATCGAGACGAACACCACCAGCCCCTTGGAAACCACCGGCTATTTCCCTTCCAGCCAACGACTTTACCCTCCCCAAGATCCCAACCATCTAGCCAGCAGCATGATTCATTTTTGGACTCTAAATAATTGGAATCACATCATATTGACTCTTCTGTGACTGGCTTCTTTTTCTCAACTTTTATCTTTGCAAGATTCAACCATATTTTTGTGCTTATAGCTCACTCTTTTTTCATTGCGGTATACTATCACTTTGTGCTACTATACTATTATTTATTCATTCTAAAGGTATTGTTTTTATGCTCTAAATTTCTGGGAGAGGAGTTTTTGCCACACCCCAATACATTCAGACTTTGAATCATAATTTTAAATCCTCTTTTATTATTATTATTATCTTTGCTGTCTCCTACATCCAATTATTCTAATGAACTTCTAATGATTTCATGGCTTCATCTCCCTTCTCATCAGATTCATTTACAAACATCACCCAAGAGCACGGATCTGACCACATCCCTTTCCACTGAAACTTCTCCTGCTGCAGTCTTCTCACCCAGGCACTCCTCATCCTCCCTGGCTTGGTCCTTTCCTGTATCTTGCCTAATTCGCTTTGAAAGCACAGGATCTACTTTTTCTTTCTGGGACTGCATCATTATTTCCCCAGCCCTAGGCATATGTTGAAGGGTTTCTTCAGTCTAGAAGTTTCTTTTCCCCCCATATACAGTGTCAGACACTGCTAACCCATCCTTGAAGACCCAGTTCATATTATACAGTCCCAGCTCTGGTCTCCAGTTTGCCTGTTTCAAAGTCGGCTCTGTAGGGCTCTGCCCCTTCCGCTTCCCCGTGAGCTAGCAGGCGTCTGAGGGCCTCGGGTTTGCTCCCAGCCTCTCTCACCTTTGCCCCCAGATATTTGCTCCGTGAGAATAGCCTGGATCTTCTCTAACCCATCGTTTCTTCTTTTATTTTCACATTTCCTGATTACGTTCTGTCTCTTTTTCCAGGAAAAATGTCTGTGGGATGGCATGCCTTTCGAGGGCTGTGTGTCACAGAGAGATGAGTGAGGAGGAGAAACCTATTCTGATGCCCAGTTCGAGAGGATTCTCATCCAGACTTGTTCTCCTCTGAAAGCTCTCACTGACTGTACCTTCTTAGTGTTGTTCTCCAGGTAGAATGAGGAGAAGAGCGCTGTGCACATGAGTAGCTGAAATGCCTTTAAATCCCATCACAATCCTGCAAGCTTAATGTGCTCAGAGGTGGCCAAAGGGAAGAGGAGGAAGCACAGCCACTGGAGAGGAGAGACAGCACGAGACAAGGCAGGCTGGCTTTGCATCCTCCTTCTATTCATGCACAGTTGTCATGGTCTGACAATTGCATCATCACATACACCGAAATGTCACAATGTCCTTATTTTCTAAAATTCTTAGTGCATAGTGTGACACGAAAAAATTCTTCTGATTATGAATTTATATGAAAAGCCTTCTAATGGTAGAACATTTAATTTACATCTATACATTCAGTGATTCACATTTTCTGAAATTAATATAATCAAGAAAAATCAGGACTGCCCTAAAAAATCTGCTCTTTGTCTCTGTTACTGATTGTAGAGCCGACCTCTCAGATCTGTTGATGAGATTTCTGCATGCTTTCTTTCTACATGACCCTGAAAAAATTTTTTAATGGGAACTCCTAAGGAGAAATCAGAGTTTCAGAAGACATCAGAGTTCAGAAGAAATTAGAGTGAATGTGCTTGAAATCTAGAAATTTGCTGAGAACAATTTCATGCAGAGGAGAGAAAGAAAAGACTGAATCCAGGCTAGAAAGTTAAAAACTGGCCAGTTATATCAATAATATGTCAGTTCTCAGTCCATCCCTTCTCTTGGCATGTGACCTCAAGATTGTCACCTTAAAAAAATAAGTTCTACGAAAGTAAAAGTACTCAAGAGTTGGCTGGGATTTCCATTGCATTTTAAACAGCTCATTTGTATTCTCCTTGTACCCTAAAAGACCAGCTCGAAAGCAGTGAAGAGCATAAAGCAAGAGGCAGCTGGAAAAAAACAGGTCTTGAAATGATAAATGTAATGTTTCATGTCAGCAACTGGAATTTTTTTGTAGCGTTACTGTCTTGGCCTGCTGACAGCATGATTTAATGGCCTGGTTGCTCCATGAGTTGACATGGCAACCACAGAAAATGCCATAAATATCTGAGTGTGGACGTGAATGCTATGTTTACATTGTGTGTGGTGCATTGTGTGACATGTGGTGGCTGTTGTCTCTTCCAGTTGGAAACGTCTGGAATTGACAGCCATGTTTTAGAGCCATTTGGGCTAAAACAACTCTCATGACAGACACTTTACTGCAAGTCCAGAGCTGTGCATTTTTGTGTATATTTGAGAAATTAAACTCAGTGTTCAATGGGCCAGAGGGCCTTAACACAGTTTGCCATGTACCATAAGCCACTTTCTACCTCAGAGTCAAGACAATGTTGAATTTCTTCTGTTTTCAACACGGTAGAGAACAATTATGTTCATTCAAAATTGAATTTAGTGAGCACTTCCCTAGATTTACTGAAACCCAAATTTTAGAATTGGAAATATTTTTGAAATAACTTCTAGTCCAATAATTTTATTCCTTAGGCAAAGTAACAAAAAAGAAAATGGTTTATTTGTTTCATGCTCCAAGACCTTGTAGGAAAGCAATGACATCCATACTTCCCTTGCTTAGATTTTTGCACATTCAAAGAAATGTGAAATCATGTTTTAAAAAGAAGAAAAAGGGAACTGAAAACTGATTATATTGTATTGACCATCAATTCCCCTGAAGACCACCAGAAAAATCTACCTATCAAGCAAAACTATAACAACCACCATAGTAAGATAGAACACCACCTTGAAATGAAAATTAGGCTGGAAATGAAAATTAAGGTAGGGTATAAATAACACCCTAGGACCTAGGCTGAGTGATTTTTAAGATGTTCTTTTCATGTAGGCAACTGGTTTGAACTGCATGGAGTTTATGGTATTATAGCTTTCAATTAGCTGGACACAGCAAGGCCAGGCTAAGAAGTCAGTCTTTCTGAGTAAATAGTTTGCCTTAATAAATGAATTGTTTAGCTCATTTATGGTCTTATTTTTCAGAAACCGGTATCCCTGGAACATGCAGCTCAGCTACTTTTGCTTGATCTTGGTATTATTTAACATACGGACAGGAAAGAATGAGTAGTTTCAGTACTGTTTAACACAGGGTCAAGACATTATGTTGACCTCTTTTATCAGTAGCCTCAGGTAAGTCATTTACTCTCTCTGGCTCTTGTTAGCTCACTCATTCATTCATTTTCCCTTTCACTAATCATATTCATTATTGAGTACAGATGATTCTTGACTTACTATGGCTTGACTTAAAATTTTTTACCTAACAGTGAGAAAGCAATGCACATTCAGTAGAAACCCTAGTTCAGTGAATTCTGAACTGATCAGAAGATCAGTGAATTCTGATCTTTTCCCAGGCTAGTAATATACCATACAATACTCCCTCATGAAGCTGTGCAGTAGCAGTGAGCCATAGCTCCCAGTCAGCCATGATCACAAGGGTAAAAAATTGGGACTCTACAGTATACTGTGCTGCCAGATGATTTTGCCCAACTGTGGGCTGATGTAAGCGTTATGAACAAATTTAAGATAGGCTAGGCTAAGCTATGATACTCACTAGATTAGGTATATTAAATGCATTTTCAACTTATAAGGGGTTTATTGGAAAGTAACCCCATTATAAGTCTGGGAGTGTCTGTACTTGCTAAATGTGCCCACTTAGGATACAAAGATAAGACTTGATAGCTGTCCTCAAGAAACCTACAATATATACTCTTGGTCATTTAATGTGTTACCATTATGTTAGATTCTTAAGTTTCAAGGAGCCAAGATGTGCGTGGGTAACCACAGGAGATAACTTTTATTATAAGTGCTTTCCAGGATGGTAGAAAGCACAAAAAGTTATCTCAGCAGCCAAAAGCCAGGAATTATGGAGACCAGAAACATTTTTGACCACAATTCAGGGTATTATAGGAGCTCTGGTGATCCTAACACCACTCTGGGGGGCCCATCTCCTCTCCAGAGAGAGGAGTCGATTAGCTGATTAATCACAATCCAGTGTGGTGTACCACAACCTACCCAGGTTTTCACACGAGGCCAACTCATCGAGCAGCTCACAGACAATGCTGTCCCTGGATCAGTGGCAGGATCCAGTTGTGTGTCATTGGATGTATTGCTGAGTCCTGCTACACTCAGCTATGGTTCATGAAACAGGTCCCATGGCAATGTATATGAGAAAGACCTGGGGCATCTTGCTCTGAAAGCCTCTTGGGAAAGATGGACCCCCAAAGACCCATGAACTGCCCAGGGTGAATATATGCTAGGCGATAGAATTATAAAATATTTTAACATTTCAATTACGTGAAGTTTTTCTTTTTATAAATTGTCTCATTAAGCCTTACTTCCTTTACTGAAGCCCAGATCTTCACTAGAATCAAACGCAACTCTCTGTACCAAAATTATTGTATTTCTTTTTTAAAAAAGTTTTTGTGGTATGAGATTTTACTGTATTCAAAACAATTAGGGAGAATATCTAAGTGAACAAACAGAAGCAACCAGAGAACTGAAATGGAAAATTTTTTAAATCTTAGTCTTTCTTTTACTTTTCTGTTTTTTTTTTCTTTAATCTTGGTTTTGCAGAAGAAGCAAAATATTGTCAGTGAAGAAGAGACAAATTTGTCACATCTTAATTTGATGGTAAAGAATTGCCTTTAATCATTGACCTTTCTTTCTTTGTCTTGGGATCAAATTGTAACTATGGAGCCTGTTTTAACACGAAGTCTGAGAGAAAAGGGTTTAACCTCGCTGAAGGTAACAAACGTTGTCCTTCCCACGCCCAGTAGGTATTGATGTGTTTGGTTTAGAGACCCATTCATCACAGCACTGTGAGCAGTCATCAGTCACACTAAGATGGGGACTTCACCTCCCAGACTTCTAATTTACCTTGTTCAAAACTATGAATTTGCATTGAAAAAATGAAAATTTCTCTGTTGTTTTTGGTATATAACAAATGGAGACTGTAGCGGTCCGTTCTTGCACTGCTACAAAGAAATATCTGAGACTGGGTACTTTGTAAAGAAAAGAGGTTTAATTGGCTCACAGTTCCACAGGCTATACAGGAAGAATGATGCTGGCATTTGGGGAGGCCTCAGGAAACTTATAATCATGGCGGAAGGAAAGGGGTAAGCCAGCACTTCACCTGGGTGGAGCAGGAGGAAGAGAGAGAGAGGGGAGGTGCTACACATTTTTAAACAACCAGATCAGCCAGGCACAGTGGCTCAGGCCTGTAATCCCAGAACTTTGGAAGGCTGAGGTGGGTGGATTACCTGAGGTCAGAGGTTCGAGACCAGCCTGGTCAACATGGTGAAACCCCGTCTCTAATGAAAACACAAAAAATTAGCCAGGCGTGGTGGCAGACACCTGTAATTCCAGCTACTCAGGAGGCTGAGGCAGGAGAATTGCTTGAACCTGGGAGGTGGAGGTTGCAGTGGGCCAAGATCGCACCCCTGCACTCCAGCCTGGGCAACAAGAGCAAAACTCCCTGTCAAACAAACAAACAAACAAACCAAAAAAACCCCAGATCTCCTGAGAACTCATTATCGTGACTACAGCTCCAAGCAGGATGCTGTTAAACCATGAGAAACTGCCTCCATGATCAAATCACCTCCTACCAGGCCCCAGCTCCAACACTGGGGATTACAATTAGACATGAGATTTGGGTGAGGACATGAGATCATTTTTAACTTTTTGGAGCTACAGTGCATGGAAGACTCTTCTGCAGTTTAAATTGTTTTTGTACTGTGGGATATCTTTATTGTGAGAGACCAAGTTTTCAGGTCACTCTGTGGCTGACTTCTATGGCTCCTCAAGTGACATTGTTATTGAAAGAATAAAAGTAGATTCACAAATGAAGGGGTCACAAATATAGTACGCAAGTGGAAAAAAGAAATGCCGCTAGAAACAATGTCACCCCAGTAGCAATGAGTAAACCTAGCACCCAGATCTTCATTTCTATACCATTCTCCAATAAAAGGAACCAGGGCTTTTTGGAGACATGGCTGATTCTCAGGCTGCATCACAAAATATGCACAATGAACATGGTACAGCTTGCAGTTCCAGGAAGCAAGGAAGTGATTGGAAAAAAAAAAAAAAAGGACACAATGATGGAGAAATGTCAAATGGACAAAGGAAGCAATGGAAAGAGCTCCCAATGGCCAAAGCTGGAATAATTAGACCAACAAAATAAATAAAACAATATGGGACTATAACCCAGAGTATAAAATAAATATTCATGATTCCATATTGATATAAAAATAATAAAATAAATGAATAAATGGGGTAGGAGACAAAGGTCTCTGCAGAAATTCCCAAATCATTTATGCACAAATTCTGCCCTCCAGGAGGTAAAGTATAACTCCCCGCTCCTGAAGACTAGACTGCATGTAGTGACTTTCTTCCAAAAAGCAAGGTATGAAAAGAGGGGAAAAGGAAACTTACAGTGGAGAAGCCGGACAAACACCACCTCAGCCAGGTAATCAAGGTCAATGCCAATAGTCATGAGTCATGCTGATACAAGCTGAACATTCTCTAATCCAAATGCTCCAACATCTGAAACATTTTGAGTGCCAACATGGTGCCACAAGCAGAAAATTCTACACCTGACCTCATGTGGCAGATTGAAGTCAAAACACAGTCAAAACTTTGTTTCATGCCCAAAATTATTTTAAAATTTTATAAAATTACCTTTAAACTATGGGTATATAGTGTATATGAAACATAAATACATTTCCTGTTGAGACTTGGGTCTCACTCCCAAGATTATGTATATGCAAATATTTCTATATCTGAGCAAATTCAAAATTTGAAACACTTCTGGTCTTCAGCATTTCAGATAAGGGAGAGTCAACCTGTAGAATGTGCCTTTGATATGATGTGTAAGAATGGCTCTTTACCTCTGTGGTCTTCCTTTCAAAAACCCATCAGCTCAGGATAATTATGAGTAAAACATTAGACAAATTCCAAGTGAGGGACATTCTACAAAATTCTCCATCAGCACTCCTCAAACTATCAACGTCATCAGAAACAAGGAAAGTCAGAAACTGTCACAGCCACGAGGAACCTAGGGAGACTTGAGGACTAAACATGCGTGGTAGCCTGGATGGGATACTGAGACAGGAAAATGACATTAGGTGAAAACTAAGAAAATCGGAATGAAATATGAACTTTAGTTAGTAATAATGTATTAATCCTGGTTCATTAATTGTGATAAGTGTACCACATTACGATGTTAATGATAGGGGAAACTGGATGTGGGGGATATATGGGAACTCTCTGTACTACCTTTGAAATTTTTCTGAAATTTAAAACTATGTTAAAAGGAAACATTTTAAAAATATGTGCTAAGACAGACCCCCAAAATGCCACTTTTTAAAACAAATTTATATGATTCTTCTCACAATTCTCCACCCCTTGAGAACTGAAATCAGCATAGTTCCCAGTGTCTTAAAACAACACTGGGGCCAGTCATTTTTTTGTTCCTTATTAAACAATGTTGGAACCAAGCAAAAATCACTTACCTGCTTGCTTCAGGAAGACTTGCTTACCAAAAATGAGGCAGTAAATCCACTAAAATAGCTAGCTTATAAAATCCAGTATCTTTCTTATCTAGATTTGCTTCAGGATCCTTGGCCTTGCGGGGCTTACCAATTGAGAATTGTTAGGGTAGAAACCCTGCCCAGTCCCAAGCTACTCCCCACCTTGCAAAAGCTACCTTAGAAGTCCCCCAGTGCAGACCCTGACTTTGTCAACCTGAGGCACTATCAAGACTCTACCAAGGTGGTTTTCTCTTATACTACAGTAAATCTAATAAACTTAGTTTTGTTCCATTAACATGTTTTTCTGGGGTCTTTTGGGAAGTTGACAGTCAATAGTAATAGGGGTTGAAACATGAGAACTTCATCTTCTCTTTTAAGAGTATCTTGGTATCTTCCAACTAGCGCAATCTCATGTCAGCTTAAGAGCCAGTTGAAGAAAAGTTCAACTCCTATCAGGGCGGTGTGGTTTCTAATCCTTCTACTGCTGCCCATCATGGTGCTGTGAGTGATTTGGTGCAGGAGAGGAAGGGGCTTCCATACTCTGGTTTCCTACTCCTCTCTGCTGTGTGGTGGCTCCAGGCTTGCATCTGCTGACAAAGTCCCACACCCGTGTCTTTCATTAAGCCAGCTGAGTGGTTCTCCCTCTCTAGCCCAACGGAATGTCCTGAGTACCAGCTTTAACTGCCAATTTGGTCTGTGGCTCAGATATTAACCTTGGCTACAGGGTGTTTACCCTGACCACAGTTGATGTGGCCCACCAGGCCCAGCAGCTGGCACCCATAGCTGCCCGTCGTGTTTGCTGTGAGCAGGCAGGCCCTCCTGCAGGCCTTCCACTCCATCCAACAGCCAAAGTAGTTCTGGAGGCTGATGGAGGCCTTATTTCAGCCTAATCAGGCCATCACGCCATTGTCAATCAACTGTAGCATCCCTTGTAAACTCAGGGCCACCCTCTGAGTGCTCTCAAATCAGCATTTCCAGTTTCTGGTTTTCTCAACACCTCCCCTTGCTCAAGATTTCCATCCTGATGAAGGAGGTCAAGTCATAGGTCCCTGAACCCCTGCTTCCACTTGCCTTACTCTTTTCCCTCCACAGGGGCCTTTCTCCAGAGACATGAGACAGTTTCCCTTTCATGCCTGCTCAGGATTTCCTCTGTCTCATGGTGTGCTCCTTCTGGGGTGAAAGTCATGGTATCTGTGGCAGACATGGAGATGCAACCTCAGATCTCCAAGAAAAGATCTGTTACCCAGCTTCGAGGAGGAAACTCCCCTAGGTCTGGCACTGCTTTTGAGCCATGATACTCTTCTTCGGTGGCCCTCAAACAATGAGCAAAATATTGGAACAAGGCAGGGCCATCTCCTCCCAACATGGGACCACTCTATGGGCGGTCTTTGTGGCAGAGCTCCTGGTTGGTCTCTGGGGGCTTTCTCGGAGCAATGCTGTGCTCTAAGAGTCCATCTTTTTAATCCTCCCTTCTCCCCATCTTGTCCTGCTAGTCTTAGCCCCGCAGCATGGTCTGAAGGCTCTCCCTGTCAACTCCTGCTTTTTTCCACTTTGCCATTTGCAGTTGCTCACAATAAATCTCTTGCTCTTTTACCTTCTTCTTGGCATCTGCTTCCTGGAGGACTCAAACAGCTCAGTTCCTGGTCAGCAGAGCTGTGATGGTATATGGCCAAATGTGAACATAATTTATCAAAGAACAGGTAAAAAATCCACCAGGCTCATATTTTCACATTATATTTACACTCAAGTGCATGTAGTTAGCCCTCTTGAAAAAAAAAAGAATCTATGCTGGCTACCTTCCTTGTACAGGAAAATCTGTTTGTATGTTATTTATATTTTTCTTCTTAGTAATTTGAGATATGTTAGAATCTTTAATGATTTAGAATTTTATTGACAAAATTAATGACCTTGTGCTAAGTGAATCTGGATCACTTACCTCTGAATGCAGCACTCACCTTTCTCCACCTACTCAGGCCTTTTAAACTGCATCATCGGCTTCCTTTCTGGCTTCCAGTTAGGCTCAGCCAATGGAAATCACCAGCAGAAGATGTGAGGTGAGAGAGACTGAAGTTGGGGAGGTGCTCTTTCCTGCTGTCTCCCCGCTGAGCCACCACGGTGTCTACTGAAGCCCGCAGCACCTATCAGTGGATGCTACTTGCTCTGGGCTCTGGTGGCTCCTTCCTTCCCTGGCCCATCAGGCTCAGGTTCCCGAACAGCTCCCCACTGCAACTGGCCCTGGGGGACTGCACCATCACTCCCAGCACTTCCCAGACCCTGTACAGAGTTGAGTGTGCCTGCCAGCGCCCTGAGAGACTGAAACAGAAGCCAAACACAATTTTTTTCACTTATCCAAATTCATGTAGTACAAGGTCATTAATTTTGTCACTCAAATTCTAGATCATTAGGTTTAAAGATTCTAACATGTTTCAAATACTAAAAAATAAAAATATAAATACTGTACAAGAAGATTCTATCTCTAGAAATGTGTTGAGATAACTACTGAAATAAAAATCTGCTTGAGCTTTATTATGGAATTATTTCCACCAGTTTGCCATGAGAAGCAATGTAGAATCTGTCAAAAGCAATAATCAGTCATAGCTGAGTTTGTTACAATTCAACATACTCCATGAAAGAAAAGGTCCCATCTGGATCAAAAGTCTTTTGGGATTAATGAATGAGATTCTTGTGGTTAATAAAATTGTTTTTTGTCCTTGAACAAGTATCTCCACCCCGCAATGGGATTCCAATTTCTCCCATACATTGAATGGTGAAATGAACAAAATGATTCCAGACAGTGTTTCTGAAACTTTTTTTTAATGGTTCCTTTAGGAAAGCTGTGATCTTCCTCTTCAGACACAATATGAATCTGTTCCTATTCATAAAATAGGGATGTAATTTCAGAGTTTTGGAAAAACTTGTATCCCGTAGTCCTTGAGCCTTAAATTATAAACCCTACATACAAGCACACACACACAGAGACACACATACACAGATACGCACACACATAGGTGCACATACAAATATACACAATTCAACATAGGAAGGGAGAACTGCTAAATCTGAAGGTTAGTCAGGGAAAGCAAGGGACAGAATATATACAAATATATCTGTGTACGTGTGCACACATACACAAATGTCATTTTTAAGTGAATTTGGGTTTCAGAAAATCTGTTCTTACTCCACAGGTTTACGGTTGGTTAAATTCAGTCCCAGGTTTTCAAATGATTCTTAAATTGTTCAAATGCTTACCCAATTCATAGAGATAATATCAGGAAATTTGGGGGTTTCTACCAGAATGTATAAAGTGTTTCTAAGTCAAATATTTTGAACTAAATTCATGAGCTGAATTCACTTCATTGTCCAATGTCCATACTGTCTCGTCCATGTGCTATTGTTTTCACTTGTTGCACCACCACTGACAAATTGCCCAAGTCAGAAATGTGAGTGGCTTTGATGATTTCTCTTTCTTGTCGACAATTCCTAACAATTATGTCTCGAATGCATCTCAGGTGTTCTTCCTCCCTCTCTTTTCCTGGTCATTGTCCAGTCCTTCACCGCACTGTGGAGTGATTCCTCACTTCCTACTCCACTTCATCCTCACACCACCACTACTTATCCTTCCAAAATGCGCAGCTGATCTCATCATAGTCTACTCAGTTCTTGGTAATTTAGCTGGCTCTTTCTTGATCTCTTCCAGGAAGAAAGCAACAACCCTTTACCACGGGCCTGAGGAAGCCCTTCATGGCTGGGCTTCTGATCACCTCTTCCATACTCACCAGTGGCACTAAATCACTGTTATTTCTCAACACTGCATGACTTTCTCAAGCCCCCATGTCTTTGCATTTCTTCTACCTTCTGTCTTGACTTTCCTCCACTTAGACAGAGCCTTCTTATCCCTGATTCTCAGCCTAAATACCACGTCTTCAGAAGCCCTCACTGACTATAGCAGGACAAACTAATCACTCTCTCTTTTCTGCTACTGCTGCATATTTTGCTGCTATAATAGGTCGTATTACAGGATAGGGTAGATGTTTATCTACACCTCTCTGTTTCCCCAGGAAAGGTGTGCTCCCTGAGGTGGGACCAGATATTTAACCTATTCTACTGATTCAACTTTTTTCCTGGTGCCTAGCATATCGTGGACATCCCAAATATCCTGATTGAATAAATAAATAAACGAATTTCCACATCCCTTTCTTTAAAAAGTACCAACTCCTTAATTACTCTTAAATGCACTGTAAAAAAAAAAAGACCAAGTAATCTTATTGCATTATCCTTTGAGCATTTTTAACATCTCTATGAATTAAGTTATGAATCTCCTGATGACAGGGCCAACCAGGGAAAAATTAAGAAGCGATGAAAGTTCTGTTCTGTTCAGTCTCTAAGCCTCTCCTCAAGCTCACATTCCTTTCAGCTGCAGTGATTGCTACGTATAACCAGACATGCACACATTCACACACATACACACACATGAAGACACATATACTCAGGTACACACATACATGCATCTATCTGTGTACTTACGATACATGCAATTATACGTGCACGCACACTTACACCCAGACTACCCACAGGCAGGCATGCAGACACATATGTGAAAGAGGGTTAGGAAGTGCTACATATGTACACACCAATGGAATGCTTAGTTTCCTCTACATGCTAAGCTAACTATTTCACATAAAATATTAAATTAAATATCACAGTGGCCTTGGAGATAGGCATTATTTCAGATACAGATGAGTCATATAGGTAAACTGAGTCTTAAAACCATTGGAAATCTTGCCCAAACTGCCATCACAGGCTGGCACTGGGTTTCTTTGTTATATTTCAACCTTGAACCCATAGTCCCTCCAGTCTACCATTTTCTATTTCTGCACGCCTTCCCCTTCACAGCCTCTCTCTCCTGCACTCTGGGTAGCTGACACAAGCCAAAGACCATAGGTTCACTTTTTGGTGAGAAATAACTAGAAAAAATGATGACGAGCCAGTCAAACAGAACACTGGCCTTCAGAGCAGGGGTGAAAAGACACTTTAAAGCGAGAATGTAAGTCTGGACCACTACCAGGGTTATGGCAAGCTGGTATCAGTGTATTACTATAAAAAATGCTAGGCTGATGGTTGAGCACTAGGAATGGAGAGTGCTAACATTTAATAGATCTGAAGTTTACTTGCAAATAAGTTCCAGAATAATTGGAAAAATCAATGTATATATATATATTTATATTTCACACACACACATATATATATTTTACACGTCTTCTTCAAAAAGTAAAAATACTTTGATCTACATATGTGTGTACACATGCACATGAGCACACACACAGACACAAATATTTCCACTTATAAGTACTCCCATATTCATCCCCAAATTAGGTTTTACAGAAAAAATTGGCCTAGTTTTCTAATAAACTAAAGTAAAACCTTTTCTGCTCTTAAAGATCAAATGCGAGTTACTTTTCTGAAGACCACAAACTGTTTTCAACTAAGGCAAATTAGAAGCACAAAGCAACTAGATTGTTTTACTAACCCACTCTAATGATGTTAAAGGATGTCCACATTTTGTTGACATTACAAATTTGTCCATAAATCTAATGCGGGACAGAGTAACCTTCCTGCAGCAACAAGAGAGACAAATTCTAGAATGTGTTTTTCTACTTCTAAAGTAAATAAATAATGCTAAGCAAAAAGCAAAGCAAAACCAAAAACAAAACTAGGACCATGGAAGTAAATGCAAAGTCAACTTCGCGATTTAGGAAGGTCAAGCTGTTTGAAGAATTTAGGAAATGTATTTAAGCTGACTGTAAGTCTGGAATGCTCAGTCAGGAGTTAATAACTGACAGAGCTTGAGATACTCACAATGGCTCTGTAAGTTTCCTCTAGAGCCCTCCCTCCACAACAGGGCAGCCCAACTTCTCTTGCACACCTTCCAATGTCCATCACCAGGGATGAAAGAGTGGGCTGGGGAACATGTGAGTTACTGAGGTGGAAAATGGGGAGATAGCATAAGGCAGATAATAAGAAAAGATCTAATGCATTCCCTTTATTCCCAGAATTTCAGAGTTTTGCCCTTAGCCTGACCTGTCATAAGTATGCAGAGAATACATTCATTTCTATGACTGCAGTTTTAGTGAGACTCACAAAATATAAAAAGCCCTGGACTGGGAGTCAGGAGGCCACTGTTCCAGCTCTGCCTTGGCAGGGATTAGGCCTGTAGCAGCTCTGGTTACACAATCCACACATGTTGCAGTTTCTCTCTAAGTTGTGAACGAAATGATTAAAACACCCCTAATTGGCTTTAAAAGTTTTGCTCTCTGATCTTCCTCTCACCCCTTCCCTTGGTGGTACCATGAGGAAAGAACTAAAACTCATGTTTCCCTTAATTGTGGATTTCTTCCCATGTTGTGCCTAGGAGCAGCATAACCAAAAAAAAAAATCAAGTGTCTGTTGGGGTGACAATAAACTCAGCAGCAAGGATGATGGTAAGCCTTTTACAATTACAGTGTCTGGAGATAGCAGCATGGAGCGCTAATGTCAAGACAATTGAAAAGTCATCCCCTTTCAAGCAGTAAGACTTTCAAAATCTTTAGTGATTATGGGTGGCTATCATTCCAAAGGCTTAAGCACAATTCTGTTATTTTAAACACAATACCTCAAATCTGAATTATTTAAAAATAAAACTTCAGGACCATTTTAATAAAAGTTTAATAATTATGCTTTTGGTGTGTGTTATGGACTGTACATTTGTGCTCCCCCAAATTCATATACTGAAGCCCTAACCCCCAAAGTAATGGTATTAGGAGGCAGGGCCTTTGGGAGGTCATTAGGTTTAGATTAAATCATGAGGCGGGGTCCCATGATGACATTAATGGTCTTATTAGAAGAGGAAGAGATGCTGGAGCTCCATCTCTCTTCACCTGGTGGGGACACAGCAAAACGGTGGCTGCCTGCAAGCTCAGATAAGGACCCTCAGCAGGAACTAAAGGGGCCAGCACTTTGTTCTTGGACTTCCCAGCCCCTAGAACTGTGAGAAATAAATGTCTATTGTTTAGGCCTCCTAGTCTGTGGTATTTTTTATATAGCAGCTTAACAAAAGCAGTGTGTTAGTAAACATTCTTCAGTGCTTACAGGAAGCAGCCTCTGCCCATGCTGAAAATTACCATTTCAAATGCAACCTAAATTAGAACAACTATGTCTTTTTTTTTTTTTTGATGGAATTTCACTCTTGTGGTGTGATCTTGGCTCACTGCAACATCTGCCTCCCAGGTTCAAGCCATTCTCCTGCCTCAGCTTCCTGAGTAGCTGGGATTACAGGTTCCTGCCACCATCCCAGATAATTTGTTGTATTTTTAGTAGAGACAGGGTTTCGTCATGTTGGCAAGACTGGTCTCAAACTCCAGACCTCAGGTGATCCACCGGCCTCGGCCTCCCAAAGTGCTGGGATTACAGGTGTGAGCCACTGTGCCTGGCCTAGAACAACTATGTCAAATGGAGAAAACAGGCTCCAGTGAGCATCACTGGCATCCCTGTGGAGATGAGTGCATATGCTGAGCATGTAGATGTGACATCTGCTTGGTTATTACAGCTCTTAAATATCTTTAGACAGACGAGGTAGGCCAGTCATTGGCGTGTGGACAAAGGCCCAGTCTCTGCCTCATCAGTGCTTGACCTGTCCTCACTGAGGCCTGTGAGAAAAATCTCATGACTACAACTTGAGTTTGTTTTGTTTGAGTAGTTTTAGAACCAGGTTTACCTTCTTCCAAATTTTATATATATATACATATATATGCATACACACACACATAAATATGTGGGTATGTATATTTGTCAAGTTATTCTCAATGTTATGAATAAATATGGATCTCTGCTTTAAGATCTCTTATTCACCCCAGCTCAACTATTGCTATGTAATAACCACCCCAAGTTTACTGTAAAACCACACAAACCGTTTATTATTATTATTGATCATGATTCTGCAAGTTGACTAAGTTTAGCCGGGCAGTTCTCACTCAGGGTCTCTCATGTAGGAACAGTTGGACAGTGACTGGGGCTGGTGTTAGCTCACAGAAGACTCAAACAGCTGGCCTCCTTGGGCCTCCCTGTCTCTATGTGGTCTCCCCATATGGTCTCTTACCTGGGGGCTCAAATCTTTTGAAGTGTGTGTCCTAAGAGAGAGCACCAGGTGGAAACTGTATTGCCTTTTACAATCTAGCCTTGGAAGTCATGCAGCGCCACTTCTGCCCCATCCTACTCATTAGAAGTGAGTCACTAAACCCAGCCCTGTTCCATGGGAGGGAAGTTGATGCCACCTCTTGATGAGAGGAGCAGGTCTTCAGCACATTGCTTCCTTCCGGTCCTCCCTCCCTTTCTTCTTTCCATGGGTCACCGATGGTAGAACAGGAAAAAGTCTAGGAGGTAATTGTTTTTTCATTCTGTCTCCAAAATCCCTCACCATTTCTGTATTTCTACAGAGGAAAAACAGAGGCCAAGTAATTTGAATCATTCAACCCATCTCTAATAGTGGAGCCAGCAGTAGAACTCCAGGGCTCTTCAATTTTCTATGGAAAGCAAGAGAATTAAGGGGCCCAACTTATTCCTCCCAGTGTTGTCCAGAGGGACTGGATCAGAAGCTGATGGATTCTTTCCTCTGGCTTGCCAGGCTGGGGCTAGGTGCCCAGCTGTTTGTGATATTATGGAGAGAATTTATGGATGGGTTGAGTGTTGGACAAGAACAGTGTTTTCTAGATCATCATTCTCCAAGCCTGGCAATAAGGTTCTCCCTCTGAGATGGAGTTTAACTTGCAGGATATTTATTCAGGAGAGGCTCTGGGACCAATATCTGTGGAAGGGAGCCACAGTGGATACTACTGGGCATTCTGAAGTGGATTGTTCCTTCAGAGTAGTCCTGAGTGGGGCCAAGCTACAGAGCCTATGTGCACATCCATTTATCAGCCACTGGATGACCTGCCCAAAGGGGCCTGAGCACGGGCTCCAGGTGGCTCTCCACAGCTGACCCATTTCTGAAGGGGCTGATAGTGAAAACTGTCTGCCAGTGAAACTCTTAGCAGCTGAGATTTATTCCTTAAAGTCTTTCTTTAAAGGGGGGTCTGGACAGCCTCCCATAGTGATTTGTTGTGAATCACAAATGACAAGGCCCTGGCCCCCAGAGATTCTGGTTCAGTGGTCTGGGGTCAGGCCTGAGAATTCATGTTTCTTAAAGGCTCTAGGTGACTCTGCACAAGGGGTTTCCGTCATATCAGCTGGACGCTCTGAGGCTCTCCGGAGCAGAATGAGGTGCTAAGGTGTTGTGTCTAAACGCATGGCTTGGTCAAGTGTCCCAGTGCAGTGATCCTCAGAGGGTCAGATGCAGCGAAAGTGAAAATGAGCATGTGGGTTATCCAGACACCCCAAGTTTATCACCCTGTCTGGGCCAGGGTGCATGACGCTCACTCCTGCAAAACAGAGTGAGCAGGCAGGGCTGTTTCTTCCCCCTGCAGCTGGGAAGCCCCAGCCAGCCTGCTCCATTGAACTTTCAGCTCCCGGAGTTGGCTCATTCCCTCCCAGAGAAAACAGCCCTATTATAAACATACAAACTTGAGTTGGGGCGGGGGTCACAGGCTCTTGCCTAAGTCCATCCTGCAAAATTGACTTTTCTGTCAATGAGAACACAGCTCTGCTTTTACCTCTCCTGTGTGCTTTGGCAGTTTCTGCTTGGCTGTAAAATTTATCCAAGGAAAACTGGCATTTATCTTGGGTTCACTTGTACTCAGCAAAACTGATAAACAGATGGGGGCTGGCCAGGCCACGGGCAATTTGGTTAGCACTTTACAAAATACAAATGTCATCCTTTATTTTTACAGGGATTATTTATTGTGAATTAGGAAGTTATTGGTCTGTTATATTCTAACAGGATCATTCACTCCAGTTAAGGGATCCATGTCCCTATTATAAAGTGGTGGGGGGTGTCCTGGGTGGAAGAGACTTTCTGGCATTGTTGGCAATAAAGGAATAAAATGGCCCTGCTGGGTTTGCGTATGCACACACAGGGCACTTATCTGTGAAGACTGTGAAAAAAGAAAGAAGCAAAGAAAGAAATCAACAAGATTTGATGGGGAAGCTTGCAAAGGAGATCAGAATTCAGATCAAATGTCCCACCCCAGTGTCTCTGGAGTTTTTTTTCTTTTGTGTCCCAGCTAAAGGCACTGGGAGGATCAGAGACCTCATCCCAGCTCTGTTTACTTTGGGAACAATCGTTGGTGTATGAATAATAATGCCTCCCTCTGACCATGACTAATTGAATTGCAGCCTGCGGGCAGTGGGGAGGGGCTTTGCCGGGCCAGTCCATCACGGCGTTTCTCAAGTAGCCACCGACAGTGATGGATGCAGCGGCGCTTCCCAGAGTGCATCCTCGAACACCTAAGAGCAGGGGTATGAACCTGCATTCCGAGTTTCTATTAGCCGGGGCCTGGCAGAGAGGACGGGAATGGCGGCAGTTAAAGATGAGTTGGTTGATTAAAAGGAAGAGGAGAGGCAGCCCTTTTCCTAACCTCCTCCTCCCACACCTGATTTTAAGCAAGTTTTGTTCATGGGGACAAATGAGAAAATATTCATCGTGTGACCATGCAGGCCTCAGTGGGGCCACCTCTGCTGAGGCCGTGCCTGTTAAAAGTACTGGGCTTGTTTGGGGTGCAGTGGGAACCCTGGCTTGGAAAACAAAAAAGGCAAAACAGCCAAAGATTTGTCCTGTTAGAGGATGTTTAGAAGCCAACAAATGAGGTAGAAGAGGAGACAGAAAGACAAGAGAGAAGTAGGGGCAGTTGGAAACGGAGTCTATGGCCATGTCTATAATCCAACAATGGATCACACAGGGACCCTAACATTTGGTCGTCCTGTTGTCTGCGCTGTGTTTACACAGCAGAACCATGCAGCTGGGGCCCTGGGCTCAGTCGGACTTTGTTCTCACAGCATGAAGGTGACCCCTGGTGAACTGCGATCCGGGAAGCTTGTGCAGCCCAGCAGTCTCTATGGTGGTCTGGACACAGGGGAAGTCGTCCAATTACAGGGTCACTGCTTTCTATCTCAGTCGGATTTAGTCCGGGCCAAACCCCAGATTGGCACCTTTTTATGAGAGCTGTGCACGCCACCCTGGCTCCTTTTGGTGGCAGAGGCTGGCTGAAACTCCAGGCGGATTTTGGAGGCAGATGCTGGCTTTAAGGGAGCTTTGGTTGGCCTGCTCCTCTTGGAAAGCCCTGATAAAAGCATTCGGGGCAGGGGCTATACTTCTCTTGTATCTAAAATCCTGAAATTTTAAATCCCTCCAAACAGTTTCTTATAACTTTTTTGTTAGCTTACTATGCTTTAAAAATTATCCATAGGTCTTAGTACCAACAGTCATTTTACTGCACAGAAGTTTCTCAGCTCCCTTCTCTTATTTAAGAATGAGATACTCTCTGCCCATTCTGAACTTTACAGGAATAACTCAGGGTGTCTTGTTCTTATAAATAAAAAATTTTTAAAAAATCTTCTAATATGTTTCTATTTTATCTATCAATCCATTGATCTATATGTTTATTTATCCATCTGATTATCTATCTATCTATTTATCTATCTATCTATCTATCTATCTATCTATCTATCTATCTATCTATCTAATCTATCTGCTTTCCTACTTATCTTGGTGAATAAAATAAAGCCAGGAAAGAAAGGCAGGTGTGTTAAGGGAGCCGTCTATTCCTCTGGCATGAGTAGGGTGCAGGATGTAGTATCATGCAGCTGGTATTATGAGCTGTTGGAGGCAATTTCAAATCGATGCATAAAAATTATCTCCCCAGTATGTCCTGAATCCTAACCCCACTTGACCAAATGAACAATAAGACATTCAAGCAAAATAAGTAGTTTCCTGGTGCCTGTACCAAATGTGAAATATTTTCAACCCCTCAAATCCAGGCCGTTATAGCATTTTAGTCTCTGGTTTTCAACCCCCAGCCCAACCTACTAAACAAACATTGTGACCACCCTGGCGTGGGCCACACTCCTGGGGTTAAGATATTCCACCTAAAATCCCTTCAGTCTCTTTGAGCTGATATTCATGGACACTATTCTTGTGCTTTGAATACAAAACAAAGGGAGATGGAGCTGGCTTAGCTGCTGCAAAAGTGAGGGGAAGGAATGGTAAGAAGATGCATTTATGCCTGCAATTTGTCTTTAGAAAATAAATATTTCAAACATTTACTCAGAAACCAGGTTTTACTGTTTGTTATGAAGCAGCAGGATTTATTAAGAGAAAGCAGAAATCAGTGTAATTTATGGAAAGATGGCTGAAGACAGCCTATGTGGGCCCTGAAGCTGACCAAATTCTAATAGTCACCCTCCTTGGGTTCAGATGCATGGAGGAAAGCTGCGTCTTGAAATTGAGGGGGCTTTGAGTAGGACCACCACATAGTATCTTCACCACCCCAATAACCCTATTATAACTTCGTGCTTTGAATCTAGATGGCATCTGTACATCCCCACTCCTGCATTGCATTGAAATAAGGCTTGAAGGAGTATTTAAGAAGAAATTGATCAGGATACAGGGTGGAGAGTGCTAGGGAGGAAGGTAGGGTGTTCCAAGAAGAGGGCAGAGAGTAACTCAAAGAGAGAACAAGAATCAAAGGTATATTCCTATTCCTGCACAGTTGTCACTGGGGCCAGCCTGCAAAGCTGAGAGCAAGACTGATATCCTTCTACCAACTCTTAGTGGTCTAGCAGATGAAACCAAGTTAGAAATAGAACAATATTTTTCTGTAAAAGTGAATTCTTGTTAGTTACTTGAGATAACAGTGAAAGAATGACACTTTAATCTCTATGCTTCCTGTGGGCTATGCTCTAAGCACTTCCAATCTTCCACGTTCATGTTAATCCTCCCAACAATCTTGGAAGTGGATGTTATCATTTCCACTTTAGGCAATCAAGGCACAGAGAGGTCAAGTATATGCCAGGTGGTCTGTCCTCTAACAACCCAGGGGGCTGTCCTCAGGACTCTGGATGCAACCGTAACGGGGACACATTGCCCTCTGACCACTGGGATGGGTGCCTGAAGTTTCTGAAAATATTCCTCAAACTTGAAATACACTCAAACTAGAGAGTATTTAGTGGCTAGCAGAATTTGAATACAGCAAAATGGATAAAAACTTTTTTTTTAAAACTAACTAGTAATATTCAAATGGTCATATCCTTTTCACTTAGTAATTCTACTTCTGTGTGTTCCTTCTATTGAAAAACATGCAATTTTGCAAAGATCTGTTCAACCACAGTCATTGCAGTTTTATATGAGAGAGCAATGTTCCAGACTTTCTTGAAACACCACAAATGCCCTTCCAAAGAGGATCGTTGAGATAAACTATTTCATATGCTAGATATCTGCTAAAAGTACCAAGATTCATGCACTTAGCCTAAAATAGAAAATTCTCCATGATATTTTAAGTGAATAAAGAACCATAGAGAAACATCCCCATTTTATAAAATAATAATCACATAGGGCTATCCATGGAAAACATTCTGAAAGCAAATTCTCCAGTCAGTCAGTTATGGTCACCTCTGGGGTTGGGATCAGGGAAATATCCACTGTCTATGCTATACTTTATTCTGTAAATCTTTATTTCTTAATGAATATGTACTGTTAACAGAAAAAAAAGGAATGCAAAAGTTGTTGCTTAGCTCAGAAAATACCCAGTTGATCACCGCTGTCATCTAGCAATCGTATTTTTAAAAAACCATGTGCTGTGAGGTTATATAAGTTAGGTTCTTAATAGAATTTTTCTTATTATTCAAGAGGTTAATCATACCTGTTACCATGTATTCTGACAGCTGTTTCTGAGCCCTCTTTCCCGCTGCTCTAATGTCTATATTTTAGTAAAGTCTATTTTCAATATGAGTTCCATATTTCTGACCTATTCTCTAAAATTTGTTTGGAACCCCCACATCTTCATTCATGCCTTTTTGCACCCATTCACAGACATGCATAGTGTGGCAAAAATTTGAGTCATCCAAAGTACCTATTCTCAGATGAGGTGGAACAAGCTCCCATTCTGCCTTCCTGTTTTAGCTCTCAGACTATATATGAGTGTTCTTCTGTAGTCCATTCAGTGACATGATTTTTTTTTTACATTTTTGTGCTTTTTAATGGTAATTTTACTATTGAAAATGGCCCTCAAACATGGTGCTGAAGTACTGGCTATTGTCCCTAAGCCTGGGAAAGCTGGGATGCACCTTACAGAGAAAACAAGATGTGTTAGACAAGCTTTCTTCAAACTGCTGTTTGCTATGACTTCATGGTAAATGAATCAACCCTATATAGGAAATAAGGTGTCTTCTTATTTAAGTAAGTGGAAACACTCATAATACAATGTATGGATCCATTGTGGAAATGTTGTGACCAGAGGCTTGCAGGAACTTAACTCTATATTTCCTTTAGGAGCAGTGGGTTGCTAATACAGTGTTTGCAGCAACTTCATAGAACATAACTAGAGTGAATGAGGGAAACGGACTGTACTTTAGTCTGGGCGGCATGATCACAAGCAGGGAGTTCGGAGCTTAAGTCCTACCCCAGTGCTTTTGTGGCCCTGACCGTCACACTCCAGGGGTGCTAAGCCAGAATCTAAACAGCCACAGGCTGGCCAGTGGTAGCTGCTGAGAGTGCTCCTGCTATCTACACCTCCGCCAATGCCAGAAGCTTTGCCAAACAGCACACTGGGAGTCAGAGGTGGGATTCTGTTGATGACGTCAGTGGTACTCAAGATACGAGAAAATGTAGAGATGGTCGACCTCCCTGGAGGGTCTGTTAGCCTAGCAAAGCCCATTTCCATGCTCTTAGGAGTGGTTCCCAAATTAAGCTGGTGTCAGGCATTCACAGAAGGATTTCTGGGTGCCTGGGCAGGCTCTCGGGATGACAGAAGCCCCTGGAACACTGTCATGCCTGCCTCGAGGGCTGCACCCTGTGGCACAGAGAGAACTGAGGCATTTCTGGCCACACCACAGCCTTGGCAATCTGTCTTCCCATCCCCCATGCAACAGATCTGAAGTTAGTGAAATAAAATTAAAAAGGCAAAAAGTGTCTTTCCAAAAGTCCTAAGACCTATGTAACTAGTTAACCAGAAAAAGTCTGGGATTACTGTTAAGAAGTAAAGATGAGTTTGCTGGGATATATACAGTACTTTTCACCCACTACCCACATCCTAATGTAACATCAATTTACTTTTCTCTCCCACAATAGAAGCATATGTATTCATTTAGATACAAATTATATAAATGTATATAAAATTGCTATCATTCATATATTTAAAATCAAATAACCCAATCTTAACTAATTGCCTAAAAAGAAAAAGAAAACTTGTTGCTAAAGGAAAATTCAAATTATAATTCTCATTACCGATGAATACTTGAGTTGGCATCTAAATTCAGAAACTTGCATGGATTTCCAACGACTCTCAGTGGCTTCATTTGCCTTTCCTCTCTAGTCTCTGCTACCACTAATGAAAATCGAGCCTCTTTTCATAAAAATCCCATCTGTCCACTCCCACTCCGGCTCCTGTTTTTGGCTCAGTCAGATCAACTTGGGGTATGGTGGCAGCCTGTGGGGGAAGCTGTGATGTGCTCTCTCATCCGCTTTCAAGGGAGGACATGTTGCTCTGGCTGCTGGAGGGCCCTTCAGGGAAGCCTCAGCTGCCTGGAGCCCCTGGCCTCAGGTCATAGCTTCCCACATCCAACGACTGGTGGCCGTGAATGACCTCAAGCCTGGACATCTTGGCCAACTCAGAATGACCTTCAAGGACCCTCCCAGCTCCGAGACTAGCGCTAGCTTGTGCCAATCTTTGCCCCATTCATATTTTTACTTATTTTTCTTCTCCCATTATTTGCAAAAAAACCAAAAGAAATATTGAATTTTGAGGATGATAAAGAACCTAAGTGGCAGTGATTTTCCCCTACCTCTTAGAACGAGTCACATGCACTGAATTCCTGGCAGTGTCTTTCCTGCTCTGTCTTTGGAAAGCCAGCAAGTCTCCCTGAGGAAGACTATTTCCAATAAGGGCTGAATCTCCCTTTGTTGAATATTTGGATCACTGGGCCACTACCTGATATGACAGAGAGTATATTTGAATGAATGAATTCTTTGGGTCTCTTTCTTCTAATTTTTTTAGAAATCCATCCACTTTACTGACATGGGAATAGACAGCAAGTGCATACCCTGCTCTGTAAGTAAAGGGCCTCGGCTGGAATTTGCCCAGACAGTGACTCTGGTGCCTGTTCCTTTTTTCTGACATTTTGTCTGTTTTCTCCAATACTTGATTGAACAATTAGCTTTCTTTTTTTCCCCCTCTGATAGCTTTCATTTTCTATTTTGGACTGAAATATTTTTATATTATCTTTTTTATATTGGGCTAAACTTTATGACAGCTTAACATTTTATCTTAGAATTTTTTCACACTTTGAAATAATTTCTGCATTTATATTTCACTTAAATTCTACATTTAAATTTTGGTATCAATTATTTTCTACTGGATTAATTTTCCATAACAACGTATAAAATGTTTATAACACATTTAAATAAAACTTTATGGATCATTTATGATAAACAGTTAATGGTTATTACATAATGATTTGTGTTTTAATAAAAGTAATTGTCAATGTAAACTGGAGACCCAGCAATTTCATTCTGGTACCTTAAAAACAATAGACTATATGAACATCAAGCAGAACATTAAATATTGCCACTATAGCATTACTGATAAGGTTTCTTTTTTAAATTTTACACTTAAAAGTCCTCATCTCTGAGTTCATTGCTCACAGAATCTATTTAGAAGTACGGGTTATTTTAGATGTTATTAGATTAACAAGATTGATTGTTGTGCTAATTCTTTAAGTTAAAAGTAAAGTTATTTTACATCCATTGTCAGGACTGTTGTAATATACTGATTTCACGAGACCATGATATCTTATGGCTGCCTTCTAGAAAAATGTCATAACAAATATATAATTCACCTGTCCTGGGAGTCAAGAATGTTAGAATAAAAATACGTAAAAAATCAACATGCAAAGTTGTTAGTGATGTAAAGTGTTGAGGCTTGGATGGGACATCTTTGCTTGGGTCACAGTTTCAGCAACCACACAGTGCCCGGCACCTGACAACCCCTCAGTATCATCACAGTGTCACTGATCAAATTATGAAAGAGTATTCTTTTCTTTTTTTCCCCTCTTTTATTTTTAGTTGGCATGTAATAATCATACATACTTATGGGATAGAGAGGTATACTTCAATAGATGTATGCAATGTGTAATGACCAAATCAAAGTAATTAGTACATACATCACCTCAAATATTTCTTATTTTTTTTGTGTTAGGAATATCCAAAATCTTCTCTTTTTAAAAATATATAATAAATTACTGTTAATCACATTCCGCCTACAGTGCTACATAACACTAGAACCCATTCCTCCTAGTTAGTTGTAATTTTGTATCCTTTAACCAACCTTTCCCTATTCTCCCCTCCCCCTGAACCTTCTCAGGCTATAATAACCTCACTTCTATGGAGTGTTCTTTACTCACTTGCAAAATATGACATGTTTGCAAGACTGTGTGGCACAGAGTAAACACTCAATAAAGGTTAGTTTCTTTTTTGACTTTTCATTGGAGAAGAAATTCTCCCTCCTAAATTTTCAAAACTAACAAAATTTTAAAAAGAGGGTTTTATATACATAGAACAATACTTGTTTGACATATCCTAATAGGTGGGTTAAAAGCCAACCATTAATGGGCAAGATTTGATTCTCAATCATTTTTTTCATTCATAGAAAACACAAGCTTTTGCAACCTAAATGTCCATCAATAGATGAATGAGTAAACAAAATGTGGTATATATTTACAGTGAAATATTATTTAGCCTTAAAAAGAAAAAAATTCTGATAAATATGTTAAGATGATAATTCCTATGTTATGTATTTTTACTACAATTAAAAATTAAAATAAAAAATTGACCAGAAAGTGATAGAATGTACCCAAAATGTTAATAAGAAAACAGGAGGGTCAATAAAACAGAGAACAGTTGAAGCATAGATTAAAGGTTAAATAGAACACTTTTCGTGTCTCTAAAACTAAAAAAAAAAAAAAAAAAAAAAAAAATCTCAAGTATTTTCTGCATACCCACGAAGTACTAGACCCCAAGGGTATAGCCCACTGGTAAGCAAACAATATTGCCATGTGAACGGAGCATTGAATACGGAAGGACAATGGTAACCTCCCCAACAAGTGCATGGAGAGGGAGTTTTAAAAATAAGGAAGGTTACTCAGAGGCTATCCTTGGCTACTATGATTGATACAATCAATAAGCCCTGCTCCACTCTGCCTTAATCTAACCTAAGTAACCCCCTCTTTTCCAATGCCATTTAGTATAGAATTTACAGGAGGTCGAAGCTGGAAGAAAACTAAGAAAGTGTCAAAATATCTAGCACAGGCCCTTCTATCTGTGGATAAGGGGGCTGAGCCCCGGAGCAGGGAGGCATTTACCAACAGCAACCCAGGCAGAAGCAAGGCAGAAACAAAAGGCAAAGCCTGTGACTTCCTGTCCCGTCTAATTCCTGCTACTTTCCTTCCTTTCCTTTCTCAGTTCCTCGAGCTTCTCCAAGATCACACACCTGGTCTTTCTCTCTGCCTGGAGAAGTTTCTTTTAAAATGAGAACTTTCTCAACAGTCATAAAGTTTATTGAATGCGTGGATGGATGATTTAAATCGAACAACTGTAACAGGTGACTGTTTCTTAGAGGTTAGGCATAAAAATTTCCAGATAAATTAATAAACATGAATTATCTATAAATTTTTTGTAATGATAAAATTTTTTGTAAATGATAAAAATTAGTCTGAATGGAAAAAAAAAATGTGTTGTTACTGCAATTTCTCCCAGTTTTTTATGCTGGTCTGAAGTCACAGACAGGCCCTATGAAGCCTCAGGTCTTTCCTTGGGTCCTGGGGCCCACTCTGTCTGTTGGGCAACGCAGACCAGAGTTTCTGGGATTTAACACCCAATTGGAGCAGCCCTTTGCCAATGTCAGATAGGAGTTGGTGGATAAATGCCCCCACTCCTTCACTCCTCAAGTGGGATAGCTTCGAAGTATATGTTCCGTGCTGCCCCTACAGGCCCTGGGTGGAATGAGGCTCCCAGGACCCACAGTGATAATTTTCATGGTAACACTCCCTGTACTAGCCGTTTCCCTTCCTCATGCACCTCCCAGTGCTTCTTGGAGCCACCTCCCAAATGGACAACTGGATTTGAATTCTGATCTCAGGAAAGCCTGGATGTGATATGTAACATTCTCTCCTCAACCAGATCCAGATACCATTAGCAATCATTTTCACAGTGGCTTGTAAATTTCTCTTGCTAAAAGCAAAAGCAACCAGAAATAGTGGATGCATATGGACAGATAAAGGGAGAACATCTCAACTCTAAGTTTCCAGCTGCTTTTATTCAAACATCTAGTCCCAGGGTTTCCTTATTTGAACTGGTTTACTCAACCCACATATAGACACTGAAATCCCTGCCAACCCAGTTTGCATGACAATTTCAGGTCTGTGTACACTCCATAACTTAACTCCCCTGTAAAATTTCCACAGGGAAATCAACGTCTGCCTGTATATTTATTTGTTTGTTTTTTGAAGTCAGGTGGGCTGTCTGTGTTTATCAACTTGGTCTGGCTTGCATATATATTGCAGATAAGGACAAATCAGGATAGTACTCAGAATGCTTTGTTTTTGGATGCTTTCTCGCTTAATATTTCCACAATTTGAAGAGAAGCAGAGAAGAGAGACAAAGAGAGAGAATCAGTGTTATGGTGGTGGTGGTGGTGGTGGAATATGTTATTGAAATTTTCAGCAGATATTTTTACCTTTAAAAGGAAGCTCATTATCATATAAGGGGAAGAATATGGTTTCTTTTCTTAAAACAGAATGAAACATCCATGCCCTTCATTTCAAATAATATGAAAGGAATGAAATAGTAGAGAAGCTATAGGTTGGATTGCACACTCAAAATAGAGTGACCAATTCCCATGGCATCAGACTATGAAGCGGTCTCCAGGATGGGGCCCCTCATGCCACAAGGCAGATGCCTGCTGCTCCCCTGTGCCACAGTGGTGGAAAGGAACCAAAAGTGTCAGATACTCCGGAGTTTTTAAACTTATGATTGACACATAATAAGTGTACGTATTTATGGGGCATAGTGCAAATACTCCAGCTCATCCCCCAATCTGAGCTAGATAATGTGCCCACATAAAGAAAATGAAATGATTATGTCGTCATATGCTTATTCAATAAATATACTTTCTAGTAAAGAAAAAAAAATCTGTGCAAATGAACGTGTTAAAATAGGATAGGATGAACTAAAACAATAAAGAAATTAAAAATAGCAATTAAAAATAGGTATGTTATATTCAGGTAGCACAGAGACGAGAGGTTAAATCCACCTAGAGAAACTGAGAAAGGTTTTTGGCAAGAGTCTATCCTGTGATGGGTTTTGAAGGATGAACAGCAGTTGGCAATGTGGAGAAGGTGGAGAATGGCATCCAATTCCTGCCCTTCAACCTAAAAATGACAGAATAGACAGTGGGTTTTTTTGTTTTTAAACATATAATAGTATTAGAAAATAAAAGTGGAAACCTCAGTGCATCTGAAGTTTTGAGGAATCCTAGTAAAGATAAAGTCATATGAAAGTGGGGAGTGCTACCCAAAGCAAAGGCAGGGGGCTTTGTTGCAAGACAGAGACCAAGCTCCTTTTTAGGGTCCCAAGCTCTGAGGGACCGACAGAGGGGTGACAAAGATTTGCCTGTGGTCTTATCTTGAGCACCTGCTCCTGAACAAGCTGGAGATTGGTGATCTGAGTGTCTGTGTTGTGGAACATGACTTGCCACAGTTTATTCATTTTGGGAGTGATGGTGGCTTTGGTCTCATTTGTCACTAGAAAGACACCAAACTCTGGGCCACGTGTGGTGGCTCACGCCTGTAATCCCAGCACTTTGGGAGGCCGAGACGGGTGGATCACGAGGTCAGGAGATCCAGACCATCCTGGCTAACACGGTGAAACCCCATCTCTACTAAAAAAATAAAAAAATAAAAAATAGCCAGGCGTGGTGGTGGGCGCCTGTAGTCCCAGCTACTTGGGAGGCTGAGGCAGGAGAATGGCGAGAACCCTGGAGGTGGAGCTTGCAGTGAGCCGAGACCGCGCCACTGCACTCCAGCCTGGGCGACAGAGCGAGACTCCATCAACAAACAAAAAAAAAAAAAAAAGAAAAAAGAAAAAGAAAGAGAGAGAGAGACGAAAGAAAGAAAGAAGGAAAGAAAGAAAGACACCAAACTCTGCAGACAGAATCTGTAACTGAAAGCTGGCTCATTTATGAGGGTAAAATTAACATATTCAGCAGGACAAGTGAAGAGATCACTTCTGTGACACAAGAGTGGGCTGTTATGGAAAAGAACCAAACGCAGACTTTAAAATGAGAATCCAGCTCTTCTATACAGCAGACGGGCTAAATAGAAGAACAGATGGAATAAACGCAGGAATGAGTGAGCTGGGAGCATGAGTCGGAGGAAAGATGAACATAGAGAAGGCATAAAGGAAAGTTTAAATGCGGCAATGGATCCAAAAGATGCAATTTCCTTTAAAAGGAGACACAAAGGAAAGAATGGAAAAAATAGATCTCGTGGAAGGCAAAAGACGGACAAAAAGATAGTGCAAAAAGTTCTTCCAGAGTTTAACAAAAAAGACACGAAGTTTCGAAGTTTTATGAGAGTAAAACGGTAGGGATGAAAATGGAGGAACACTCCATTTTGAGGGAAACTGAAGGACGCTAAGAGTCAAGAGTAATTCCTAAAATCTTCTAGAAAGAAAAACAGATTGCCTACAGAGAAAGCAAGAAACTGAAAATGAGGTAGCAATTGCATCAGAGTTCCAGAATTTTCTACCTACTTGACAGTATAATTCAAGGGCTAAACAGTGAACCAAAAAAGCAGAGACAAAGAGGGGAAACAAAATGGAACACAAGAAATGGTAAAAGGAGGAAGGTCTGTTTATTGTTTCCAAAAGAACTAATACCAAGGCAGAACTAAAATCCTACAGCAGCTCTGACCCATAGAAAAATAACGTGGGCCAAATTTGTAATTTCAAATTTTCAATAACAACTTTAACAAAGGGAAATGAGGCGGGGCGCGGTGGCTCATGCCTGTAATCCCAGCACTTTGGGAGGCTGAGGAGGACGGATAGCCTGAACTCAGGAGTTTGAGACCAGCCTGGCCAGCATGGTGAAACCCCGTCTCTACTAAAATACAAAAACTTAGCTGGGCGTGGTGGCACTTGCCTGTAGTCCCAAGTACTTGGGAGGCTAAGACACGAGAATCGCTTGAGCTCCGGGGACGGAGGTTGCAGTGAGCCAAGATCTCGCCACTGCACTTCAGTTTGGGCTACAGAGTGAGATCCCGTCAATAAAATAAAATAAAATAAAATAATAAAATAAAATAAAATAAAATAAAATATTTAATATATTTTATTTAAACCAATATATCTAAAATACTATTTCAAGATATAATCAATATTTAAACAATGCAATTTGGCATGTATTTTACACTTAGAGCACCTCTCCATTCAGACTAGGCATATTTGGGATATTCAGTAGCCTTCTGTACTGGTCAGCACTTCTAGATGACCTCAACAAGTAGTAGGCATGGGAAGAAGGGAGGAAAATTAAGTTCTACTGATGTTTCCTTGTTTGTTTCTTTTGTTTTGTTTTGTTTTTGCACCATCATAACTCACTGCAGCCTCAACCTCCTGGGTTCAAGCCATCCTCCCACCTCAGCCTCCTGCATAGCCAAGACTATAGGTGTTCGCCACCACCATACCCAGCTAATTTTTAAATTTTTTTAAAGATAGGGTCTCACTCTGTTGCCTAGGCTAGTCTCAAACTCCTGGGCTCAAGTGATCTCCCACCTTGGCCTCACAGAGTGCTGGGATTACAGGCCTGAGTCACCATACCTGGCCTGCTGAGGTCTTACTTGGGAGAGAAAACTAATTCCAGACATTGATAAAAATAACATTATAGTACGTTTAAACACAATATAAATTATTATAAGAGTAATCACTAAAGAGGCAAGAGGAAAAAAAGAATATTCACTAAATAATAGAAATTATATGTATAATTTCCACAACACTGCAAAAAATATATAAAACGTAAGAGAACTTGATAAATCCAATAAAAGCCTGCATGTTTCCATTGAGCATTGTAAAAAGAAAACTGAAAAATGAGATTATATGAATATGTCCAAATAAATTAGTAATCACACCCAATATGAAGGGATAAAATTGACCTATTGGAAGTCAAAAATAGGATTTTTAAAAAAAGAAAAAAAGAATCTGGGCACATCTTGTTACATAGACACACACACACACACACACACACACACATACACACACATGGGCGAGACAAAATAAAGAGAAATGTTGAAAATAAATAGAAAAAAATCTGTGAAACATACACTAAAAGCAGGTTTTACTGATGCCAGATAAATAAATAGCATTTAAACAAAAAGCCTTTAGAAAGCACGTAATAGTTCACACTGATAAAAGGAACACTGTATCAAGAGGATGTATTACTCATGGAACTTTTTAGGTTCAAATAATATAAAACAAAACTATCAAGAATAATAAGAAATTTCTAATTCTAAAATTATAGGTAAGAAATTTTAACACTTTTTTGGAATTCAACATCAAAATACGATATTTTAAAGAAAACTCTATATATTCTCATTCCTGAATATTTAATATGTATCTAAAAAAGGATGTCCTCACAATGCCATATGACTCTAAATAAAATTTTAAAATTCCTTGATATTATCTGCTGTCTGATGTTTTCAGTTTTCTCTAATTGTTCATATATGCCATTTTATAGTTTGTTTGAATGAAGATTTTTAAGAGGCTACTACTTGTCTATATTTGTTTTATCTTTTAAGTCTCTTTTCACCTGAAATTGTCCCCTTCTCCCCTCCTCTTTCCTTTCTCTCATGCAATTGTCTTGTTGAAGTCACTGGGCCCATAGAATGTCACAGTCTGGGTTTACCTGCCTGTGCCCCATGGTGTCATTGTACCTGTTCCCACATCCCTGATACATCCGAAAGGCTGGAGATTGGATGTAATGACCTCATTAAATACACATTTCTTTATTTTTTTTAATTTTTGCAAGAATGCATCATAACTGTGCTGTGTATTTCATATTATATCACACCAGAACTTACCTAATATGCAGTTGTGACACTTTTATGAATCCTAATACTGACTAATGTGTTCAAGTGGGAGTTTATGTTTCAAGGAATATGAAGTCTTTGCTGCTTTTGCGTTTTATGTATTTTTAAGAAAGAAAATGGATATATTTTATCACATCAACATATGAAGTTTTGTAATGACACATACCCACCCCTAAATAAAGTTAAAACAAAGGACACACTAGGAGAAAATGTTTTCAAAATGTAGGACAAACAATCTAAGACATAAGTAACTGCAAATTAGTAAAAGAAAGAAAAACAACTAATAAAAAAGTAAGCAAAGGATGTAAACAGGATATTAACAGACAAGTGGAAAATAATTGTCAATAAGAGTATGAAAAAGGCTCAGTTTCAAGAATAATCACAGAGCAAATCAAAATACTAAGATACTGTTTTTATCCTGCCATATTGGTAAATTTGCATTGTTTGATAATATTCATTCATTTTTTGACAAATATTTTTGTGCCCTAAGCTTATACCAGCCCTAATTCTAAGCATAGCTGAGAACAAAGTAGATTCCCTGTCCTTAAGAAACTTGCATTACTGAGTAGGAAATAGTCAATACATAAATAAACAAACATGAGAATAACTTAATTTCAGATAATGACATTTCTATAAATAAATAAATAGCATCTTTCAATAGACTAAGGTGGGAGTCAGAAGAACTGTACAGAGAAGGCATCCCAGAGAGGAAAGGTGGTGGCTAAGGTGTTGCTAGCTATGTACATTTTGGGAGGTGGGAATGAGATGGAGGTAGGTTTGGGTGGGCAGAACTTTTTTAAGAGTGCAGAGCTGGGCAAAGATCCAAAGACAGGAAGAATCTGCCATTCTGGAGGCATAAGAGGCCAGTGTTTCCAGAGCACTGAGAACAGTGCAGTGTACTTTGTATTACATTATGTCAGAATTTGCCTAATGCAACATTTTGAAAGGTAGAAGTGAAGTTCCAAAAGTGGAACAGGACAAGATCAGGTAAGGACCAAGATGGACATTTTAAGATTGTATTTGACACAAAAAGCAGTGAGAATCCCTGAGAACTCTGAAATGGAGGAGAGGCATATCGAGGTCTTAAGTTTATTCTGGGACTGCATGGAGGAAGGACTGTGGGTGGAAGAAGAATGGAAACACGGAGCCCAGTTAGGAGTTGAAGAGGGGCAAATGGGCTCTGAATGTATTTTGGAGGTAGAGCCTCAGGTTTTGCTGATAGACTGGGTGAATAGGGTGAAGGAAAAGGAGGAATCAAAGATGGCTGTCATGGGTTTGTCCAGATACCCTGGGTGGATGGTGGCAAGATTAACCAAGATAAGGGAAAAGGATGGGGGGGATCAGAGTTCCTTGGAGGGGTCTGGCCATGACTGCTCACTGGTGGGGCCACTGAAGACATTGGCAGGGGAGGAAAATAATCAAATAGGCATTTTTGAAGGACGGATTGGAGAAAGGCGATCCTAGGGTGTGCTTGGATGTAAGGGTAGAGGCTCCTGCCATAGTCCAAGCAGAAATAGTGAGGCTCAGAACCGAGGCAGAGAGAATGGCGGAGAAGGGAGAACAGCTTCCAGAGATGGGAATAAAGGCACGCTTAGAACACAATGTTGACTTGGTGGTGCGGCCAGGGAGGAAAGTAGGTGCCTGTCACAAGGGCTCCCAAATTTGTCACCTGAGTAAAGATGTGAAAAGGGTATCATCCAACAAAACAAAACAAAGTTAAGGAGGATGGAGAACAAATGTCTTTCTCTCAACAAGGCTGTAGGTCCTCAAGTATTGGGCCCAGGCCCTTCTCTTGTCTGGTATGTGATCTGTGGATAGTCCCACATAAAGTGAGTGGAATTATCAGATTAAAACAACAACAGTGGTCACAACAATAACAACACTGGAACTATTGGATGATTTTCTGGTCATATTTTCATTAACTTGCTACGATATTCCAACTTGCTATTTGAGAAACAAGAAAAAAGAAATTTGATTTATTGGGTGTGAGGTGGAGGATGGGAGAGTGAGTAGGGTAGGCCAATTGCTTTATTATTTTGTTCACAAACAGTGATTATGAAAATAAGGGCAAAATTGTAAAGAACTGTTGGGGGCTGTAGGATGATGAGCATAGGGTTAGGTGAGCTGCTGAATTGGAAGATAGAGGAGATCCCTTTACTGAGAGCCCATTCTCAACACTGGCTTGAAGACACTTAGGTGAGTTTCAGTCAGATTAAGCCCAGTCATTTGTTAATAAATTAAAATACCAACATTACAAAGAATATGTATTGGATATTTGTGAGTACACACAAATACAACCAATATTAACAAGTTGAATACAACCTTATATTTATTTCCAGGATCTGTGTCTAATTTTCAGTATTAATATATTACTAAAAGAATATTTTAATAGACAGATCTATTTTGTTCTCTACAATTCTTATCCAAAACTTTCTGCTTGGGGAACTACCTAATTTCCTTTTATTCTAATAAGTAGATGAATGAGACTTCACTTAACTATAATTTCCCTCTATTAGCTGTTCATGACACGTTGCTTGGTAATATTTCCAAAAGTCATGCTTACACAATGTTGAGTACCAACTTTAGAAATTATTAATTTAACAAATCCAAATAAATAAACTTCCAGTCAAGAAGAACTGAAGTGATTTCATAATATGCCTAAATATTGACCATTGTTCTTCAACTTTGAGGTGTTTTAATAGCAAAATAAGGAAATACCAGCCAGGGATGAAAATCCCAGCATTCTGGCCATCACATGTTGTGACTTGTGTAACAGCACAGATGGACATGAAGATGGTGAGCCTTGTAAGGCCCCTCCTCTCCCTCACATCTTAGCTGCAGGAATTTTAGTTTCATTATCCAGCACCAATGAGTATCCTTTCCCTCTTCGTATGCTAAGAACATTTATTCCATGATTGTCTGTTTCCACTCTAATTTGTATTCTGTCTACACAAAAAATTTGATGTTACAATGCTTAGCGACATACCACATAACTCAGAGTGAATTCTTTCACACAGTCCCAGAGAGAGAGGGTCGGCCAGATGCCAAAACATTGCTAGTGTGGTGGCTTTCCTTCCGACTGGAGGAGATGTTTAAATGGTGTTGTATCATTTCTTGAACTACATTTTTGCCTCTGTGCCTCCTGGGTATGAGAGGATTTATAGACCAACGTTTTTCCATGTTTTCTTCACATGGATTACTTTTTTTTTTTTTTTCTGTAGGACTCTCCAGCTCCTTAAATAGGCTGCTGTTCTTTTGATTCACTACTTGGAGTTAGAGGTTATAGCATTTCCCAAACCTGTTTTACTTGCTTTAACCCAGGATTTCCTGTGAGCAGTACCTATTTTTTTTCTGTAATACCTGACATATCTAGTGAAGCACACTTTTGCCAACATGAAATGAATAGCCATGTCTTTAATAAGCATGGCTAACTCAAAGAGAAGATCATAGTTTTTACACATTTTGCCTTCTAAAATGTAAGACTGATTCACTAATCAATTGATTCGTCAATAGAGAAACAGAAACAATCTCTTACAAAGTTATCACTGCAAGTTCGCTGATGCTCATGATTGAATCTATCTCCAGAAACAAAGGGAGAATAGAAAGCAGAATCATTTTCCAAATGGAGGAAATAGGTGAACAGAGCCCTCCAATATAGTCAAACTCACCTTCTTGTCACAATAATGAAGGCTGTGTTAGAAAAGGCAAGTTAATAAGAACACATATTAAAAAGAAATTATCCAGAATAACGCACTTTTGGAACAATCTCATCTAACTCCAACTTCAAAGAGGAGGGAACTGGAGATAAAAGCAAACAAAACTAGCAGATGGCACTCCTGTGACTAGCAACAAAGCACCTTAATTTCGAACTCAATGTTCTTCCAAGGAGAAAAATACAAAGATTATCCTCCTTGGTAGTTTAAGTAAAGCTGACATTGGTTTAAAAAACAAAAAAAGGCTTTGGTTTCAAGATAAAGCAGTGAATCTGGCTTTAAAGGCAGCCTAAAGGGTAAAGGAGGGGAATGAATGACTGTAAGGCCCATAAGATCCGGTCAGCAGTAAATGAAAGGGAGGGTGAGGCTACTTTAGTGGAAGCAAGAAGACTTAGGGGGATTGAATTGCACACAAGGCGGTGAATATCCCGAATGATGGCTAAGTCTTCATGATGCCACCAGACTTACAGATCATCCAGTAAGTCATTTTACTAACAACAATTTTGTAACTACTAAACTATTTAACCATGTGCCCTGTTTCTCATTTCTTCTCCAGTGTGTGAGTGAGTATATACTTAGTTTGGCAAAAGATTTATTTCCCAGCTGGAAGTAAATCAGGTCCATATTACACTCCAAAACCCAGTGTCATGTTGATTGTTTATGCCAATTTTGATCCAGGTGTTTCTCACTTGTTGATGTGGAGACAGTGGGAAAGTGCATGCTCCTTGTCACCATACAGAGCTGTAGTTGTAATTTTAGGGCTGCTTGCAATACTAGTGGTGAAAGTCAATAATTTTTGGATAAATATGATGACTGAGTCCAAGAAAGCTTAACTATGTATGATGGGAGATATGGTAAGATGTTTACACCTCCCAGACCATGTGTGTGAACCACCATAAATAGTAAAAGGAGAAGTCACAAAGAAATAAGGATTTGATTTAACTGTGGTGGATGTTTGCTTTGTTTTGAGTCAGAGTCACTGTTGCTCTGAGATCTGTAACAGTTCAGTGAGTGTCCCTCTCTTCCAACCTGCATCCCTTTACTTGAGTACTTTGTCTGGTGCTGACATCTGTTCTGTCCACAGGTGCTACAGGCTGAATGTCCTGAGGAATTAATGCTTCTGGGAGCAGCCTTTGACCAGTCCCTGAGAGAATTAGCAGATAGGCACATGAGCTCGTTCGCCCCTTGGTTGAGATAAATCTGAGGCACATGCTTGATGCTGGCTCCTAGAGGTCCCCAGCAGGTTTAAGCTCTGCATGCCCATGGTGGAAACTGGCCTCATGGCATAACCTTCCCAGACTGCCTTCCTCTCTCACTTCCCCAACCCCTGACTGCTGTTTCCTGGAATCACTCCCAAAATAAACAGCTTGTGCTTGAATCTTCGATTTGGGTCTGCTTTTAGGGAACCCACACAAGACAATATGACTTGACTCACATTTCTCTCCAGCTTGGCCCTGAGTAGGATTAGTAACGACAGGCAGGGATACATCATGGACACCAGGCCATTGTCCAGTGCTTGCTCTCTATGAGTCTTTCGAGTTCCAGTTGGGTGAGCGTGACCCACTTCTGCAGCCCTTCCAACTCAGCACACACGCTGCCAGGAGCAGAGAGCATCGGGGTAAACACGACATTTTCCTCATGCTCAGCAAGACAGGAAGTTTATTAAATCTGGTATAAATCTTTGTCTTTAAAGTGCCAGTTGGTGATTTATTTTCTCCTTCTGTTTAGATTTTTTAGAGCGTAGGTGCCAACCTCTGGAATCCAATCCAAAACCCCAAGCGAAGTCCTGTTGATAAATCAACAAAAGCCCTGTTTGCACAACGCAAGCCAAATGCAAATCCCTCATCCTTGAGAGTGAGTCTAATGATCATTTTTCAGTGTTATAAAAGGTGCCATATCAATGCATCTTACTAATTCTCACCTTGGCTTCTAAGAAACCTCCTCTGGCTGCCTTCCTTCAAAGAAAATCCACAGATAAATAAAACCTCTCAAGGAACACCATAGGTGGTAAACACATCTGAGGGGAAAGAAAATTGCTTCAGGATGCAGTTAGCGGGCATATTCCCCACTATCTCTCCCTTGTATTTGGGCAGCCAGTTCAACCGTGTGTGCTTCTTCATCTGCAAAAGGGTTTTAACATGGATCTGATGCAGGCTCTGAGAGCAATTTAAATAGCGTGGCTAAGACCTTGTTAACCTCTCCTTGTTATGAGCTGGGACTCAGGCATGTGGCCGAATCCATATAACCCTCTATTTCCTTACCCTAGGATGGTTGAAAGGATTAAATGCATTCACTTATTTGTTCCTTCACCCAAGAAATATATATTTGGCACCTACTCTGTGCCAGAAACAGACTGGGCTTGGGATACCCAGGTGAACCAAACAGTTGTGGCCAAAGGAAAGAAGGTTAGTGGCAGTGAGGCAGTGAAAACAAAGAGACGAAGACAAAAAACTGAGGCTGACAACGTCGGCATGAGCCAAACCATACCAGGCCTCAAAGGAGCTTGGTGTTTGTGCTAAGAACTATTGGAAACCACTAAAGGGCATGAAGCAAGAGAATGAGTGGCATGAGAAGAAATTAGGAGGCAAGTGGAGAATGGATGAGCTAAGTGCCAATAACAAGGTCACCAGACCAGTGTCTGGCACAGCACAAATGTTCAACAAATAGAAGTTCTTGCCGCTCCCCTTGCACCCATCCCCTCAGAAGCCAGAGTTATTATCCTGTCCTTAACCACCTCCTCTAAGGTAATATTACCTAGTAACTGTTAAGCTATTACCTGCCTCCATGATCCAATTATCCACTTGGGGGCAAAGATCATTTCTTCTTTGGGAGGAGGAAATTGGAAATTAAGTTTTATGATCTAAGGTAGAAAAGGCTTCTGTTTGACAAGAATCATTGTAAAATTATTGCACATTTCATATCAACGTGTGTAGCTAACTACTATACAAAAGAGGTTATGGGATTCTAGAAATGATATTTATGATCAAAGGCAGCTCAAATGGTTGGGCAAACGTGAAAGAGATATACACAGATATAATATAATCATGTGCCCTTAAAAACAAGTTGGCAGGTTGGCTCAGTCGATTTTTGGTAAATAGAGTAAGTATTTAAAATAACAAGGGCAGCTAATTAGGTATATATCCTATTCATGAAAATTTGCTATTATGTAAGACCTATGAGTTGTTGATCATAAGACTTTATTTTGAAAAACGTTGGAATATATATGTTTATAAAGATAAATGCATCTAAACAATTGTGTCTGGACAATGAGATTTCTTTTGTGCTGTTTAAAATACACAAAAGATGGACAGAGACAGACACAGAACTATGTCGCCATCAAAGAGTTTCAAAGAAACCAATGACTAGGTGTTAGTTAGATGCTTTCAAAAAACTAAAATCTAAGAACCACCAGATGGGTTTATTTTGCTACATTTAGATAAAGACAAACAAAGAAGTGACAAACCCATTACTGGATATAGATTTAATAATCTATCAAGAAGAGTGATTTTTAAATTGGAAATTTGAAGGAGAGATTCAAAAATCCAGAATTGGTGAAGGGCTAAGAAATTGTCCAACTTTACAATGGAAATGGAAAGATCTGGCAGATGAAATCTTAGGGTTTTACTTGATAAGTAAAAAGAGAAACCAATCATGAGAATTGTCAGAAGGCTAGGAAGAAGCAAATGTTGCCATATCGTTCAAAGAATTATTAGGCTACATTCTGGAAATGATGAGAAAATTTGTAGTTGATCCCTAAGAAAATTCAAGAATAAAATTTCAATCATATGACTTCAGAGCTCTTAGAAAGGAATGAGCATCAGGAGTCAAAATAAGTTCACAACAAACAAACCCTTCCACATAGTTGTTGATGTTGGTTTTCATTGTGTTACCAAAGAGGGGGGATCAGGATCAGGCAATAGATCCACTGGGTATATTTCTGGGAAACATGGACAACAACCAGGAAAAAGAGAATTGTTCCAGGTACCTCTAAATCAGAAACGTTTATTGCCAAAGTAAAATGAAGATGAATTCCTCGCTGTGTTCAGTCATGTTTGGTAATCCATCTGCTTTATATTCAGGTTTTTATTCTGGGTTTTCTTTGAGCATGGGTGGACAAATCTATGTATAAAGCATTTCCTGCAAATTAGGCCATGCACAGTAAAAAGTTAACTTGTGACTTTCTAGACAAATGCCATTTCATATCATTACTCCTATTGATATTTATGCTATCCTTTCTAGCATATGAACAATAAGTTACTATCATTTTCTAGACAAATTAAAGCTTTAGTGACTTGTAGAAAAGCGATTGGGTTTGGAATTCGCTAAGCGATAATCATTCCATCGCCCTAGACTAGTAATGCTGGGCGAATGAAGTTAAAACTCCATGATGAACATGGAGAAAAGCACCCATCCTTTTGGAAGAGTTTTAGCTTGGCAAGGAAACTGGCAAGTTTTGCTTTAATGTAGATAGTGGTACCTGCATTCTCAACCAGAGCTCCATTCCAACATGGCCCCGGAGAAGCTCTGTACAGCGGAGCCCTCACATCATCTGCACTATATGTACACTTGGTCAGGCTGTGTAAACTTTGACATGTGGGTGTCAATCTTTCTCATATTTGCAGATGGCTTTATCAGAGCGTGATTAGTTTCCAGAACAAATTTGAGCAAAAGAAAACATTACCTACAGTATGTAAGCCAACAGACCAGCTAGTTTTCAGATTTGTCTATTTACATGGGCACTAGATGTTTTGCTAAGGCTCTCTAACACTGATGGTAATTGAACAGTGCCAGTGTGTTAGTGGAAGCTGATGAGTTGTAAAGGTTTTATAAACAACTAGGGTGGATTTGGCCACAGCCTTTCTAGTAATGTTTGTTAATCTCCCTGAGCAAGTGTGCACCTAACACAATGTAAATACTCCAGAATTTGGAGGTGTCAATAGTGTAACTTTTACTGTTTGTAAAATCATTCTTTGATATCATCAGTAAGTTTACTGAATGTCCCATGGCCAAATATAATAAAACCTTAAGTAAGCGCTTACAGAGAAATAAGGGAAAACATGTGTTTTATTTTTACCCCGCTGCATGTTTGTTAAAGGATCACCGTAGACTGATAAATAGAGTCATGACTGTGCCTGTGTGTAGATTTCCATCTGGATTTCAGTTAAGGCTAGTTTTACTCTATGCTGAGGAGGAAAAGTATCTTTACAATTATTAGATGGCTAGTTTACCTATTTCACTGAGAAAGACTTACCTTAGAACTTTCAGGGAAAATCTTTACTGATCTCAAATTATCAGCAAATTCAAAATTTCTTTAAGATTAATTTCAAGTAGAATTGAGGGTGTGGGTGTAGCTGGTAAAATCTGTGTTCAGAAATTCTTGTGCACACACCTGTTTTTGGGTGTGGCTGTGCTTTCCAATGATGTCAAATCCCATTATTCCTCAGCTCCCTTGTTAACCGCTAGAGGGCGGATCCATTTCCAAGGGTTTCCTGGGCAAGAGGGAAAATCCTTCTGAACATCAAAAGAAAAATAGTTAAAAGTTTTCTGTTTTTTTTCTCTTTTTCCCTTTTTTTTTCTGTGAAGAGTCTCATCCCCACCCACCCCCTGCATTGTTGATGTCTGTGAAAACTTTGGGAATATGCAGTGTCCTAGTGCATCTGATAAGACTACAGCCCCGGAGGTTAACAAGCAGCCCCTCTGGCTGCAGTATTGATGCAGAGGAAATGAAATGGCGGTGACATTTTAAAGAGGAATTTGTGAACCACAGATATGAGCATGGCTAGCGCAGCATAGTGGCACATAAAATCAATACAAATAACCCGAACCTTAATACCTTGATCCAGGGAAGAGACTAGCTTTATCAGACGCCAGGCGGGGAGCGGCCGGTGGGCCACCTGCGCTGGGTGTGCTATTGACCTACTCTGGAGAGGCGTTAAGCCAACCACAATTAGGAGGATTTCTTTTTTAGAGATGCCTTTTGCTAGAGAGAATTTTCTGGGGAAATGTGTGTCATAATAAAAATAATCTTTGAAACACCTCCTTGCAGCAAACTTGATCATACCACATTGTCATTGTCAAAACTAAGACACTATATTTTTTCTCCAAATTTTACAAATTGTCTCTGCTTTATATACACACACACACATACACACACACACATATGTATCTGTGAAAATCGTCTGAAGATGTACTGCCTTCCCCTTCTATAGTTTCTAAAGGCTGAGAATAAAACTTCTATTTTGTGAGATTACAATTACTGCTCTTACTGTTCACTGCAAGAGGAAAAAGTCATTTTCTCTTCTTTGTAGCATGAAATTCTTATTGTGCATAACTAAGTTTATGCAGCTAGCTAAAAAATCAATGGGAGCTAAGACCTGGCATTATAAAAGGGTGGGACTCTATTGATTGCAATATTAAATTTTCCCTCTTTGCATAATTTCATTTAAAAAACAGGCTGAAAAAACCTGTGATCAATTTAATTTGGAAAATGTATTTTTGAAGAATATCCTTTCTGTTTTTTGTTTTACTTCTTCTTGAGATGTTATGACAAAGAGCGACTTCATTTTTCAAAACTATGAAAACCCTTAAGCACAGGTAACACTGTTTTAGATTTTATAAGATATGTGGGGTAAACTCAGGAAATAGAGGTTGGGGGGAGGCACAATCTTTCCCATGCACATCTTTTTGGCAATTTTCCTTGTGTGTAGCTCTTGTCAGGTTTTATTTGCAAAGAATTAGAAGGCCATGCAAACACAAGACCTATCAGAGTGTAGATTACTCCTGATGTTGGAGTGGAAAACCAAGTATCCTCTGAAATCAATCTCCTGTTTCCAGATAGATGTATGAGTAACCAAGTGTCCCCCTTGAATAAGAAGCACAGATTTGGCTGAACAGAAATAGGGCAATCTTTCAATAGTGGGAGACTAACTCTCACAAAACAGAAAAAATAGAAAGAATTTATTTTCTTTGTCATATTCAATGCTTGAATGGAAAGCAAGTACCTGCCTTCTCTAGGTCTGTGTGAAGAAGAGGACAAGATGGTGGATTTCTTTCCATTATTAATGATTGACTTTTCAAAAGAGTTACTTCTGTCTTTTAATTCTGTAGGATGAGGGTGTCTGTGCACAAGAGGTGTTTGTTGTGTAGCACTTTGTCTCGATGAACTGTGATGTCATGGAAAACCCAACAGCCTCTCCTGGTCCACACACAGGAGTGTGGCTTGGTCTTAGGGCCAAACACATCCCAGTCTTGGCCTGAATTTCGGTTTCTCCCTGCCCTCACCTGCCTTGGACAAGCCAGGTGCACGAGTCCTAATGCTGAAAGCTCTCAGGAGACAAAACCCCTCCGTTCCGAAAACTTCCAAGTCCTGTGCAAATGCACGTATGAACCCAGGGCTTGAGAAGGTGAAAGCCACAGTGGCGTGGAATTGCATGTGTGAGTGTGTGTACAGAGTAACTCTGTTTGTTTGTAGGTCCTTAGTAGAAGGGTGTCTAATGTTGACTTTTTGAGGCTAATATTGTTTGAATTTTCTATCCTGACTCTAAGCCACCTTACAGAGGGCTCTTTTTCCCATGCTGTTTGTACACTCATTACCTTTTAAAATGTCTTGAAGTAGTAAACAGTTCAACAGTTCTCCCTTCCATCCACCCATTGTCAAGAATAATGGGGGCCAGACTGCCAAGTGCAGCGTTAGATGTTGTCGCCTGCTGCTGGCCCTGGCCATAAATATTTGGAGCTTTGGGGCAATCATTCGTACACACTATGCAGTTCAACAAATCCTTCATGAAAACCCAGTCGGTTACCCTGAGAAAAATGTGTGGCCCAAGACATATTTATCGGGGTGGATTTCTAGTAATGTGATTGACACAAGGCTCTTGTTTTTTTGGTTGATAATTTGTTGTAAAGGAAGTAAGAGATGGTGTAACATACAGGCTTTCTCTGCATGTGTGTGAATGTGTATTTGCATGGGTGTTTCCTTTCACTTGAATTGAACTCCTAAAGACCACACTGTATTTTTCCTTAGTTTGAGCAACAGAGAGAGGGTTGTGACTTTCTTCTCAGGGTAGAAAGAAAATCATTTAATTTTAGCCACTTTATTCCTGGTCTTTGTGTATGAAGAAATGAATCCACATCTCTATTCCTTTGGCTTAGGACAGGGCACGGGGAGGTGGGGTATGCTTGGAAAAGGCCAGGGAACAGGGGGCGTATCCATCTGACTCCTTGACATTCTTCCAGGGAGAATCCTCCTTTGTTCCTTCAGGCAAGTGAGTTAGAGAAGGCTTGTAATTACTACATTGTCACGTTAAATTAAAAGCAATGCCCTCCTGGTGGCCTGTCAGCTTAAGAGGCATCCCTCTCTTTCAGGGCTCTGATGTGGCTCCTGCCAGGCCCTTATTGTGCTGGTGAAAAGGCCAAGTGAGTCTCAGCCTATTCCCATCCAGAGACATTCTGGAGTAGGATCCTGGTACATTTCTGCCTTAGGGTTGTGTGTGAGTCTGTGTGTGTATTTTAAGTTTGAAAGCAGACTGGCTTGGCTCTTATACAATCTCTACTCTGAAGTACATCTGGCAAAGACACCGTGGCTCTTTGGAGGCTGTTGATTCCACGGTGAATAGAACAGGGCCAGCATGCCCCGGGATGAGGCATGTCAAAGGAGCATCCAACCGCAGTCTCCAGGAGGAAGGTAGGAGCCAATGCCATCACTAGGGACCCAATGCCTTCTTTGAAAATTACCTTCCTTGTGGACTAACGTGTTTTCAGGAGAAAACCATTGCATTATAACTAAAGGCTGCATAGAGACCTTGTCAGCCTCAGCCTGAGATGACAGTATTCAGAGCATATCCTTACCTGGACAAGGACTTTGGGGTTCAGAACCTAGTTTTGAAAGAACTAACCTCAAATTCCCATCTTCAAATGTCTCTGAGCAAGAACTTGGACAAGTCGCTTGGGCCCCGTGAATCTCCTTGCAACCTACCAGAGACTATTTTCTATGTTATCTGTTGCAGCGACTGTCAATGAGCTTATATGAGTGAAGCGAATTCTAAATTGCCAAGTAAATAAAGATTTGGTATTTAGGAAAGAGAACAGGCTATCTAGTGTGTTACCTGTGTTTGGAAGGAGTTAAAAGGAAAATGCTTGATCAAGGCAAGAAACAAGGTTAAAAGTACTCAAGGCTTTTTTCCCAGAAGTTTTATCGAGTCTCATTAGGGAGTCTAACATAGAAGGGTCTCCCTCTAAGCAGACTAAACTGCTGGCATTTACTGCAGGTTATAAATAGAGAAGCAAATCTCTAAAACTAGTTTAGGGTCATGGAAAGGACTACTTTCAATCAATTCCTCATAAATAATATTAGGAACATAATTTCTAATAAGTTACTCTTGCACATTGGTTTCTCTGAGAAACAGACACTGAGATAGAATTGGGAGTGCAGAGTTTATTGGGGGATAACAGTGTTAAAGCAAAAGGGAGGAAGGAAAAAGTTGGAAGGGTCATTGGACCACAGTGCAGACCTGGCAAAGTCTGTGTCCACCACAATGGGAGCTCAGAGAAAAGGCGACCCCTTGGAAGAACCCCTCACTGGGCAGAAGTTGCAAGGATCTTGTACCACTGCTGTGCTCTGGCACTGGCCAGGGGCTGCCCTGTAAGAGCTCACAAGCTGAGATGTGTCTGGAGGCTGTGGGCTCATCTGAATCCTTGCAGCTGAACAGGGAACCCTCCCTTGAAGAGGAATTTGTCATACTGACAAACACTCCCCTCCTCATCCTCATCCCTTCCACCAATATTCAGAATGTTACCAGCAGAGACTCACCGAGATCAACACACTCTGTTGATCAATCCTGCTTAGGACTTGATCCACTATTACATTTTCACTGTAGGACGTGTAAAATGTACACAATAAAATATTTGTTAATAATCAGATCAGATGAATCTGGTAAACTCTTAAAAATTGTCATGATTCTTTCTTATGACATGAAAATTGTATAGTTGTAGAATGCAGAGTTTCCTTTGTGCACTGGCTGCCAGAAGTCTGAAAACTATGGGGAATTTTAGCCTGGGCTTTTGATAAGTATGATCCATGATGTCCTTTCTCTGCATGATTCTCAAACTCTTATTTAAACCTTTTATTTCTTATACTTTATGTTTAGTCTCCATAAATGCTTTTTGGAAATATAGAGAGATAAAATATAGACATGGATATGGATCTCTATTATTCCAGGAATCAGCCAGGGAATTGTGTTTCCACTTGAGCACCCATTCTGGCTCAGTCAGTTCTGCCTTTTGTTTTGCTTTTCCTGGTCCCCCCACTCCCTTACATAGCCTTTGTCAGGTGGTGTCTGCCTCCACATCCTCATCTTTATACCAACTCACTCTATGAAGCTTAATTCAAGTTGTGGGTCTATCAAAACACACAGAAAAAATGGCCAGGCCCAGTGGTTCATGTCCGTAATCCCAGCACTTTGGAGGCAAAGGATGGCAGATCACTTGAGCCCAGGAGTTGTTCGAGACCAGCCTGGGCCACATGGCAAGATCTCATCTCTACAACAAATACAAAAATTAGCAGGCATAGGAGCAAGCACCTTTAGTTCCAGCTACTTGAGAGGCTTCGGTGGGAGGACGGCTTGAGCCCGGGAGGTGGGGGTTGCAGTGAGCCAAGATTGTGCCACTGTACTCCAGCCTTGGGGACAGAGCCAGATCCTGTCTCAAAAAACAAAAATAAAAACAAGCACATACACAAGGAAAAACAAAACCCTCTTGGCATCCCCTGTCTGCAGTCTGTGACTTGCCATTGTGGCTCTCCTGCAGAGATGTTGCATCCTACTCCAGCCATGCCACATCACCACGCCCAAGCAATCCCGCAGGTAAGTCACAGAACTGCTCTGAATGCGAGTTTCTCATCTGTGGATTCGAGCTGAGCTTCCCTTCCTCTCGGTGTGGCTCTGAATGAAGCAGGAGCATGTGCAGAGCACTGTGTACCTGGGTGACCCTTCATGCCTCACGTCCCATCTTGAGACATCCACAGTAACTGTGGGCCACATGACAGTATAAAGCACCTATCCAAAGTCTCCTGGGTGTTTCTAGAGGTCAGGCACAGGTAAGTGTTGTTTTCTATCTATGAGCTTCTTGTAAGATGACCAATGAGGTTTTTCCCCACATTTCCTGCATCTCCATTAGTCTTGGCAGTGCTATTAAGCGTCTAATAAGTTACTGCTTTTAATGATGACTAAACTCCAAAGGGGTTGTCATTTTATCACAATCTTTGGGTGGAGTAGAGGGGAAGGCATGCTGCTCCTAGTCCTCATGAGTCCACCCCACTTAGCTGTTTTAAAGAAAACAAAAGGCCAGGCACAGTGGTTCTCGCCTGTAATCCTGGCACTTTGGTAGGCTGAGACGGGAGGATTACTTGCTGACAGGAGTTTGAGACCAGCCTGCACAGTGGAGCGAGACCCTGTCTCTACAAAAGATAAAAGTAAAAAAATTAGCCAGGTGTGGTGGCGCACACCTGTGATCCCAGCTATTCAGGAGGCTGAGGCAAGAGGATCCCTTGAGCCCACGATCTCAAGGCTGCAGTGATCTCACAACTGCACTCCAGCCTGGGCAACAGCATGAGACTCTGTCTTAAAAAACAAATAAATAAATAAATAATAAAGAAAAAAACAGAATTAGCAGATGTCAATGTTATCTCTTGCTTTTTTTTTTTTTTTTTAATTTGCTTAACCTGCAGACCAATACTTTGGCAGTCTCAGTGTTTCTCAGGATGGCACAAAACCCCACATAAAATACACAGAGCAGCCACTTGCTGAGCCCACAGCCTGAGGCAAACAGGGTTGCCCTGACCTGCACTGCCAGCCTTAGGCCACTTCTGGGGTTCTGTTGGGGTGGGCAGGACAGACATGCAGGTGGAGGGAAGGAGCCATGGTAAGGTAAATCCCAGGGCTTGGATAATGTGGGCTTCTCAGCAAATCAACCATGTCACATGACACAGGTAGTAATGATATTTGATTAAGCATAGGAAGTATGGTGAGTGTAGCTCATTTTTGATATTCTGATGTCATTATTTCAAGTATTAGTTGTGATTTTATGGGTCCTAAGAATTTAACAACAACAAAAAGCAAGCTTTGGCAAAAGTGTTGTGCCATATTTTACACTAACTTTTCAACAAATAACACATACTATATTGCTCTTCACCTCTTAAAAGCAAAATTAAAACCAGTATAGCCTGGCTGTTTGAGGACCCTTCTTTTCCATGCAACTTAATGTCCCTGGAGCTAGGTGACTGGGAAGCATTCCCTGTCCTCTTTTCATGGCAGAGATGATAGAGGAGTGCAAGATAGTGTACTGGCTCCCTACCCACCAGAGAGAGACTCAGCCATCTGTACTACTAGCTTCGCTGAGTGGCAAACACCTGAACTGGAGGACTTGCTTCTAAAGAGGAAATGCTCACCTTTATATTCAGCAAATAGGTATGCATACCTCAAGAGGCCTTGCTGGAAGATTTCATCACAATTTGTGGATGGTAACAAAGAGAAATCCCCAACTCACTGGTCCTCACTTTTCCCTCTACCCTCCCTGCATCCTTCTGACCCAGCCAAAACATTTCCTCTGAAAAGTTACATGCCTGTTCCAAAGACAGATCCTGTTGCTCCTTGAAGTATTCCAAGCCAGGCTTGCACCCCAGGGAGTGACAAACAGACCCACTGGGGCATGGGAAGAAAATATTAAATCCTAAATTTATAAGTATTTTTATCTCACTATGTAAAAAATAACGTTTGTGTGTTTCATAATATTCATGATATAATAATATACTTGTATGTATAAAATAAATACATGTACCTATGTTACGGTACATGCTCCTCTTGAAACTTATATAGAGTACTTAACAAAAACCACTGGAGATAACCACCTTGCAGAAGACCTCCTCCAGATACAAATTTCCATTACTCACTCACGCACATACTCAGGTATTCTGAAATTTGAACTTTGGAAAGAGGCAAATAGTACTGCTGCTCTGCAAAGTACAAGGTAATCTGAAATTGCCAGCTTGATGTAATCAAGGCTGACTTTCACTTGGCTTTGTGTGCATTTGAGTTTCTCCCTACTTCTGCTTTACCTGCACAAATAACACCAGTCTGGATGCAATAGGGATATTGGCTTCACTATCAAGGAATGTGTCTCACTTTTAATTGAATATCTTATTCAGGAATGTACACCATATGCTCTGTTGCCTACCAGCTGAACTGAAGAAATCACAACAAAATCTAATGTCAATTGTCTTATAGCCTCTTGAGCACAGGTCAAATCACATTACAATTGGTCGTCCACATTTAGGGGTTCTGCAACCACGGATTCAACTAATCTCCGATCAAAAGTATTCACCATCCCCCATAAAAGTTAATTGCAGCTCTACTGAATATGTACGGACTTCTTTCTTATCATTATTGCCTAAACAATACAACTATTTAAATACCATTTACATTGTATTAGATATTATAAACAAGCTAGAAATAATTTAAAGTATACAGGAGGATGGACATAGGTTATATGCAAATACTATGTCATTTTCTATCAGGGGCTTGAGCATCTATGAATTTTTGTGTCCAAGGTGGGTCCTAGAACCAATGCCCCGTGGATACCGAGGGACGAATGTAAATCTTCATCTCATACTCCAGGGAAATTCAAAATCCTCCTGACATTTTCATTGATTACTAAAGGGATTATATTCTCAAAGGAAACTATGTCTCCAGGCTCCAACTTCTATTTGTTTCCAAATTTCATCCCAATATTGTGGCACGTCTCCTTTGTCTGTGCCCATATTTTGTAACCCACTGACACAAAGCACTTGGTAATGAATTAGACTTCAGTAACTATTTGGGCTTCATACAGAGGAGTCACACTGTGCCCAACACCAAGCACTTTAAAAGGTTATGTGAGCTGCTCTTCATCTGGTATCATGATTCCCATGGCTGGGTACCTCATGCAGCCAGCTTTCTGCTATCTTATTAGTTCATTTCTTCTCCTCTTGCATATCAACCTGGAAATCTGACTTATCCTATTACAACAAGAAATCCAATAGCTTCCAGCTCTAAACTTGCATACACCTTCAAGTTTGTCAGACCAGAACTGGCAGAATTTCCATCTTATCCAGTGAGTCTAATAGAAGGCAGTTGTGGAATACATGATGATTTTTCCTCTGATGTGGGCAGAGGACAGAGGCAATCACAGTACTTGACTTAAAAACTCTTCATGCTTTCAGACCCACCTCAGATACCAAAAATTCGTAGATAAAATATGCCCCATTCTACACCACCACCAAGCTGAGTTAGACAACATACAAATTCAGGAGTGGAGGGGAGTTGTTTTAAAAAACAATTTGATATTTGATATTTGATAGTGTTTAAAGACACCATGGATGCTTCCTGGTCCTGTGGAGTGGAGCTGGACACCTGGGTCTTATTATACAAGGGACTCTGGATTTGGAAACCCCCACTCCTGCACTGCCAGGGCCAATGGAAGCCCAGTGGAGTGTACGACCACATTATGCATGTGAGCAGCAGGGCAGGGGATGAAGTAGTCTCTGCTGATGTCCATGCAATCCACCCCACCCTTCTGCTCTCCCCATACAGGTCTCCTTCCCACGCCACTTTCTCTTTACCTCTGAAGCTGGCCTGTCCTTCCATGCCCTCCTCCGGTTTCCCATCCACCTTTAACACACAGCTTAGGGCAGTTTCTTCTGCAAATCCACCATACTGATGGCTGTTTGTAGTCCCCAGTAGACATTCTCTACAGGAGTCAAACGAGAATTCACAAGAAAGGATGTAAAGCTATGCTTTGAAATGAGAGTGAAGCACCATTCTCTGACATGCTTACAGCAGGTTTCTTCTCAATGGCAGATTTATGGGGGATTTTATTGATTCTATTTTCATCCATCTGTATTTTCTACAAGAAAAGATTTTTGCAAGAACAATATTTTTCTTAACAGAAAAGAAAATGAAACAGTAAGTTATCTTAAAAGTGAGGGCATGCTCTGTGCAGGATCTAGATTTTATGCAAAAAAAACCCCTAAAAAATAAAAAATAAAAATAAAGCAAGAGTGCTTGCAGAGGTTCCAGGACAGGCTTCCCGCATGCACAAGCTGGAGGCATGCTGACCTGCTTTTCAGCCGGCATAGGGTGTTTAAAAATTGAATGAGTCATCAGCATTTAGAAATCAAGATACTTGGCACATATATCGGGCACCTCCTGTGAAATCTGTCCACCCAGCCCACACCAATTCAACTCCCAAGTCCCAGGCCTGGGTCCACCTCAATGAGCTTGGGGTGCTCTGTCCACAGGACACGGTCTCCACTACTCCCCACTGTGCTGTCTATACTGTCACCTGGAGTTGGAAGCATTTTGTTATCTAACTGTGGGTATCAGGCACCAACTTCCTCCTTTGCCTCCTTAGGACAAGGACCACATGGCCCCTGTGAGATGTTCTCCGTGGGAAGCATGAAGTTCACAGTGCACCTGCTAGGTTTGGCGGCCTGCAAGCGGCCAGAGGCTGTTTGCTGGGAGGAGCTCACTCATGCCAGTGAGAGATGAACTGAGGGAAATGAGTTTTACCAGATCCTGGAAGAGAAAGGAGCAGGGCCCGGTGGGTGGGCCCACTCATTTCAATAAGAATCCAACGTCTCAGTGCTTATCAAAAGCAAACCAAGCCTGCAGGCCCTTTTCAGGTTTATGGATCTCCAGTCCACATCCAGGACCTTTCCTCAGGATTAAATGAAACTTAAACCTGCTAAATAAACACAGGCACAAAATAATCATTGAGAGTCATTCACTGAGCATCAATCATCGCAGCCAGAGTGTTTCTCGTCTTGACAGCTTACTGTAGGGAGGGATCCCTGAGTGCTCAGGAACAAAGGTGAGGGGAGGGAGGAGAATATAGCAACAGAGAGGAAGATCTTTATACAGCAAGCTCAGGAAGAAAATTAAATGAAGAAATACAGTTATCAACAGAAAGAGAAATCCAAAATTGGGTGAGAGGTTTTTGTGGTAGAGGTTACAATGGGCTCTTCTTTCTCCTTTTAATCCAAAGTAATAAAATGCTCCATTTTACTGAGTTCTCTCTGTGGCAAATACTGTGCTGAACACTTCATTCATTTATTTATTATTCATTCATCTACTTATTCACTTACTCCTGTGTCCATTCATTCATTCGTTCAGCAATGTATCTCAGGTGCTGGCAATGCAATGAACAAGGCAAGGGCCCTGCTAAATGAAGGAGACACATGAATATATGATTTTAGAGAGTAATGCATGATATAGAGAAAATAAAACCCAGGAAGGGGAGGGAGGCTGGGAGTAAGAAGTTCTCCTAAGTCAGCAGCTCAGAGGAGGCCACCCCAAGGAGCAGGCTCTGGAACTGAGACCTAAAAGCAGATGCCATTATCAAAGGCCCCTGGGCAGGATGCTGCAGAGAAAAGAAGGGCAAGTGCAAAGGCCCTGCTGTGGACCTGGTTTGGCAGAGCTGAAAGCAGGCAGGAGGACCACATGCTGACCTGCACGTGGAGTTCTGCCTATGTGAATCTGGCAAGCAGCAGCATCTGGTGGTCAGGGATGCCAAATTGGGCTGACCCAATCTGAACCCAGGGTACTGCTGCATTCCAGACCCAAAGAAGCTGCTTTTCTTAAGCCAAGTCCCTGTGGCTCCTAGAAATCCTATCAGTTTTTCCATGGATTTGACAGATATACATATTCACACACACATGCACACACGCACACACACACATGCACAGACACACACACACATATATGGAGACAGATTCAAATGTACTGAAGGGGAGATGCTGAAGAACCTGAGTTCTCACCTGAACTCAGTCACAGATTATTCCCCAGGGGCCTAAGCAAACTTGGAATGGAGAAACCACCTCCCAGGAGACAACAGAACAGCGCCCAGCTCTGCAAGGCAGGTTTCGTTCCACTCTCCGCTTTTGCCCTCCTGACTCAGTGTCCAAGCTCTCTAAGCCCATGGTCTCCAGGCTGCCTCTTCTACCAGGAATGGCTGTGGTACTTGTCCCCTAACTCCCTGCAGGAGATGCTGTGCGTGTCCTGGGAGAGCAAGTGGCTATTCCTGTGTGTGCTTATGTGACACTGTCCAATTCCAAGCACCTTTAAGACTCTCATCTTCAGAGCTCAGGGCTACTCTTGAGGCAGGGCTGAGAATAATCTCCATTAGCCACTGATAGGAGCTGATGGATAAACACCCCACCTCCTTCTCCTCTGGCAGATGTCTTGGAGGCATGCCATGCCTACTGGGGACTCTCCGAGAGGTCCCCATTAGCACTGAGCCCAGTTTTCCACAGTGGTAACCCGATGATGACAAACCCTTCATGGCTGCCTCCTCTTCCTTTCCTGTGTCACTTCCCCACCCTCCCTGGTGCATCCTGGGACTACCTCCCACATAAACTTCTGGTCCTTGTTTCAGAGTTTCCTTTCAGGGACACTAAACCCAAAGCGCTGCCTAAGGTGCTAACTGACAATCAATCTTCAGGACTCAGCTTAGAAGTCACCTCTTCCTGCACACTTTCTTTGATCTCCTTTCACCAACACCAATGTTTGGATCAGGAGTCTTTTCTGCAGGCTCTCTTACCACACAGAAGGTGACCAGTGTTGTTCATTAACAAATGACGTGTCCCTCGGTAACAATCAAATGCAGGGAGTGAGATGTGAAGCCACCATGCGGTCCCCACACAGCTTTCTACAGAAGCATCTCTCCAGATCCAATCTGCCCTGGCCTCACCTCTGATTAGGACTGGGTCCCCTTTGGAGGTCACACTGATTGATTAGTGCTCTCTGGGGACAGTTCTATTGACAATGTGGCTCTTCTCAGAAAAGCACAGCAAAAACAACCTTTCAGATTGAGGCCAGCTTCCATTGCTCAATGTTAGATATTTTTCCTGGAAATATCTGTTGGAGAAGGGATATTAACTACCAATAAAAGTCATTTCTCAAACCACAGTGGACACATGGACCCAAGCACACAATGGACTGTGAACTCCAACCTTTGAAAGTCAAGCCTCTGCTTCAGCATTTGGCCCTGTCCATGATGAAATTATTTCCTTTCCCCCAGGAACTTGAACTGGTAAAGTGACCTCCATGTTTAACGTATCCAGGCAAAAAAGGCACTAAGTCTCTATAATTCAAAGATCAAAAGTACCTAAAATAGATCTTCATTGGTTTGAACTTGAAGGAATTTTACCTCCAAACTCAGATTAATTTCTTGGCCTGAACCCAAAGTAAATGGGCTTGTCTTCTTTGCATTTTAAGGTAAATGTCTCTTGCATATCTGCAATAGTTCAGGGTAGCAAATAGCTGATAAGCCACTGAGAGGTTCATTAGTCATTTTCAGAAGGTGGCTCCAGCAGGAGGTCCATGGGCTGAGCAGTGCAGGCAAGCACACCGGAACTGAAGCTACCTGAACAGAGAGTGTGTTTCCCAGAAACAAACTGGAACAAGAAAAAAATACTCCACAGTGAAAGGTGAAGCATGGTTTCTGGGATCTTTGGAAAAAGAAAGATTCCTTGAAAGCCATATGGCTCAGGACCATTGGAAAAAGCGCTTTGAGGGCTTGGCTAAAGGTGGAAGGGGCTGAGATTCTAGGTGGACAGCAAACTGGAAAAGCCATTGGCCAAACCCCTCGATGAGCAGTGACTCCCTGAGCTTCTCATGCAGATGCAGAGGTGAAATCAAGCCAAGAGGGCCCTGATGGTGACATGCTTCACTTGTGTTCTCTGGCACATAGATGCATGAAATGGGGCACCAGTGCTGGGTTTGGGATAGCTGGGCTGCTTATGAATATTTTTTCCTTTAGCTTCTTTGTGCTGCTTCACACAAACCTCAATAGTGGGGCTGGTAGTTGAGTGCAAAGCCCCGGTGGACACACACATCTACACACAGCCACAAAGGTTACGAAACAATAGTCCACAGACAGGAAGGAGAGGAACTGTAAATAAAGGGAATGGGAATATGGTACGTTTCCCCATTGTGTGAAGCAGGGTCGGGGCAAAAGCTGGAGACTGTTGTAAAAAAGAGTCCTGGGCAGGTGCTCAGAGGACAGCTGTCTCGCACAAAGAAACCTCTTATTAAAGCCACTGTGTTCACTGTATAATTGTATTTACCTGTAGTGTCTTCTGGGCATTACTCATTTGCTTCATTATTGCCCAGCTGAACATTTTATTTTCCATGATGGGGAGTTGATTCTTCCCTCTGTCCCTGCTGAGCATCGATATGTTCTTTCAGAATTGGGAGGTATCAGGCCAAAGGTGCAGTTACCAGGTTGGGTTCTAGAAGACTTTGCCCTGACATTGTATAAATTATTCAGTAAATGAGGCGACAAGGCCATTGAAGCTTGGGCTCTTTCCTGTCTGACTCCCCATCTCATTCTAGTCAATAGCACACCTAGCAGAATTCACGTTTGGAATGGCCTTTGCTTCTGACAGGGAGAGAGCCAGCAAAACTGTTGGTAGAGGGGATCTTCGGGTTTCATGGCACCTACCCCTTAAAAACATTTAGGGGAATGTGTAGGGGAGAGAGATCTAGATCTGGGAGGCTTCTGGAAATGTCGGGTGGGAGTTCTGGAAGGGCTGTGCTGTGCCCGCTGAGGCCCATGTTCGGCACTCTGATACAGAAAAGATGATTCTCTTTTAAATAATCACAATGGAATAAACCCTTTATTTAATAAGAACATTTTACAAGCATAGAAATATGACATGTTTTCTGGAAGTCCCATTGCAATTCACCTCCAAGAAACTATCACTTGGCTGGTTGCAGTGGCTCATGCCTGTAAGTAATCCCAGAACTTTGGGAGGCCAAGGCAGGCGGATCACTTGAGGCCAAGAGTTCAAGACCAGCTTGATCAACACGATGAAACCCCATCTCTACTAAAAAATACAAAAATTAGCTGAGCGTGGGGTTGCATACCTGTAATCCCAGCTACTTGGAAGGCTGAGGCAGGAGAATCGCTTGAACCCGGGAGGTGGATCTGAGATCGTGCCATTGTACTCCAGCCTGGGCAACAGAGTGAGATTCTGTCTCAGGAAAAAAAAAAAAAAAAAAGGAAAAAAAAAAAAAGAAACTATCACTTACTGGGGTTTGGTATGGCATCAAAAAAGAATATCCACAGCTGATTTGAAAACACTATTTAAAAATTTCCTTTTTCAACAACAATCAGTATAGTTTTCTTCCTATACTTCAACCACAATAATATAATACAAACAGATGAACTCGGAAGCAGATACGAAAATCTGGTTGTCTTTTTAAGCGTGAAATTAAAGAGATCTGCAAAAATGTAAAAAACATCACTCTTCTCCAGAATTGTTTTTGTTTTGAAAAATAGTTATTTTTATTTAAAAACATGTTATTCATGTTAGCATTTAACTGGTTGATTATTATTTCAAGATTAATAAATGCATATTTTTATATTTCCTCAATTTTGATTTCTAATATGGTAAATATAAATAGATTTTGCCCACATACGTAAAAGCTCTCTGGGGACTTCAGTAATTTTTAAGAACGTAAAAAGCCTCAAGACCAAAGAATTTGAGGACTCCGAAATTCAAGTACTCACCCAACTTAGCTTTAGAGTGAAGGGTGGAACCTTTGGCCTACCAAGATCTATTTGTCAGTTCCAATCAGAGAAATGTCAAAATCTTGAAGGATATATTTAAGGAGTCCAGAAAGGTTTTCCATACCAGCCTATCAGTAAAGCTCAGAGCTTAGTTCCTTCCTGAAATCTTGTCCACCGGCTCAGCCAAGTCTGCAGAGTGGGGTGAAAGCTTAGTCTTAATAAACATTCATCTAAGCAGCCCCTTCTCTTTTTAAGCAAGGGGCTTCTGAGATTAGGTGTTCGCATCAGAAAGGGGCGGGCACATGTGACACCCTGAGGACATCTGTCTCATACAAGGTTTCTCTAATACTCACAAGCAAATGAGAGCTGCCCAAAGGAGCAGACAGAAAGCAAGTCAAACAGCCCCTAGCCCTGCTCTGCAGGAATAGTGCAGAACTGATCCATGGCAGGATCTGCAGCTTGGATGCTATCTTTCAATTTCCCCCAGGGTGGGTCAGTTGGAGCTGGAGGATGTGCTGGCGAGATGCCCCACCCATCGCACCGTCAGGCCCTGCGAGGAGGAGCACTCCATCTGTTTGCTCATTGAGGAAGACTAGGGTGGGATGTATTACAACCACCACTCCTACTGATTCTCAAATTGGAAGACCAGAGCTTGCAACACATCTATCATCTCCAAGACCTGTTGCTGTTGCTTCCTAGAGTAAGAGAAAGTTTCCTAGATACAGTTTTCTATGTCTAATTCAGACAAAGGGCAGAGGCCCTGAGAGGCCTCCAACTGCAGAAGACATGCTTAAACTTGGAAATTCCAGGCCGTTAATAATCACAACCTGAAAACACAGCATTGTCAGCGGTGGCTGTTGGAGTTGGTCAACTTCGCTAAGAGGCATTCAGTTTCTCAACTCGGTAATGCTAAGAAGCTACTTCCCTTAGGCAATCTTGCTGATTTTGGTGAATCTTACAACACTCATTTGGAAAATTGCTAAAAATGACTATGTTGAATAGAAGATGGCACTCGCCTTCCCTTGTGATTTCTACAGAATATCCTGAAATTGCTTTTGCGTCAGATAATACACATCTTTATTTATAGTGCTGTGCTGCTTTAAATCGCAACCAAAGCCTGCATAATACTTACCTACATAATATTTTATTACATTTTAGGTTTGCATGTTTAGAAAGCATTTAAATTTTATGAAAAACAATACAGATAGTTTCCTGATTGTAAGGAAAATAGAAAAATGATAAAAAGCCATCTTTATCTTTCATGAGAAGACACCAAGCCTGGGTATGTGTTCAGTTATATCTCCTAGAGTTACCATGATGCTTCACCATCACACCTTTTAAAACAAATTAGTCATGCATTTATTTATTTGTTCAACAAAATTCAAAGTATCTTCTAAGCAATGGAGTTGAAGAACTTGAAAGAATATTGTAAAATGTAAATCATGAAAAATATGACAGAAGAAAATCAGTCACTTTATAAATACAAGTTGGCATTATGTAACTATTTTTATTTAATGTGTTTAACTTTTACAGATGATGTTTTTTAGAAAAAGATTTAGTAATTTGCTCAAAGTCACACTTAATTTTTTCAAGCATCAGAAACCAAACAAAACAAAAAGAAAGAAACATGCCTCCCTCAGTTTTGGTCCAAAAATAGGTATTTCATAAATATTTGTTCCTTTTTTTCTCTGAATTCAGATCCTGGTCGTCTTTCCCTAAATTTCCTTTTTTCTTTTGTCGTGGTTATATAGAATTGAATATTTATAATGAAATAGACCTGCTGACTGGGTCACAGTGATAAAAGATGCTGAATGCTTCTGGTTCCAAGTAGTTGCAGTTGATGAATGAATCCCAGGTCCTAGCAACTGTGCTTAAAGGGATACACCTGCTTACAGGTGGTTAAGGGGAGATCTATTTCTATACATGGGACTGCCATAAATCAGAAGGAGATCAAAACATTTAAAGCCAACCAAGCAGGCAACATTTTTTGAGTAATTGAGGCTTGTTTTAGAAAACAAAAAATGTCTGTGTTAGTCCTTGTCTGTCAAACATTATTCTCTGTTTGATTAAGCTATACAAACAGCAGGACTCTGATGTAAGCAAGATTTTTTCTTTTTGTATGCTGTACATAAATGTCTTTAATCTTTTGAGTTAGGAATTTATTGGTGGAGTCTTCATGAGTAAATCCAGCAAATCTCTGAAATAATTTTCCCTCCAAAAGGAAATAGAGCAGGGAGGAGGCAGAGAAGGGTCAGTGAAACTCAACCCAAAAACAAAACAAAACACATTTTCCTGGAACAACAAAGTAGGTAAGAGTCCAGCTGACTTTTAGCCAGCTTAAGTCTGGGGTCTGGGTGAATGTGCCTTGGGTCAGGTGACGATAAAGGGACTTCAGACCAACTTACCAGCTGCAAATGAAAGTTCTTTCTTGGGATTTCAACAATAAACCAAACAAACCCACAGCACCATCCCCAAGTCTGCTATTCCAACTCCAGGAAAAGATTCCACACAGAAGGTCTGCAGAAGACAGTTGGACCTGGAATGGTTCTTCTTATTTTAACAAAAAGAGTGAAATGTGGATGCTTAAAATACACAAAAGGTTTGAATCTTGACTCCTGTGAGTCTTGACATTTGCATTTTATTCTGGGAATTTTCAAAGGATAACTGTGAGTCGTTAATCAAAGGACTTTTAGACATTGGGTGCATTTGTTTGCCATGGCTGTGTAACAAATTCTACAAACTGGGTGGGTTAAAGCACGAAAATTTTATGTCTCACAGTTTCAGAGGCTGAAGTCTGAGATGTAGGTGTTGCAGGGTGGGTTCCTTCTAAGAACCCACTCCATGCCTCCCCCCAGCTTCTGGTGTTTTGCTGGCAATCTCGGACTTTCCTGGGCTTGTAGACCCATCAGCCCGGCCTCTGCCCACGGTTGCACATGGCGTCCTCCCTGCATGTTGTCACCTTGGAGTGGGCCTACCCTATTCCATTATGACATCATCTTAAGTAAACACATCTGCAACGACATAAGGTCCTCTTTCCACATAAGGTCACATTCTGAGGTACCAGGGTTATGCCTTCAACATTTAGAAGTGGAGTGGGGCACAGTTCAGCCCACAACCATGGGTGTGGTAGTGTGTTTGTATGTGTGCGCAGCCACCCTCACCCTTTCTCCACCCCGCCTCCTCAGAGATGCCACACCCACTTCTCAGACTCCACTCTTCTCTCCCAGGAAGCCTGCTAGCACCCAGCCCGCCCCACCCCACAGACAAACACACACACCAGATACACACCACACACACACATCTCCACCACAGCACACCCGTGCACACATGCATCACACTACACACACATCACTAATACTACACACACAACCTGCACAACACATGCACACCACACTACCACATACATACCATACACACCACCACACACACATACACCACCACACACATACCATATACACCACCACACACACCACCACACACATGCAGAAACACATACCAAGCTCCCTTCTATGTGTTTTCGTAGTGTTTTAATTATAGCTCTATTGTAAGTCACCAAATTAAACGTTTATTATAGTTATTTATATTTCCTGCCAACTTCTTCTAATTTGGTCATTTAAGCAGCTGCTATGTCTGGTTAATTTTTGTTTCCCACAAACAAATCGGTGTCACATGCACAGTAGTCTCAATGAACATTAGGTGAATTAAACCGATTACAATGAAATGAGCGTTAATCTAACAGGCACAGAAAAGAGAATGAGTAACTGCACGGCAGTGGGAGCGTCAAGGCCAGGTTGGGGGTGGTGAGCTGCGCGTTTTCTCCCAAACTCCATGATGACAGTGGCTCGGCACCTCACCCCCTGTGCATAGGGATTGTAGTGTAAGCCTAGCTTCAGAGCCATTGCAGCAGGATGTAAGGTCCCCTCTGATGACAGCATTAAAGGACCCTGACCCGTAGGGGGAGTTCACCCACACTGAGGAGAGGCCGGGGCCACACTGCTAAGGGCCAGGCAAGACAGACCAAGGACTTGAATTCCACAGGAAGGGCACGGGGAACCACTACACGTCTTCCCGCGAGCTGAGGTACAATATGACTGAAGCTGCACTTTAATAATGGACCATTAGGCAAATTTATGTGCAAAAATCTCCACATTTTGCAAACAAGGCAGGTATGCGTTGTCTGGTTCATCGGAAATTCCATGCACAACTTGATGCGCTCACAAATTCGCAATTCAGAATTAATTGGTTTTAGGCCATGCATTTAGGTCAGATCACCCAGACATTCCATTTCATGTGGTGAAAAGAAATTAAGTCAATTTTCCCCCCGCCAGACCCTCGGCTCTCATCTCGCAGGCCTGGCGTGCGTCCCTCTGCTCGCACGGGGAGGAAGACAACCTTTAAAGGCATTCTCATTATTTCTCAGGGAGATGTCATTAAGTACTGTAAACATGTCCTGAATGAGTCCGTGTCACAAAGACGGCAAAGTGTTTATAGAATAAAAACCTATAAGCACCAAAATGAGATAAAATGGGGGAGGGGGAGAGAAAGAGGGAAAGAGAGATTTTTTTTAAAAAAAAAAAGGAAAAGGAAATGTCTTCCTGACCAAGTTCAGCTAAGGTGTGGACTATGTGGTAAATTTGCCCTAATGAGCTTTAACTACAAAAGAAAGCAGGGATGGAACCTACCTGGTCCATGGGCCCAACTCTCTGTTCCCAGGACCCTGGCAGACATCACTGACTCATCACGCCCATCTCCCTTCTGAATTCACCCCAACTGCCCCTGTGAATTCACACCTGGCAGACATCACTAATCAATCACACTCATCGCCTTCTCTAAAGTCACAGCTGGAAGACATCACTAATCAGTCATGCCCATCTCCCCTCTGAATTTGCCCCAACTTCCTCTAAAAATTCACACCTGGAAGACATCACTAGTCAATCTCACTCATCTTCTCTAAAGTCACAACTAGCAGACATCATTAATCAATCATGCCCATCTCTCCCTCTGAATTCACACCTGGCCTCAGAATTCTTGCAAGGAAGCAGTCTAATCAGCCATTCTAAGTTGCAGTTCAAACTGATGGATATTTCTGTTGAGGGGAGGCTCCAGGTGTTTCTTTCCTAAGCCTATGCTACTGCACTATAACAAGAAGAATTATTGCCCAAGAATAAATGAACACACTGTCTTACTTGAACATTTTCCTATTTGTTAGTTTACTTTGCATTGTTGTTTACAATCAAGTTCAGGAGAAAGACACTCAGAAGTCTGCATTGATTTTAATCCCCCGGAGCCTGACAATGTGTGAGCACACAGGCTGGAGATGTCTGGAATACCTGGTGCATGGAATTAAAGTTCATCAGTGTGTTCCTTTCCAAAGAGGAATGATAGCATTAAGGCTCTCCTTTGGGGCTCTGCCCTTGGCCACCAGAAGCCTTTGCCCTCCTCATGCAGATGGCAGAAGTGCCTGAAAGTTTATACCCCACCTGGGGCAAGCCATAGACAGTGATTGGCAGTGTGGGGTATGAAAGCACAGCCACCTTGCTTGCAGTGGGACAAGTACCTTACATACCAGAGTCCCTGCAGGGTCAGGCTGAAGGTCCCCTCTGCATGACTTTGAGATAACACCTCTCTTGGCTTCCTCCCTTCCTGGCCTGGTTTTTCCCCTTCCTCATCGACTTCCCCTGGGAATACATTCTTAATACTTGATCACTTGTACGGGCACCCTTGTCTTGAGTACAGAAAGAGCTGTGGGTAATCAGCTCTTATAAGGCAAAGTGTACACCTGACCTGTGTTCTGTCACTCTAAGTTGTGCCAGAGCTGCTCCTGAAACTCCTCTTGCCCTCTTTCCCAGGATATGCCTGGCTGTGTCTGTACCATGGAGAACAAGAGGCTGGAACAGCAGGAGCCCATCTGCTGAGTTCTACAAAGGTCTTCACATGGAGATAATGCACAGTGTCTGTTGCACAAATAAGTAGCTACCAGGAGACTTCAGGCCGGGAAGTCCTAGAAATAATATTGTCCCCAAAATCAACTGAAACAAAACCATTAAAAACTATCAAAATCTACCCAGTAGGAAGTATAAGAAGAAACTAAACGGGACTACAAATGTCTTTTCAGGATTTCTGGAAAAGTCTTACAGGTATACAAATATTAACTGAAGAAGCTGAGAAATCACAGATAAATGAAAAATGATACCACCACTCAGGAATTATGGCTAACACTCAGGAATACTGCTATTTTGGTATTCTACATATAAGAATGTATATGTAGACTTCTGTGAATATGTATGCAAATTTAACCACAAAAAAATTACAGTAGACTTTTTTGTAATCTGCTTTCATTTAATCATAAATGCTAACCACAGAGTTAGCATTTGCTATGCTATTAAGCAATTCACAAAGTAGTTTTACTTATTTTATTTATTGTATTTCACAGGTACAGTGATTTGTTTTGTTTTTAAATAAACAGGCAGAACTTCTGCACCGAGATGAATATTAATTCCTTCACAGCAATAACCTCAGGGGCCTATTCTCTAGTCAAACAGAGTAAGTGTTATCAAAAACAGCCTTTGCTTGTGAAATTTGAAGTCTGTGATGCTTCTAAAAGATACTCAAAATGATGAGGCTCTTCATTTGTTTAAAACAGTTTAAAGTCACTCAAAGCCAACTGTTTGAGAATGCAGATGAGAAAAATGGGTAAAAGTGCCTGCAATCAAAACTAAAATGCGACAAGAGGGCAATTGGGTTGGATAGCAGGGAGGGGATTCACGTTTCATGGATAAACTACACATAGGATAAGTGAATGCAAGTACGTCCACAGGAAGGAATAACACCCACTTAGATTTATATTTACATTGTATTGCCTTTATTTTCTTTTAGATACCAGTCTCATTACTTACAGTACAAAGTCACAGGATATTATTTAGACATTTGGTTCTTTCCTACTGTGGGCCTTTGCTCCAACCGCAGTCTGTACCTGCAATACCCCATGACCCTATTCAAGACTTCTGGAACTCTCAGGTCTGCATCCACCTCCCCCATGTCCATCATGGACAGGGCCTCAATTACACTGGTCACCATCAGAACTAACCCTGAGGATCACACCATGAAAGACCCTGCCTTTTCCATCTTGCTGGTCCAACAGTGCCCACTACAGTGTTTTTCTGAGAGTTGAAACTTGAAATTCTGAACTGAAAATACTCACTCCATATTTGGACAGAGGGAAACTGGAACTTATACACTACTATAAAGAAAAGAGAAACTGATACCCTCCCTCCAAGCCAGTGCTCTCTGATGCTTGACCATGGCATCTCACACACTGTGAGGGTTGCCTGTGGAAGTCAGCCCAGATACTTGCTTTATAAACCTGCATATGTGCCCAGCAGCCAAGCATCTGAAGCCCAGCAATGTGTACGGTTTTTTAAGGAGCCCATCTTGCTTTCCATCCAGAATATGGCTCTCCATGTCAGAGTTGTGACACTTCACCTGGAGGTCATGGTCTGGGATCTCCCCAAATTTAATGCATTTTATTTTTCCTTTGCAGGAACTTTGTGTAACTTTCAGTGGATCTTGAAAGAGTCTGTATCAGTTTTCTATTGCTATTGTAACAAATTACCACAAACGTCATGGCTTTAAACACACATTTCTTGTCTCACATTTCTGTAAGTCAGAAGGCCAAAATTAGTTTCACTGGGCTAACATTGAGATGTGTGGGCAAGGATGCTTTCTCCTTTAGCGGCTCTAGAGTAGAATCCCTTTCCTTGTCTTTTCCATCTTCTAGAAGCTTCCCCTGTTGCTTTGCTTGTGACTCTCTCCTTTCATCTTCAAAGCCAGCGAGAGGGGCAGGGGTTGGGGTCTTCTCTGTGCTGTCTTCTGTAGTCACATCTTCCTCTGAACCCTCCCGTCTCTCTCCTCCACTTATAGTGAACTCTATGTCTACATTGAATTCACCCAGATAATCCATGATCATCTCCCTGTTGAAAGGTAATACTTAATTCCATCTGCAACCTAATCCCCTTTGCCTTGTAATCTGACATAGACACAGGTACAAGGGATTAGGATGTGGCTATCTGTGGGGAGACCATTATTTTGCCTTCCTCAGGGTCTGTGAATATTTCTCTGAAAAAAAAAAGATCAGAAAACATGTTATAAAATATCATGTGTGGCACTTACTCTAAAATTGATAACATAGTTGGAAGTAAAACCATCCTCAGCAAATGCAAAAGAACTGAAATCATAACAAACAGTCTCTCAGACCACAGTACAACCAAATTATAACTCAAGAATAGGAAACTCACTCAAAACCACACAATTACATGGAAATTGAACAATCTGCTCCTGAATGACTCCTGGGTAAATAATGAAATTAAAGCAGAAATTAAGAAGTTCTTTGAAACTAATGAGAACAACAATGTACCAGAATCTCTGGGACGCAACTAAAGCAGTTTTAGGAGGAAAACTTATAGCACTAAAATGCCTACATCAAAAAGCTAGAAAGATCTCAAATTAACAACCTAACATCATAACTAAAAAACTAGAGAACCAAGAGCAAACAAATTCAAAATCTAGCAGAAGACAAGAAATAACCAAGATGAGAGCTGAAGTGAAAGAGATAGAGACATGAAAAGTTCTTTAAAAAAATCAACAAATCCAGGAGCTGTTTTTTGGAAAAAAAAAATAAGATAGATAGACCACTAGCTAGACTAACAAAGAAAAAAAGAGAAGAATCAAATAGACACAATCAGAAATGATAAGGGGGATATCACCATTCATCCCACAGAAATACAAACAACCATCAAATAATAGTATAAACACCTCGTATCCACATAAACTAGAAAATATAGAAGAAATGGATAAATTTCTGGACGCATATACCCTCCTAAGACTTAATCAGGAAGAAAATGAATCCCTGAGTAGACCAATAACAAGTTCTGAAATTGAGGAAGTAATAAGCAGACTACCAACCAATAAAAGCCCAGGGTCAGATGGATTTACAGCAGAATTCTACCAGAGGTACAAAGAAGAGCTGGTACCATTTCTACTGAAACTATTCAAAAAAATTGAAAAGGAGGGACTCCTGTCTAAGTCATCCAATGAGGCCAGCATCATCCTGATACCAAAACCTGGCAGAGATACAACAAAAAAAGTAAACTTCAGGCCAATATCTCTGATGAATATTGATGTAAAAATCCTCAATAAAATACTGGCAAACCAAATCCAGCAGCACATCAAAAAGCTTATCCACCAGATCATGTGGGCTTCATCCTCAGGCTGCAAAGTTGCTTCAACATACACAAATCAATAATGTAATTCATCACATAAACAGAACTAAAGACAAAATCCACAAGATTATCTCAATAGACACAGAAAAGGCCTTTGATAAAAGTCAATATCCCTTCATGTTAAGAACTCTCCTCTCAATAAAGTGGGTATTGAAGAAACATATGTCAAAATAATAAGAACCATATATGACAAACCCACAGCAAATATCATACTGAATGGGCAAAAGCTGGATGCATTCCCTTTGAAAACTGGCACCAGACAAGGATGCCCTGTCTCATCACTCCTATTCAACATAGTATTGGAAGTTCTGGCCAGGGCAATCAAGCAAGAGAAAGAAATAAAGAGTATTCAAATAGGAAGAGAGAAAGTCAAATTTTCTTTGTTTGCAGGTGACAAAATCCTATCATCTCAGCCCAAAAGCTTCTAAAGCTGATAAGCAACTTCAGCAAAGTCTCAAGATACAAAATCAATGTGCAAAAATCACAAACATTCCTATACACCAGCAACAAACAAGCAGAGAGCCAAGTCATGAATAAACTCCCATTCACAATTGCTACAAAGAGAATAAAATACTTAGGAAAATAGCTAACAAGGGAAGTGAAGGACCTGTTCAATGAGAACTACAAACCACTGCTCAAAGAAATCAGAGAGGACAAACAAATGGAAAAACATTCCATGATCATGGTTAGGAAGAATCAATATCATGAAAATGGCCATACTGCCCAAAGTAATTTATAGATTCAATGCTATTTCCATTAAACTATAATTGACATTCTTCACAGAATAAGAAGAAATGATTTTAAAATTCATATGGAATTTTAAAAAGCCCCAAATAGCCAAGACAATCCTAAGCAAAAAGAACACAGGTGGAGGCATCACACTACTGAACTTCAAACTATACTACAAGGCTACAGTAACCAAAACAGCATGGTACTGGTACAAAAACAGACACAAGGATCAATGGAACAGAATAGAGAACTCAGAAATAAGACTGCACACCTACAACCATCTGATCTTCAACAAACCTGACAAAAACAAGCAATGGGGAAATGATTCCCTGTTTAATAAGTTGTGCTGGGAGAACTGGTTAGTCATAAGAAGAAAAGTTTTGCAATCTATCCATCTGACGAAGGCCTAATATCCAGAGTCTACAAGGAACTTAAATGAATTTACAAGAAAGAAAACAAACAACCCCACTAAATAGTGGACAAAGGACATGGACAGACACTTCTCAAAAGAAGACATTCATGTAGCCAACAAACATGAAAAAAAGCTCAACATCACTGATCATTAGAGAAATGCAAATCAAAAGCACAATGAGATTCCATCTCATGCCAGTCAGAATGGTTGGATATTAAAAAGTCAATAAACAATAGATGCTGGTGAGGTTGCAGAGAAAAAGGAATGTTTTTACTCTGTTGGTGGGAGTATACATTAATTCAACCATTGTGGAAGACAGTGTGGTGATTCCTCAAAGATCTGGAGGCAGAAATACCATTTGCCCCAGCAATCTCATTACTGGGTATATACTCAAAAGAATATAAATCATTCTATTATAATGATACATGCACACATGTTCATTGCTGCACTATTCACAATAGCAAAGACATGGAATCAACTCAAACTCCCATCAATGATAGACTGGATAAAGAAAATGTGGTACTTATATACCATGAAATACTATGCAGCCATAAAAAGAAATAAGATCACATTCCTTTCAGGGACATGGATGGAGCTGGAGGCTGTTATCCTCAGCAAACCCAGGAACAGAAAATCAAACACTCATGTTCTTACTTATAAGTGGGAGCTGAATGATGAGAACACATGGACACATGGTGGGGAAACAACACATACAGGGTCCTGTCAGAGTGGGGGAATGAGTACATCAGGAAGAATAGCTATAGCTGATGGATGCTGGGTTTAACACCTAGGTGATGGATGGGTTGATCTGTGCAGCAAACCACCATGACACACATTTATCTATGTAACAAACGTGCACATCCTGCACATGTACCCAGAATTTAAAATAAAAGCTTGAAAAAAAAGTCACATGTATTCATTTATCAAAACTTTATCAAGTATTTTCATCTACTATATGCTGTTGCTGTGCTTAGATGGTAAGATGCAACTATAAATAAGAAATCTGTAGCCTGACAACCATCTTGATTTACCCAGGACTTAAGGGGGTAAATCGGGACACAGAATTTTCAGTATCAAAATCAGTTCAGTTTCAGGCAAATTGGGACAGTCGGTCATCTGAGGTACAGTCTCTGCCATGCAAGAATTTACCATTCAGTGAGAGGCATGAACTAAACACAATCAAGCAGATGTTTAAAAAAATTAAAAGTTGCAGTATGTGCTTTAAAGGAAAAGAAAAAGGGGCTGAGATATAGATGAACAAAACAAGTGCCACCTCTTTCTCTGCGAGCTCCTTCCGGGTAACATTGATCATACTCTAAACACACGTCAGGCGCTGGCTACACACATTGTCTTGCCTAACTTTCACTGGAACCCCATGAAGTGAAGACACTTATTGCCTGTAGTCTTCAGTTGAGGGAATAGAAGAGAAAAAATGCCTAACATCACAGAGCAACTATCTCACATCCTGTTCCCCAGAAACAGACTCTGATACAAGGATTCATGAGCAAGTAATTTAGTAATTTAGTAAGGAAGTGCTCCCAGAGGAAATTAGAGAGTCGAGTGCAGAATAAGAAAGGGAAGGAAGATAGCAAGGATGAGATGTCAGGAAAAATTCCCTGGAGGGTGGCTTCATCCTGATCCTCAGGGGAAGTGGGTGTAAATTATCTCCGAGAGTGTCTTCCAACAGGAGGTGGGGTGGCCCCAGGTCCCTCTGGGGCATGTACAATCCCTAGGCATTTCAGCTCTTTCTGTGCTGTAAGAAAAGAATCACAGGTATGGCTGTTGAAAACAAAGGCACACCAAAGCTAGGAGAGGGAAAACAAACCCTAAAGGTAGGCCAGGTGGTCTGAGTAAGGCAGCAGCCGCCCCACTTCAGCCAGTAAGTGGAAAACCAACATTTGAACCCAAACCTGGTGAATCCCACCACACCGTGGCTAAACCTCTCTTCTATTCCACCTACTTTCACATACTTACACATTTTCTTAAAACCTAAGATTTATGGTTTTTTTTTCCAGATTTTTCTTCTACAGGAGTACATCCTATTCACCAGAATTGGTCCAACACAAATATTAAAATAAAAGTGTGCTGCCATTAAAAATTGATAGGGTCAGTGTCACATCCCAGAGTGACCCTCCCCAGGTAATTCAGTGGCTTTCCTCTAACACTTGAATTGCTAATGAAGAGAGCTAATTAGCATGTCACTGATAAGATTATGAAGATTAAATACTACTTCCTGAATCTCAGTGATTTTTCAAATGGCTTTTAGGCACCACAACCCATCTCAGAATTTATACAAACACATACAAACACACACACACACACACACACACACACACACACACACAAGCTTTAATTATGTCAGTGCTTTATGCAATTGGGAGACCAGGAGGCAGTATTGTGTCTTTTCAGAATTACTGTAGGTGTGATAGCTCCTAATTTCAAACATCATAAGACCTTCATCTTCATGGCAAATGTGATATTTTAGTATGACCTTGGATCTTTACTATTTCTGAGAATGAATCTTTTATGGATGCCAGATGGAAAGTACAAAATTAATATCCCCTTGTAGACTAACACCCATATGTTTTCCATGTACTGCAGAGATGTACTTTGTTCATAGTGCCATTCATTTAAATGAAATGAACATCTACACGATGATACATTGCTGTTTCTAAATTTTGTACTGGACTTAGCCAATAAAAAGTACTTAATATTGGCATCAAAATGTCTGAAAAAAGTAAGGCTGCCAAATAGTGAATAATAATCACTAATCTCTTATAATTGCGTGTGTGTGTTTGTGGCCTATGTGTGTTTGGAGTAAGCCATTCTCATGCTGAAAAATGAACACACATAAAAATCAATACTCAAAATAGTCAAACATTTGTGCATTTATATTACTTAAGGCTAGATTTGACAGCAACTAACAGAGATCCACAATGGATGAAGTAAACAAGACAAAAGCTTCTTTCTCTCTCACATAAATCCAAGTTGTTCTCCAAAAATTCCTTGCAGCTCACTAATCAACTGTCTGTAAGTTATGGCCCTGATCTTCGTGATGCAAGACGGCAACACCATGTCCCCTTTCCAGGTAAGAGGATTCGTCAGTTGTCTTTTAAGAAAGGACCTACAAAGCTGCCATGTGACACTTCTGTTTATAGTTCATTGGCCTGATCTTGTTCACATGTTCATACCCAGCCCCCACAGGAGGCCAGGAAATGTAGTCTTTTACATAAATAACTTGCTAAAAAAAAACTGGGGATATATTATTGTAGGGGACTGAGGGTGAAAGGATCTCAGGGAATTAACACAGCCTCTGCCACAAGCATTTATGATTGTAATTTCTAAAGATGCCAATATGGCCAATTTCAGTAAGAGCTATTCATGTTTCTTTTTTGTTTAAGTCAAAGTGAATTTTTTTTACCCTCAGCTTGCTTATTCCAGGGTTGAAATTAAATTTGAGTTCAACTGTAATTTTGAATGAAGGCCTCTGATACATGCAAAATCCATCTGTGCCAATGCTGGATCCCTTGAACTGGACCAGATTCTGTAATACATCATTTAATTTGCCTTAGGGACGGAAAGCTGCCTCACACAAGGTCATGCCTTCGCCTCCCGGGATCCTCACATTCAAAGACATAGCCATGTGGGTCCATAAAGAGCCTGCCCCTCCCAAGGACAGCACTGAAGGCTCATCCCACCTTCAGAGGGCCCAAGGAGTGGGCTGAGGCTTCCTTGAGCCTGAATGGACTCTCAACGCTTCCTCTGCCCAGTTCTCTTCCTCCCCCTCCCTTGCCTCTATGACTACTGCCCCCCAAGAACACCTCCTAAGCAATTTTCTCTCCATCTCAGAAGCTGCTTCCCAGGGTACTGAAATCCTTACTTGGTCACTCTTCAAGCACATCTCTTGCACTCAACTGATTTTATAATGAGGTGGTTGGGCCCATTGTGCCAGTCAATAGATGCCATTCTGATTTCTGATAGTGGGCAGCTCTGCTTAGCTCTTCTCTCTCATCCTAGGAATCCCTGGGGATACTTCAGGCCTCCTCTTTTTGGGAGCAGATGTCCACTGGATGATTATAATCTTTAAGGAGAATGTGCTGTAGCCAGGAAGAGTGGGAATCAGCTACCTGAGTTCTATCTTTGATCTGCCATATTCAGGCAATGTGATGTTGGGAGAGTCAGTTCCTTCATCTCTAACATTAGAATAGTAACCCCACTTACAAGGGTTATTGAACTAAATAAGTTAATCTATTGTGAACTCCTGGCTTTGTAATTCTCTTCCTGCCCATTTCTTGCATGGCTCAGCCTAAATTAGAATTTACTTGCCCAAATGGTCAGGTGGCTTTGGCTTTCTTATTGAACTTTGTAACATTAAAGGGATCCTCAACGGGAATATTCACAACAGCTTCCCTGCATTGTGGTCTCTCATCGACCTTGTGATGGCCCATCATTTTCCTTGAGCTAGTGGTCACTCTGCCCGAAGTTTGTATCTGCTACAGCTTCGTTTTTGACCTTGCATGGCTGTTCCAATTGCTGCCAAATATGGGTTCATTATCCCATCATTTTGTCTAGTCCAGGAGATTCCACTCAGCTCAGGAAAACATTGGAGACTTAATGTGCTCATTCTCAGGAACATCAGCTGAACCACTGATGGAAATCTCCATTCAACTAGATAACCCAGGAAGAGCAACCATGCCTTACAGCAGCGGTTCTCAAAGCAGGAATCTTTGACCAAGAGCATCGGCCTCAGCTGGGAACTCATCATAAATGGCCCAAAGTTCTTGTTCCTAACCCAGACTTAACTGAATTAGGAACTCTGGGAACAGGACCCAACAGTTCATGTTTTAACCAGCCCTCCAGGGGAGGAGGAGTCTTGCAAAATTTGAGACTCACTGCTTTAGAGAGAACCCAAAGGGTGCAGACAGGAGAGCTTTCCTAGGCAATATTGCACTACTTTTAAATCAGTTTTTTCCCCTCTCTTTCCCTCTTCCCCACTTCTTTCCCTCTGTTTCTCCCTGTCTCCCCATCTCTCTCTTAATTTAGTGAGTACTTTAGGGCTTACCTTAGCAAAATCTTCCAAGGTTGGTCTTATGCCTCTGAAAACACACGCATGCAAACATTCATGAAAATTTTAGAGTAAATACATTCTAAATACTAGGCTTGGTAAATTTTTTTCCCTAGCTGTCCTCAGCACTCCAGCAAAAAAAAAAAAATTGATTGCTAAACTTTTTTGCCATATGACCTGGAAAAGACTCAGCTGCTGATGGTGGCTCTGGCCAGGCTGCAGGCAATAAAGGGCTCGCTAACCTGCCTCTATTTGCTTTCTGTTCAAGATAAACATTTATCACTGGGCGTATTGATTAACACCATATCACTTTCCTTCTTACACTTTCGCAAAGGGAGAAGGCTCCTCTTGGGAGCTCGAACCTTTGTGGGGCTCATGAGACCCCAAGGGCTATGGTGGCTATGAAGAAGCCGTGAGCTATGAGAAGGCATGGGGACCCCCTGCTAAGGAGAGGCCAGCTACCATACTCAGAGCTAGTTGGAATATTAAGGGATGCTTATCCTCAGACAGCCAATCAGGGAGCAAACTGGTTACTGCAGAGTGAGATGTGGAGTTAACAGAAGGATTCATAAGGTCATTAGAAAGTGGCATTGCAGGCCTGGAGCAGTGGTGCACGCCTGTAATCCCACCACTTTGGGAGGCGGAGGTGGGCGGATCTCTTGAGCTCAGAAGTTTGAGACCAGCCTGGTCAACATAGTGAAACCCTGTCTCTACTAAAAATACAAAAATTAGCCAGGCATGGTGGTGCACGCCTGTAGTCTCAGCTACTTGGGAGGCTGAGGCAGGAGAATCGCTTGAACCTGGGAGGCAGAGGTTGCAGTGAGCCAAGATCACACCACTGCACTCCCTCCTGGGCGACAGAAGAAGTCTCCATCTCAAACAAATAAAAATAAAAAAGAAAATGGCAGTGTCCAAGTGTAGAATCCCAACTAAAAATAAAAATGTCTACCTAAATAGCCTGGAAAACAAGCTGCAAATGAACCTTCCATTGTTTGAAGGGTTTTTTCCCTTCTTTTTTTTCTCTTTTTTTCAATGATAGGAAGGCAAGACGAGAGAGAAACCAACAATATTGGCTTGATTTGCAATATACAAAAGACGTACGAAAGGAGAACTATGGTCCCTGAGTGTTTTAATATTTGAGACTGCCTCAGTTCCTAACTGGAAGTGGGTATGGTTTAAATTAAAAAGAAACAGATATTTATGTACTGATTCACCACCAACTCTTTCTCTGATGTTTTGCTTTTGTTGATAACCTTTCCTGTAGCATTAATACTGCTGTTTTGATTCTATGCAACTGGTGAGCTAAATTATTCTTATTTAAAAATCATGATTATGCATCCCGAGAAGGGTATTTTTATTCATTAAACCTAAAGTGGTTAATTCATGGTTAGTACAGACTGTGACTAACCTGTTGTTTTCAAAACAAATTATCATGACATTAAATTGCACAGTTGCTTATTTCTGTGATCTGCTTTGATTCTGGAGAGAGCCTGGGTTGTCTGTCTGTCCTTTAAGAGAGGTAATGTGGAAGGAATCCTGGGGGCTGCACCTATGAGCCCCCCGAGAGCCAGTTGGTGACATTAGGAACATTGGCTGTAGTTGTTTCTTTACATTTTAGTGCAGATATTTTCTGGCTTAAAAACTTAAAAGCTTCTCTTTTTAAAAACTTGGCAAAGGATTTTTCTAACCTACTTTTTTGAGATAATTGTAGATTCATATGCAGTTTCCAAAAATAATATAAGGAGATTCCATATATTCTGTGTCTGGTTTTCCCCAATGTAACATCTTATAAAATGATTGTACAATATGCTAGCCACAATATTGACATTGATAGAGTCAAGATAGAAAGCATTTCTGTCACTACAAGGGTCCCTCATGCTGTCTGCTCGTAGTCAAACCCATTTCTTTTCCACCCTATGCTCTCCTTAACCCCGGGCAACACTAATCTGTCCTCTTTATAACTGTGTTATTTCAAGAATGTTATAGTCATGGAATCACACAGTATAAAATATTGGGAGAAGGAATTTTTTCCCTTCAGCATAATTCTCTGGAATTCTTCTAGGTTGTTTCATGTATCAATATTTTATTCCCTTTTATTTCTGAGTAATATTCTATCGTATGAATGTACCACATTTTACTTAATTTATTAGAAAGACATCTGTGTTGTTTCAGTTTGGGGCTGTTATGAATAAAACTGCCACAAACATTTTAACTTTTGTATGAATATAAGTCTTCATTCCTCTGCTATAAATATCTGGGAATGCAATTGGTGGGTCATATGGTAGTAATGTGTTTACTTTCAATGAAATTGCTAAACTGTTTTCCAGAGCGGCCGTGCCATTTAACCTTCACACTAGAAGTCGAAGAGTGATTCTGTTTCTCTGCATCCTCAACAGCATTCGTCATTGTTACTATTCCTAACTGTAGTTTTAATTTGCATCTTTTTATGGCTAATGATTTAGTTAATCCATGATGACCTTTTAATTTTTTTATCCGCAATTTACATATCCTCTTCCATGAAATGTCTTTTCATGCCTAACTTCCAATAGAATTGTTGGGGTTTTTTATTGTTGACTCTCTCTCTCTATTGCCCAGGCTAGAGTGCAATGGTGTGATCCCGACTCACTGCAACCTCCACCTCCTGGGTCCAAGCCATTCTCCTGCCTCAGCCTCCCGAGTAGCAAAAGTTCTTTATATACTGTATATTTTAGTCTCTCTGAATATGTGGTGTGCAATTATTGTTTTTCCAGTCTATAGCTTGCGTTTTCATCTTCTTAACAAGTCTTTCATAAAGGAAAAGTTTTTTCGATAAAGCCAAATTTATGTTTTTCCTTTCTATGTATCATGTTTTTGGTTTGAAGTCTAAGAATTTTTTACCTAGTCTTAAATCCCTAAGATTTAATATTAAGTTTTATTCTAAAAATGTTATAGTTTTACATTTTACATTTAAGCCCATAGTCCATTTTGATTTAATTTTTGTCCAAGTTTTGAGTCTTAGGTCAAGGTTCATATTTTGTCAATGGATGTCCAATTACTTCAGCACCATTTGTTGGAAAGGCTATCTTTCCTCCACTGAATCTCTTTTGCAACTGTGCAAAAATTTCTGGGACTTCTTGGGTGGGTCTATTTTCAGGTTTCCCATTCTGTTTCATTGATCTCTGTGTCTATTTCTTTGCCAGTTTTACAGAGTCTTGATTACTTTAGCTACATAGTAAGTCTTAACATCCAATAAACTGATTTCTTTTGCTTTGTTGTTTTTCAAAATTGTTTAATCTATTTTTAGTTCCTTTGCCTTTCAATATAAATTTTAGAATAATCTTGCTCATATCTATGAAAAACATCTTGCTGATATTTCCATAGGAATTGCATTAAAGTTGTATGTGAATCTGGGGAGAACTGGCATCTTTGTTAGGTTGAGGCTTCCAACTCATAAGCACAGGATGTGTCCTTGATTTCAATTAGCTCTTCACTGGTTTCTTTGACCAGCATTGTGTAGGCAGCAGCATAAACGTCCTTTACATGTTTTTTTACATTTATACCTAAGCATTTCTCTTTTTTTGAGCAATTGTAAATTATATTATATATTAATTTTGGTGTCCATGTGTTCATTGCTAGTATGGAAAAATACAATTAACCTTTTTATATTTATCTTGTATTCTGCATTGTTGAACTCACTTATTAGTTCTAAGAGATTTCCTACAGATTCCTTCAGATTTTTTATATAGACAAACATGTCATCCACAAATAAACGCAGTTTTCTTTCTCTCTTTCTCATATGTATGTCTTTTATTTACTTTTCTTGGCTTGTTGCATTGGCTAGAAGCTCTGGCAGAATGTTGAATAAGAGTGGTGAAAGTGGACATTCTTTCCTTGTTCCCAATCTTAGGAAAAGTGTTCAGTATTTCTCAATTAAGTAATCCTAGGTGTAGGTTTCTGTAAGTGGTCTTTGTCAAGTTAAGGATGTCATCTTTTCCTATTTTTCTGAGAGCTTTTATCATTAATGGGCACTGAATTCTGTCAAGTAGCTTTTCTCTGTAGATTGATATAATCACGTGATTTTTCTTCTTCAATCTATTAGTATGGTGAACTGCATTGATTAACATTCAATATTAAACCTGCCTTCTATCCTGGGAATAAAACCCATTTGGTAGTGGTGTATAATTCTTTCTATCTATCACTGCATTTTATTTGCTAATATATTGTTAAGGATTTTTTGTTTACATTCATGAAGGTCTATAATTTTATTTTTGAACTGCCCTTGTCTGGTTTTGGTATCAAGGTAATACTAGTTTCATAAAATAAATTGGAAAGTGTTTTCTCTCTTCTCTATTCTGGAAGACATTGTATAGAATTGGTGTTAATTCTGCTGTACCCATATGGTAGTATTCTCCATTGAAACCATCTGGGATTGGAGACTTCTCTTTTGGGGAGTTATTAAATTAAAATTTCAATTTCCTTCATTGTTATAAAAGTATTCAAATTTTCTGTTTCATATTGGGTAAATTACGTTTTTTTTTTTTCAAGAAATTTGCCCATTTCATTTAAGTTGTCAAACTTATGTGTGTAGAGTTGTTTATAGTATTTCCTTTCTATCCTTTGCTGTCTGGAAGGTCTGTAGTGATTTCTCCTGCTTCACTCCTGAGATGGTATTTTGTGTCTTCTCTCCTTTTCTTTGTCAGTCTTGCTAGTGGTGTGTCAGTTTTATTAATCTTTTTAAAGAATCAACTCTTTTTTTCATTGATTTTCTTTATTGCTTTCTGCTTTCACTTTCATTCAGTACTGACTGTATTTTTATTAATTTATCCCTTCTTCTTGCCTTGGACTTATTTGCTCTTCTTTTTCTAGGTTCTTGAGGTAGGAGCTTATATTATTGAGCTGAGAATTGTTTTTCTAATGTGTGCACTTAGTACTATGAATGATAAATGTCTGTCTCTCTTAGCACCACGTTAGCTGTGTACCACAAACATTGATGTATATTTTCATTTTTATTCAGTTCAATTTTTTTTTAACTTGGAGCTTCCTCTTTGACCTATGTGTTATTTAGAAGTGTATTGTCTAGTTTTCAAGTATTTGAAGATTTTCCTCTTATCTTTCTGTTATTAATTTCTATTTTTATTACATTGCAGTCAGAGAACACACTCTCTATGATTTCAATTCTTATAATTTTTTGAGATTTGTTTTATTGCCCGGGATATGGCCAAAATTGGTATTGATTGATGGTGTTCACCTTTTCTCTTTTTCTTGGTCAATCTAGTTAAAGGTTTGTCAGTATGTTGATTTTCACAGAACTAACTTATGGTTTTGATAAACAACATAAAGATGTTGGAGAGCAAGGAGGCATTGGAAATAAACCAAAAGCTGAGTTTTCATTTTGGCCACATGCTCTTCATAATTGTTTATTTTTGGTTTGAAATAAATAAATAAACAAATAAATAAAGGGTTTTTATGTATGATGCTTGTGCTCTAAGTAATTCGGGCAAGAGTGACACCACTGCCTGCCTATCAGCACTTGCAAAGAAAAACCAATTACTGTCAGCCCCCTTCAAAAAAATGTATCTGCTAAAATTGCTTGATGACATGGAAATCCACACTGAGGTGCTTATACCCAGGGGCAACCAAGTCTCCCCTGCAGCTGGGGCCTATAACCATATTTCCTTCATTTCACAAAAATCAAAAGTTTAGGAACCACGAGGAAGGAGCAAGAATAAACACCACTACAAACCTCAAACCAACAGCGCTGAGAGATTACAGCAGCCTCACCCTGCCATTTGGGGCTAGAGACTGCTCACATTTATTCTGTGGTCAGCGTCCATTGGAAAGCAACGCAGCACACACCACGGCTGTGTTTGAGCTGATATTCACTAACACTGAACTAACTGCATTCCAATCCAAAGACTTCGCAAGTGCCCTCTTTCTTAACTGGGAATCTGGCAGAATGTTATATTTAAATATCAAACGTTGTTAATCATGTCAGCGGTACTTTAGTTTGGATAAAATGTCTTTCCTATTGTAGCTAATTGCTTGAATATCTGCAGACTGATATACTCTTTGTAGACATTTATGCTGTCCTCTTTTTATAACTTTATTTCATTTTCTCTTCATTTCTGGTGTTGACTCAAAGGGCCTTTATCACCTCATGCTGATAATCTGTGCTTTATGGCCGCTGGTGTGATTGGGAGCAGTTGAAGCCGCGTGCAATAATACACACATATAAATATTTGAACAGGAAAAAGAAGGTCTGTCTGATGTAGACCAAGGAAGAAATGCATTTAAACAAATAATGCCACTAGAGGGACCTTGACTCTGAACCACGAATAGGCAGGGTCAGACTTGGAAGGGCACCCTCTCATTGCCCGGCTTGTACGGGTGGGCGCTAGTGCCACGGCCCATTTTAAAAAGCAGGTTCTTCCAGGCCCCATGGCACAGGGAGCCGAGCTGGGTCCATGCCAGCAGGCTTATGACGTCATTGTTGTAGCTTGCTTATTTGGTCAGGATCACTAAAATAATTCCCTTTGAGAAGAATAAATTTGCTCTTGCAGAAAGTTAAAGACCTGAGAGGTTTTAATTAGTTTACCCTGCCCTCGCCTTTGGTCGCCAAACGTTATTGCAGAGTTCAAAGAACATGATGTTGTGTGTCTCCCTTTCCCATTTTTGCGTGGGGGCCTTTTCCCCCTTTTTAGCACCTCCTGTGAATAGTTGAAAATGAGTGGCAAAATGACATTCGACTTAGAAAGTAAGAGCACCAGGAAGCAAAACTGGAGGCAAACACAGCAGCTAATTTCACCAGGCATAGCTGGTGCTGTCCGCGGTTGTCCCTGACAGCGCGGCCGACACAGAACCACCTGTGTTTGCTCACTAGCTTTCCCCAATCTGCGAGAAAATGGCCCGGGCCGGTCACATGGCAGCCAGATAGGCCAGGCACCATGGGAATACAAAAGCCGGAGCTTTTAGCAGAGTTAATCATTAATGCGCCTTTTCTTTGTCCCATTCAGGAGTGCTGACAGGGCTTTGATAGCCTGTATTTGCCATCAGCCGGCTGCAGTCCTAGCCAGGTACTAATGAGACCCCTGGCTCCAGGCTCCCTGGCAGAGCCCAGAGCCCAGCCTGGACCCAGGTGCTGCCATCAACCTGAAGCCTGCCTGCCCCCTGAGCTCCCTCCTGCTGCCCGCTGTGCCCCCACTCCTTAGGCCTTGTTCTGGTTGATCACCCACCTGCCTGGAATCCTGCACGTTTCTGCAAAGCATCTGCCTGAGTTCAGCGAAGCAAGGCTAGGAAATGTGTGATTATAAAGCCCATAATCCTCTCTTCCCCTGTGTCATCCTTCCCCCAGCTAGGAAAAAAAAAAAAAAAATTAGAAAGCTAAGCTGAATTTTTTTTTTGTTTGTTTGGATGTGTACCAAGGATGGATTGTTTTGCCCTAACATCAGTGGGGTGTTTTCTTTCCAAAACTTAGCTTAGAGAGTCACCCACGGGTATATTCTAATATTTCCACTCAGCAAGTAAAATGCAGGTGTCCCTGACAGCAATTTTTTTAAATAGAAAACCTCACCTTAACATCCTTAATGGTAAGTAGCTTGTGTGTCAACATGACTGGAGCTAGGGTGAATGAGAACCACATTAAAACCTTCCAGCTACCAGTTCTTTTTTTTTTTTCTTTTTTCTTTTGTGATGGAGTCTTGCTCTGTCGCCCAGGCTGGAGTGCAGTGGTGCGATCTCGGCTCACTGCAACCTCCGCCTCCTGGGTTCAAGCAATTCTCCTGCCTCAGCCTCCTGAGTAGCTGGGACTGCAGGCGCATGCCACCACTCCTGGCTAATTTTTGTATTATTAGTAGAGATGGGGTTTCACCACATTGGCCAGGCTGGTCTTGAACTCCTGACCTTGTGATCTGCCCACATTGGTCTCCCAAATTCGGTTCTTTTATTTGAAATCACCACCCTCCCAAGAACGAGATATCCCAACCTTCTGATTTTATGCTTGGCCTCCAGCGTGCTCAAAATGTTCTTCAGATTTGTGCTACCATCTTACCACTAGCCTTCTCAAAAACATAAACCACAAATGCACCATTGTCCTTTAAGAGTAGTTGAAAACAAGCAAATCAGCATCTTTGAAACCTGGCTTAATAAAGAATAGAGATTTTAAAGTTTGAGGGAATTAAAGAGCAGAGATTTTTTTCTAGGAACTGTACACATGAAAATTTTGCTGATGGCTGCTGATGATATATAAAGGCATTGCCAGTAAACGTATTACACTAAATGCATGGTACTGCCAATGGTTCTCATATCTCCCTTTCTCCAGCGTCAAAATACCTTTAAAGATCATATCCAATTGATCTTTACAACATCTAGGGCATATTGGATGATGTCAAATTGTATTGCTATCTTTTTTTTTTTTTTTAGCAAATGAGGAAGCAAAAGTTGACTTGGAAGTGAAACAACAGACGGATCAATAGATCCCAGAAGGATGTGATTGTGTGGCCACTATTTCGGGATGGAGTGACAGCTTGCCATTGCATGCTACTTCATGCACCTTGTGGCCTGGTTTCATTCTTAAGGAAATTGTCCATCCTCCCTCAATTTTACTGGGCACCTTCTATGTACTGCAGAGCACTTGGCTCTAGAGGGAGCAAAGACAGATGTAATATGGTTCCTGCCACTGAGAAGCAGTTCAGAAGGCACAACATGTACTACAAAAAAACACAGCTCAGGGAGAGAAAGTGTATGGCATTTCACTGCTGTATGAAGAAATGCCTAAGTACTTTCATCCTGGCAGAGGTTAGCCCCAGATCTGAAAACTCTCCAGAGGAAGGAAAAGCTGATGATTTCAGAGGTCCTGGATGTTAGAATGTGGAAGGCACCCAATTCAAATAATGTTATCAGTTTTAACATAATGAGCAGCTCCATAGTGTCATCGGCTTTTATTTTTTTAAATGCTCTTCATACAGGTAGCATGAACACAGTTTATAACCTCTCTATTCCATTTGATCACAAGCTCTTCAACCACAGATTTGTACATAAGGTTAGAGTTGACTCTACTTTTTAAAAATTCCATCTTTGAAGTAGAATGATAGTTACCAAAGGTTGGAAAATGGGAGTGGGGGAGTGGGAAAGGGGAGATGGTCAATGGGTACAAAAATATAGTTAGAATGAATCAGAGCTGGTATGTGATAGCACCGTAGGATGAGTACAGTCAACAATAATTTATTGTGCATTTAAAAATAACTAAAAGAGCATAATTTGATTGTTTATGATGCAAAGAAAGGATAAATGCTTGTGGTGATAGATATCCCATTTACCCTGCTATGATTATGACACATTGTATGCCTGTATAAAAATGTCTCATGTATCCCATAAATATATACTCCTACTATGTACTGGCAAAATTTAAAAAATTAAAAAAAAAATCTTTCTTTGTTCCTCCACCACATGCAGTTGGTCTAAAATACAACCTTTGGCTTTGAAGGAGGCAAAGCTCTTGACTAAGCATGCATTCAATTAAATGTATTTCAATGTGCCCAAAGAAGATAAAATAGAATATTATTTTGTTATTTGGGGGGCAAAGTGATCTGAATCTCTCATTGGGATAATCAGCAATTAAATGGCTATATGAGCCACATAATGCAAGTCAAGTTAACATATTGATAGTGAAGTATTGATATTAATTCATATGGACATTCTCCTATAATTGTTAAAGTGGATTGAATCAAAAGAGAAAGAGGGATGTGTAGTGTGCATAGTCTCATTTTCTGGGAAAATAATGGATATCTTAGTTTAACACCCCCTAAGTCAAGAATTTGAGTGCAAATTGTTTATGTGGAAGGTGATCCCAGGAAACGTGGCAATGGAGAGGAGAGAGGAGAGAAAACAATCACTGACAGGTGTGTGTGATCAGTTCATCGCTGTGGGAGACGGGAGCTCGGCCCTGCAGGGAACCCAGTGAGAAACTGTGCAAAGCCCACTCCAAGATTGTCCACGAGCAAAAGGGAAGCTGGGTTATTTGCCCACCAACTCCTGTCCTTCATTGATTGAGGATGCTTCCTGGATGTGTCAACTCTCCACCACTCTGGCCACCCCAGCCACTGGGGCATACACTCTCCCCACAGGATGTATTCCATACGTAGGGAGATGTCTGCAGGTGACCTCTGATGGGCCAACGGAATATGACCAATGCTTCATCACAAACTTCACTGAAGGGGAAGCAGAGGGCAGAGAAATGAAGCTAGCACTGGGGCCAATTGAAGTCTACACAGTGTATAAGCAGAGCCCTTGGCCCTCTAAATATAAGGGGAAAAAAGATGCTGCTTCTTGGATAAACCACAGTTATTTCCGGTGCCTTCTGTTTGCAATATAAGGATGCTATCGAATGGAGAGACGGGCTCCGCAAAACTCAGGCTGCAGATGCCCAGTGGGTTTACCTTAAAAGCACAAGAAAGCCATCATCAGCTCTCGGATGTTGCACCTCAAAGGGTTTGCATGTTCCCCCGTGTGGACACTCATCTTCCCAATATCCCAGGAGCTTGGTTGGCTTGGCTGTGGTCATATGGGAATGAATAACCAGGAAGTGAAATTCATGTGTTTATTTATTCATGGTGGTAGCCCACCTAAAGTGCTAATTCTTAAAGCCTCTTTGCACAAAGTCAGTTTTGTAAGTTCCATTCAACTCATCCATGCCCCCGTAGCAAGGGAAGCCTCAGGTCACTGGTTTTCAGAGTGTCTTAGGAGATGATGATACCTGCACCAGCAGCACCAACATTCCCTAGGAACTTGTTAGTAAGGCATATGGTCAGGTCCACCCCCGACCTTCTCATTCGGAAACTCCTGCAGTGGGCCTTGGACTCTATTTCCACAAGCCCTCTGGGAGATGCTGAGGGCTGCTAAGACCTAAGAATGCCTGGTGTTCCAGGGGACCCCACTTTAAGGCCCTCTGCCTCCTCTGCTTCCCCACTGTTCTCAGTTCTGTACATTTTTTACCATATTCATGAGATGTAGATGGTATTAATGTTAAAATACCATATCGAGTTAATAACAGCTTTTCAGAATGGAATGGGGAATTATCTTACATCTCAAATGAAAAAAATTATAAAAATATAAAATACAGGCATCTGGAAAACACAGAAACACAGGCATTTGAGATGCCCCATACCTGACTCTAACAACACTGAGGCTTTTGAAATGGAGATTCCTTCTCTGTCTCACAGGAAGGTATTTCTTTTCCGGTATCCTCTCTGAACCAATCTGGAGCATGAGAGCAGAGCAGAGTGAAGAGAGCTGTTCCTACCATGGAGTGGCATAGAACTGCAGGGAGTCCAGTGTTCTCAGCATGATAAGGAGGGGATGCTGGGAAAAGTGCAGGCCCTCCAACTCACCAGGCCACCTGCAAGCTGTGCCTGCCTGCACTGCACAGGCCCATGCACCTCTCAAGGGGCGAATGCTCACCCCTGGGTTTTAGAAAGGTGTCTGTCTACACAATGGCTTTAAATACAAACCAGATGCTTCTCCTGCTGCTCAAGTTCAGCTGAGTAGCCATTTATCCACCCTGGCTCTGAAAGTAACACAGGCTCCTTGGATCCACGGAGAACAGCAATGTTAGTCTCTGTGGGGCCCTTTTAATGGAAATTTTAAGGACAAATTTGACAACACAGGTGTTGTAGGTTGGGTTCCTTAAGAAGGAGACATTGAGGTGGAACCAAGCAAGGTCTTTATTTGGGAGGGGAATGGATCTACACCTATGAGAGGGAAGAGAAAGAAAAGGATGAGCCCTAGCGGGCACCATGGGGAGTTCTGGACCTGGATTGACCTTTAGGGTTGTTCTCATTTGGGGTAAGGAGGCCAAGCCTTTATACCTCAGTGTTGCTCAGGGACTGGGCATGAGATGACCCTGGAGGGATGAACCAGTACCCAGCACAATGGAGTTGCCTTGTCTGTGGACTTTGAGACGAACTCTGACAGAACAGGGGCCCCTTACCTCAGTATTGTGATCTCCAGTTATGATTTTGAACAGGCTATGAAAAAATTATCTGATTTTCTATTCTTATTGAAAAAAAAGTCAGCAGAAAAGACTTTAGCTTAAAAAAAAGCACAAATTATGCTTTTGTGTCTTTTGTTGTAGTTACTTTCTCCACAAAAAGACTTATTTTTTAGGGATACTAATTTTCTACCCCAGCAGTCAAATGGAGGAGAAATTCTCATTCCTATCTTACTCTGTTGATAGAACAGTACTTCAGACTGAAGACACACATTATGGATAATTTCAGGCCATATCCAGATGTGAAAGTTAATCTGGGATGGGCTTGAGGGGTATTTGTTAGCCATTTAGGACCCCTATAGTCAACCTAAAAATATTAACCCATTCATATCAACACCAAAGTGCAAACAGCCTAGGTGTGCATCAACAGGTAAAGGGAGAAACTGTGGTTGCTCCCCTCCATACAATGGTAAACTAGGCAGCAATGAAAAAGAATGAGCATAAGATATATACAGCCATATGGATGAATCTCAAAAGCACACTGAATGAAAGTAACCAGACTCACAGACTGCATAGTGTATGATTCCATTTATGTAAATTTCTAAAACAGAGAAAACTCATCTATGGTGGAAAATTAAAGAATAGTTTTCCTCAGAAAGGGGAGTGCACAAGAAGACCGACTGTGAAGAGGCAGGACCAAACTTTCTGGGGTGATAGAAATCCTCTATTGTGACAAGAATTTGGGTTAAACAGGTGTCTACATTTGTCAAAACTCAGCAAATAGTTAATGTAAGGTTAGCGCATTTTGCTGTATGTAAGTTTTAACTTAAAAATGGAAACAAATTTTAACTCTAGTTAATAATAAAGTACATGCTGAATTGTTTAGGGATGACATGCACAGATGTGTACAACTTCCTCTGAAATGCATCAGAAAGGAAGATGGATGGGTAGAGGGATGTGTCAGAAAGGAAGTGTGGGGGGATGTTAACGATTATCAGGGTTATGAGTGATCACTGAATAATTCATTCAACTTTCTTGTGTTTGAAATGTTTCATAATATAGTGCCAGGGAAACATCATTCAAGATAAATTTACCCCCTTCCAATCCTGAGCTACCCTCTCCCACTTGGTGATCACAGCCCCTGAGTGTTGACGGCCAAAAGACTTCTCTTCCACACAAGGCTCTTTGAAGGCTATTACATAAGTGAAGGGAGAATTTCATGAATATTTTGGTGAAAGGAGAATTTCATGAATATTTTGGAAGTATATAATAAAATGACATGTTTGGTTTGCACCACAGTCAAGTTTTCCATCTGTTTTGAATGTGTTGTGTTACTCCCTCAATCTCGATTGTTGGGAGACCCAATACAGACAGTGAGGTTCTTCCCTAACATCTGGGCACGTAGCATGTTCACCCCTCTGCTTGCAGTGATGAGAATGCTTAGTGGACTATGTTCTATGTCTGTGTTCCATGATCTGAATAAAACATGGACTATGTTCCATGTTCTGAATTGAAACAATCCTTGTTGTTCTAAATGAGTGGCCAAGAAACTGGCTCATTCTACAGTACAGGCTCTATGGAATGACCTCAAAGTTGCTCACTGTTTAGCCCCAGTGGTAACTTATCGGACATCTCCATTCTTCAGTTCTATGAGATGGTGGTTTGAACACATACTTGACAACAGCTTCCACTGTGGACCAGGGAGTGGAGCCCAGGAGCCAAGGGCCTGGAGAAACAAAGGAACCTGCACCCAGTATCGCAGAACTGGCGCTAGTTCGTTGGTTGCCAGAGATGCTGTAGGAGTAAATTCTGGGGGATACTCATCGGGGCAAGTGATTTTAGAGTAAGATCAGGGCTAGGAATGCCTTAAATACAGATTTATAAAAGCAAAAAGGAAAGAGAAGAGAAAACAGAGATCTCAGCATCTTTGGAAAGCTCAACAGGGAAGAATGGAGAAGAGAGTAATAGCCAGCTATCCCAGCACAATTTATTGAATAGTGAGAGCTTTCCCCATTGCTTGATTTCATTGACTTAGTCAAAGATCAGATGGTTGTAGGTGGAAGCTTTATTTCTGAGTTTTCTGTTCTATTCCATGTGTCTGCCTTTGTACTGGTACCATGCTGTTTTGGTTACCTAGCCTTATAGCACAGTTTGAAGTCCAGTAGTGTGATGCCTTCGGTTTTGTTCTTCCGGTTTAGGGTTGCTTTGGCTATCTGGACTATTTTTTTTTTGTTTCATATGAATTTTAGAATAGTTTTTTTTTCTAATTCTGTGACAAAGGACATCTGTAGTTTGATAGGAATAGTGTTGAATCTGTAAATTGCTTTGGGCAGTATGGCCATTTTAATTATATTGATTCCTCCAACCCATGAGGATGGAATGTTTTTCTATATTTGTGTCATCTAGGATTTCTTTCATCAATGTTTTGTAGTTCTCCTTGTAGAACTAAAACAGAGCCGCCATTCAACCCAGCAATCCCATTACTAGGTATATACCCAAAGGAAAGTAAATTATTCTACCAAAGAGATACATGCATGTGCATATTCATTGCCATACTATTTACAATGGCAAAGACATGGAATTAACCCAGATGCCCACCAATGCTGTACTAGATAAAGAAAACGTAGTAATATACACCATGGAATACTACACAGCCATAAAAAAGAATGAAATCATGCCCTTTGCAGCAACATGGATGTATATGGAGGCCATAATCCTAAAACATTAATGCAGGAACTGAAAACCAAATACCAAATACCACACGTTCTCACTTATCAGCAGGAGCTAAACATTGGGCACACATAGACATAAATATGGGAAGAAGAGACACTGTGGACTATGAAGTGGGGAGGGTGGGAAGGGAGCAGATTTGAGAAACAACCTACTGGGGGCTATGCTCACTATGTGAGCGATGGGATCTATACCCCAAACCTCAGCAACATCCAATATACCTATGTAACAGACATGCACATGTATCTCCAGGTATCTAAAGTAAAAGTTGAATTAAAAAAAAATATGTATATGAAAGTTTCTTGTAAATTATAAAGAAACTTTTAATCTATTCTACGATTTTTAGTTTTTTAATGAACACAGAGTGATGATTCTGTTTAGAATGATAAGGAATGAATATTCTAACCATTGTAATAAAATGAATTCCAGAGTGAGGAAAAGAAAGCAAAACTGCAGATAAAAGGAGACTATTGTATTTATTAAGCTCTTATTGGTGCCAAGCACTACTTTACAAACTGTATATTGAATTCTTAATGTTCACAAAAACTCTATAAAATAAGAGTTATGATTGCCTTCATTTGACAGAAACTGAGGCTCACAGAGACTAGAACACCATCACAGAGCCACCATTCGAGTTGAGAGGAGGGTAAGTCCTCCAGGCCACCCCACACATCAGCTCTGCAGACCTCTCTGAGCCTCAGCCCCTCATCCGGACAGCGGTGCTCATGACAGCAGCTGAACAGGGGTGCTGTGAGGATTCAGTGAGATTAGGTGATGGATGAGAATGTGTTTTGGAAAGTCTCTATTATCATTATTTTACCCATCTGTCCTAGAGAAGAGAGATTGCTCTTTCACCGGCTGATAGAGTGTCACCCACACGAGCTGGCAGAAGTGCTCTCTGCCAAAGGGCATGCTGGATGGAGTGGCAGTGCAGCCTCAGACTCTCTCGCTGGCATGAGCGATGGTTCTACAGGCAGATGGTGCTGGGAATGAATTGCTGAGAGGGTCTGCCAGAAACAGCTGCCTGCAAACACAGTCCCCCTCCCAGCTGGTCTTCTAGACACACGTGTTCCCTTAGGCTGCAGGAAGTACCAATGATGATGCTTCACAACCTTGCTCACGTTCAGAGTGAGGTCGCTCTGGGTAATGTGATGGGCCACCACCCTCTTGATTACAGCAGCTGCCTCTCCCACGTGCCTCTTTGTCCTCACTTAGAAAGTGGGTGGTGTGCATAGGGACAAGGGACAACACGGGTTGCTTGGGGCACACCTGCTTCAGAGCTTGTTTGCAGACCTCCTCATCCCCACCTCCACCAGGGATCAGGAGTGCTGTGTGCTCAGCAGATGTTTTGCCAATGCCGTTTTCACAGGCAATGCTTTTTTCTTTCCTTTTAAAATGTAATATATTGAGGACCCCCAAACAGCTGTCTGATGGGTTCCTTGTCTATTAGAGCACATTTCCTCTGCAAACAACAGCTTGCATCTGGAGCTGCCCTCAGACCTGATACCTTCCCACCACGCCCCATACCTTGATTCCTCCCTTGCCAAAAGTTTTCCCAGAAGAGCAACACAGGAAATAAAGTTGAAGACGCATTGCTGATGGTGACCAAGTTCTGCAGCCTCTTGTAGCACTGGGGCGAACTTCATGAAGCCCCGGCTGACCCAGTGGGGAGCCTCTGCTTTTCCCACCACAAAGTGATCCTGGCGCCTGAGCATCATCCTTGTGCCACTGAACGAAAGTGAGAGAAATTCTAGGAAACTGGAGCCACCCTCTGCAGCTCGGGTGGCCTCGCTTTAACATCTTTGTCCTGTGCCTATAGTTGTCCTTAATACCCACCACACTCTGCTTGTCTCTCAAGGTTTGGCATGAAAATGTTTCCTCTGCAAGGGGTCAGAGGGGTTAGTAGGGTGAGACAGCACAGGATACCCAGACAGGGAAGAAGAGGAGGACTGTAGAGAAGCTGAGAAGGTACGGAGACAGGATGGCCAGGGGCTCCAAACCATTCACTTCACAATTGGACCAACTCTTTTTATATCATCCATGAAATGGCTTCCATTTGCCTCCTGTGCCATGGAACCTTCTCTCCGTTCCCTTTTCAGAGTCTTCTCTCCATCACTAACCATCACACTTGGAGCCTGGACCTCGATGCTCCCTACTTAGGGTCCATCATCCCAAGAGGCTAGGACTCAGGCCCCACCAGCCTTGGCTATTGGCTTGAGCTTGAGGGCTTGGGCTCAAGACAATCAACTCAGTCCAAGGTCAGCTTTCTTTCACTTGCATGAATGCTATCATTTTCTATTTTGCAATGGGAATTGTGAGAAAAATGTGAGCAAGACTGTAATAATGCATGCTCAACAGAGGAAAGCCAATTCCAAGCTCATGCTCTATAAATGGGGAGACTATATTGTTGTTTTAGTATACACCAGACAGAACACAGCAATTGATGTCATGTTTTACCTGGTGGAGCACTGGGCTTTGAGTCAGGACACATTGGTTTGAGTTCCAGCTTTGCTGGCAGCCAGCTGTGTGTCTTGGGAAAGTCCCTGGCCTTTTCTCTTTAACTAAAACATAATAGGCATGATCATCAAGGCCACCTACTTACACATCAAAGTCAATCTTCACAGCAAGCTGGGAAGTAGGTGTCTATGGTTCAGATGTGGAAACCAAGGGCACAAAGTAGGGGAGTAGAGGAGTGGGATGTTGAGGGACCTGCCATTCTGAAGGGAAACTTCTGTAGCCACAGCCCCAGAAGAGCTCTGATTTGTCTCCCAATAGAAACCACTTGCTCAGCCACAGGTCATTGACTTCAAGCTGTCTCCTTCCCCAGCAGCCCTCAAGGTGCTCTGCCCATCCAAGGTGCCACGAGACACATGGCAGTGGCTTAGCATTACTCCCCAGATGCACCCTTGCTCTGTGTGCCATCCTGCTTTACTGGACCCTGCCTCGTGTTCTCACCTCTCCTCCCAGCTCCTCTCAGCAGTGGCCCTGGCCTCCATGCCAGCTCTCCTATCTGGGCTCAGCAGTTCTCCTGGTTCAACAAATCTGTGTTGCTTGTGCTGTGTCAGCTTGGTTTACCCAAGAGTTTTATTTCCCAGAATCCCTACCCCTGCAAGAACCTGGGTTAGAGTTGACCAAAAGAAGAATTACTTGAGGTTTGGGCTACAGAGGCAAAGCAGTGTCCATCACCCTCTGAAGGCTGTTGAGTAGGCCTGGCACAAGGATGGATGGACGCAGAAGTGCCTGGTGGGGCTCAACGGGTCCTCGCTGTCCTCTGTTCAGTGTCCAGCTCATTCTCTGCAGGCTCAGCCCAGCTGGCCGGGAACCAGACACCCAGAGCTGCACAGAGGAAATGGCTTCCCGCAGACTTTTGCCAAACTCCCTCACGGCCCCTCTGCCAGGGCAGGTCCTCTCAGATTCACTGGTAGATGACGCTTCTCTGATCTTCCAACTCCCCTTTCCAAATCTCCACTCTCCCAGCTATTCCCACAGAGTGGAAGGTCCGATTCCAATCACACAATCCCGCTCCTGGAGCATTCCCTGGCTCCCTGCTTCCTGCACAGTGGAACATCCCTGGGGGGCCCTCACTGCTGCTTCCCAGAACCAGGAAATGGAAAGCGAGTGAACATTATGGCAGACCGTGGCTACAAAAGATAATGCTGTACTGCCGCAGCATTTTTAACATAGAAATCTTCCTTTGAGTTACCTGTCAATTTTCTTAAATGCAGGAAGAAGCCTTTCCGGAGGCTGGCAGAGACATTTCTTAGCATTTTATTTTCTGAAACCTTCATGGAGATCCACCATGACAAAACAGGGCTGATGGCCGGAGCCTGAGTCAGCAACTCCCAGAGCAGGGTTATGATTTCTCACACCTCCGGGGGGGTCCATCGAGGTTGCAAAATTCTAAAACAGTAATTCTTGTAAAATCACTCTAACCATAAGGAGTTGGGAAGAGAGACGGCCAATGGGAAATGAAGAAAGAGTGGCGGCAAAATCAAACAATGAAACAGCCATCACCCCAGGGAGGTAGGAGTGGAGCTGATGAGAAGAACGGTGGGCCCCTCTCTATAGGCGGAGCTAATGCAGCGCTCAGGGGCTGGGTGGCCAGCGAGCCCAACCTGCTGCAGCTGTAACAATAGTGTGTCCAGTGACAGATGGCCTCCAGCGCTCCTCGGTGACAGTGACGTTACCTGGAGCACTGGGAAGGACCGGCACTGAGGGGCCTTGAGGAGCAGCAATCAGTGAACAGGAAGGAATTAAAGTGTCTCCTACCAGCAGAGAAGATAAGCATTTTATAGGGGACAGGCTGAACAAGAGGTTTTTTTTATCACTTGTCCCTGAAGAACAAAGAAGTCATTCTTTTCCTTTGTGGTGGGGTGGGTGAGGGTGTGGGGAGAGTGAGGAAATGTCTACTCTATTCAGGACACCTAGGCAGCTTTTGAAATCCCCACTGAAATTAACAACCAACGTTCATCCTGTACCTGCTTTGGGTAATGTCTGGGGAGAGAGACTTACCCGAAAATTCGCCCTGTGTGGCTCATGGGATGGAACCAGAAGTTCCCCATCACAGGTGAGGTGTGAGTGATGCTGAGACCAGACAGGCATCAGCTTTGGAGCTTGCAGGGCCTGCTAAGGAGGTCAGACTTGGTTCCCAGGGGACCAGGCTCCGTCCAGAGCCTGTCCCCGCCATTTATGTGGGCAGGTTTGTGTTAGATGCCGGTTGGCTCTGAAGCAGTGCCACAATTATTTCACCCCAAGTTTAAAGGCACTAAATTGTACCTGAAGAACTCTAGGCCCATTGGAAGTGGCCTGGGAAGCGAAGGTCCAGTCACACACTCTTATGGAATGTCTCTCTCTACAGGGTCTGGCAGATTAGAGGTGATGGAGAGCAGGGGCCAGCGCTGGGGAGGGGAAGGTTGCAGACTCAAAGCAACATAGAAATGTCGGCACGCATCAGAGTTCTAGAGTGAGCCAGAGATTGTCTGGGAATTCAGCTTGGGTGAAAAGGTAGGAAATTTACATGTTGGTGACTGTAAAGGTCCAGTGCAGAATCTACTGGGCTGAGGCCTTGGGCCTGCCCTGTAAAGAGAGCCATGTGTCTAGTGCTCCAAGGCCACATGTGGCTAGTGGCTATCATACTGGACAGGCAGGCACAAAATGTTTCCATCACACAGAAAGTTCTGCTCAATGGCCTTGCCCCAGACACTGACATTTCCATCATGACAAGCCATATTAAACAAACAAGTGTTTGAAACCACCTCCCCATGCCCCCATTTTCGGTTGTTTTTCAATAAGCAGAGATGCAGAAACAGGGAATCCTGGAAGCGTTCTGGTATCTAGAAAGCCTCATTAATCAACCAGTTTTATCCCCAGGCCCCCTTACTCTCCCCGTCTCTCTTCCTTACCTGGCCCATGTATGTGTGTTCATGGTTTACATGTGCACGTGTGGGTGTGCACACCTGATACAGCAGTGTTCTCTTTCCTGCTGCCTCCTAAGCAGAATGAAACTGTCTCCATTAAACAAGCTAAACATTCTCATAATCTCCAGCGAGGACACCTCACCTAAGCCCTCTGGTGAGAGAGCCGTCCTGGACATGCCACACCGCCACGGTGCACCTAACATTGAGTAGCTGATGGTTCTTCCAGGGCTCTCCAGGTATTGTCTTTCCTGAATACAGTCAAGTTGCAGCTTGTGAATTCTAACGCCGGTACACAGGATACAAACATGGTTCAGAGTAACCCCTGAAAATCTCTAAAATTTCCCTACAAGGGAATGCTGTATTGTGTCTCAGGACGTGCAACCCTTCCCATTTCTCGGTGGCAGCTGGAAAATGGTTGTTCTTCCCATGAGCAGTGGCATGGTACTTGGCTGAAGTTCCACGATTCATTTGGCCAAAGAAACCCAGTATAATGACAGTTGATGCAACAAAATATTCATGCCAGGAGAAACAGGTAGGGTTCTGAACAAAACACAGGGCAGAGCTCACAGGTGGTACCTTCCCTAGTGGAGCAACGACCTGGCGCACGCAGGACGGGACCTCTCTCTCTCAGCATGGGTGCTGGAAGTGAAGTGCATGTGAAATGGGCACCACAGGGCTGCAGTGCCAGCCACCTATGCAGAAACACAATCAATCCCACCACCACATATGCCTGCACTGCGCTCACACATCTGCTTTCCAATGCCAAACCCCAAACAGGCCATAGCTGCCCAACCACTGGGCAGAATTTCCAGAGTCCAGACTGCTGGGCTGTCCAAGTGGGCAACATTTGAACTGCAGAGGCAGAGCCTGACCCGTAACTCCTTCCTGCCCCTTGCCAGGTAGAGAGTATCTCTCTCTGACAAAGCGGGCAATGCCACCCACAGTCTAAAAATGACAAGGTGCCCTTCGTCCCAGGTAACTGAAAATAAAAGTGTTATCAGGTAGGCACAGACAGGAAGCAAGGCAGGTATCAACAGTGCCAGGCTGAGTGTTCTGGGGCCAGGCACATGGTTGTGGGCATCCCTGGGTAAGAATGTCCAGCAATGCTATTTGATTTAAAGTTTCATTTTCCTGGTAACATGAGGAAAAGTGAGAGCCCTGGGAAAGATGATGGAGAATGGAGTTACTTCCACACTGATTTGTTGCAGCCTGGGGGCTCATTAGAAATGGATCCACACAGCTACATTACATGACCCTGAAAAACACGGGAGTTTTTAAAAAGCAGGTCATCTTTCTTTCTTTCTTTCTTTCTTTCTTTCTTTCTTTCTTTCTTTCTTTCTTTCTTTCTTTCTTTCTTTCTTTCTTTCTTTCTTTCTTCTTTCTTTCTTTCTTTCTTTCTTTCTTTCTTTCTTTCTTTTTTTTTTTTTTTTTTTTTGATGGAGTCTCGCTCTGTTGCCCAAGCTGGAGTGCAGTGGCGCGGTCTCGGCTCACTGCAAGCTCCGCCTCCCGGGTTCACGCCATTCTCCTGCCTCAGCCTCCAGAGTAGCTGGGACTACAGGCACCCGCCACCACACCCGGCTAATTTTTTTGTGTTTTTAGTAGAGACGGGGTTTCACCCCATGTTAGCCAGGATGGTCTCGATCTCCTGACCTCGTGATCCGCCCGCCTGGGCCTCCCAAAGTGCTGGGATTACAAGCGTGAGCCACCGCGCCCGGCCAAAAGCAGGTCATTTTTCTTAATGCTTCCTACTTAACGTGAAGATAAAGTATCAATATCAAATAAAATATTTTTATATTTTCATCAAGATATTTACTGTCTAGACCAGCTAGTGAGGACAGCTCAGGGATTGGATAATTTTCTGTTGATCTTGCTTTTCTAACGTGTTTCTGGGCCAGAAAACATTTGCTTAAAATATTGTCTATTATTTTTATATTCTAAAAATAATTTTGAAACTGGTAATACAATCAGCATGCACAGTCCACTAAGCTAGGGCACTCTGCTGATTCCGCCAGGTGGACATCTTGGTGTCAGCCTCCAAATACAACTTCACTCCCTTTTCCTGGACACTGAGGAAGACATTGAGATTCCAGACAGATTGTTCTTAAAAAGGTATCATTTGCAACTGCTCAGCTCTGTGGATCAAAATTTTATCCAGATTGTGCAACCAAAAAACTTTTTTACAAAAAAAATGTGTTGAAGTCGATATGATTTCCAAATTTCTAAGAGCCTCAACTTTTCTCTTTATATAATAAAAGCTATGTTTAGACATTCGCCATCAAACTGCCATATTATTCTCTTTGTAGGATAATTAAATGTTATAAATTTAAACTAAGGACGAGTATACTAGCTAGTTATTAAACTAATAAAATATCCCCTTTTGGGTTTTATAGATTCAGGTCTGTGCATAAAAATTTATTTGAAAATAAAATCACTTAAAAAATAAAAAAGCTTGAGAGCTTCAGGACCATAAGAACCGTCTACCTCTCCATTTTATAAAAGAAAAATGAGGCCCAAAGAGAGGAATCAGTAAGTCATAGATGAAGATATTAGCAAAGCCACAAGTGTTGAAAGTTCTCTAATACTATTTCTATTTTAGTCTCTGCTCTTCTGCCCTCAGGAAGCTCAGAGACAAGTTGGGATTTTAAAATCAGTTCTCTTGGCCAGGTGTGGTGGCTCACACTTGTAATTCCAGCACTGTGGGAGCCCAAGGCAGTGGAATCTCTTGAGACCAGGAGTTCAAGACCAGCCTGGTTAGTGAGACTTCATCTCTCCAAAAAATAAAATTAGCTGGGCATGACAGTGCATGCCTGTGGTCCCAGCTACTCGGGAGGCTGAGGCGGGAGGATTGCTTGAGGCCAGGAGGTCAAGGCTGCAGTGAGCTGTGCTCATGTCACTGCACTCCAGCCTGGGCAACAGAGCGAGTCCCTGTCTCTAAAATATAAAAATAATAAAAAGTTTAATAATACTAAATAAAATTACTTCTCAAGTAAAAAAATACAGAGAAGCTCTGTGGTATCGCTAACCACACACAAAAAAAATAAATAAAAATATAAACAATTTTAAAGGTCAAGTGAGCTCTTCCGTAGCAGCTCTTCAAATGGCATGTAGATTTCACTGGCCACAGCCCAGCTCCCCCAGCCTAAACCAGGCCCATAGCATACTTGAGCCACCCTGGGGATAGCTGCCCTGAGGGCTCAGAGTAAACAGGTAAACAGCTGTGCCATGCTTTTCAGTGCAAGGGACCTAGGTGAGCAGGCAGAGGTCAATGTCCACACCCCAGTTTCATCAACAACTCACTGGCCACCTAAGGTCACCCAAATGCCTTTTTATCTGAATCTACAAAAAAAAAAAAAAAGAGGCAGAATAGGCCATGATGGAAAAGGCCATACTCTTTCTGAATAGGAGAGAGAAGTGCCTGGGAATGATACAGGGAGAAGAGAGAGGGAATTGAAATAGCAGTCATGGCTAGTAAAGCTGCATGTATAAATGGTTCTTTGGTATCCTTTTAGAAATCTAGTACCTACTGGCGGCTATCTGCTTCCCCAGCATGTGAGCAGCTGCATGAGGCTCCAGCTCAGGTTAGTGGAGTCAGTAACCCCAGCCTGTGGGCAGCTCTGTGTCTGCAGGGACCTGTGCACCCTCAGCCCTGTGAGAGGCAGGAAGCGAAAACCACCTAAGCAGTAGAAGATACCTTTTAGACCTGTCTTGCTGAATTTCTACAACCACCAGGAGAGGAAAGCCGAACAGAAACTGCTGCGTGCTTTGCAGTTCGGAGAAGTAATGCACCTTACCTAAGGTTGTATAAATAGTAGATGATCAGACAGGACCAGCCCCAGCTCTTCCTTGTCCTGGCGTGTTCTTTCCCCTACACCTACCATTTCAGAAGAGGAAGCTCTAATTGACAAGGAGCTCTCAGCTTATCAACTTACTTCATTTATCTGTAGGCTAGAGAACTTGGGGACATATTATCAAAGAAGCAAAGAAGAAAAAAAATCAACAGAATAACTCCACATCCAAGAGGTCAGGTTTTCTCCGCTCTCCTCAACTTCTGTCTCTGTGGCCACCCGAGAGGGCTCCGGGCCCCTCTGGCACCTGCCTCCTTGGGTTTTCCTCTGCTCCTGTTTATGGGTTTTATCGAGAAGAGGACAGTGTGACAGTGCTTTGTGGTGCATTAATAAAGATAAGAGAGGCCACAGCTACTAAACAGAGTTTTCAGAACCCCTCCCCTGGTTTCCCTGGCTGCAGGCCTGCATGCACAGACACACAGAACCACCGATGTGGGAACTATTACTGCCCTCCGATTATTGTTATTGTAATGCCTATTCAGCCGCCCCTTTGTAAGTTCCTAGAGGGCGGGGACCATGTCTCGGGCTGCTTTTCATGAATTCATGCCTTCATGCTTCCATTCACTCACCCTACAAACATTTATTGAGTGCTACCATCACTACGCCCGCCTCAGTGCTGGGGACTCAGAAGATACATCACATCCTATCCCCAGCAGCACAGCCCAACCCTGGCTGCCAGTCCCAATTTGTTCTTTTAGGAATGGAACCCCCCAAATAGGGCACAGGCTGCAACATCTGCATCAGCCAGAAGGTCAGGAGGCAACAGGTGGTATCTTCTTCCTTCATCATCTTCTTTTCCTCCAAACTCCTACAACATGATCATATTTATTTCATAACAAAAACATCTAATAAATTCCACATTTTAAATCTACTATTTTAAACCTAAAATTCTTCTTTTCTCAAACTTGGCTTCCCATTTGAATTAGTAGGGGAATGTCAAAATACTGATGCCTGGGTCCCCACACACAGTGGATCTGATTTAGTTGGCTTGGGCATGGGGATTTTAATAAGCTCAGCAAGTGGCTCGAACTGTGGCCCAGGTTGAGAACCACCATTTCAACCCGAAACAGAGGAGAGGTTCTGGGCTCAGGAGCAGGAATTGCTCCTCCATTTGTTTGCAGATGTGCCAGTATATTCTGGACCCCAAGACTCTGAAGCTCCCTGGTCTAAGCCTATGTTGTCCACCTGCCTTCTGTACCGGAGATCTCACTTCACTCCTTGCCTTCCTGCCCACTCTTGGCCTTGGGTTGTGTCTCTTTGCCTGTGCACACAGAACACACCTCCGTGCTATGGTCCTGTTTAGGCTTCAGGACTCTGGCCCATCACAGGGCCTTTTGCCTAGAAAAGTGCTCTTTCTTCTGACTTCCCAGAGCCTGGCTGTCTCCACACCCTGGGCTCCAATGATCCTGCTCCTTCTCTGCCTGCAGTTGAGTCTTCTTTTCTTTTCCCTTCACTATGGGGTACACACCACTCCTCCTTCCTGGCCTGCTTGGCCTGGTGACAGCGATGCTTCTTAGGAAGGGGGACCTACTGAGGCACCCGCACCTGTGGCCATGTGGTAGCTTCTAGGAGATACCAGAGGGGACTGTGGAAGGACCCACAAATCATTCTCAACCAACACCAGAGGGTGCATATCCTTGTCCTTGAAGTTCAATTCAAAGGACATGTGGACAAAGATGACTCTTGGAAAATGCAAATAAACACCACAATGACACAACATTTCACATCCACTAGGATGACCGTGAGTTCATTGCTGTTGTTGTTTTAAGGGATATAAGTGTTGACAAGGATGCGGAGAAGCTGAAACCCTTTTACAATGGCTGGTAGGAAAGTAAAATGGTGCAGCTGTTGTGGGGAACGGCTTGGCAATACCTCAAAAAAATTGACATAGGATTACCATATGACCTAGAGACTTCTAGGTATACGCCCTAAAGAACTGAAAACAGAGACTCCAACAAATACATGCACATGCTGTTCACAGCAGCATTATTCACAAGTCAAAAGGCCAAAACAACTCAAATATAAAACTGAAGGAAATATTCATGAACATACACTGTATTCATATAACACGTATTTAATGTTAGAATACCTTACAAAACATATAACATACACCGAAATTGGAATTAAAGGATGAGATTAAAAACATGAAGAAACGTGTCTTTCCTAGAATCCCCAGTGGTGACCACCAATCTGCTCGAATGCTCCCACAGTGACTTCCCTTAGCCTGGAAATTTCAAGAGTTACAATCTGAAGAGATTCTTCCACTCCCACCTTTGCTTTAATTCCTGGCTTGAAAGAAAATTTAAATTTAAGGACAAACTTTCTTGTGCTGCTGTTTTTAAGGTGACCGTTTTGTTTCCCAAATTTCCTCTGGAAAAAGAACATTCCTTCAACAAGGTCTCTCTTTTCTAAGGAGAAAAGGATCAAATACAGACCCTCAAACCGAGGCTCTGGTGCTAGTTCGGGGAAACAGACACATGCACGGTAACCATTTCTAAACACAGAGCTGTTTTCAGCTTCATATTCCACAGATCTTGAAGTATTCACACATCTTATGCAGTATTTCCTTTTGGTTAAGCTTAGCCCCTTGGAAAGATTAAGAAAGTCGTGTCCTAAGAGTCCCGGGGAGGCCGAGATAACATAGTGAGTGGAGTCCAGCCTGAGGTCTCCTGTCTGCTAGGCAGGGATTTCAGGGTGAGTTTCAAGGACAGCTTCCAAGGCTGAGTGGATTCTTGTGGTCACCATTGCGAAGGTGTATCTGAGGTAATTGAAATTACGTTAGCATGGTGACATATAGAAAAAGAATATGGGGACATTTTACTCCTGAGCATGAGGGAGAATCGCTGAGAGCCAGGCAAGGTGAAGAAGAAAAAGAGAAATAATAAATTCTCGGCTGGGCACAGTGGCTCACGCCTGTAATCCCAGCACTTTGGGAGGCCGAGGCGGGCAGATCACGAGGTCAGGAAATCGAGACCATCCTGGCTAACACGGTGAAACCCCGTCTCTACTAAAAATACAAAAAATTAGCCGGGCATGGTGGCGGGCGCCTGTAGTCCCAGATACTCGGGAGGCCGAGGCAGGAGAGTGGCGTGAACCTGGGAGGCGGAGCTTGCAGTGAACCGAGATCGCGCCACTGCACTCCAGCCTGGGCGACAGAGGGAGACTCCATCTCAAAATAAATAAATAAATAAATTCTCAAAGGAGACTTTCTTTTTTTTAATAAAAACCATGTATTGGATCAGTTATCTTCTCAAATCTCTAGTCTAAAATAATGTGGGCAGTTTTACAAGGAAATACATATATTGGACCATATGAAATGAACCGTCAATATTTGTTATAAATCTATGAAAACATTAAGTTCAAATGGTTTCGTCTAACACCTATGTAATATAATCAGTAAATTCCAGGTACTGTGCGATTTAGGCAGAGTATATGTGTGTATATGTGTGTGTGTGTGTGTGTATGTATGTACATGCACGTGTGTATATATTTTGTAGAGTCCAGGGTCTCCTGTCAAACTTCTGGGCTCAAGCGATCCTTCTGCCTCAGCCTCCCAAAGTGCTAAGATTACAGTTGTGAGCCACTGCACCCGACATATGCAGAAAATATCTTACTGCAGTATAAAACATATATCTGAGAGGAAAAGAACAAGAGAGAGAGGTTTCTAACTTAAACACAGCTAACCAAGGAAAAAATAAAATCAACATTTGAATGAATATTGAAATTCTCTTAAAAAAAGACAAATGAGGGGGAAATCACATAAGCAAGTAAGGTTTCACACACATGGTGCTCTAGAAACTAATCAGTGGACAGATTCAGAATCCATATCTCCCTTTCCAAAATGTTCTCTGGCAGAAGTCATTCTGTAGGACAAACTGGAATCAAAAGAGTTATGAAAATTGTACAATGGGATGAAGGGGCTTCCCCTGTTGGGGAATAGATAGCTGACATGCTGGATGGGGCCAGGGTTCAAACAAAGGCCCCTGTTGAGTGGGAGCAGGTACAAGACAGATGGTTTGTTAAACATTGCCAGCATGCTTGCGCAGTGCCGTGCGGCGGTCAGAGCCTGGATAATGGTCACCAGGGCATTGTGTAGCAGCGCATTGGCTAATTTCAGCCCAGCTAAAGCTATTGCTTATCTTTGTTGGTTTTGCAAAGATTAAGGCAGTTTCTCTGCTTTGAATGCACCACAGCTGCCCAGCAAAGCATTCCTGAAGTTTTGTCTGAATTCCCACTGCTAAGAGGGGCCAAGCAAAAGGTGGCTCGTGCAAGGACTTGTTTTAAGCTCATATGTGAAGTTGCTTCTCCTCAACTAATCTGGACCACTCTTGACTCTTACTTCTGGGCAAAACCCTCTAGAGTTACAGGGGCCTTCTTTCTCAGTGAGTCCTTTCCTGTGTGGTTCGAAATGCATCTGCTGGGGATTTATATTTCCTAGATTTATATTTCCTATTGGGATTGATTCATTTGCTACTTTTGTGGAAAAAGGTAAACACCATTGTAAATTCCATCCGGTGAATCATGGGGAGGCGGTGGTTCCAATTAAACGTGTTTGCTTTCGGAAGGGGGCCCTTGGCTTCTTATCTTTATGTACAGAAGAAAATAGAGCTCAACCGGGCCTCTGCAGCCAATGGAAACGCACCTGGCCCAGTCAGCTGCTAGGCTGAGTCTCTGCTGCTCTGGGCTCCAACTCGCTCCTCTCGGTTGTTTGCAGACAAAGGGAGAGTAGCTGCGGGTCATGCAGAGGGGACAGTCCCCTTGGCTCTGCCTATAGTCCCAAAGCAAAGCAGGGGGTGCAGCTACTATCTGGGTATGTTAGGAAAGGGTGATGGCTGATCGGTTTAGTATTTCCAACAGTTCAAATGTCTTTATCTTCTTTTAAAGGTAGTGCATATCTATCCCCACCTAATTGAACCAGTGCTGTATTTACTTCAGGCAGCCCCCTCTGCCTAAATTAGATCATTTCTAGCTATAAAATCAAGAAAGTGTGCCCAGCAGATTAAGCCCTAAAAGTGGACTTGTTAACTACATCTACAGAAGCAAAGAGAGCAAGAGAATTTTTATATACTCTCCCTCTCTCCCTCTCTCTCTCTTTTCTCTCTCTCTCTCCCTCTCTCCCTCTCTCCCTCTCTCTCTGCCTCTCTCCCTCTCTCCCTCTCTCTCTGCCTCTCTCCCTCTCTCCCTCTCTCTTTCCCTCTCTCTCTCCTTCTCTCCCTCTTGTTTCTCTCTCTCTCTCCCTCTCTCCCTCTTGTTTCTCTCTCTCTCTCTCTCTCATGCATGCACCACACACCCCTACCTTTAGAACTAGGAAACTAATTCGCCTTCCTGGCTCCAGGCCTCAGCATCTCTGCTTAGCATCAGGCATTTGTCATATAGATCTCAAATCAGGAGGCTTTAGTGAGCAGCTAAGGGCTGACAATGTGTCCCAGGGAAAAGAAACCCATAAAGGAGAAAAGCAAAGGTCTGAGAGGTTCACCTGCAAATTCTGGACATTGAAAGCAACTGTACGTCTCCTCAGGTGCAAATAATTGAAATAATACTACTACTCAGGCCATGGTGCAGTGTGCTCACCCAAGGCCCTTCTTGTTTTATTTTATTTTACTACTTTCCCCTGGATTCCCTGTGTGTTCTGGCTCCCAAATCACTCACTCACTTAGGAACCTCCTGGAACGGGTTTCCTAGTTTGGGTTTGGAACCTGTCTAGAAGCTTCTATTGGGAGAGAGAGTGCTGTTTGTGACTCCATGTCGGCAGCTTTCCTTTGATTCCTCTAGTCCAAGGCTGCTATTTTTCCTAAGCCGTTGTCCATCTGGGTCTAAATGTATTGGCGTGTAGAGTTTCACAGACACTTTTGCCATCTCATTTTTCAAAGAATCACATTTTAATGGGGATTTTTGGCAATTTCATTGATTTTTTTAAACTCACTTTATATCTTTTTCTTTGCTTTGGTTTTATTCTGTCATTTTTCTTTTTCTTTTTCTAATATGTTTAGTTATGTCCTTAGGTATGTGGTCTTTCGGTGTCTTGTTTGCTATTTGTGTATTCAAAATTATGTAAAACTTTAAGTGCAACTTGAGAGTTATGGGTCATAAAGTTTGACATTTGACACTTTTGTTCTTATCCAGTTCCAAGTATTTTGTAATATCTTTTAAATTTCCTCTAAACCCCAATGGTTATATACCATACATTATAATGTTTTATGTGTCCAAGAGATGGTCGAAGTGGTTTTATTGCCATTACTGATTTTTTAACTTTATTTCATTATAATCAACACATTGTGTATGTATTGATTACTTGGCATTTACAAAAGTTTTCTTTGTTCCATGGGAATTAAAATGAATATTCTCTGTGGGTGTAAGTTATGTACATCTATTAGATCAGTGTTGTCCAAAAGAAATATAATGCCAGCCACATATATAATTTTATATTTTCTAGAAGCCATATTAAAAAGTGAAAATGCACAGGTGAAATTAATTTTAATAATATTATTTAAGACAATATATACAAAACAACAATTTGAACATATAATCAATATAAAAATATTAACAAGATGCTTTACATTATTTTTCTGTATTGAGTGTTAGAAACCTGGGGTGGATTTAGCTCTTTCAGTGCATTTCAATACAAATACTAAAATTGGATACACTTGATCTGTATTTAGATTTCAATTTACAATTGAAAGAGCAGATTGTTCTAAACATACTTAAAAGTTTTTCAATACCTGAATTAAGTATTAGGTTTTAAAATTTAAATTAATTAAAATTAAATAAAATCTTAAAATTTTCTTGCATTAGCTACACTTCAAGTGCTCAAGAGTTATGTAGCTATCGGCTACTGTATTGGACAATATAACATTAAGTAACTGTTATAATGCTTCTCAAATATTCCAAATTATTGGTAATTTTTGTCTCCTTTGTCAGTGTTTTTTTAAAAGATTTATTGACATCTCTCCTACTATTATTATATCTATAAGACCTTACATTCTGAAATTGTGTGTGTGTTTCACCCCCTGTTTATTTTTTTCCTCTTTCTGGGACTCCTGTTATAGGGAGCCATGTTCTTAACTATTACTTTCCGTCTCAATCTCTTCATCTTGCTGAGTCCTTCCTGATTTGTTCTTCCACTGAATCCACCCTACTATTCAGTCCCTCAATTATGCTCTTTATTCCAACAATTAAAGTCTGTTTGTGGCTGTGTGTTCTTGTTTTGTTTTTCCTGATCTGTTTGAGAATATTTATTAAGCTTCCTTTAATTCATGCCCTGCCTGAACTCCCCTACCATCTCATCTAGTGTGTGTGGCTCAGTTATTGGGCTGGCCCTGACCCTTTCATATCCTCCTGAGCCCACATGCATGTGGAAACACCGGCTGCCTTGGCTGGTCTGACATCCCTGGGAGAAGGAGCAAAGGCCCAGGTGCAGGCCTTGCCTGCCTCGTGGTGAGGATGAGCCTGGGGGATGACATCGGGGTGCGTGGCTTCCATGTTTATTGTGGGCTGGACCTCCCCTGAGTGACCCACCCTCTGTGCCAGGTGACAGAGGAGCTCTGGAGAGCTCCCAGAGCCCTACTCTTTTTCTACAGCTGCCTGCCTTAAAATCATCCCCACCTTGCTTAAGTGGGAGCTCGGGAGGAGAGTGCTTTAGGGCTGCCAGAGTACCAGCTGGTTCAACACCGGGGGACTGATGCTTTGCTGAGGTGATGGGGAAGCTCTTATTTTCTTGAGGGAAGTTCAGGGAAGGAAAAGCACATAACTCCACAACCCCAGCCAGCCTCCCTTTTGGTACCTGGCCCTCCTGACCCTAGGCTATCATTTCCCAGATTCTTTTTCGAGAATCAGCAACCTTCTACCTTCCATCTGTGGCTCACCACATTTGGGTTTAATAAAAGAATCCAACATCTCCATTTTGTTAGTTCATCTTGCCAGGAAAAGCGAACCTCATAAAGTGCCATTTTAAGAATGAAATCATGTCTTTTGCAGCAGCATGAATGGAGCTGGAGACCATTATTCTGAGTTAAATAACTCAGAAACAGGAAATCAAATACTGCATGTCCTCACTTGTAAGTGGGAGCTAAACAATGGGCCCACATGGACATAGAGATGGAAAAAATAGACACTGGGAACCCAAAAGCCAGGAGAGCAGAAGGAAGGTGAAAACTGAAAAATTATCTGTCAGATACAACGGTCACTGTTTGAGTGAAGGGTTCACTAGAAGCCCAAAACTTACCATTATGCAATATATCAACGTAACAAACCTGCACACGTGCCTCTTAAATCTAAAATAATAATAAAAGTTTTTTTGTAAAAAAAAAAAAAAAGAATGAAAGAAAAATAAAATACCATTTTATTTTTATTTACTTTTTTTTTTTTTTTTTTTGAGACAGAGTCTCACTCTGTCTCCGAGGCTGGAGTGCAGTGGCACGATCTTGGCTCACTGCAAACTCTGCCTCCCAGTTTCAAGTGATTCTCATGCCTCGGCCTTCCAAGTACCTGGTATTAAAGTGCGCACGGCCACACCAAGCCATTTTTTTATATTTTTAGTAGAAACATGGTTTCACTGTGTTGGCCAGGCTGGTCACAAACTCCTGGCCTCAAGTGATCCACCAGCCTCAGCTTCCCAAAGTGCTGGGGTTACAGGCGTGAGCCACCACCCCTGGCCAGAAAATGACATTTTAAAACATGTAAAAATGTTGGTGAAAATGCTCAATTCCATATTACTGTATCATTCCAGTCTATTTCCTTTCATCATGTTTTAACCTTCCCAAACTGTGTCAGTGAAATTGGGACAATCAAGGTCTCTCCCTCTTAGAGCTTGGGACGAGTCAATAAAATAAAACACAATGGGCCCCAGCACATAGTAAATCTTCACTTAAAAAGTCACAAGGTCTCTGATCCTCAGACTCCTTGGCCCACACTGACTTACTGAAGGGATTAAAGAGATGCCTCACTCCACGAGCTCCATAAATGCTTCTCTGAAAAAAAAAAAGTCTTAAGTAATCAATGCATCAAGTTCTTAAAGCTACTGATAACACATAACCTCTCACAGTTCACAGTTCAGCTATGTTGCTCACAATGTGTCAATGAGATGTAAATGTGGAAAAACAGTATAATTGCTTGACCCAAGGCTATCGGGCAATTTTCTCTAGGTTCACACCAGCAGCCCTTAATCGATGCACATCCACAAATGGGTGGGAGGGAAGAGTCATCAGGGAATGGCTTCTCCTCATATCACTTCTCAACTTTAGAAATCATGATGCCTGGGGAACCGGGTGTCTGACCTAGGTAGATGCTTTTTTGTGCAAAAAATAATGAAGTAGCCTCAGCTCTGCTAACTCAGCCCTACAGCAGGCTGGACTCTGGTGATATATCCAATAGATATCAAGCTTACAACAATGCTTAGATGTGACTGAGATTTAACAGAGTTAGGAGTCATTAATGGAATTTATATTGGCTAACCTAAAAAGTAACTCATTTAAAGCATTAGAATTTAGGATATATTTCCAATAACTCATTTACTACAAAGACAAGCAAACAAAGCCAATCTTCCACCCAAGAACTTTTCCTAAAATGGGACTTGCTTTGATCTGCGCTGTCTAATATGGTAGCACAAATGGCTAATGAGCAGGTGGAAGGTGTTTGGTCCAAATTGAGATGTGCCTTTTAGTGTAAAATACACACTACATTGTGATGACTTAATATATAACATAATGTAAAATAGGTCTTTGATAGTTTTATATTGATTACACACTGACATAATTTTTGGAATTATTAGGTTAAATAAAATATTATTAAAATAAATTTTGCCTTTTGTCATTTTTTAATATTAATTATATTTCTAGACTTTGGCTATATAAATCACTCTATACTTTTCAAATATTATTTGTTCAATGGAAAGGTGATCTTAACCAGGAGTTTAACAAAAGGCCACATTTCTGAGGCATGTTTCTGAGGCATATCTTTCGTAAACCATTGTTGTTGTTTTTTTAAGACTGAATCTCGCTGTGTTGCCCAGGCTGGAGTGCAGTGGCACGATCTTGGCTCACTGCAACCTCCACCTCCTGGGTTCAAGTAATTATCCTGCCTCAGCCTCCCCAGTAGCTGGGACTACAGGCACCTGCCACCACACCTGGCTCATTTTTGTATTTTTAGTAGAGACAGGGTTTTGCCATGTTGGCCAGGCTGATCTTGAACTCCTGATCTCAAGTGATCTACCGGCCTCGGCCTCCCAAAGTACTGGGATTACAGCTGTGAGCCACCGTGCCCAGCCGCAAACCATTCTCAGACACATAAGGTGACTCCACAGTCAAAGAAGTTGTACCCATTTTTCCATTTATCCCTTAGTAAAGCTACTGAGCACCTTTTGTGTGTCAGACTGTTTCCAGCACTTGCCAGTTTCCAGCAAATAGGAGGCTTGTCTTTGCATGCACAGAGGCAGCCAATAAGAAATAAAAGTAGGAAATAAGTGAATTTTAGAGTATGCTCAAAGCCAATGAGTGCTATGGAAAAATAAAAAGTGGGGAATGAGGGAGGTGTGGGCAGGTGATTCCAACTGTAGCTCTGGTTTTCATTAAGAAAGTGGCATTGAAGCACAGACATGGAGCAGGTGAGGTGTTAAGCATGCTGAGGCTGAGGGGAGAGTATTCTAGGTGGGCTGGAGGCTGGGGATGAAGTTGAGGAGCAGGGAGAGGGTGGTAGATGATCTCAGCGGGGGAGTAGGATGAAGACACAGGAAGTATTACTGGATCTCAGTGAAATGGGGATGACATTGGGTGCTGAGGTGGGGCGTGGCTCAAACCTCCTTACATTTTTAAAAGATGACTACCTCCTTTGTTGAAAATAGAGTATAGGGGCCGGTGTGGTGGCTCATGCCTGTAATCCCAGCACTTTGGGAGGCCGAGGCAGGCAGATCACGAGGTCAGGAGATCGAGACCATCCTGGCCAAAATGGTGAAACCCCGTCTCTACTAAAATACAAAAAATTAGTTGGGCCTGGTGGTGTGTTCCTCTAGTCCCAGATACTCGGGAGGCTGAGGCAGAGGAATTGCTTGAACCGGGGAGGCAGAGGTTGCAGTGAGCCAAGATCGTACCACTGCACTGCAGCCTGGCAACAGAGCAAGACTCCGTCTCAAAGAAAAAAAGAAAGAAAGAAAATAGAGTATAGGTTGGTGAGGGTGAAAACGAAGTAAGCAGCAGGAGGCTCCTGTAATAATCTAGGCATGAGATGGGCGTGGATCCCATTGGTAACATGGGGTTGTGGAAAGTGGCAGGATTCTAGATGGACTTTAAAGACAGAACTAGCAGATGTCTTGATGGACTGAATGTGTGAGGTGTAAAGGAAAGCAAGTGTCTGGATGACTCCAGTTTTGGCCTAAGGACCTGGAAGGATGTAACTATTGGGTACCCACTTTTTGTGCCAGTCAACATTTATGCAGGAACTACAGGAATCCACACAGTAAGAAATGCTCCCTGCACCGAAGGAGTTCACAGCAAAGTGGCAAAGACACATGAGTGAGAATATGCTGCACCAGATATGATAGTACCTGTGCACAGAGACAGGGGAAAGATCCGTCTAACTTGTCTGTGGGGGGCAGGCAAGGGACGTTTCAATTAGGTTGTTTGGGGATGTTACAAATTCATCAGACCAAAAAAAAGAAGTGAAAAACATTCTAAGGTCAAGGAATAGCATGTTCATGTGCAAAGCCCAGTGTTGACAAAGGTAGACTATTGTTTGGGGACTTGCAAGTACAGGGTGGGTGGTGGGTTGCCAGTGGGTGAAGGTCCGGCCTGGAGAGACTTAAAGTAGGACCTGCTCATGAGGATCTGTGCAGAGCTAGGGAGGTTGGGCCTTCTCCTGGAGGCAGGGGAGAGCTATCAGAAGGTTTCGGGCAAGGCAATATGTGATCAAAGTTGTGTTTTCCAAAGATAAGTCATGTGGCTCTATGAGGAATAGACTGGAGAGAGGATACATTAAAGATATATAAAGGAGTTAGGGAACGATTACAATTGTCCAAGGTTTTGTTGAGCTTTAGCTAGAGAGAAATGAGAGTGAGAGAAGTACTAATCAAAGAGACTTTTTTAGGTGTAATTCTTACAAATTGATGTCCACTTGAAAGATGGGCTTTCAAATACGGAAGAAAGAGTACGAAACATAATCTCTCTCATTTCTGGTCTAGAAGCTGTCAGGGGTGCTATCATTAACTGAGATGGGAAAACAGGAGGGAGAGGCACATGCTCCAAGAATGCTGAGTTTGAGGTATCTTAGTTTGAAGCCCCCCAGATGACGACCCTGAAAGAAAGATTCCCTTATAAGGAGTTTGTTTGAAACACTGTGAGGAAGAAGGGAAGCAGGGCAAAGAAGGGCAGGTGCCCCACGAGATTGTGGAGCTTACCGCAGTGGCCCCTGGAGCTCAGTTCTGCTGTGGCTTCTGAGAGATGGATGCAGGGAACAGGCATCAGCACCACTTGCCCAAGGGAGACGGAGCTCTCACCGGCTCTCAGGAAGGCACTGACTTCTGACTTTCTTGGAGGCAGGATGCCTGGGAAATCCTCAGGCGGAAAGGAAGATGCTACCAGGAGGAAACTGGTGCAGCAGCATGTGTGTGGAAGGCAAGTGCCAAGGGGCTGTGTCAAGGGCACTGAGGACATCGGCTGAAGGGGCCTTTGAGATGTATCTGCAGGTTGAGATGCTGAAACAAGGAGAAGAGAATTCACATACGACGTTCCAGTGAGAAGTCAAGCAGGAGGCCATAATTCTGGGACACTAGCATGTTTGGCTAAGGTTAGCATAAGCTTTTCAAAATAATTTCCTTTCTAAATATCCCTTGCTGTGAAGATATCCCCTCTGCAACAGTAACTGGTGTGCGCTCCTCTGCCTCTCCCCAGCAGCAGTGACCTCGTTGAGGCTGAATTGAATTTCTGGACCAACACTTCTCCCTCAATAAAATTTCACTGTGATGGGCAAGAAACCATGGAGTGTTACTTCTACCTTTTCTGAGAGGATTATTTCTAAGATTTTCTTTCTTTCTTTCTTTCTTTTTTTTTGAGACGAAGTCTCACTCTTGTCGCCCAGGCTGGAGTGCAATGGCATGATCTCAGCTCACCACAACCTCTGCCTCCTGGGTTCAAGCGATTCTCCTGCCTCAGCCTCCCAAGTAGCTGGGATTACAGGCACCTGCCACCACACCCGGCTAATTTTTGTATTTTTAGTAGAGACGGGGTTTCACCATGTTGGCCAGGCTGGTCTCGAATTCCTAACCAAGGGTGATCTGCCCACCTTGGCCTCCCAAAGTGCTGGGATTAAAGGCATGAGCCTTGTGCCCAGCTGGGGTTGCTTTTAAGAAATAAAATTGGCCGGACTTGGTGGCTCATGCCTGTAATCCCAGCACTTTGGGAGGCCGAGGCAGGCAGATCGCCTGAGGTCAGAAGTTTGAGACCAGCCTGTCCAATATGATGAAACCCCATCTCTACTAAAAATACAAAAATTAGCCGATTGTGGTGGCAGGCGCCTGTAATCCTAGCTACTCAGGATGCTGAGGCAGGAGAATCGCTCGAACACGGGAGGCAGATGGAGGTTGCAGTAAGCCAAGATTGCGCCATTGCACTCCAGCCTGAGCAAGAAAAGCAAAATTATGTCTCGGAAAAAAAAAAAAAAAAAAAAAAAAAAAGCAACCCCGCTCTATTAAACAGGTAGAGTCCAGCTTTCTCAAAAGTGAAGAATAAATTTTGTCATAGGCTGGGTGGGGTGACTCACATCTGTAATCCCAGTACTTTGAGAGGACAAGGCAGGAGGATTACTTGAGCCCATGAGTTCGAGGCCAGCCTGGCAACATACGGAGACCCCATCTCTACAAAAAAATAAATTTTAGAAATTAGCCAGATGTGGTGGCATGTGCCTGTGGTCCCAGCTACTTGTGAGGCTGAGGTGGGAGGATCGCTTGCACCCTGGAGCACTCTAGCCTTGGCAACAGTGAGACTCTGTCTCAAAAAAAAAAAAAAAAAAATCTGTCATGGACTAGCCTTAGAAACATTCTTACATTCATCCCCCCACTCCCCGCCCCCGGGCTCTGTTGCCAAGGCTACAGTGCCGTGGCACCATCTCCACTCACTGCAACCTCTGTCTCCTGGGTTCAAGTGATTCTCCTGCCTCAGCCTCCCGAGTAGCTGGGGTTACAGGTGTGTGCCACCACACGCAGCTAATTTTTGTATTTTTAGTAGAGACGAACTTTTGCCATGCTGGCCAGGCTGGTCTCGAACTCCTGACCTCAGGCGATCCGTGCGCCTCGGCCTCCCAAAGTGCTGGGATTACAGGCATGAGCCACTGTGCCTGGCCTAGAAACATTCTTCAACTGGAGTTGGAATTTTTGCTTTAGAAGGAAAGCTCCAGAGACTTTATTAAAACAAAAACCAAAAGATAAAGAAAGTTGAGAAGATCCTATGTCCTTCATGGCAGGGGCCAGTGCTATCAGGGATTTGGAAATGGAGTATACAGTGGAAGTAAGCACTCCTGTGTTTTCCTTTGGCCAAAGGCATAAATTCTCAGTCTGTCTTCTATATTTATGAGCCCATCAGCCTAAGAACAATATCAAGACTATGTAGGCATAGAGCTTTGGAAGTATCTGAGGCTCTGGGTAAGTTCTAATATCCTCTCCATGCAGTTGACAGTGTGCCCTGGGATGGGTCATTTGATCTTTCAGGATCTCAACTTCCATATCTGTGCAGTGGTGAACAAGACCCATCTCACAAATATGTCAAGGTAGGATGGGATAGGAAATGGGAAACTGTCACAGATGCGATAAGGCTCTTGACAGTGGAGAAGATGTGGTTTAGAATGCCTTTCACTGTTTTCTCAACCCTGGGTCATTCTTAACCTTCCTAAGGCTCTGGTTGCAAAGTGCAGGCGATGACCCTAACCCTATGAAATGCAGGCCGTTCACTCCTGGGGTCCCATGGCATGTGGCTCAGAGTGACTCAGAAATGCTAGAGGGCCCAGTGGAGTCTTTCTTTCTAGAAAAGCCTTGGATCTTGGAGAGGCCCTGGTCTCTGGTTCCACTTGGACCTTCCACAAGTGTGTAGTCCTAGGTGGGTTATATCACCCCTCTGTGCTTCACTTACTGCATCTGCTTCACTTACTTCTCTGATTCTATGCTTAAGAATCCGGACTTGGCTACTTCATCCTCTTCGTTACTCTGGTTGACTCAGGAACAGGTGCTAGAAGCTTCATGAGCCATGTGCTCCTAATGAGCGCTCACTGCCCGCCCTCAGAGTTTGCCAGCAATCCCAGCCCCAAGCAGCTGACCCTACACCCTAATCTCACCTTCAGCTTTCAGTTCTCCTGTTGGCGAGCCCTGGAGCAGGCGGAAGAAACAGCCATCTTATTGGGTGCCACTTCCCAATGTCAATCGGATCTCCTTTAAACTCAGCTATGGTCTGCTTCATTTTGAACTTAGGGTAAAATTCAAGACAGTTCAGCAAAGAAAATGGATGAAGGACGCAACCCTTTAATTCAGTTCACAACCCCTGAGGGTGGACAGTGGCCAGCCACATGCTGGCCCCTGGAAGGAGTGAAGGAAGTCGAACACTGTCTAGCAAAACAAAGCACATTTGGAAAATAAATGTCATTTAGGATACAACTACCAGGTGCACACTTCTCTTTATGTTTCAGTTCACTCTGCCTTGTACTTTAAGACACGTTTCCTCCGCTACATTGACCCACCTCCCACCTCGGCCGAGGAAAGCAGATGCCACGTAGAATGACGGTGATTCCTGCAAGCTCTATGAGTCAGGGACATATGGTGTCCCCACGTTCCATGTTTACTCTTGTACCTGGAGAGATTAGTCAGCCAGAAGCACAGAATCAGCCTGAATGCCATCTGGCCCTTCCCTGGAGCAGGCTGAAGGTGAAAAGTCAGCCCTGCATACCTTGATAGCTAGGTGAGGGCTGTCACCAATGGGGGTGGAAGTATCATCTCATGTTGTACCCACTGGCAGACTCATTTCTTCTGAGCAAGGGAGAACTGCATTCTGGAGAAAGGACACTGGCCATTCAGGCTGCAATTCGGGTTCCCCAGCCCTCCTGTGCCGTCCTCTTCCCAGCCATGAGACACCCGCTCCTGAAGATCCCCTTTCCCGTGGTCAGCCGGAGGCCCGGGAATGAGTCTAAGAGTCATTGGTATTCTGTGTTTTAGCTGGTGCTTTGTCAATGAAAACATTCTGGACTTTGGCCCCACATCTGCCTGCTTTTCAGCTCTGGTCCTGAGGTCTTGGGTAACCTTCCCAACCTCCCTAAATCTCCCTTTCTTTGTTTGTTAAATGACAATCCTCATAGGGTTGTTGCCTAGGATTAACTTATCTGAGATAATCTATGTAAAGCACCTGGATTTAGGAGAAATGCAATAAAAGTTAGTTCCCTTCCCCCTTGCCTTGGATTACATGGTTTTATTCTCTTCTGCCAGAGATTCCTTGGGGAAAGGAAAGCGATTGTGTAATTTGCTGTAATCCTAAGTGACGAAGTAAAGTTCTTATCAAAATAATTTTGATGTCCCATTGGCATGTCTGGGCCACGGAAATAATGACATGATGAAAATTAAGTTGACGCTATTGGCTGACAGAAAGAGCTTAGCTAGTCAGTACAAAGATAGCTAGACTGGCACCCAAGGAGCCCCGGATCTTCCCAACAAGGAGAAAAATTACACCCAGCTCTCTGGGGAGGCACTGGACTTTTGTAGGCCTACAAGTTCTCTTGAGTCACCAGCATTCCAGGTTCACTCCCTGGGGGCTCTCTAATCTGTGAGACCTGGCTATGGTTCTTAGCCCACCAGCCCCAGGAGAAAGACAGTTTGGCAGTGGATTTTATAACCAATCCCATACATGGAGCTTTTCCATAATTTATCTTGGGGCAATATATTAAGCCACAAGTTACGAAGTTCCAAATTATGAAACTGTCTCTACTGAATTTCCACCAGCCCAATGGGTGTCATTGTAGGATTTATATTTTTTTCTGGGAAGAATCATGTTGTCTTTAAAAAATAAAAAATAAAAAAAAAGAAAGCCTCTGCTTCGAATAGCTATCTCTCTTGCAGCCGTGCACTGCTGGCTGCACAAGGTCCTGGGTGCTGTTCTCTGGGTCAACTTCCCTGAGTCTGTTTGGAGAAATTGTGACATCTAACCAACTTCAGAGAAATCGATGAGGGCTGGAAGGGTGGACTTTGTTCCCCTGTGGTGTTCTAATGAATATTTTCAGGCTTAAATAACTGCCCAAAAATCAAAATCATTGATTTTTCCAAAGGGCAGATACAAGCAGATGGCCCCATCATAAAGGTACTTCCAATGGTTTTCCAGCACTCACTCTTTATTCTTCATGTTGAACAACTGCAATTCTGGAGACTGAAGAATGGAAAGGAGGAGGCTGGGTACAGTGGCTCCCTGCTCTAATCCCAGCTATTTGGGAGGCTGAGGCAGGAGGATCACTTGAACCCAGAAGTTTGAGACCAGCCTAGGCAACATAGAGAGATCTCATCTCTACAATAAATTTAAAAACTAACCAGGTGTGGTGGCACACGCCTGTGGTCCCATCTACTCAGGAGGCTAGGATGGGAGGATCACTTGAGCCTGAGAGGCAGAGGTTGCAGTGGGCTGTGATTGCATCACTGTACTCCAGCCTGGGTGACAGAGCAAGACCCTGTCTCACTACAAAAAAAAAAAAAAAAAAAAGTAAAAGAAAGAAAGAGGAAGGAAGGAAAAGTCCTGAGGTTGCCTACTGTGGCACATGCAAAGGGCAGAGGGCATCTTTTTGCAGCAAAAGCTGTCCAGTTATAGAAGGCATCTTGGAAGCCTTATGCCCTTGAGTGCAGCCTCCTTGGTGAGTCCCTGAGTCAGGTGGATCCCCATGATCGGACTCTAGGGTTTGGCTTGTGTTTCCGCACCAGCAAAGAGTTGCTGTGACCAGGACCGTTATGTGCATGCAGAACAAGAGTGGCGCCAGAGTCCAAAATAAAACCGTGCTGGAGCAGTGCCAGAGTGCATAAGCACAGTCTCTCCTTGTAGCCAAGGTGGGAACCACAGCTGGGTAAAGAAAGGGTTTCAGAGTGGAGAAGAGTGGGCTCCAGCCCTGACCGGATCTCTCCTGGATGAGTTCCCATTGTCTTACTTACTTCAAGGTTCGATTTTTTTCATCCATAAAATGGAATGACAATGTCTCTGGGGGCTGTGGAATTTCAGCATATGTTCAACGTGTTATGAGAACAAGGATAGAGGCAGTTTACTTGTTCCTATGGAGAAACAAGGAAAAGGAATTTGGGGCCGGGCATAGTGGCTCACACCTGTAATCCCAGCACTTTGAGAAGCCAAGGCAGGAGAATTGCTTGAGCCCAGGAGTTTGAGACCAGCCTGGGTAACATAGTGAGACCCCATTTGCTACAAAATATAAACATGGGAGAGGTGGGACACTCCTATAGTCACAGCTACTCAGGAGACTGAGGGGAGGATCATTTGTGTGCAGGAGATTGAGGCTGCAGTCAACTATGGCTGTGCCACTGCACTCCAGCCAGGGCAAAGGAGCCAGGCTGTGTTTCTAAAAAAAGAGGAAGAAAGAGAGCAGTGGGTGAGGGGGAGAGAGATAGAGAGAGAGAAAGAGAGAGAGAGAGAGAATGAAAAAGAAAGGAAGGGAGTGAGGGAGGGAGGGAGGAAAGGAAGGAAGGAAAGAAGGAAGGAAGGAACTAAAGAAGGAAGGAAAGAAGGAAGGAGGAAGTTGGGGAAGCACAGCCTGTGAAATTTGGGAAAGATTTTTTGCCTCAAATCCCGGGGCACTTTTCCATGTCGGATGTGAACACCCAGCCCTACTTCTGTTGTGATCCTTAGCATTGAAACCTGCCTCCCCAAGAAGAGAAATTTTTATTTTGAGCATTGAGCTATTCTAGAGAAACCACTATTAATGACGAAAAATCACATTTGAGCCATGAGCAACATCTTGGGCCTTTGGTAGTCCCAGACATGAGACTTGGGGAAGGTGGTTTGGGGGTTACTTTTCCAGGGTAAATCCCTTGTCCTCCAGAATTGCCATTCAGACATAATTAATATTCTCCCTGCTTCTTCTTTCCAGAAAAAAAAAAAACCCAACACATGCTTACACTTACTTGTTGGGCCTAATTGTTGTCCAAATTAGTCCTACTTTTTCAGATAAATTGTGTCTTTAGAAAAGTGTTGAAATTGGGTGGAGCTCTTGAGCACCCTTTGTGGCCGGTCTTTCACCCTGACATTGGCATGTGTGGTACCGGCCACCCATGACACATCTCCTGCCCTCCTGCCCTGAAAAGGTTCAAAGTCACAGACACACTGAATCAGAGCGCTAAAAGGGCTATAGAAAACCTGCAATAGGCTGGGCACAGTGGCTTATGCCTGTAATCCCAACACTTTGGGAGGCCGAGGCGGGTGGATCACTTGAGGTCAGGAGTTTGACACCAGCCTGGCCAACGTGGTAAAACCCTGTCTCTACTAAAAATACAAAAATTAGCTGGGTGTGGTGGCATGTATAATCCCAGCTACTCGGGAGGCTGGGGCAGGAGAATTGCTTGAACCCTGGAGGTGAAGTTTGCCGTGAGCTGAGATCACGCCATTGCATTCCAGCCTGGACAACAGAGCAAGACTCTGTCAAAAAAAAAAAAAGAAAAGAAAAGAAAAGAAAAGAAAAGAAAAGAAAAGAAAACCCACAATAAGTGGGGATGTGATGATGTAGGTTCAGGTTTTCTCACAGGACAGTCGACTTTGTTAAGGGGAGAGGAAAAGGGGAGATATTTCTGTAAAAGTGTGGTTCAGCTGAGAGCTTCCCACAGTTAATGCAGCGCCACCTCTTTTGCTGTATAAACTTACACAGGCCCCCTAACCTCTCTGGTCATTGTTTCATCACCTATAAATATACAAATAATATCTGATAACACCTGCCTTGTCTATAACTTGAAGATGAGGATCAAGCAAGAAAACAGATCTGAAGACATTTTGAAAAATATGAAAGCTATAACATATTATAATAATAAATTACCATGTTTATTATGTCTACTACGCCCAAGCTGAAAAATTATACACTTAAAAAAAAAATTTTCTTTTGAACTGTCCACAGAGCCAGGGATGACACACATTTCTCTACTAGTTTTCTGGTCCTCATTTCAAACATACATTTGAGCTCCAAAGTCATCCTGAATTATTATATGAGTGTGCATTATAAAATCCTGTCAACTGCTCTGTGTGTTTGAAATTTTTCTTTTCTTTTTTTTTTTTTTTTTTTGAAATAGAGTCTTGCTCTGTCACCCAGGCTGGAGTGCAGTGGCGTGATCTCAGCTCACTGCAAGCTCTGCCTCCCAGGTTCAAGCGCGTCTCCTGCCTCAGCCTCCCGAGTAGCTGGGACTACAGGCGCCCGCCACCAACCCGGGCTAATTTTTTTGTATTTTTTTTTTTAGTAGAGACAGGGTTTCACTGTGTTAGCCAAGATGGTCTCGATCTCCTGACCTCATGATCCACCCGCCTTGGCCTCCCAATGTGCTGGGATTACAGGCATGAGCCGCTGCGCCTGGCCCAAAAATTTTCATAATAAAATATTGGAAGGAAAAATCACCTTAACTGAAAAGTGCAGTCTTGCACATGTCTGGTGGCAATACATCTAGTTGGGGTCTCCATTTTGGAAAATAAATAAGTAAATAAAGGTAGCATCACTAAAATGCAAAACCAAACAAACAAAAAAAAAAGATAAAAAAATCTGACCCAGTAAAACATGTTATAGTCCAGTGATGTTTGTTACAGTGTAATTTTAATAGGGCACCACTCTCCAAAAACAGAAGAATGTTAATTTGTTAAGGCACATTGCCTTGAGGAGATACTCTCCAGTCATTAAAAAATAGGTGGAAAGATGATATAGCAATCTTATGCCTATTAAAATGCTCCGTAAAAAAAGCAACGAAGAGACAAGTTCTTATGTACTGGTTACAGAAGTGTTAAATCCTAAGGAAAACAGAAAGAGTAGAAGTACCCAAAAGAGCTGATTGGATCAGGGACTGGGATTATAGGAAGATTTTTTATTTTCTCTTATGTAAATTTTTCCTTTGATGTGGATATACACTATATTTACTTTTTAAATTTAACAAAAGCAAAAACAAAGGATTTTACTCTTTTTACTTAGTGTCATAGAAGGCTTTATACCCAGGGCCCTCAGCTCTGCAATGCTGGCAAGAACAGCTCAGCTGAGAACACTGACCTGACTGGGTTGCCAAATGCATTGTTCGATTGCGCCTGCAGCAATGACTTTGAACACAATAGTTGCCAGGTTAAAGAGTGCCCGCTGGGCAGTCCCTACCCAGCCCTGCCTAAAGCCTATTGTTGCCTCCAGCACTTCTGCAAGGTGCTCACATGGCCAAGCTTTGAAGTTGGGTTCACAGAGCCTGTTTCCTCAGAGCATGAAGTTTATGTTGGAGACCACAGACTTGTGGGGGTGGGAGAGGGGAAGAGAATCGAATGTTTCAAAATGAACCCGAATCAAAATGATCCCCCAGAAATGTGTCAGGAAGAGCTAAAGACCACTTGCTGAGGGCTGGATGTTAGAGATAAGGAAACCGAGGCAGAGTCGGGGCATTTATTTTAGAAATCGAGCCAGTGGCCAGGTCCCCCAGCCTTTGATGAACTAACCCCTTTCTTCCACCTAAACTGCTTCACACAACAGAGCCGTAAATTGCCCTGTGTTCCCAGAGTCAGGGTCACATCCAGATGATCACAGCGAAAACTCCTGGCTTCTCAACTGGAGCTGGGCAAGACGGCAGAGCCATAATTCAAGGGCAGTCGTGTGCTGTGAACTTTGTCAAGGTTGCCACCCTGAAATTTTGCCTCTGCCTGCTCCAGGGTTGCCAATGACCTCAAATTCCCATTTCTGGCTCAGGCCACAGACTTCTTGGGGAGAAGTCTCGGTACTCATTTGAATTTTGGAAAACCTTAGATTCTTCCAGGGTACTTAACTCAAAGATTTAGCAACAATATTTCTTGAAGTCCTTTTATGGACCAGGAGCTGAGGTGGTAAACATAAATAAGACACATTCTGACCCAACAGGAATTCATGGAGACAGAAGCCCTGTAGATATGCAATACTACTGCTAATCAGCATTTGTTAGGCACTTCCTACTTGCCAAGCTCTATTCTATGAGCTTTTTCTAAAGTAACTCATTTAATCCCCCACAAAAGCTCTATGACACAGGCACTATTATTATGATGTGTATTTCTCAGATAAGGAAATGGAGTCACACAGAAGCCAGCACAGGCAGCTGGCTCTAGACCCTGGGATCCTAACCACTACTCCTCACTACAGACTTTTTCTTAATGGAAGAGAAAACCTCTTCCTGTAATCCCAGTGCCTTAAGCCAATCACAGTGATGTTTTGGGTGCTTTTTCCTGTATCTTTTTTGCACATCTTTAACAGTTGTAATAATAAAACATAATAATTTGCCTTCTTTTTGTTTGTGTCACTGAGATTTATAGCAAGAACAACTTTTCTATATCACCTTTATAATCCTCACTTTCTAGTGAGCATTAAATAAGGAACTTAATCATTATCCTAATTTTGAGAAAATGTTTCTTTATAAAAAACATTGTAATGAACATCTCTGGCTCTAAAGAATGTTTCTTATATTCGATTTTTCTCAAGCCTGAATTCTCAGAGGTAAATTTACAGAGACAAAATGTAGGAACTTTTTTTTTCTTGTTAATTGTTGGTACATACTGCAAATTTTCCCCCAAACTGTACTACAAGGCTGAATGTTTTGTCACCATCTAATCACTTATCAAGCAGAGTTTTGAAGAATGAATAAAGTATGTGAGTGAACAAAAATATAAGAAGAGTCCATGCTGATGGAAGGGAGATTATAAACAGAATGGCAAGTTCATGGAACCCCTGGAAAATAAGCAGGGAATTCTGGGATGTGAAGCTGGAGGAAGCAGAGATGAGATCGTGCAGGGGCTTCCTCACACTCCATGTTGAAGAACAGGGACTAGATTCTGGAGATAAGGGGGAACCCTCCCAAAGGTGCCAAAGAGAGCCTGTAAGGTCAGGTTTGCCAGTGAGGACAGATCTCCATGGAAGGATGAGTTGGGAGGCTGGGCTGGTGGGTGGTGGTGAGAAGGCAGTGCCCCACAGGAAACAGACCAGCAGCCACTGAGGAGTCTATAAGGAATGAGGGCAGCGGAGATGGGAATGGAGAAGCTGCGTCCGGCCAGCATGGTGGGGGATGGTTTAAACGAGGATGGAACTGACTAGGAGGGAAGAATTCAGCATGTCTCCCACATTCCTGCACTGGATGTCACCCAGCTCAGAAACGGCACCCACATGAAAGGGAAGGCTTACAGATGGGTGTGGGAGGGTGGTTAGCTGAGCTTGAACTCGGGGCACTGGGGGAGTCCCTCAGTAGGAATACCTGATGAGAAGTAGGGCTAACTGAGGACCTGGAGCCAAGAGAGGGCCTAGGAAAAGGGCTTGACTAGAAAGCTACCACTGTTCCGGGGTGAGCTGAAGCTCTGAAAGGAACATGGTGACCCAGGGAGAATGCGCCAGAGTGGGCAGAAGGTGGACAGAAATGCACCCATTTGCCAACAGGATAGGCGAGGATATGTGAGGGGAATTTGGCAAAAAAGAATGAGCAGGAGAAGTGGCCTCCAGATGACACCGTGGAACCAGGTGCAGAAAAAAATATTTTTTTAATTACTGAAAAATGTATTCTGTGACCACAGGAGCGAGAAAGAGAGGAAGAGAGGTGAATGAAGAAGGGAGGGAGGGAGGAGAGAGAAAAGGAGGAAGGGAGGGAGAAGGGAGGGAGGAAAGAAGACAAAAAGAAGTGGCCAATCACATCAAATAAGGCGGAGATTGGCCACCATCCCAAGATGAACAATATTTGACAATGATTTCACAACTCCCTGACTCTTAGTTTTCTTATCTATATAGTAGAAACTGTTACTCTGTCTTGACCAAATTTTTGTGGGGTTTGATTGAAAAGAAAACTACAAGAGGGAAAATTTCCTGTAAGCCAGTATTTTCAAAAGTGTATTTTATGAAATATTCCTTAGGGTGTTGTTGTTACATGAATGAGAGTTTCTGTGGCCTCATAAAATTAGGATGTGTGTTAGGTAGATTTCTTTGCTGCATTTCCTCTGGGCCTTTAAGGGACTCATATGCAAAGTCAGTTTCCAAGAGGGGCATCCAGTGTTTCCCAAACACATTAAGCTGTGGAACCTTTTTTTCATGGAGCACCTTGAGGAATCAGTGTCTGGAAAACCCACTCTGGGAAAGACAGTACAATGGGTTTAATGATGCCCACCTTATCATGGGAGGATTGGAGTACATAAGCAAAGTCCCTGGCAAAGGGTTGGCAGTCAGTGGATATTCATTTCTTCTTTATATCAAACAATGAAAGCAGGGGAATCATTCTAGAAAACCAAAGCTAAAATGCACAAAAATCTTAGGAGATAATCTTTGACCCTACATTCTGTAGCCTCTTCTGAGAAGCAGCTGTGATATGGGTTCAGATATTTAGTCTGCAACTTACTAGCTGTGTGAACTGGCAGGAGTTAGTTGATCTCTCTGAAAAATGATGCAGGAATAAAATCCGATAATCTAGTGTGTGCCATCAGTTACTTCTTGCTGTGTAACACATCACTCCACCTGTCAGTGGCTTGATTAACATACATTTACGTCACAGTTTCTGTTGCAAAGCAGGCCTGCTTAGCCAGATCCTCTGCTCCATGGTGTCTCATATCAAGATGATGGCCAAGGGTCTCCTCTGAAAGCTCAACTGGGAAACAATCTGTACCCAAGCTCACTGACGTGGTTGTTGGTAAGAGTCAGTTTCTCAAGGCCTCAGTCCCTTACAGGCTATGAACTGGAAACTGCCCCAGTCTCTTCCTGCCCTCTCTTCTCTAACATGGCAGCTTGCTTCATTAAACAGTGAGAGAGAGAGATAGAGAGACAGAGAGAGAATGCACTAGCAAGACTGAAGTCTTGTGTAACCTAATCATAGACACCCCCTCAATGTTCCCATATTCTCTTTTTCAGAAGTAAGTTACTCAAAAGGAGGATACTACCCACGGCTGTGAATACCAGGAGGTAGAGATCATTGGTGGCCATTTTGCAGACTGCATGTCACATAGTGAGAAAAATTTTTGCATGGTAAGTCCCTATAGAGTGGCTGGCTATTCTTATTCTTTTGAAAATCCTATCAAAATTGGTTAGTCAGTAGTACTTGCTAATTTATCACCCTAGAGAGACAAAACATCCAGGAAAATGCCAGTGGGGGAAGAAAAAACAGAAAACAGAGTAGGGGACTTGTCATTGGTGGCCTGTGGTGTACAACTTCTTGAGACAATCTTAGACTGTGACTGCAGGATCCCAGAAGGCCCTTGCTCCACAGCTTTTTACCCTCAAGGAGCCATTCTTAGAATTACACCACTAGATATCCTACTTTTGAAAGGCAAAGATAATAACAGCTCATTGTTTTAAGCATTTGACACATATTAACCCATTTAATCCTCAGAGCTGCCTTGGGAGTTAAGCTCTATTATTCCTATTTACAGATGAGGAAACTGAGGCATAAAAAGATCACATGACTAGTGAGCAGTAAAATACACATTCCAATCCAGGCTATGTGATCCCCCAACTTCATCTTAACCTTTAGAGTTTATGGTCTTTCAAGATTTGGAATGCATCGTCTCTGGTCCCTCAATGTGAATTGATTAAGGAAACCAGACTCCAGACACGCCCTAGAGATTTGGGGTGGGAGAAGAATGAGAAGTAAGAGCAGCAGAGCAAAACCCTGATGGCTTTGCCTAGAGGCACTTGCATCCATTCTGCATGTCTGTGGATGGCAGCTGGCCAAGGCTAGCTGGGTTCCTGATAAAAATTATAGGGCGTCAGGGTCCCGGTTACCCCTTTGTGCGCTCAGAAGAATTTCTTGGCCTCTCTGAACCTCACAGTAGAAAAGGAAGTACTTAAAGCTACAAAATCCCTAGGAGCCTTTCTTATGATCCAGAGTCCACAAATAACTGGGGCTGGGTGACCTTCAGAGGTTGAGCTGGGGAGTGAGCTGTGGCCCAGTCTGTAGAGATGACAATGGACCTTTTCACAGACTGAGGGCGTGTGTACTTGCAGCTCACAGCCAGGACACCTGGCAGCATGCATGCCTGCTCCTGAGCTTAGACAAGCCTGGGCCCTGCCACGTGAGCTTTTAAGGACACGATAAGATAAAATGTCTTCACATGGCATTTGAGGGACCTTGGTTGTCTCCTTACTTTCTCCACCCTTACAGAGAGAGGCAATTTACAGTGCAGAAAACAGAAAAAACTTAAGCTTTTTTTCCAAATGAGTCCTGGTGGTCACAACTCATAGACTATGAAAGCTGTCCCAGCTCTCTCCAGCCCAGTTCTGAAGACAGTGATGATGGTCTTCGTTAACGGGTGAGTTTAGCAAGAGACAGAATTCTGTACACGTGGCTGAAGAAATAACTTGGATGAAGAGCTGAGAATCCAAGACCCCAGCCCAGATTACCCACTTCATGGCAGAGGAGAGGCCGGCAGAGGAAGCCACCAGGGCTTCTGCCATTGTTGCCTTCACTTTGGGGCCAATTAACCACTAAGCCTAATTAGCTCTGCCAAGAACAAAGGCCAGGGGCAGGGAAAGAACAAAGCCTTCTCCAGGGACTTGAAGTTATTCTCCAGGCCTAATGTTTGGAAAGCCAGCCAGAAAGGCCTTGTGTCCTGCAGAACTGGAATCCAGCTCCCATGGGGAGCCATCGCATGAGTTGTCCATGGCATTCTTTGAGATGAAGAACATCGTAGCCACACTCGCACTGGTGGCACACACATCACCATAATCATCCTGCTGCCTTGAGACACAGTCCCTCGGTTACCCAACGTTTCTGTGACTTCTGAGAGTGATTCCAGTGACATCCAGGGAGCAGCAGGGTGTCAGTCTGGCATCTGGAATCAAGGAAATCAATAGACTAAGTCTTCCTGCTCCAAATGACTTCCCCAACCCCAAATAGGCAGCCTGAATTTTAAGTCAGTGTCTTCTCTGGTGTTTATATCTCTGAAGGGAAAAGAACAATTTTAAGAAGTTTTCTGACATCAGAAGCTCCTCTCTCTTTTCCTAAACTTGGGAGTCTCAGTTTAATTCCAATTTCCCCATTTCCTATCTCTGTGATCCTAGACTAGATGCTCAACCTCTCTGGGCATCAGTATTATTCTATATAAAGTCAGGGTCATCACACAAATTTTACTGGTTTGTTTTGAGCACCAAATCGTATAAAGTATACAGTGTGCCTTGGTTTTGACTGTTTCTGAATCATTTCTGCAATGATTCTCAAAGGCATTGTGGCCTTGCCTTGTCCAGTAAGTTGAGTAAGCGTCCAGGTTTCCCAAGTCTCCCCTTTTCACTATCTGTCTAGTATCCCCCAATGACCCTCACTTTGACTCACTCATGATCACTGGGGATAATTGCCAGTATGGCCCAGCCCCTTACAGTTTTCGCCACTAGCTGGCTTACCCCACGGAGCAAAGCGTGATAACTTGGCTGATTCAGAATAACACTGCTCTACTTGCTCTGTTCAATTTTGAGACCTGTTTTGGAATTTAGACACTTCTGGTAAACCATGTGTGGGGTCTCTGCTCCCTGCATCCATGCCTCCCACACTTGGGCCTGAATGGACCTGTGGCCTCGATTCATGACCCTGCATCTTCCCTCCTGCTCATCTTGCTAGTGTCTGCTTGGCTTCCCCCTCCAGCCTCCCACGCTCAGAGCTGATTCCTATTGGAGATTTTATAACTGTGACCCAGAGAATTCAGAGGCTTATAGAGGCTTGGACCAGAGAAGGGTCTTGGATTTAGAATTTAAGCCTAAGTCAGTCTAAGATAATTCCGTTTTTACCAGCTATGTGAATTTGAGCAAGTCTTGCACCCTCTCTGAGCTTCAGTTTACTCAACTGCAAAATATTTTGTATTATATGAGATAACATGCTTTGGATGTGTTGTATTAAATGAGATAACATGCTTTGCTCTACACAGCAGCCTTAAATGTTGCTCAATACACATATATATGTTTGTATTTCTTTTCTAAGCTAAGCATTTATTTGACTCTATTCCCTCTGTTCTCATTCTCCCCTCCAGCCTCTGCCACCAGCCACCTAACCCCACCAAAGGTGCCAATGGCTCACAATAGTCTGATTCAGTGGCCCTTTCTCAGTTTCTCTCTGGATCTTCTGAAACTGTCCAGCACCCTCCGTTTCTCCTAAAGGTCTCCTCTCTTGGCTTCTGCCTAAAACGTTCTTGAGGTTTCTCCATTCCCTCCTTTCTGGAAGACCCTTCTCTGTATCTGTGTCAGCCACTTGCCCTCAGCCTTTTCTCCATCACCTGTGGTTCCTTCCAGGCCCCTTGTGTCCACTGTCTACCCTTGTTCTTATCACAGTGACAACTGTCAAGGTCATTGAGGACTTACTCTGTGTCAGGCACTGCTCTGAGCACTTTGCATATAGATATCCATTTCACTCACAAATAAGGTCACAGATCCTTTCACTTTCCTTTTGCAGATAAGGAAACTGAGGCTGAGAAGGGTTAAGTGGTGTGCCTGAAGTCGATCACTCAGGGAAGCATATATAAACAGGCTGTCTGGCTGGCTCTTAACCAATTGTCTCTGAGTGATCTCATCCCCACTGAAGGCTTTTTCTACCATGCTTCCAACATCTGCCATGTTGGCCTCGCCAGCTCGACCTTTCAATTAGATTCTAGACCTGAATAGTAGTTGCCTTCAGGGCATGTCTACTTGGACGGCTTACAGGTACCTGGAGATGAATCTGAACTCATTTTCTTTCTCTACAAACCAACTCCACCCTGTCTTCTCCCACCTCACCCAAGTCAGACACCTGGAAGTGGCCTGTGCCTCCACCTCTTATCACCTCTGACAGCCAACCAAGCCACTAGTGCTGCCTCTTGAATGTTCCTCGCTTCTGCCCTCTATGCTTGGTCCCTCTGTCATTGTCTCACTTCCCACAGGCTCCATTTCTTGCTTTGGTTCCTGCAACTCCCCTAACTGCTCTCCCTGCCTCCAGTAGGACCTCCTGCAATTTATTGTCCTCTTCAGTGCCCAGGTGCTTTTTCTAAAATTCTGTGCTCTTTGCTTAAGACTCTTCTCTGGTTAATCATTACCTTAGAGATAACATCCACATTCCATATGGTGCGATCCAAGCCCATTTATCATCTGGCCCTGCTGTCTCTCAAATCTGATTCTCCACCACCCCTGACCCCACCCTCTGCTCCAGACTAATTGGATTGCTTGAGTTCTGTGGATAAATATAAAAACAACCAGCACTGGGTGCTCACTGGAAGCTACACAAATGGTTCTTTTCATCATTACAACTATCTTTGATGGAGAAATTATTAATGCCTTGCAAGTGAGGCAACTGGAGTCCGAAGAGGTCAACACATTTCTCAGAATCCTTCAAAACCATTCTGTCTAGATTCAAAAACTCATGTTCTTCACCACCACACTCTAGGACACTGGCTAATTGCTCAATGCAGACCACCTTCTTCATCTTCTTTCATCCCACTCGGTTCACTGATTTCTTTAAAGCTTAGTTCAAGGCTCAGCTCTCTGGAGAGAAGTGCTTGGCTTTTGGCCTCTGAGTTGACTCATGTCCTTATTAGTCTTGCATTTATCCTACTTCTTTCAGTTGAAAATTCCATCGTTTATAGGATGCATCTTTGACTTAACATCATCTTTGCTGTAAAACAAGCAAAAGGCCCACTCTGGTAAATGTATACAGTCTCAATCCATATCTCACTCTATATATATTAATACCATATACATATGTACACAGGATGACTCCTATGCAAATAACTAAACCCTACATTCAGTCTCTACTCACTTGACTATATTGGTCCAATTTCCAGTTCTATTAGGCTAAGCCTCTAGAGGAATTATTATCTCATGTTGATATCAACAGTGTTTGATACATAGTAGAAGCCCAGTGATCATTCCCTTGAAACTTGAATGGGTAAATAATAAGTAGCAAGAAAAGCAGCTAGCAGTTTTTGAAGCACATGCAAAGCACCAAGCATTGAGCTAGGTGTTTGCCATAGATCACCTTATTTTAATTGACGACAATAACAACTTATGAGACAGGGAGTTTTCTTATCTATGTCTTACAGATATGGAAACAAAAATCAGAGAGGTTAAGCAAGTCACTTAACATCCTACAACCAGAGTGATACAGAACTAAAATTTTACACCAGTTTGGCCGACATCAAAGTTTGAGGGTTTTTTTTTTCTTTCTTTTTTTTTTTTTTTTTTTTTTTTGAGATGGGCTGTCACTCTGTTACCCAAGCTAGAGTGCAGTGGCAGGATTTTGGCTTGGAATCTGGGCTCAAGTGATTCTCCCACCTCAGCCTGTGGAGCAGCTGGGACTGAAGGTGCCAGCTAATATTTTTATTGCTATTTGTAGACATGGGGTCTCGATATATTGCCCAGGCTGGTCTTGGACTCCTGGGCTCAAGCGATCCTGAAGCCTCAGCCTCCCAAAATGCTGGGATTACAGGCATGAGCCGCTGTGCCTAACCAACACTAAGCTGCCTTTCCAAATAATAAAGCCTCTTTCTTGCTCATCAGAAATGATGGTCAGGTTCTTACTTCCCTAACCTTCCTGCCCTCCACCCTTAGGCCAAACCTACACAGATCATTCTAGTTCTTCTTCTTTTTCTTCTTCTTCTTCTTCTTCTTCAACTTCTTCTTCTTCTTCTTCTTCTTCTTCTTCTTCTTCTTCTTCTTCTTCTTCCTCTTCCTCTTCTTCTTCTTCTTCTTCTTCTGCTTCTTCTCCTTCTTCTTCTCCCTCTTCTTCTTCTTCTTCTTCTTCTCCTTCTTCTTCTTCTTCTCCTTCTTCTTCTTCTTCTTCTTCTTCTTCTTCTTCTTCTTCTTCTTCTTCTTCGTCTTCTTCTTCTTCTTCCTTTCTTCTTCTTCTTTCTTCTTCTTCTTCTTTTTTTTGTCAGTATCCCTCTTTTTAAAAAATCACACAAAAACTTGACAGAAATTCAAGCATAGCTTGACTAGTATGAAAAATTGTAGGATTAGTATCTCCTTTGACCCATATGCCACAATCTCAATCTATTCTAACATCTTAGATATGCTGATGGTGTTTAGTGAATGTGGGGGCCACCTTATCCTCTAGGTCTTTCTGATTAAAACTCAGCCAGGGTTCATTAGTCTTCTATTTTTGTACTCCTTTCATTTGAAGTCTCTCGGAAAAAAATAACAGCAAAGAAATTGCCATATATAAACATATGCAACTTCAATCTATACTTCAAACCATACACAAAAAGTAAACTCAAAAGAGATAACAAACTGAAATGTAAAATTATAAAACTTCCAGAAGAAAACATAAGAGAAAATCCTTGTGACTTAGACAAATATTTATTAAATACGGCATCAAAAACACATGTAAAAAAATTGATAAATTGAACTTCACCAAAAGTAAACACTTCTGCTCTTAAAAAAACACTGCCAAGAAAATTTAAAAAAAGAAAAAAAAAATGCCATAGACTGGGGATAAGGGCAATATTTGCCAAACACAGATAATGAGCTTACCTAGAATATGTGTTTAAAAACATACAAACAAACCAATTAAAATTTTGAACACTTTACCGAAAAAAATATATGGACAAATAAGTATATAGAAAAAGATGCTTAACATCATTTGTCACTAGGGAAATGTAAATTTTAACCACCATGAAATACCAATACACCCATAATGGACTGGTTAAAAAAATGTTGACAATACCAAGATATGAAACTATCATGCATTGCTGGTGGGAGTGCAAACTGGTACAGCCACTTTGGATAATAGTTTCGCAGTTTCCTAAAACATTAATCATACACCTACCCTATTGCCCAGAAATGTTACTCCTTTTTGCCCAGGAGAAATGAAAACATATCACGTGCAAACTTATATATTCATGTTTGTAAAGGTTTTATTCAGAATCAAACTGAAAACAACACAAATTTCCTTTACATGATGAATGGATGAACGTTCTATAGTACATTCCTACAGCAGAATACTACTCAGGAATAAAAAGGAGCAAGCTAATAATACATGCAATAACATAGATTAACGTCAAATTCACTAAGCAAACGAAGCCAGGCACAGAAAGGCTACATAAATATAATTTTATTCATATGATACTCTGGAAAAGGCAAAACTAGAAAGATAGAAAATGGCTCAGTGACTACAGGGGCTGGCAGGGGTGGTGGGTGTGCAGGCAGGAGTTTGACCACTAAGGGAAGCCAGGGAAGTTTTGTGGCCAGTGAAATTGTTCTGCAACTTGATTTGGTTGTTGATTACAAGACAATATGCATTGTCAAAACTCATGAAACTGCAATAAAAAAGGAAAACTTTAGTGTGACGTAAATTCCTTCTCAACAAAAATTGCATTCTTCAATAGTTGAACCAGTAGTGGTGGGAAAATACAAGGTAACAATTAGTTGAACCTTTATCTAGAAACAGATAGATTTACCAGTATCTACAACTATTCTATGGATTAACTAGCTGGTTACATTTGACATAGATTTGAAGAGACATCTAAAGTTCAGAAACAATAAAACATGGAGGAATGCCTCTTAGAATCAAGCCTCTTAAATACACAAGTTAATTTTGTGATGCTCAATGCATACTTTAATGTGGCCTTGTATAGGTCTGGTTTATGAAGATTTTTTTTGATTCTGAGACCATGTTTGCCAGCTCTTTCCAATCAGCATCCCTGAAAGTCTGGCGAGCATCCCTTCTATTTCTTCCCCTAAGCAGAACGGGAAATTATTAGGGCAGCTCTTGTGGCGGACAGCAGGGTGTCCATCCGAGTGGATGCTTTCCAGCCTTTGTTCTCCTTTGGGAATTTTGCAACGGATGGAGAACAAATGCAGCGTCAGGGCTTTCGTTTCCCAAGCTGAGGTGAGATGTGGGCCTCCCTTAAGTGTCTCAGGTCCTGGCTTGGCAATGCACTTGGGCACGGTGTGTCTCTGCTGGTCTTCTCACTCTGCCAGAAGTGGAGGGTCAGCCCTGTCCAGACAATCTGGGTTAAAAGCACAATCGCTGAGCTCAGGACATGCATGTCTTGCTTCATTCCATCGTGAAAAATATCCACTCCCAATATTTCATTCTTAGTGTAGGAAACTCCACAGACATGAACTTGGAAAATAGTTTTCAGAGAATTACACCTTCGGGGGACTTCTTCCTCTTAAGGGTTTTATTGAAGGCAGTGCCTTTTGTGATGAAAACCAACAGCACCAAGGAGGGGAGATGAATATTGTGTGTCCCTGAAGTGACACCTTGAGAAGAACATGGTATTGTCTGTGGGTACCTGGCTAGGGAGGCACAACCTGAATCTAACCATGAAGAAACAGAGAACATGAAATACAGAACATGCTGTTTTTAAAAGGACTATATTCTTCAAAACTGTCAATATTATAAAATACAAAGAAAGGGTGTGGAAATGTTTTAGACTAAAAGAGACCACAGAGACATGACAATGTGTGCTGAGGGGGCAAAATGCTGAATTAACACCTAATTGAGCCAAGTTATTGATAAAATCAGAATGCTCATGGTAGGTTAGAAAAAAATATTGTCATTGTTCAGTTTACTGGGATTGACAATTGTGCTATGGTCATGTCAAAATATTGTGATTTTTAGGAAATGTACACTGAAATATTTAGGGATAAAGAGCCATGATGTGTGCAACTTACTCTCAAATGGCCCAGGAAAGAAATATTATTTGTTGAGGTTATTATCATTATTATGATTAAGCTGTTATTATTGATTAAATTGTTAAATTATTTCCAAATAAAAAGCTTTTTAAAATGTAATCCTTAAAGAGTGTCCCTGTAAAGATACTTTTAACACTGTGATCATTGTTTAATTACAGATGATGGGAAGAAGGAAGAATTAAAAATACGGTTTTCCAAGCCCTGAGAAAAACCTCTATAGACTGGATCCTTATGAAAATGTCAGTTCTAAATATCACTTGACAGATGTTTTTCCCAGGCTTTTATTGGGACGGACATCAGGCCAACTTTCTCCCACAGACAAGGTCTTCTGTGGTGGGGTAAGTCCGCTGCAGACACATGCCTGCCAATCATTTTTAACACAACAATCTCCATTTTCCCCAAGTTCCTTCAAATAAGGACTGAACATTTACTGCATTTGTGTTAACGTTTTCCCTTTTTCACTGATCGGGTTGGCCAAGCCCTTTTTGTCGCTTTTATTTTAGTTTTGGGGTACATGTGCAGGTTTGATATATAGGTAAATTACCTGTCATGGGGGTTTGGTGTACAGATTATTTCATCACCCAGGTAATCAGCATAGTACCTGATAGGGAGTTTTTTTTTTTTCACCCTCCTCCCACCCTCCACCCTCAAGTAGGACCCAGGTTATGTTGTTCCCTTCTTTGTGTCCATATGTACTCAGTGTTTAGTTCCTTCTTATACTTGAGAACATGCAGTATTTGATTTTCTGTTCCTCTGTTAGTTTGTTTAGGATAATAGCTTCCAGCTCCATCCATGTTGCTGCAAAGGTTATGATCTTGTTCTTTTTATGGCTATGTAGTATTTCCTGGTGTACATTTACCACGTTTCTTTATCCAGTCTACCATTTATGGGCATTTAGGTTGATTCCATGTCTTTGCTATTGTGAATAGTGCTACAATGAACATATGCATACATGTGTCTTTATGGTAGAATGATTTATATTCCTTTAGGTGTATACCCAATAAGGGGATTTCTGAGTTGAATGGTAATTCTGTTTTAAGTTATTTGAGAAATCACCAAACTAGTTTCCACAATGACTGAACTAATTTACATTCCAACCAACAGTGTATAAGAGTTCCCTTTCTCCAGAACTTTACCGGCATCTGTTATTTTTTCACTTTTTAATGGCAGACATTTTGACTGGTGTGAGATGGTATCTCATTGTTGTTTTGATTTGCATTTCCCTAATGATTAGTGATATTGAGCATTTTTTCATATGCTTGTTGTCCATGTGTATGTCTTCTTTTGAAAAGTTTCTGTTCATGTTCTTTGCCCACTTTATAATGAGGTTGCTTGTTTTTTGCTTGTACATTTGTTAAGGTTCCTAATAGATTCTGGCTATTAGACCTTTGTCAGATACATAGCTTGCAAATATTTTCTCTCATTCTATAAATAGTCTCCTTTCCCTGTTGATAGTTTCTTCTGGGCAATCCCTTTTTGAATATAGTCAGAGAGCTCATCAATTCATGACCTTGGGAGTCCTAAGATTTTCTTCTCTTTCCCATAGTGACTTGACTACTCACTAATATGTGGAGTGGAAGGAAGAAGAAATTACCCTAGTCCCTTGTTTTTGTAGTCCTAATAGATGTGTTCACACAGGAAGAGAGATATGCTGGTTCAGATGAAGTTTGGGAATATGGATACAATTCCATTCTTGGAGCAATTACCAAACCTCAGGAGATTAACACACTAAAAGTTTAATTATCACACTCACAAAGGTCAGTAATGATTGGGTGGCTCTTCTCTAAGTGATCACTCAGAAATTTAGGTTCCTTGACTTTTGTTTGGGTAATTTTCACTTTCAGTACGAAACCTGCAGTTGCCACTGCATGAGAAGACAGAGTGGGTAATATAGGGAGATCCACACATAGGTTCAGAAGTGGCATACATCAGTTTAGCCCACATCATACAATGCAACATCAACACTCCTCCATCAAGATTGGAGCCAGCCAGGCACAGTGGCTCATGCCTGTAATCTCAGCCCTTTGGGAGGCCAAGGCAGGCAGAGTGATTGGATCCAGGATTTCAAGACCAGTCTGGGGGACATGGTGAAACTCCGTCTCTACAAAAAATACAAAAATTAGACAGGCATGTTGGTGCATGCCTATAGTCCCCAGCTACTTGGGAAGCAGAGATGGGAGGATTGCTTGAGCCCAGGAGGCAGAGGTTACAATGAGCCGAGATCACACCACAGCACTCCAGCCTGGGTGACAGAGTAAGACCCTGTCTCAAAAAACAAACAAACAAACAAAAAAACAGTCTTCCTTCCCCTAGAACCTCGGTGGGCCTTTACAACTGCCTCAACCAGTAGAACACGGTGGAAGGGACACTGCATTACTTCTGAGGCTAGGTTATAACAGGCAATATGGCTTCACCTTGCCTCACTCTCTGTCTCTGAATGCTCACCCTTGGACCCAAGCCAGCAGCCTGGATCAACTGGTAGACATGTAAGTGAATGAGCCTCTGGCCTTTAAACCTTCCAGAGGAAGTCCTAGATGTGATGGAGCAGAAACAAGCCATCCTGCTGTGCCCTGTTAAATTTCTGACCTACACAAGGATAAGAAATAATGAATCATTAACATTGATTTAGGCTAACAAGTTTTGGAACAACTTATTACACAGTAATAGACAAGTAAGACAATGGGCACCTTGCTAATCTCTGCCTCAATTCTGTAGCCTCTCTGCAGAGAGTTGCTCATTAGGATTCCCAGACTCCCGTCTGAGAGAAAAATCATCACCACTGCTATCACCACCACAGTTATCATCAGTCACTGCATCTGTCAGCACCTCAGCAAGAAATGCAGATGATACTCTGAAAAGGGGAAATTGCATAGTGCTTTTGAAAGGATTTAGGGAACTTATTAGTGACACACACTAGGACTGGCAACAAAGGGGGGCTGTTACCACCCTGGGCCAAATGGGCAAGAAGTGGTCACCAGTTTTTTGCAGGAGCTATAACTATAGGAGAGGGACTAGCTGAAAAGAGCCAAGATTTTTCAAGTGCAAACTGAGTCACAGCAAAGAGAGACCTAGGGAAATAAAAACCCAGACTCTCTTTTCTTTCAATCTCTGACTTTTCGTTGATAGTTTCTATTGGCTATACCCAATAGTAAACCAAAGGGCACAGGAGGCTGGTTGATACAGTCCATAAGGTTCAGCCTCCCAGCAGACAAACCAGGATGACAAAGGTGGAGAGTAGACCTGGAGGAGTAATTATGAACATTTTCCACATTCATCATCATCACCATCACCATCAGCATTGTCATTATTATCATTATCATCATCATCACCATCACCATCATTGTCACCATTATCAATATTATCACCATCACCAACATCATCATTGTCACCATTATCACTATCATAATCACCATCACCATCATCATCATCACAATCATCACCATCACCATCACCAGCATTATCATCACCACTATCATCATCATCTTATACTACCTCATTATACTACCTCATGTGCTTACTACTTCTGAATTTGCAAAATAATTTCTCATGATTTTTCTGATATCATCCTCAGAAGGTCTTCCTTGCTGTATTCCCTGAGTCTAGATGAGAGTTTGTCACATAAATGGTGCTTAGTTCAATCCCACAAATATCTTTGATTGCCTACTCTATGCAAGGCTTCAGGCTAGAAACATGGGACAGAGAATAAAATTCCAAGATGAATATGTTATGTCTCATAAGATACCAAGTGTTAGGAAGGCTTAATCAGAAAACCCTTCAGAGGTTGTGGTGTTCAAGGTCCCTTTAGATGAGAGGTAGATCTCAACAGGTGTACTTAGGAGAAAATGCTCTTCCATGCCCTAGAAACCATATAAAATAGGTTTAAAAGATGAGGAAAGGCTGGGTGCGTTGACTCACACCTGTAATCCCAGCACTTTGAGAGGCCGAGGCAGGTGGACCACCTGAGGTCAGGAGTTCAAGACCAGCCTGGCCAAAATGGCAAAACCCCATCTCTACTAAAAATACAAAAGTTAGCTGGATGTGTTGGTGGGTGCCTGTAATCCCAGGTACTTGGGAGGCTGAGGCAGGAGAATCACTGGAACTCGGGAGGTGGAGGTTACAGTGAACTGAGATCGCGCCATTGCACTCCAGCCTGGATGACAAGAGTGAAACTCCATCTCAATTAAAAAAAAAAAAGATGAGGAAATAGGAATTATGTTCTGGGAGCAGAAAATATTTCAGTTTTACTGGAACACAGAACTTACAGAGATAAAATGTAAGTTATGAAATTGAAGAAGCAGTGGGTCATATAAGTCTTGGAAGCCAAGATGAGGCATTTATACTCATCACATTAGGTACAAGGAAGTCATTGATAGTTTTTGAGCACAGGAAGGAAGTATTCTAACTGTTCTTTCACAATATCAGGTTTACAGTAATAGATAGGATAAATGTGGTGAGCACAGACATGGTGTGGGGGAAATTATTTATAGGACTACTGTTCTAGTTTCAGTAAAAAGAACCTCTAAAGGGTTGCGAGGGGCAGAAATGGAATAAAAGGATGTGGCAACAGGCTGACAGTGTGAGATCGAAGAAAGAACCAAGAAAGATGGCTCTTTTTACAGCCAGTCACTTCTGGGCATGGAGGATGCCACTTGTTCAACATCACAAGGATTTATCATGCAATTGTTTTGTGCCAGGCACTGCTCTTGACTATGTAAACACAGCAGGAAGCAAGACAGAAAAAACACAATCTCTCTTTCCACCCAGGTTCCATAAGAGATGCACAAGCAGGAAATTCAGGACTAAGAGATTGCACACGGGTTTTCCTCTGCCTGAAATATCCTTCCTCTTATCTCCTTTACCTAGAAAACACCTCCTCATCCCTTAAAACCACCCAACTCCCCAATTTAAACATTTGTCCCTGATTCTTTCATTGAACTTTGCTCATTCTTCCGGCACTTCCCTTGAGAGACAACTAGGTTTTTTTGGGTAAGAAAAACTTTTATAATCGTAGTAGCTTGTGAAAAGTCTCTTGGAGGTTGTGTTGAAACTATGAGTTCAAACCATTAGTAAGTCAAAAATCTGTAAAATTTCATCAGTTTATCAGGGTTGAAGCTCATTATTTGTCCTAAGAGTTTGGAAACATAGAGGACCCTGCCAACCATCCACCTCCTCATGCTCACCCCAGATGGAATCCCACGGGTATGTTATGCAGCATGATGCCTGTGCATGCAATCTCTGGGCCTGCTGGGTGATATTTGTCCCTGTCATTCTGTTCTCACTCACTGGACTAAGGCAGCAGGTGCATGTGGGTCTGGGGCACATGGACAATCAGCACAGCCCTTGGGGTCAAGCTGACTTGAGTTGAAATTGAGGCTTTTCTACCTGAGCCTCAAGGCCTTGGACAAGGATCTCAATGCTGTGGAGCCTCAGCTTTTTTTTTTTTTTTAACCTGTTAAGGAGGAAGAAGAAAGCCTGACTCTCGAGTTCCTAGGAGAATTAAATAGTGTGATGAATACAAAGCTCCTGGCCCATTGCAGGCATTTAACAAGTGGTGTGCTTTTATGTGGGTCAGATAGGATTTTCACAAATAGCAAGGGCATTCTGGAAGTTGAAAAACACTCTGATGACAACAATAACCTGCAGGCTATCGGGCATATGTGAAAAGGGAAGAAAGTGGTTCCAGTGGGGAAGAGGGCAGTGGAAGGTGGAGAGCCTATGACAGTGCTGGCACCAGCCACCATGGCACTATATCCTGAAAATTTAGTTATGGCCTAGGTAGACTTTTCATTACTTAATGGGCAAAAAATGACAAAATGCGTGTTGAAGTTTCATTCATGCATTGATTCAACAAATATTTATTCAGTGCCTACTATGTGCCAGGCACTATTTACAACAGTGAATAAGACAGAGAAAACCATTGCTCTCTGGAAGATTTCATCCTAGTGATGGGAGACAAATAAGAAGCAAATATAGAAGCAAAATATCAGAGTCGTGAGTGCTTTGAGGAGCAATGAAGCATGGGTGCGGTAAGTTGAGTGGAGCCAGGACTGGGCCTCATCTTTCAGCAGGCTCGGGGACCCCCACGACCCTTCTGAACCTGAATGTTCTGGTGGACAGCAGCCACCGCAAAGTCTGGGCCCATCCTGCTTCTTTCCCAGTCGTGGTTTGCAGCTAGCCTTCGGGAATCAGTTCCCAGTCATCACACATACTTTCCCCAAAACTTGCAGCTTTATTAAAGAAAATCTTCATGACAGGAAAATACGTGTGGCTATGGAGGAGCACAAATAAAAATTTAAAATAAATTAAAAACTGAACAAGTGTATTTGTCCCTGGATTCCAGGGAAAATTCCAGACGCGCCCACAGCCGGTGGCAGCATTGATCCTCAGCCCAGGTGGTCAACAAAAGAAGAACTCAGGCACACTTCCCTGGGGCAGGAGTAAAGGAACACACTGTGCACACCTAACAAGAAATGACAGGCAGGTGTGAGACAGAAGGTTCCAGAAGTAGAGCAGAGGCAGGACACAAGATGGTCCAAGGCTCAGCCAGAGGGAAGGTTACCTGCTGCATTTGGGTCTACAGTCCTTGGTCCTATAGCTGTCAGCAGAGGTGCTATATTAGTCCGTTTTCATGCTGCTGATAAAGACATACCTGAGACTGGGAAGAAATAAAGGTTTAATGGACTTACAGTTCCATGTGTCTGGGGACGCCTCACAAGCATGGCAGAAGGTGAACAGCACATCTCACATGGCAGCAGACAAGAAAAGAAAGAGAGTTAGTGCAGGGGAATTCCTCTTATTAAAACCATCAGTTGTCATGAGACTTACTCACTATCATGAGAACAGCACAGGAAAGGCTTGCCCCATGATTCAATTGCCTCCCATCGAGTCCCTTCCACAACACGTGGGAATTCAAGATTAAATTTGGGTGGGGACACAGCCAAACCATATCATTCCGCCCTGGCCCCTCCCAAATCTTACATCCTTACATTTCAAAACTAATCATACCTTCCCAGCAGTCCCCAAAAGTCTTAACTCATTTCAGCATTAACTTAGAAATCCACAGTCCAAAGTCTCATCTGAGACAAGGCAAGTCCCTTCCACCTATGAACCTGTAAAATCAAAAGCAGATTAGTTACTTTCTAGATACAGTGGGGGTACAGGCATTGGGTAAATACACTGAGGATGCCATGAGGCGTCCCCAGCCACATGGAACTATAAGTCCATTAAACCTTTATTTCTTCTTGCAGACTCTCATTACAAATGAGATAAATTGGCCAAAACAAAGGGGCTACAGGCCCCATGCAAGTCTGAAATTCAGCAGGGAGTCAAATCTTAAAGCTCCAAAATGATCTCCTTTGATTTCGTGTCTCACATTCAGGTCACACTGATGCAAGAGGTGGGTTCTCATGGTCTTGGGCAGCTCCACCCTTGTGGTTTTTCAGGTTACAGCCTTGCTCCTGGCTGCTTTCATAGGCTGGCATTGAGTGTCTGCAGCTTTTCTGGGTGCACAGTGCAAGCTGTGGGTGGATCTACCATTTTGGGGTCTGAAGGACAGTCGTCCTCTTCTCACAGCTCCACTAGGCAGTGCCCCAGTAGATACTCTGTGTGAGGGCTCCAATCCCACATTTCCCTTCTGCCCTAGCAGAGGTTCTCCATGAGGGCCCCACCCCTGCAGCAAACTTATCCCTGGACATCCAGGCATTTCCATACATCTTCTGAAACCTGGGTGAATGTTCCCAAACCTCAATTCTTGATTTCTGTGCACCCACAGGCTCAACACCAGGTGGAAGCTGCCAAGGCTTGAGGCTTGCACCCTCTGAAGGCACAGCCTGAGCTCTATGTTGGCCCCTTTCAGCCATGGCTGGGGCAGCTGGGATGCAGGGCACCATGTTCCTAGGCTGCACACAGCACGGGGACCCTGGACCTGGCCCGCAAAACTACTTTTTCCTCCTAGGCCTCTGGGCTTGTGATGGGAGGGGCTGCTGTGAAGACCTCTGACATGTCCTGGAGACATTTTCCCCATTGTCTTGGGGATTAACATTCGGTTTCTCATTACTTATGCAAATTTCTGCAGGTGACTTGAATTTCTTCTCAGAAAACAGGATTTTCTTCTCTATCACATTGTCAGGTTGCAAATTTTCTGAACTTTAATGCTCTGCTTCTTTTATAAAACTGAATGCTTTTAACAGCACCAAAGTCACATCTTGAATGCTTTGCTGCTTAGAAATTTCTTCCACCAATATCTTAAATTAACTTTTTCAAGTTCAAAGTTCCACAAATCTCTAGGGCAGAGGCAAAATGCCACCAGTCTCTTTGCTAAAACATAACAAGAGTCACCTTTGCTCCAGTTCCTAACAAGCTCCTTATCTCCATATGAGACCACCTCAGCCTGGACCTTATTGTTCATATCACTCTCAACAGTTTTGTCAAAGCCATTCAACAAGTCTCTTGGAAGTTCCAAACTTTCCCACATTTTTCTATCTTCTTCTGAGCCCTCCAAACTGTTTCAATCTCTGCCTGTTACCCAGTTCTAAAGTTGCTTCCATATTTTTGGGTAACTTTTCAGCAACACCCCACTCTATTGGTACCAATTTACTGTATTAGTCAGGTTTCATGCTGCTGATAAGACATAACTGAAATTGGGAAGAAAAAAGGTTTAGCGGACTTACATTTCCATGGGGCTGGGGACACCTCACAATCATGGCAGAAGGTGAAAGGCATGTCTTACGTGGCAGCAGACAGGAGAAGAGAGCTCGTGTGGGAGATTTCCTCTTTTTAAAACCATCAGATCTCATGAGACATTCATTGTCATGAGAACAGCATGGGAAAGACTTGCCCCCATGATTCAATTACCTCCCACTGGGTCTTTCCCACAACATGTGGGAATTCAAGATAAGATTTGGGTGGGGACACAGCCAAACCATATCAGGCACCTCTGATGGCTTCTTGCAGACCCTCTCTGGAGGAGCACTCAAGACCAAGAAGGGCAGGAGACTATCAGGACCACTTGAGAAGGCTGCTGCTTGATTTCCCCGCTCCATGCTAGCGCCCTTCATCCATGCTCCACACAGAAGCATTTGCACTCAATACTCCTCACACCCTTCACCTTCCCTCCCCACTGTGCCTACCCTTACCCCTCACCCACTCTGAAGTCAAATTCCTGAGGACAGCCTGTCTCCCTGGCTTTTCCTTCAGCCTGACACTCAGTCCAGGAGATGCTTAAAAGCTGGGCTCTGTCATGTTGCCTTAGGCAAACCATGCAGGCAACTCACACTTCAGCTCCCTCTTCTGTAAAGTGGAAATGCTAATTCCTCTGAGGCATTTGTGAAGAATAAGTAGAAAACTAACATGTAAAGGATTCAGCATAGTGACTGGCACACAGCAAGTGGTGAGCACATGTTTGCTATTAGGGCTGATACTGGAGCTATTGAATTGCTTGGGCTCCCTGCATGGTGCTGTCACTCACATACCTGGGCCATGCTCAGTGCCACCCATCACCTGGCAGGGGCTTCATCTTCAGAACTCAAAGGCTAGCTTCCTGGACCCTCCAGCTTCACCTAAATGCTTCCCTTTAGTTATCTCAGGTACCAGATCACCCTTCTAGCATAGCACCGTCCTTTTCAAAATTGACAGTATCTGTTTATATATCTAAACCTTCCCTCCATAATATAAACTCCAGAAGGTGAGGAAATGTGTCTGATCCATCTTGGCATCTCCATTATGGAGCAAATTGACTTGTATTGAGGGACACAGAGAGATGGACAGTCAGAGGGAGAGGCAAAGCTAATAAAATTCCCAATTTATTTTCCACCAATACCCCCCTATGCATTGTTAATAAAAACACACACACACACACGCAGAAACACACACACACAGAATAAATAAAATGTATATATTTCCATCTTGTTCCAAGTAAATCATTCCATATCCTCAGCCATAACATTTTAATAAAGATAAAATTAATTTAAAATAGATAATTTAGTTGACTCATGTGCCCAAATACATAGATTTTGCAAGTAGCTATTGTGACAATAGCAGCTAATATTTATTGAAAACGTACTATGTGCCAGGAAAGATGCTAAGGGCACCATCTTTTTAACTAAATTGGTCATCCCAACAAGCTGCAAGAGGATGTTGATGTCCTGATTTTATACTTTGTGAAATAGATCCAGAGATGTTAAGGAGGTGCTCAAGGTCACACAGCATAGTACAGCACTTGAAATTAGTTTTTTTTTTCTCTCTTTTGTGTTATGAGTTGAAGTGGATCCCTAAAAATGACATAAGCCCCAGTGGTCCAGGCACAGTGCCAGCTTTATCCAGCATAGTGGGCACTGAGTTGGGTTTATTTTCATTTAAAAAATGGACAAGAAGCCTGGGCAACATGGTGAAACCCTGTCTCCACAAAAAATACAAAAATTAGCCCAGCAAGGTGGCCTAGGGCTCTTGTCCTGGCTACGCAGGAGGCTAAGGTGGGAGAATCACTTTAGCCCCGGAGACAGAGGTTGCAGTGAGCTGAGGTTGCGCCACTGCACTCCAGCCTGGGCAATAAAGAGAGACCCTATCTCAAAAAATGAATAAATAAATAGTTAAAATAAAATAAGATAAGAGAGGTTGAATGCTGGTTTGAGGCCACATACCTTAGAGGACTGGCTGGTTCACAGACATCTTTTCACTGCATGCCAAGCTAAGTCAAATAAGCTAGAGTGACAGTAGAATCCCAATCTATGACTTCTGGTGTTCTAGGTCTTGTAACCTAAGCAGGAGGTTGGAAGTGGGAAGATGCTGAACCTTCAGGGAAGGTGTTGTCAGCGAGGAGGTCGGCATGGGATTTTTGTGGTGAGGAATGAGACTAAAACAGTAGTTTGAGATCAAATGGAGGATGGTGGAGAAGTAAGTTTAGAATTTCTTTTTCTTTCTTTCCTTTTCTTCTTTTTTGACAGGATCCTGATGTGCCACCTAGGCTGGAGTGCAGGGACACGATCACAGCTTACTGTAGCCTCAGCCTCCTGAGGAGCTGGGACTACAGACACTTGCCACCATGCTTGGCTATTTTTTTTTTTTAGACAGTGTCTGTCCATGTTTCCCAGGCTGAAGTTTAGAACTTCTTGCTGGGGAAACCTCTTATGCAGGTCAATCAAGGTGCTGAACATGAACGTTTTAGGTAAAGATGGTTAAGGAGACCGACGTGACAGAGCAAATATTACAAAAGGAGAGCTGACAGTACATACGGAACCTTAGGAGATACAAAGGGGTGGGTGAGGGAAGGATTCATTCTTTAGAGATACTGTGTCTGAGGGGATGATGGGGCCTCCAGGTAGGGAGGTCTGGCGAGCAGCTGAAGAGGGGAGGAAGGCAGGAAATGTGGAGTGCCTCCTACACAGAGCTGAGGACTGCAGAGAGAGCAGAGGAAGTTTGTCTGCTCAAGATGGAGAAGTCAAGAGAAAGAAGAGCATGGGGCTTAATCTGGGCCCAGAGCTGCTCCCCATGCATGGATGGAAGGAGGCTGGGCAGTTCATTAAGGATGTGACTGCAGCTTCAGAAGAAAACCAGCAACCGCAGCATCATGGAAGTGTGGGGGCAAGAGAGCTTCAAGGAGAGGCTGATCAACCATATCCACTACTGCCACAGTCACAGATAATGTCACTAGAGAGATGGCCACTAGGTTTGTCATTCAGAGGTCAACCTTTTTCAGTGCCTTTTGGCAAACAAAATGGTAGAGATTTGAGAAAGGACTCTGGATAGTATCAAGGGAGTAGAAGCATCCTGTACAGAGGACTTCTTCAACCAGGTCAGCAGTCACCAAGAGGAGGGAGATTGAGGAGAGTCTAGAGGAAGAGCATGTGGCCCCAATGGATCGGAAGATGGCCACTCCAGACTCCAGTCTATCTCTAACATTAAACTCCTGAGAGATTTGGGGCAAATATCTTCATGAAGGTGAGCCTCTATTTTCTCATTTGTTTATTTTGGAAAAATTAAAGAGAATAGTATATCACATCACACAGTTCCCACAATACCAGCCCATGCCAATCCTGATTCATCACTACTCAACACGCTTTGTCCTCCCACTGGTTTATTTGCAAGTTCATTCGAGATATGAAATCATTTCTTCCTTAAATAATCTTTTGAATTTTTCTCCAACAGATACAGTCATTTAAAAGTATAATTTGGGAGGCTGAGGTGGGTGGATCACGAGGTCAGGAGATTGAGACCACCCTGGCCAACATGGTGAAACCCCATCTCTATTAAAAATACAAAAATTAGCTGGGTGTGCTGGTGTGTGCCTGTAATCCCAGCCACTTGGGAGGCTGAGGCAGGAGAATAGCTTGAACCCGGGAGGCAGAGATTGCAGTGAGCAGAGATCATGCCACTGCACTCCAGCCTGGTGACAGAATGAGACTCCATCTCAAAAAAAAAAAATAAAAGTATAGCCACATAGCATTACTACATCTAAAAAGTTAACAGGAATTTCTGAATAGCACCTAAGTGTTCAAAGTTCCCCCTTTTTCTCACACTATTTGAGGGTAAGGCAGAGTTGCTTTATTAAAATCAAGATCCAAAGGTCTACACATGATCCACACATGACCTTTGGCTAACATGTGTTTCTCTCTTTTACATCTGTAAATTTTCTCTCTCTGTGTCTTTCTTCTTGATGCTTATTTGTTGAAGAAACAAGGTAATATGTCCTGTAGAGTTTCCCACCATGTGGATCTCACTGGTGCCATCTACATGGTGCCATTTAATAGGTTCCTCTGTTCCCTGTATGTTCTGTCAGCTGGAAGTTAGACCTGAGGATTGCTGCAGTCCATATTTGATTTTTGTCGAAAAATGTTGTGTATTTTCTAATGCATCACGTATGTACAAGTTTCTCATGGTCTCTTTTTTTTGTGATGTTCAGATGGATGTGTGGGTTCAGAGACCATCTACTCAATCAATCCACAGTAAATTCCCAATACTTTTACTATGTTGTCAAGAAACTTTAAGTTCTTACTATCTTACAAACCATCTAATCCATTTTGACTAGCAGAAAATTCAAGACTCTACATTAAGTAGATCAAGACATACAAAATACCAATGTCTTAAATATAAAAATTATATCATTTCCATGATGAACTATGGTCAATTTTTCAAAAATGGAAGCAATGTTCAGAATGTGGTCTGTCAATGAAATGGAAATAATAAGTATGGAATATCTCAAACAAGCAAACAAACAAAAAAACGGATATTCAGCCAGGCATGGCGGCAAGTGCCTGTAGTCCCAGCTATTCAGGAGGCCCAAGCTGGAGGATGGCTTGAGTCTCAGAATTGGAGGCTGCAGTGAGCTATGATCACATGACTGTACTTCAGCCTGGGTGACAGAGAGAAATGCTATCTCTGGAAAAAAAAAAAGTATGAATGATTGTTGTGGGGGGAGCAGCTTGCACAAACTATCCGTCTAGGAGGATATTAGCAGATCCCTGTAGACGCAAACTATTTCTAACAACACAGGAGGTGCTAGAAGCTGATGCTGGAGGTTACTGACAGTAACTAATGTGGAGATTTTCCTTATCATAAAGGGCCTGCACTAGATGCTGGCAGAGAGAATGGAAAACTAGGTGTATTTTTTTTAGATATTCCATACCTATTATTTCCATTTCATTGACAGACCACATTCTGAACATTGCTTTCATTTTTGAAAAATTGAAGGAAGAACTGAAAGGATTTGGTAAATAATTTTAAAAAGAGAGAGTGGAGATATCACCAATACCTTGACCAACTAACTCTTAAGTAACAAAAGAATGTGAATTGGGAGTTTCATAAAAATATGAAAAATATCCTGCAGATTTAGGCCAACGGACACCCCACCTTGTATTCCTCTACCTTGTGGATAACTATCATGGTCTGTTATATAACCCCAGAAATTTCCCTAAGCCATCAGAATCCACCCCTCATCTCTAAATATTTTTTATAACACTGCTCATAAATAAGAAGTAGAGCCATTGCTTGGAGGTAGTCTATAAAGCAGAGGCATGGGGCAAATGGCATTTTGAAGCAAAACAAAAAGTTTTCAATTTATCAGGAAAGAAAAAAAAAACAAATCAGACCCTGCATAACAAATTGGTTATATAAATACTCTGCGGTTGGGAGAGCTGCCAATACCCCTGCACATACAGATAATTTTGTAGGAGAAAGTAAAAATTTTGATCAACACCAGCAGAGCCTAATAGGCTGGAAGCCTGAGGCCTGACAAAGAGGCAGGAGGCACACCAGAAAACCCCTCTAACCTTGGAGGTGAGAAAGAAGGCAAAGGGAGGGAGGAGGCGAAACCTAGAAATAAAGATCTGGGAGAAACAACCCAATCTTGGAGCGAGCCCCAAAAATGCTTGTTAGAAGACCCACATTGAACAAAAGATCTAAATCTCATCATTTTGGTCTAAGATTTCAATGGAGAATTTCCCCACCCTCACCCAGTCCCTGCCAACCTGTTGTTACCCATCCAGCAGGACAAGGGGCTTACCGCTGCCAGCTGCCTCTCTAAGAGGAATTTCAACCACAAATGCTGGCATTTGACCAGAGACGGCCCACATGGGCATGCAGAATTAGGTCTTCATTGGAATAACTGAGCAGAAGAGCTGGGGCCTGGAAAGAGACTTCCTGGACATCCCAGGGCCCTTGTAGTGGCCAGGCCACTGTCTTGAGACCTCAGGTTCTGTCCAGGAGGGTACTGTGGTCTGGTGTGGAAGGGGTCAATATTTCCTATAAAGAAGGAGTGTTTTAAGGGTGATAAGAACTCAGCCATCTCTTCCCTATTTAAGAGGAAGTCGGTGTGAGTCCTTGGGCCCAGAGTTACATGGAAAAAGATATCGGTTCTTGTAAGAAAGTAGGCTTTGCACCACAGAAGGAGGCATTTGCAATGCAGAGACCGGAAAGGAGAAAAGAGGGTGACGTGTGCTCCATAGAGAGCAGCAGGGGAGCAGATCAGGATCCCCACCCCTTCTCCTGAGAGTACTCGAGCCTCACTTGAGACAAATTCTTAAGATAATCATAAAAATCCATAGCAACTTTGTTGATGTTGGGGTTTGCACTGAGATTCCAAATCAAGAGGCTGGGCAAGCGAAACAGGTTCGGATTTCTTTCACACAGCAGGTGAAAGAATGTAAGAACTCCTGGTCAAAGTCAAGAGCCCGGCACTGCCTGCTCTGGTCACATCTATTCTGCCCCACATTTCTATAACAGGAAATTAGGCCAAAATGCATCTCCAGCATCATTCACTTCCAAAATGCTCTCCATAACAAACTTTTTCACAATGGTCTGTGAAATTGTTTGTTCTGTTTATCCTCCGATGGAGGAGAGAAACTGAGTCCAATAGATGAGTTGGCATTTCCAAGCCTTTCACCCATGTCTGGGGCCATGAGGATGAAAATGCACCCACACCTCAAGTAAATGCTGTATCAGTGTTTCAGCACAAAAAAGAATAAGATGCTTTTGAGAGTGTGTGGCAAGTGATCTGAGTCATGAGGTCTCCAGAACCCTGATTTGAACAGTAAAATGAAGGAAATAGCCAAAGGCCTCTCCTATGCTGCTCCTCCGGTATTGACTGCCTGGACAGCACTACAGCCTTGGGGAGACAGATGCTCACAAGACAATTCTCTGCTGGAAACCGGAAGGCTGTGTGTGTGTGTGTGTGTGTGTGTGCGTGTGCAGCCTCAGACAGGTGACCTCGGAAAGCAGGAGTGAGGCCTTGGGGAAGTTGAGGCTGGCAAGAAGGAAAAGTCAACTCTGGGAAGCATCATTAGGCTGGTCATGGCCACAAGCAGCAGGGGCTCCAGCCAGCCAGCACCCTGTGAGGAGCCAAGTGGAATGCCGGCCAGAAGCATCCCCAGGGGAGCACAGGTGAGGGAAGCACGTACCCCACCCCCAGGGCTTGGGGCTTGCCCTGAGCGTTGACTTTGTGTCACTCTGGCCTGCACACACACAGGCCAGGCACATGGTGCCTCCCAAGAGCAGAAATCAAAATTCTATGTCAATGCCAAGTGCTTCTTGGCCGAGGGTACCGTTCCCCATGGCCACAGCAGGGATGCCAGGTGAGACTAGAGGAACCTAAGCCTGGGGGGTCCCCAAAGTCGGGTCCCCAAAGTCGGGTCCCCAAAGTCATCACCCAACAAATCTTTTCTTTCTTCTTAAAAACACATGTACTCATCATTCTGGAAGATGCCCTGACATTCCAAGTTTGGCCTGCACACTCTGTTCTCACACCGGCCCTGCCATCCCTACTACGCTCCATCCTCTTTGCTCCTTCTTGTCTAGCAGAAGGGAGCAGGAGCCTGCCTGCCAGCTGTGTCTCCTAAGGCAGCCCTGGCTGGGCTTCTCTCCCCTCTGCCTGTAAGGCCCAATGTTCAGATGTCAAGGGTCTGTCTTTTTATAGAAACAAAGAGCCATGCAGAATCACTGTTTTTGGGATTGCTGTCCTTGCAGCTGTGATGAAAGTCGATGACTTTCCAATCATTTCCTCTAACTTCTGAAGGGCTGGAGTAGCAAATGCCCCTTCCCCTCTTTTGCATGTTTGCAGGATGGGAGTTTCAGATGTTGTTTACCTGCCAGACGTGGAGTGGAGGCTTCCCAAAGCAGCATGATGTACCCACTTCGGGGCCACATGGTAACGGGGACTGAGAGAACAGGGCATCTTTTCTAAGACGGACCGAGCCAATCTGAGCAGTCTGGCCCTGCCTGCAAAGTCTGTGTGGCCTTAGGAACGTAATTTAACCTCCATGGGCTCCATTTGTTTCTGTTTGAGACCCTCTTCCTAATTGTGCCCGTGGTGCCTAGTTCATAATCAGTTCTCAGTTCATGGTGGCCCCCCTTCATCCCCCAAATGTCAAAGTCTCCAGCTTCCCATTTCCCTTCCATTCCTGACTCTAAGTCCTTAAATTGGGTGACCATTAATATTACTGCTAGGAGCATTTTCAGAGCACTTTACATTTACAGCGTTTTTTCCTTCCCAAATTGTTCTCGGTCCTTTCTTCGGAATAGGTATTAAAAACACCTCATTGGACAAATTCCTTTCCTTAGAAGATACATCATGAATATGGTTGGAGAAGGCAGGATCATAATTCGGAGAATTCAGGGTTGATTTCCCTTACCTTCCTGCTCTTTTGCTGTAAAGTCCGGAGCCCCAGGAAGTGCCGCCAAACTACCCCTTATTTTCCCTCCAAGAGCAGGGCAGAATAAATTGCTATTTTGTTTGGTTTTGTTTCTCATATACAAGGCCTCCCAGGCCCTGGAACCTAGGCTACTGGCATTTTAATTAATGTTAATGACTGGGATGACCTCCTCCCCATTGAATCTGAGTAAGGGAAATAAACAGGCAAACCCGAACAAAGCCATGTGCGGATGTGGTACCCTCTAGAAAAGCTGACCTCTCCGATGGCTGGCCAGGGTCTCTAACCAGGCCCATACTCCTTCCTCATATACCCCCAATTTTGAATTTTTTTAGTTCAAATAGAAATTGGTTGCAGGGGGAAGCAGGTAGATTTCCTCCTTTAATACATAAATGATTCTGGGTCCTCGGAATCAGAATCCCCACTTTCTTATTACTAGGAGCATTTTTACTCTGAGATCAATACAACCAGAATGTGTCCAACCATAACTTTACAACAACAGAAAAGATACATAGCAAATGCCTTCAAATACCTGGAATCTGGCCTTGAAATCGACCTGGCATTTAAATCGACATGTATATCCCAGTTGGGTCAAAACATAGTCAAGGTTTCCCCCAGAGATACTCTGTTTCATTTTCCTTTTCAAGTAAATTTCTATTTTTCCCCCCAACCTTTACAGCTTAAGCGTTTTATCCAGTTTAAACGTTAGGGATTTAAATTGCTATTTTAGTGGAAGAGGCTTGATTAAAACCTGTGTCCTCATCAAATTATTGGACAGTGGTTCTTGGGCTCTGTTTACATTAGTGTCAACCTTAATTTAAATTCCGCATAACTATATTTGCTTCGCTAAATGCATTCACCAGGAACACACCACAAATTACTTTGCATTATGAGCCGAGTCTCTTTGTCTATTGCAAAGTGTTTTGAAATTAGCACCATAAGTAACTAGCTGTAAGTGTCACTCCATCTCCTTAATGCCTCATTAATCAAACTCCATGGCAGCTGATGTGATGTCCAAGCCCCTAACATATAAGATCAGTATCATTTACTCCTTGCATTTGACCACGGTCTTTAAACTTGATTTGTTATTTGTGCATTTGCCCTCGCTGGAGCTCTGCTCCTCCCTCAGTGGCCTCCCAACACGTGGGGCTTTGTATGGATACCAGTTGCATGTGTACTCTTTGCAGAAATTGGAAATAAAAACCCATTTCCCATGTTGTGGAAATGCATAGCCTCAAAGTCAGGAAATTCTTTTAATGGAAGAAGAGTTCCACTTATTCCCCTGAGTTATCCACAGTGATTCCCCATGATTTTCAGATTAATGCTAAAATGCCATAATGGAAAAATTTCCCTGGGCAAGTTTTTCTCTATGTCAAGAATTAGAGAAAGGAATTACGTTCACCCAGGCAGACTACAATTTCCATCTTGGCCTCAGTTCCCCAAAAAACCAGATACATTTAGTCTAAGCACTTAATCAGGAAAAAAAAATGTATTTTTCCCTTATTATGTGATACGAATTATTCTGTACTAAATACAAAATTTTAGAATTTATGCTTGCAAAGAAATACAGAACAATTTATACTTAATAATTTTATTACATGTACACACAAAATCATAGCAAAATATGATATATTTTATAGGATTTTTTTGTCTTTTCATGATGCCATCGAATATTTGCAAATGCCTAAATGGAACCCTTTCTTCATTCTCCACACAAGTCCAAAAACACAAACACACACGCACACACATACACCTATACACATGCATCCTTTTAACCAAAGGTAATACTCACTGGTGTTAAAACTAACAGCTCTACTGGACAATGGCTTCATGGACATTTTAGAGGCAGTCTTAAGTCTGCTGTGGGCACAGGCATGTCGGATATGATTTCCCTGCAGGGATGCCCTCTCGGTGGCTGTGGGGGATGCTTGCGGCCCCTCGCCTGCCAGCGCTGAGCTCAGCCTCACAGTGAGCCGAGATGAACAGGTGCTCTCTTCTCTGGCGGCGGCGGCACGTGAGGTCGGCTCCTTGCAGAACAGCGTCTCAGTGGGAGACCTTTAGCTTCACGGCCTTTCCTTCTGACCACCCAGCAGGAAAAATATACGAAAGCGTTTTTTTCTGCCAGTTTTGTCGATGAGACAAAATACAAAAACAAAAAAACACACAGCATTAAAACTTTGTATTTCCCACAGGTGGGCTTTGGAAATGTTTACCACAGTCATAGTAAAACACTAGTTTTCTTCGGAATTAAATTTTTTGCCTTTCCACCTTATAAAACCATTCAGGCTAAATAACCACATTACAATAGAATTAAACATTGAAGCCTGGCTCCCGAAATCAACATCAGTGGGAAAACCCACTGATTCGGAACACACACCCAACAGTGCAAATCTATGTTAGATTTTGAATTTAATATCAACTTAATGTGACTGTAGTTTATATTATTATCACATCTACTTTCTTTTATATTTAAAATAGGCTCTGATTTTAGAAGAGCAAATGTAAAAAATATTTTGATTATTTGTTGATGACATTTACTCTGATTATAGGTGTAATCTATGGCAATTCCAAAAGTACCTTGTATGTCCCATCTCCAGTTCATCCTGCTTTTACCCTGAGTCCAGCAACCTCTATTCATTAGGATTCTGAACAAAATAAGCATGAAAGGGGAAATCCAAAATAATATTCAGAAGTGGCAAATCATAACTGAACATAGTTTTAAACTTGACAATTTAAAACTTTTGCCTCTTTTCAGCAGCCAGAAGAAGTCTGGTTATTTTAAGTCAAAATCTCTGCCCCAAAACCTCCTTTCCCTGCACTCCATGAACACCTCTCTCCCTTTTCCCCAAAGGCAACATTTTGGCTTGGCAAGCAATACACATCAATGAACCCTTCCATTTAAATGTCCCACAAAGATTGCATCCGATCACAGCTTGCAAGAAAGAAAGAAAGGAAAGAAAGAAAGAAAGAAAGAAAGAAAGAAAGAAAGAAAGAAAGAGAAATCAGACATAGGCAGTGTCAAATGTCTTATACGTCCGCCCCCTCTGTTCTTCCATTCTCTCCCTCACCATCCTCTTGTAAAATAAAAGAGAGCCGAGCATAACTTGTTACAGTAAAGGCACCCCGAGATTTAGGGGGATAAGTACGGCCTACTTGTTATCTGCAATGCTGCAGCTGTGCTTTTATCTGGCCAAAGGAGACAGGGGACAACAAAAGATCCCAAAGAAGGGACAGTGGACGCATGGGAAAACCACTACCCCAGCATTGTGGTGCCCTTCTGCTGAGCAAATAGTTCAAACTGTTCATTCCCATCTTCTATTCTCTCCCTGGTACATTGTTTGTGCCCTTGCATTTCATTCTGCAAGGAAGGTTGCTCTCTGGGCCTATAAGCAAACAGTCCAGAAAAGGGCTAGCCATCCTCTTCTCTTCCCCGGAGAACTAGCATTTTTATTTCGGCTCCAAGCTGTCAAAGATCTGGAGAGTTTATGTCAGTGTCCTGAATTAATTGCTTTAAGCTGGAGCAAGCTCCACGGGCTACCAAATGTCCAAAAGATGTTTATTAATAACATTTCCTCCAGGATCATGGCTCCAAGCTGTCTCTGGGTGGTGGCTTTTCTATGCTGCCACCCTCTCACCCCTGGCCTCTTAATGCTCAGGAGGGGATTGCCTCTTTCAGTCATCATGACAAAATTTAGAATTGCCCGGGATGAAATAAATATCCACCTATGTCACAGGGTGTGCACGGCGGATATCTTTGTCCTGACTCAGAAAGAGTTATAGAAGCCCTGTGTGCAACCTACAAGTGGTCTGGGGGAGAGCAAAAAGCAGCCAGGACCCCCCTCTGTGAAAGCTCATTTAGCCAATACAATTAGCAAAAGGAGCAGGAGAAATCGGGGCTTTGGCTTCCCCTCCCTACCTCCTCCTCCAAAAGAAAATTCAGTGAGGCTGACAACACAATGCATTTTGAAGTTTTCCTGGTACCAAAAAAAAGCCTCTTTAATAGAATGAAATAATAAACCAATTTATATACTGATATAAGACTAGGATCGTGAATGCCATTGTGTAATTTTCCACTTGACTTTTCATTATCTACCTGAACAAAATCAATCTATATGTATGGGATCAACATACAATTCCAGAGATAAAAGCTGAAAATAAATGCGCTTTGCATATCCTGGAGATAAAAGACACAATCCTTGGTACTGCCTTTTCTTCTCCAGCAGATGCATTTATAAAATAAATTGTTGTGTCAAGGAAAAAGTGAGACGTAGCAGTGTATCTTGAGTGTGGACTCCTTTGCTGGAAATATTGATCCTGCAAATGAACAGTGGTTAATAAGTACCCTGCAGACGATATCAGGTCTTTTGCCCTAGTTTACCCAGAGTGCAGTCTGGGTCAATGTTTCTCCCAACCAAAGCTCCTCACCTCCAAAAAAAAAAAAAAAAGACTTCCCCTATTAGCATGGATTTAAAGCTGAGGACTTCAAGGGCTTTTTAAAGCCACTCTACAGAGACAAAGCACATTGAAAATTCACATTACATTAGAAAACCCCATGCAGCAAACGCCCAGCTTGTGAAGCACACAGTCCTCAAAAGGGAAGGAGAGATGGTTCCATGCACTTTAGGGTTGACATTTATTACTTTAAACAGGTTGGGTTCCATTCCTTGTATGCCTTTCTTTGCTCCAATAATTAGCAATGGTGCTAAAAGTAGTAAAGCTCTCTCCCCATTAGCCATGCCATGGGTCCTCCTTAATTCCCTTTTTTTGGAATGTGTCACTGAATCTGCGTGAATCTGTGTGCCCTGGTGGGCAGATGGTGGGGCATTGTTGAGGGTGCTGTGGCTGTTTGTGTGCCCTGTTGTGTTCAGGGCTCTTCGAGGAAAGTACACCCACTCTGCCCTCCCAGGGTGGGCTCACCTTGGTTGCTGTTCACTTTCCTGTAAGGGAGGGGTTCATTTCCAACGTTGTATAGATAGCAAAGAGAGGCCCACAAGGCATGGGACCATCTTTCACCCCAAACAATCACTCTGAGTTTGTGAATATTTTCCGGTCATAGAAAGAGATTTCCAAAAATTAGCTACTCTTCATTGTTTATTCATTGTTAGATTCAGTAACCTCAGGGGAGCTTAAATATCTACCATGGCAGCGTGATTGTCACAGCTTCAGCTCTTAGGGCAGGACAACTCCACACTTGTATATTTTAGGATCTTTGCATTGACAAATGTTAATGGCTGTTGGTCTATTGGTTCAGCAAGATTTTGCAATTCCTGATGTTCACAGACCTCCTTCCCTTCTCCTGGGCTCTGTATTCACACACAGCACCCATTTGGACTGGGACCATTGCCTCTTGATTAGCAAATCTGGTGCTGTGCTCCACTCCTCAGTTTATATTTGTTGAAAACTCTGAGGAAAGTGTCCAGGAGCAATCTGATGCAGTGTCATGGCCTTTGGGGAAATGCTTGGGAGGGTCAAAGCTCAGCCTGGGGAGAAGCTCATGTGCTTTTAGTCACAGAAGACTCTTAGGACAATCAGTGTGCTTTATTCATTTCATCTTTTTGTTCCAGTAGCTGTAAATAAGCAAGTCTAGAGAAAGTGTAAGATGTGGTCAAGAAGAGTTATGCAGTCATTAGACTTTTGTTTGAAAAGAGAACACCTTCCTGAAGGCATGTTTTGAAAAGGTCCTATATTTTCATGACAGAAATGATGCCTTGAATGGCTACAGCTTTCAGCCTTGGTGAGCCCCAGCCTTATTTGATCCATATTTTAATTACTCTGTGATTCAAATCTGCATCGTAGGGAATCAGTACAGCGACATAAGAGCTTCAACCAGCATAAAGAACATTTTCAGGAGCTTTGTACCCCTTAAGTTCCCTGAGGAAAGACAACACACCAGAACAGGTGTCACTATTTCCACAGAGAAACCTGCTCATGCTGGAAAATGTCTTGCTAAGTGGCCTCAGAACCATCTTCTCAGGCTGGAACAGTGCTCCACCCACATGCAGAATCCTGACACAGTGGAACGCAGCCCATGTTGATGAAATAAATATTTAGTAAACAGGAGAAACTGAGTTTTTCAAAAAGGTATTATTATAATGTTTTTAGTGATCATGTCTTAGTTGAACCATCTTGATGCCATTTCCTAGAGGAAGAAAAATGTACAGTAAGAAGTCCAGTAAATATATGTAGATGCACATGTTTCAATAAATACAATCAGATGGAAAGTTGTCAACTTTTGCTAGCTCTAGCATTTTAAAAACTGTACATCAACAGTTCAAATCTTTAAAAAAAATAGATGAAGGGTATAAAACAACTTAAAGTCCAATGCGTCCCTTCACACCAGGCTTGATCGAGAAATGAGAAACCCATTTTACAGGTGAACTAAAATGAGATAGGTATTTCATTTACCCTTTTACAAAGGCCAAATGGGAATGCTTTCCAAAGTTGTTTTTATATTGGAGGTAAAGAGGGGGAACAGGAATTGGGTGAAACATAGTACTCAATCAGAATCTCCTGCAAGTCTTCTAGAAGCATTCACTGGAACTCAGTGACAATAAAATCCCTCCCCATGGTGTTCCAGATTACCAACACAGATATCCATTCAGAAGAGGATGAGATCTCAGAATGGGGCCAGAAGAGGACTTTGCTCTACCCTAAAGACACCGAGATCTCCACAGTACTTAACGTGTCCTTCAAGTGCTCCCTGATCAAGATAGTTGTTTTTTAAAATGAAAAGAAACATGACTTGATGACAACTTGAACAGTGAATTAAAATTTCATTTTGAAAGTATACTGTCACTGTGAAAAAATTCCTGGATTATAACACTACAGAATGCTATGAGAGACGTTTATCATTTATTCTGTCTTACAGTCTATCTCAAATTGTTATAAAATGTTTTAAATGCAGAAAACTAAGTGAAAAATCTCTAAACCTAAATTATCATTTGACTCATAAAGCATTGCTTTTATCACAGGGGACATGCAAGAAGGTGGCTGGCCACTCCTCTCATACATATCCCTGTTTTTCTTGACTTGAAAATGTCTCAAGTATATTTATTAAATATGTGTTCATTATTTAACAATGAGAACTATGTATCTTTTCTGCGTTTTTCCTACCATGTCACAGAACTCAAAAAGCACATGATACCAGGGAGGGAAACAGGTTCGTTTTAGAGAAATATGAAAACAGTTGTTCTGTTACATAACTGGGGTAATAACAGTATTATGGCAATTCCCTTTAAAATAGCATTTGATACACTTCAACAGAGGGAGTGTCAGGCATTCTGTTTTGTACAACTTCCGGCTGCATCAGCACCAGTTGTGTCAAACATGTTGATATAACATGGTGTTTATAAAAGTCGAGTTAGCTGTTCAAATGTACTTTATTTTTCTTTTCCAGAAATTCTACAAGACAGAGATGTGGATTCACAGTCAAACACAGAAAGGATACTTAGTTCTCAATGAAGCCGGGGGGAGGGGGTAGTTTATGAGAGCTTCCTTCTAAAAGGAGCTGTCTGTTCCCTGAAGAAATGACAATTCCTTGTCCCAAGCATCACTCAAAGTTCAAAAGAAGCATCTGCAGCCCAGCACAAGAAAGTGTTTTGCTACCAACATCCTGATGCCACTTGCACCTTAAAAGTGGTTAATACCTGCTGTGGATTGACTCAGATAAACCAGGAACAGCATCCCAGAATCTCTGCACACTGACCTGTGAATTGATGAAGCCAAAGACCACTGGTGAAGTCCATTTCTCTCCCTTTGCTTTCCTCCAAGACAAAGAAGAGTAGGAAACACACTGGGAGTTTTTTGTTGTTGTTTTATTTTGTTTTGTCTTTTCTTTGAAAAAAAAAAAAAAGATAAGCATCCATTTCCAAGTAATTTGAAGCGAGATAATTCTAGTTAGTGAAGAATTTCAATAACGGCTTTCCTAGAAACTCAAGACTGATTCAAACAGCAAATACTGAGATGCGGTTCCATCCCAATTTATGGGGTTTTCTTTTCCTTTTTGAGGAAATAAATAATTTTAAAGAGCCACAAAAGAAGGGAGGCAAATTATTAGATATTTTGCTTGACATCAAAGTGATTTTACATTTATAAAGGCATACTGGCTTTCAAAATTTTTAATGTTCCAGTCCTAGCTAAAAAGTCATGTCATGTCCCCCAAAACGAGCCTGAATTGATGCGAGGTTTTATGCAGACTTTAGGTCTGGTGAAGGGAATTTTGTGGAGCTATGTGTCACGGTTTGGGGTGAAATTAAACCCTACGCTTGATTCCAGTGTCCATTTTGAGCTCGTTAGGATTGCATGTGTTTTTCCTGTTTGCACCCGCTTTCTTCAGCCTTCTATGCACATACAGATGGTTACATTCTCATACTGGGTACCTGCAGAAGGTCACATGCTTTGCATCAATGGCAATTAGTTCCCTTTTTAAAATGGAAAATGTCATTAAGTTCTTGAATAATTCAAGAGTAGAGGTCACAATACAGTGTCCCTTTTGGGGGTCTTTATGGTGCAAATGGCAAAACAAGGCGATCCTATCAGTAAGAGTAGATCTAAGGTTTACAATGTAGCTCTATTTAGTGTGACAGGAAAATTAAATTACAGGAGGCACTCACTCATTGTCACCCGTTAACAGGCTTGGGAAAATTGTGAATCCCTGGGGGCAAATCACTGACGACGTGCGAGGGGAATAAAAATATTTCATTTTAATTGGCTGTTGTTTCCTTTGCTTGATTTTGAAAACAACAAACATAAACATGTCCCCCACAGTTCTCCTTGGAAATAGGGTCCCGAGTCTCCCAAACACGACCCCAACTTACAGTCTCTGCCCAGAGGCCGGCGGGTTAACCGCCCTGGGAAGCCTAGGTCTGTTTTCTCAGCGATGGTTGAGCTGGTCTTTATCCAGGGATTCCTGGGAAGGAAAATATAGGGACAGGTTTCAAATAAAAATGGGCTTCCACTACTCCGCCCCCCGCCCCCATCGGAGTCAGCTGGAATGCAGTTATTATGTTTCTGGAACAAGGGCAGCCCTTCGATTCTATCAGGACTGAGGAGGAGGAAGGGAAACAGAGTGACGCGGAGGCCACCCATTCTTTCTCCTCCCCAGAGGAAAAGGAGTTCGAGCTCCTTTTGAGATACCGGGTCGGAGAAGGTGCAGCTCGGGCTGGAGCAGGGTGGACGAGTGTTCGAAGAGGAGAAAGTGCAGGCTGGGGGAGCGAAACGAAAATCCTGAGGTCACTAAATGAGATAAAAGTGTCTCCAGGGCCGTGCCAGCACATCCTAGCCACCACTGGTGTCACCAGCATCCCGCCCCCCATTCTAGCCCCCTCTGTTGTCCCCCATTAAGACTGGTGGGCGTGGCTGCCTGGGTCCCGCTCCCACCGCAGCGGGGTCGCGCTCCCAGTCTTGACCCAAGGCCGTCTGCCTGTTCGCCCGGCCCTCCTCTGCGCGGTGCCCAGCGGGCTCATCCGGACGGGGCCGACCTTGGCACCTGCAGGAGAAACCCTGGACTCGCCAGTGTTACCGGAGACGGGAGAGCGATGGGGAGGGCGGGAGAGGAATACAGCTGACAGAGCCCATGGCGACTGGGGTGGGATAGGTCGGGTCCGGTGTGAACTGGCTGCCTAGGGTCGGTTCCCTGCGCTTTCTAGAATTTGTGGGGGAAAAGCAAGAATGACCGTCCCTCTGCCTCGTGCTCTTTTCGATCTCTCCCCCGACCCCCAGTGACATTTAGCAGGCATTTTCCTTTCGTGGCCTTCTCCACTAAGACCCTTGGAAGTCCTATGTCAGCGAAGTGAGCGTTGGGAGGGGACGAGAAGAACCCCCCGGAGGGCCAACCCGGGTTCCGCGTTTGGCGCATCTCGGCAGCCGGAGCTCGCCAAACCGGGACAGCCCCACGGACCCGCGGGGACTGGGGGCTCGGCCGGCTGCTCTGACGACCTCGGCGCGCCCGATCGGCCCCGGCTGCCTGGCCCCGGGTACCCGGGCACACGCCGCCTTCCCGGAGCCCGAGCACCCGCTCCGGCTCTCGCAGCCTGAGCCCAAGGAAGGCTGCTCTGCAGGTCCCCGGGCCACTCGCGGGGAGCCCGAGCCAGCCCGCCAGCCAGCGGCTAGGGCCTCACCCAGGAATGAGGAAAGGGAGTGCTGCTTTATTTCGGAAGCAGGTCCGACTCTGTGAACACCTAGATAGAGGGAGGCATTTAATTTTTATATGCACATATATATATATTGCAACGTGATTTGTCCTAGGTAGAGTTATTTGTGCCTCAACTTTGATACATTTCATGGTAGAATTAAAGGACAAGGTTCGTGCCTGGGGTGGGGGCGGAAGAGAATAGTGAAGGGGCAGTTTAGATGTTTTTTCTTTTCTAAATGATTCAATTTAAGCAAACACTTGGGGGCTCCAGGCCGCTGTAATTCCAAAGACAATTTTCTCTTGTTTTAATTTGATTTGCATTTTTTCAACGTTGATAATACTCAATTTCATGGCTGAATACACATGTAAACACGGTTAGGTCGTGTTTTTCGCCACTTGCACCAAACAGAATGTCGCTTGTCTCGGTGCCATGGGAGGTTACACGCCGCGTCCTCAAAATATCTGCAAGTTTCTCCTAAATTATTTTTCAAAACTTGGCCTGGAAATTTGTCTGAGCTTCAGAGGTGACGAACTAAAATATATCTAAACTGAATATATCTACTGAACTAGCCAAGGTGTGGGAAGACCTGCACAGACATTGCAAAAAGGAAGGCAGTAAAGGAAACAAATTCCTATTTGATATAGAATCAATCCTATTTTTACCCGGCATTATTTTTCTATATTGTATTAATAGTTTTAAACAATCCAAAAATAACAAAGAAATTATCTTCTCCCAGAAATGTTTTTAATGTGGATTTCATTGCTAGAAAGACAAGCATTGAGAAATATATAGCTATACCTTTATAAGGAGAGGTTTAATTACCACTATTGAGCTATTTTATCAAACATAAAAATTAGAAGAAAATGCAAGGTGAAATTGAGAAATAAGCGTTAGTCATATCAAAACTGATATTCAACAAAATAGCACTGCCAATGACAATGAAAGTAGGATGGTGTGACCTGCCTGTGAGCAGCTACCACAAAACTGTAATGCAAGCATATCACACATTGTTTTGCCCTCAGGACACAAACTAGACAGACATTGTGCAAAGAAATGTTTGGCACCTAATAAATTTATTAAAACTCCAAATACATTTTATACTCCATTTACGAAACTGTGCTGGAAAAAGTGAGGACACACTTTTTTGGTTTGTCCAAGAATACCTTATGTAATAAAATGGCTGTCTAATTTCCAGAGCTACCCTTCATTTAGAAATATATATTTATCTGCTTGCTATTGACTAATGTGGAATATTCAATACTGTGAGCAATATTTCTATCTCAAATCTTAAGAATTTACAAACTACAATGTTTGTTTTATTTTAAAAATCCTTAAAAATGAAAAGAATCCGTGAAAATTCTAAATCCTAAAAAATAAAATAGATCTGTGAGACTTCTTAAAATGCTTTATGCTCCAGGCTGGCTGATAATAGGTAACTGTATTTTAAATTGAGGTGATCTAATTTGAAAAATATCTTTTATCACGTGAAAGGCATTTAGGCAAACAAGAAAAAATTCCATTTGAAAGACAACAGACTTTGAAAGAGAAAGTCGCTTAATTTTTTTAAAAAACACACTCGTGGCAGGCCGACTGTCCAATGTCTGCAAGAAAACTGTTCTTCACCATTTGGCTTTTAAAAAAAGAATTATTAAATTTTAAATTATAATTGTTAGGATTTGTACTAAGGTTTTCTATTGTTTTGGAAGACTGGCCATTATGCCTACTTTATTTTACACAAATAGATGGCAGAGTACGCGCGCTCCTCACAATTGCTTCACAGCAAACCCATTCTTAGAGATGGAGCTAATGAAGGGGGCTAATTGTAACACACAGTCTATTCAGAGAATGCAAATGTTGGACAATAGAGTACATCTTTCCCTTTTTCTATTAGTAATTGAGGAGTAAATGGAGATCTTGTTAAGGATCTTAGAAGTTTGATCGTCACTGAGTGAGTTTGCCATTTTAATTTGCTTTCATCCCCAAAACAGATCTGTATTGAGACATGGCTACCTCAGCCAGAAGCAGAGCTGCTGCACCTCAGACAGAATCTGTCCTCCACCCTCAACTTCATTGAACTGGGTCTGAGCTGCAGCAGGAAACAGGGAGAAGGGCTGGGGTGGGGGAAGGGAGGCAAGGGAGGAATGGTCGGGAAAGTCTCTGGAAAGCATTCTAGACAGGTGGGGACTTCCAGATGTGGTATGGTTGGGGGCTTGGGAACTTGGGAGGGTGTGCACCTTGGGAGAGTCATGAGTCCTAGGAAGAAGTCACAGAACCCACCCCAACCCCTGCAAAACGTCCAGCAGCTGGGAGTGGGGAGGCGCTTAGCTAAGGGTGTCATACAGGGATAGTGATCTGCCTGTTCTTTCATGATGACCAAGAGCCCAGAGGCCTGAGCCTGAGGTAGGGAAGGGGTGTGTGTGTGTGTGTGTGTGTGTGTGTGTGTGTGTGTCATGTGGTGTGTGAGAGAGAGGAGGCAGGGAAGGAGGAGAGAGATTGTGGAATGCAAGGGAGAAATCATGCAGTTACTTTTAGTTGTTTACTGAGCAAGGGCAAAATCTAAACCGCGCTTGCCACAATCAATGAAAGGATCGCCTCAGCTTCCAGAGTTGAGCTCCCTAAATGAGTCTGGCATTCTGATAACTGCAGGTGAGCACCTGAGATCAACTCCTTCCCACTGCTCGATGCTGGGAAGAGATAGGGATGCATTTGTTCCTGAGCTCTGGGAAGGGAGAGGCAAGAGGGGGATTTAATTGTCTGCCTGGGTGAATCGAAATGTCCTTTAAAGCACAGAAATCAAGAGAGATTGGCCTTTAATTGGTAAACTTTGCTGATTGGGGGAGGTGGTAATTAAAATGGAAAGAGGACAAAATACAGATTGGCTACTGCTTCCCCCACTGTCTCGCCCCCATAAACAGCCCCCAAAATTGGTATTCTCCTCCCCTCTGGCCATCTTTACAAGGCTCAGCACACAATCTGATTGTGGGTAATTGTGTCATTCTTGTGTCCCAACCTTAGTCTAACACTCAGTTGTCCAGTTTGGAGTGAGAATACAATTTTATCTAGAACTCTGTTCACTTCCAAGAGTTGGCCATACACATGCCAACACGTGAGGAGCTGGCCTTAGAATCCAATTGTCTGCCTGTCTCTGAAATGCCGAAATGGAAGATGCTAAGTCTGCAGGGAATCTCACACCACTAAAAATGGACAGGCCAGGGAACTTAGCTTCCCGGATATTGAAAAGTAAAGGAGACCTCCAAGCCAAGCCTGAGCCCTGATTTGAGGAGGTCTAGTGCTCATTTCCACTCTGTGTCCCCGGAGCCTGGCACAAGCTTGGCAACTGTTCACATGCACACTCAGATGCACTCTGCTGGAGTGGTGCTCTTGTATGCGATGGGCCTACTGGGTCCTGGGCAGCATCCTCCCTCCCTGAGGGCTGCAGGTTGATGTGCCTAGGCCAGCATCCTATTCAGGGGCAAACCCCAGAGGCAGGTGTTTATGGAGATCTGCATTGGCATATATGTGAGGGGTGGGAGGGGGAGGCTTGCCGCGGGGGCTGGGGCCAGGGCGTGCTGGGGACCAGCTGTGGGCGGTGTATGCATTCCAGCTATGCTGTCACCTGGGTTGTCAGGCCACCAGGTGCAGGTCAGGGGGAGGTCAGAGGCAAGAGCCTCTTAGGACATTCCTAGCCCTTGCTCCCAGAATCCCTCGGTAGGGAATAAGGCAGACAGGCTGTAGCTCAGAAATGATTTGGCTATGTGGGTTGTTTTAAACTTATATGTCAGCCCTTAGTCTCTGCCCCTGACATTTTCTCTCTTGTCTGGCATTTTCTCCTTCTAATCACAATGTAAGAGCCTGCTTGCTGCCTCCTACTTTCCAGCACTGGCTAGCTGGCCCTGGAAGCATCAGTGGGGAGAAAAGCGTGGTCCAGGACTGAATGAACTTCTGCCCAACTTCGAGGGACCATGGCCACATAAGAATTCTGACTGTTACCCCAGAAGACAGCATGAGAATCCAGCCTGATCCCAGACATCACCCATCCTCGTCTCTTCTAGGACAGTCCACGGGGTTTGTGCCATCCTTCCAGGGGGTACCAAAGCCTGGCTCTTCTGAGATCTTCCAGTTTCTTTCCAGCCTCCCCCTAACACTTCAGATGTCCCTACTCATTTTCCAGATTCTGGAGTTCTGGTGAAGGCCGGCCTCCTAATTCATTGAAATAGGAATTGTCTGTGCCCCAGAGTCCTGGGAAGCCAGAATAAGTTGAGGGAATATGAGTTGAAAGACTCCAGCTCAAAGCTGCGCTGTGAAATTGGAGCAAGTTACCTAACTTCTCTCAGCCCCAAGACCATTACCTGTAAATTATGATTTCCACCAGCAGGAAGTGGGGAAGCTTAAAAGAGATCCTGTTCAGGAAGATACCTTGCATGGTTCCTGGCACCTAGGAGAACCCCACTCAATTGTGATTGGATTGACTAGAGTTTCCATTCAAAATAAGAGAGGGCAGGACGTGGATGGGAGCATGAAGGCCACTGAAAACACTAAAATGGTAAAACAAAGTTTCTGCCTATAAATTGACTAACTTTTCTGAAGGAAAAGTCTCTCTTTTCTAGAGAGGATTTTCTCAACTAGCAGGGGATAGATTTGTTGAAGTTACAACTTCTTTCTGTGTGTGAACTGCCCCAATTAATGTAGCTCAGAATCACAGAACAAATGAAAAATATATAGTGAAATTGATCTCCTTTATTTGAAACTTAAAATGGGTTTGTGGAGGTAAAGCAGGCAAAAAGCTTGATCAGAGCTTTATATTTTATACTGAAGGGTGCACATGTTGATATCTTGACTTTTTTGCTAAAGATGCTTCTGATTTCCATATGAAGCTCTCTATAACCCAGCTCCTGCCCTGGAACCTCACCCTATTCCTTCACTGAAAACGTCATCTAATCATCATCTGTCCTTTTCGATTATCCAGCTATCTACCTCAGGCCTTAGTGCCTTCCAAGCCCTCTCCTCCAAATACTTCCAAAGATTGTTTTATGTTTTCAAATAAAGCACTTTTAACATTCATGAATTCAAGTTAGGAATTATATATATGCTTTCCTTTCAGTAAGCAACAATTTCCCAACAAAATTCAATATATAATTACTTCTGCTTTATAAAAATAGAAGGAATAATAAATTGAGATTATATTTTTCATTAAATACCAAGTCAAAATTCACATGCATGCAATCCTATTTTTATTTGCTCAGATCATTACCAACCCTAGTTCAAAAACATCCCTGCTTATTTTTGGACCTGTGTCTTATTATTTTCAAATCATTGAAACAATGGGAAAGCTGATTTACTGATTAAAAAATAAACTAGGACCCAACCATTTAAAGAAGCAGAGATTGAACCACATAAGCAAGTAGAACTAAAAAACAGTAAACAATTCTCGTCACAAAGTTATAATGCTGCATTACACGCCAGTATTTTTCCCTTACACATATGTTTGTGAGGCTGAAATATTCTCTCTCAATAAATTTAATGATGTTTAAGTCAAGAAAGTATAGTATTGCCAGCATCATCTCCTGACACTGCTGGGAATATTGCTGCCTCTGATTAACAAGAGAGGGTTAAACCCCAGGCACTTGCCCTGGTGGGAAGTGAGACCTCTAGCTTTGCATGAATGAATGTAACTTAATTTGTTGCTTCTTTTAGCACTCCCAGCTATCAGTTGTGTTATCTAACAGTGAAATATCACCCCTTCTTTAGAGAGAGATTGAGGACAAGTAAGTCAATGCTTTTTAATGTGAACCTGCGGGGGGCGGGGGGAGTGGTGACAATGACATCTGACCAGTCCATGTGAATGTTGGCAGTGAGCTCAGAGCTCTGACAAACAGCAACTAACGTAAAAAATAAGCACACTGGTGTGAAGGTATGCTTGTAAAAACTCCCTGTCCTCTCTACCTTTTCATGAGTGGTACTTTAGCACAAGGTGGCAGCTTCTTCTGCAGAGGATACAAATGATCTGGACTAGGCCCCAAGGGTGCAGGGACTGAGGGGGAGGGGAGAATAGGCATCACCTCCAGTCTAGCAAGAGGGACTGCCACGGAATTACAGCTTGTAAAATAAGCCTCCATCAGTCTCCCAGGAGACAGCCGGCCTCAACTTGGGTGTTCCCTGCTTGTTAGCCTCAGTCATAATTGGTCTCTCCTCCCATCCCACGTTGTTGGTTTTCTGTGTGTGGCTTTTGGTGTGAGCGTGTTAGGTCATCAACAAATACAATAGCGGGAGGGGGCAACTGGGGACACACATGATTGTTTTAGAGAAGAAAGGAGAAAAGGGATAAGAGAGTGGGCAGGAAGGCTGTGAACAGAATGGGGAAGATGGCCCAGGATTTAGGCTTCCGAGGCACCCCCTGGAGTGCTCCAGGGTAGGGAACTCCCTGGGAGTTTTGTTAAAGGGAGAAGAGGCCTGCTGGGAGCTGGGGACCCTGCTGAGCTCCGCTGAGGACATTCATCCATTCAACGCTATTTTTGTTTGCTTGTCTCTGGGGGTGCCTGTAACATCCTGCCCACATCCGGTGCCTCTCATCAAAAAAGAATTTTTCAAAAAATCCCAATCAGGGTGATTTGCTCTAGAAAGGCCACGTGTGTGGAGCTGAAGACCTAAAGAACAGCCCAGGACCCTGGCGGGGGTAGGGTGTGGGTCACAGGCCTTCATCCTTTTTCCATCCATTGTTAAAATAGATTCTCACTATCTTGTCTCTCCATCCCCCATCTCCTTTTACCTCTTCTCAGAGGAAAGCTGGGGATAGCGGCTACAGTAAATTTCTGATCTAAAGTTAACTATAAAGCCTAGAGTGGAGATGTCTTCGCATTTAAGGAAGGTTGAAGATACAGTGCATTGTTTTTGCTCAGAAGGGGAAAGATAAAGATAAGATCCCTAGACCCTTGAGTCTTTATTTACTGTAAAAAGAACATTTGACTGGGAAGGAAAGAGCAAGAAGTGTAATTAAGTCAAGTCGCAAATTTTGGGGATTGATTATTTTTTTCTGTTTGTATGTTTCAAAGTTTTACATTTTACTCGACAACCCCTGGCTGGCCTGGTTGCCATGGTGCTGCCTCCAGGGCTGGTGTCCATGCTGTCCCCCACCCAGTAGGATTTCAGGTCTGAAATCTTGTTCTTTTGCTACAGCAGGGACAGCAAACTGGAGCTAATGGCACTAGGGTGTGCGTGGGGGTGGAGGTGGTCTATTCTGTATGGCAGGACTTGATGCCTACGACTTTGCGGACATAAGCCAGAACGGGCTGCTTGCAACTCCAGGTTCATGGTGTTTGGGAGGAAAATGTTTCCTTTCCTGCGCTCTCTTGCGGGGTGAAGGTGCATAGTCAGAAAAGGCCTTGCTGCTCTTTTGAAACATAACTGGTGTCTGCACATTCCAGATCTCATCTCGGCCACCCCTCCCTCCAAGCCAGGGCCACCTCCAGACCCCCGGATGTGTAGAAGCATGCACTGCCCCGAAGAAAACGCGTTGCCCCCAGGTAACTTCAGGTACCTCCTAGGGCTAACGCCTCCTTCTATGCCATATTGAGCCTTATCTCTTGCTTCTTCCCGCCCCCCTCCCACATTAAAAGGCCCCCAAAGCATTGAGGAGCGGCTTCTCTTTATGAAGCTGGGGAGAAGGCGGGCGATAAAGATTGGGCGTTTAAATTGGCCATTTGGAAGATTACATCTCTTCAGCGAGGGTCTTTCTTTCAAAACTCGCACTGAATTAAGGGTCATGGCTACTCCGTACCCGGCTCTCAAAGGCACGGCACCTTTGAATTAGGTTGCGGAGTGGCCTGGGCGAGGGGACCCGGGGCCATCAAAGGCCCGAGGGAAGGCCGTGGGGCGACACCCGTCTAATGACAAGTAATTGAAGGATTCGACGCCGCGCATTACCAGCGGAACGGGAGGCATTAATTATTTAAAAACGATTAGCCTTGCCGTGTGTCCTGCAGGCGTCCCATCATGTTCAGCGAAGATAACCAGCCACCCGAGGCGAGCCGGGGCTCGGAGGGCGGCGGGCGCGCTCCCCAGCAGGCTTCGGGTGCGGTGGACACGGGCGCACAGCCCAAGGCACCAGGGAAGGAGAGGAGGGGCCACCAAGGGTCCCCACACAGGAAGGTGACTACATAACACTGACCCTGCTGAACAACGAAACAGATTTCTGCCCACTTGGGTTCGAAGTCTGGTGACTGCGGCGCAGATGGGAAAAGCTTTCCGGTCGGGGGTGGTGGGCAATTTCCATGTGCCAGTTCCCTGTCGCATCAGACCAAAGACCCAAAGTAACCCAGCCAGGCACGGGCCTCTCACAGTGCCTGCTACCCAGGCGTTTAAAGAAAAGACCCCAGAGAGAATGTGGATCTGGCGTGGGGGCAGGGATTGGGGGGGGGCGCTGGTAGACACCTGGGGAAATACAACTTTATGAGGTTTCAAGGGGCAGCAGCAGAACTACTATTTTTCCGAGGTCCACGCCTTTCCGCAGGCGGCGGAAAGACGCGGCTGGTTCTGTTGGGTCCTACAAACTCGCGTCCTCCGGAATTCCCGAGGGCAAGCCCGGCACGCGCGAGCGTGCTCCTGCCCGTGGAAGGGGGGAAATCGGCGACTGGGTTGCAGGGAGAATGCGATGATAAATGGCCCTGCGTCTGCTTTCTGACTTTCTCTCCTGGACCCAGCTCGTAACCCCAGAGGCTCCCCAACCTGCCTGCCGCCAAGCACGGCTGTGCGCAAAAGGCCACCAGCCGCTTCCTGCAGCCAGAGCTAAGGTTCACTCGCCTCTTAGAAAGGCGCGGCCCCTCCCCTGCTGCTGCTTGATGACGATCCCCATCGTCTCCTCGGCCTGCCTGTGTCCGAGAAAGAGTTGAGACTGGACTCGAACCCCTGCGCGCCAAGGGGAGGGCGTCACCATGCTCCGGCCTCAGCCTCTTCAAACTCCCATGCACCACGCACATCATTTTCTGCTGACCCCCACACTAGATTCTGGGGCCAAGGGGGTTCCCCACACCCCACCCTCCACTGTTCTCTGGAAACATGCTGCTCTCAGATCGAATCCCCAGACCCGAGCCGCTCGAGGGGCCTGTGTGGCTTCCTCGGGGCCCTACCAAACTCCTCTAACTGAGCTCAGAGCCTAAGCGGTCTGAGTTTGCAACTCTACGACCCCTCATCCTTCCAAGTCATGCACTTTCCGAACCCCCTGCAAAAAAACCCAACGCCTTGAGTCTCAGTTGGCTGAGCTTACCACCAGCCAAGCCCGCCCGGGCGTCCGAGCCCTGGAAGGGAGAAGGACTGGCTGGGGGAGGGGCGGTGAGCGGACAGGAGTGGGGTGCGGACGCTGAGGAGGGGAGCCGGGCGCGGTCCCCGGGTGGGCGCGCTCCCTACCTGCGGCGGCCGGCGGGCCGGCTGGCGGGCGGGCTGCGGAGCGTCCAGCTCGCGGAGGGAGGAGGCCGACTGCTCCGAGCCGAGGCATCCCCGCATTTATTTGAGCTCAAACCAAGCGACTGTTGACTTTAGCACACAAAGCAAAGATTTCACTGCCCGCTAGTTTAAAAATGAATATTTTACCAAGATATCGATCAGCGTTATAAAATTCAGTTAAGTACAATGGGATCCTGGCAAAAAAAAAAAAAAAAGAATAATAAAGGAGGGGGGAGGCAATATAATATCTGTGCAAATTTGCTGAAGTGTGACGTGGCATGGAAAGTTTACCCTCCTGGAATTCGGATCTAGAATGTTTTTTTCGGTTGTTTACAGACTTTGTTTATTCACAGATCATGGTTGCTTAAACCGGCGCGCGGAAAGCGTGGGGAAAAAAGGAAAAAAAGGAGGGGGGAGAGTCTCTGCACCCCACAATGAGTAGAGTTGGGGAAAGCGCGCAGTGGCGATTTGTGAGCTCGTTATCTCGGAACCCGGGCTAGGGGAGGGATTTAAGCGGGAGGGGGGCGTGAAAGACACAAGAAGCACAGAAAAGCCTCCGAAAGCGCCTGCTCCCCGACATCCTTTTTATGTATTCGGACAGA